>NC_000017.11:56310980-56935980 GCF_000001405.40 Homo sapiens
CTTTTTTAGATGCTACACTAGAGTGACGTCATGAAGTATTTCTCTTCTTGTGCCTGGCTTATTTCTTACTTCATTTAGCATAATGTCCTCCAGGTTTATACATGTTGTCACAAATAATAGAACTTCCTCCTTTTAGGGCTACATAATATTTCTCTCTCTCTCTCGCTCACTCTCTCTCTCGTGTGTTTGTGTGTGTGTGTGTGTGTACCACATTTCTTTTATCCATTACTCACTGTTCATGTGAAGGTGATTCTTTTTATAAAGTATTGGCTCTGCCACCTACTAGCCATGAGACTTGGGCCTTACTTTTCTCATCTGTAAATTCAGATGCTTCTAATGCTACTTCCCATCACAGGGTTGCTGTGGGGTTCAAAAGAATTGGTGAGTATAAGGGACTCATCAAGTACAGGTTGAGCATCCCTAATCCAAAAATCCAAAATCCAAAATGTACCGAACTCCAAAACTTTTCAGTGCCAATGTGATGCTACAAACTACCCTGAGTACGTTATATTTTCACTGTATTAATGTATGTCATTTTTTTTACTGTTAAGTACTTATGTGTGAAAATGTATACAAACATGATTGCTTATTGGTAGCATATAAATTCAGAGACAGGAATGGCAGTGATGCCAAACAACCACAGATTGTCTACGTGGGTGGCTGTGATAGTGATACTTTTGCCTTCTGTTGGTTCAGTGTACACAAACTTTGCTTCATGCACAAAATTAGCAAAAAGTGTTGTATAAAATTACCTTCAGGGTATTTGCATTGGGTGTATATGAAATGTAAGTGAATTTTGTATTTAGACTTGGGTGACATCCCCAAGGTATCTCATTATATATATGCAAATATTCTAAACTCCAAGAAAAAATCCAAAATCTGAAACACTTCTGGTCCCAAGCATTTCAGAGAAGGGATACTCAACTTGTAGTCCCATTATTTTGTGATATCGGTGCTGTTATTTTGTGATCACTCTCTGATCACAGAATCTAGAACTCTTCGCGGTCTCCTCTTCAGGCCTATGGTTCACCTGAAAACTTGGTTCTAAAAAGAAAGAGCCATTCCTAAATATTCTATTCCCATTGGACGTTATCTTCCTTCACCCCCACCACCCAGTGTTGGTCTGACTGCAGTGGGTCTGCCCCTCTATATCCTGAGGGCTACCATGTGGTTACTGGAAGCTATCCTCAGCCTATCTGATAGTAGACCTGTGTTCTGTGCTTCTGCCCACTCCCACCTTGGCTCTGATTTGCTTAAAATTAAATGATACTTTTCTGTGAGAAGGTGCTTGATATTCCACATGTGTCTGGCTGCCAATTCCCAGAGGCCTTTTGATTTGACCCTGTCTGTGGCCCAGCACTGCCTATCTAGTCTAGACCCAGAGTATAAAAGAAAGCCAATCCCAGGAGACCTCAGGGTTAGCATCTAGGCATTATTTCTGCTGATCTTACTCTGACCCATTCTCCCAGTACCTCCTTTCACACTCCTTTAGTTGAATCCCTAACATAGGTACTTCCCACTTTCTCGGAGCCTCTCTCCTAATCCCGGCTGCCCTAACTGCCAAATCTCTGGCCCTCCATGGTCCTCCACAGACCTCCTTTCCTTTGCTCGTCTCCAGTTTTTCAGTCTTTGCTACCTGTCGCCTGCTGGAAAGGTCACTAGCTTCCAGCCTCACACCTCTCCAAACCTGCATCTGATTTTGTCGTTCATCACATATTTGTAGGGCACCCACTATGTGCTAGGCACTATGCTAAACCTTGGGGTATTATAGTGAATAAGGGATGGATTCCCTGCTCCCATGCAACTCACAGTCTAAAAGGGAGCAGACTAACAAACGACAAGTAAAGAAAGTAGTTACAAACTATGGTTGGTGCTTTTAGAAAAACAACAGTGGGGGCGGGCACGGTGGCTCATGCCTGTAATTTCAGCACTTTGGGAGGCCAAGGCAGGTGGATCACGAGGTCAGGAGTTCAAGACCAGCCTGGCCAAGGTGATGAAACCCCGTCTCTACTAAAAATACAAAAATTAGCCAGGCATGGTGGTGGGCGCCTGTAATCCCAGCTATTCAGGAGGCTGAGGTGGAGAATTGCTTGAAGCGGGGAGGCGAGGTTGCAATGAGCTGAGATCATGCCACTGCACTCTAGCCTGGGCAACAGAGCGAGAATCCAACTCAAAAAAAAAAAAGAAAAAAAAACCAGGGTGCTGAAATAAAGATTAATGGACATGAGGGAAGGGTATTTCCTCTCTGAGGAAATGATATTTAAGCCAAGACCTGAGAGATGAAAGGGAGCCAGTCCCATGAAACAGGGACAGATGTTTTAGTCAGATGGAACAGTATGTGCAAAGATCTTAAACAGGACCTCATATGAAGCTGTGCAGATTGTTCAGGGCACAAACAAGCCTGGTCATGGAGGTAAAGGAAGTGCTGAAACCCAGCCAGGCTCTGTTCCCCAAGCAGTGTGCCACAGTAAGGGGAAGGAACAGGTTCTTTTTCTGAGCCTCATAAAGACACTGTGTGAGCTAGTAGTAATCTGAGCCTTGAGGTGGAAAGAGGATGGCTCTCAGTCCTTTTCTCTTGGTCCTTGGGCTGCAGCCTGGGTTCACATCCTGGGATCTTGCACTCAGCTTACAAATACCCATCCCCATATGCCTGCCCATTCTTAGATTAGTCTATGTTTGATCTTATCTATCAAATGATAACAACTCAGATTTACATGGCATTTTACATTTGCTTCAAATCTCATCTGATCTTCCAATTTCTCTGTAAGGTAGCTAAGGCAGGCATTATTCATTAATTATAATTTGCATAAAATACCATGAATAGATTTTGTGTTTTGGTTAGTTATGTTTCAATAATTGTATATACCCCCTAACCAACACCTAAATCAAGATACAGAACATTTCCAACCGGCCTGAAAGTTTCCTTCTGCCACTGTCCAACCAAATATCCCACCAACCCAGTACAACCTAGGCAGCCAGTGTTTTGATTTCTGTCACTATTGATCAGTTTTTTCAGTACTTGGTCATCAGGGGAATGTAATTGTGTAGTAAGTATTCTATTGTGTCTAGCTTCTTTTGCTTAATCTGATGTTTCTGAGATTCATTCACATTATTGTATGTCTCAGTAGTTTATTCCTTTTTTATTGTTGAGTAATAGTCCATAGAATGAATATACCACAATTTGTTTAGCTATTACTCTATTCATGATATTTGGGCTATTTCCAGGTTGGCTGTTTTAACTAAGACTGCTATATTCTTGTGTAATTCTTTCCGTGAGCATTTATTTCTCTTTCTTGTGGGTAGAACCCAGAAGTCGAAGTGCCGAGTCATAAGGTATATTATATTTAACTTTGTAAAAGACTGTCAAACAGTTCTCCAAAGGTATACCATTTTATACTCCAATCAGCAACCTAAAGGCACTATAGTTGCTCCACAACCTCACCAACTCTTGGTTTTAGCCATCATAGTGGGTGTAAACTAGTATCTCATTTTAATTTTATTTTATAATTCTCTGAGGACTAATCATATTGAGCACCTTTTTATGTGCTTATTGACCATTTGTATATCTTCTATTGTAATATGACTATTCTAGCATTTGCAGGGTGACTACTATTAATTTCACTTTATAGATAAGAGAATTAAGACTCAGGTCAAGTGGCCAAAGACTGCAAAGATTCACAGCTAATAAGTAGGAAACCCAAGTCTTTTACTCATATCTCCTGACTCTAACTGGTGTTTCATTTCCAATATATTGGACTTTTTCCTACAATGGTTCTCAAGCTCAAGCTGCCCTCATCAGTAATCTTTACAGCATCCTGAACCTCAGGACCTTTTAGATAAGGGCACAGTCAAAAAATTTATAGATGTAGACAAAAGAAGACATGAATGATTTTACATTAACTGAAAGCAACATAATTTTTTTTAATTAGTCATCAAAACCATCACTCTAATTCTGGAGTTCTTGTTTGGTACCTGATACCCTCTCAGGCAGAGATGTATTCTCAGTCTCAACTCCTCAATGCTGCCGAGCTCGAAATAAGCCCTTCTTGTTCAGGTGCAAATGTGTTTCACTGGGCTACATGTAACTCTCTTCAGCCTATTTGTTTTTAATTCAATCAGTTAAAACAGCCACAATTTCTCCTGTCCATATGCCACATTGCAGTAAGTTAATGTTTGCTTAATGAAATGTAAATGCTCCTGAGGCTTGATTTTCTCACTAATATAGCTGGAGGAGATGGTGAATATGTAGCATGATTCATTCTCTCTCTCTCTCTTTCTTTAAGAATTAAATGTACTTTGAAGTTGCAAATGTCACAGAAAACTCCCACTTTTCCTTGATGCTGAAGATAAATCACTGAAGGAACAATGAGAATGGATAATCAGCCTTGGTTGTAGTTGTATTTGACAGACTGAGTTTGAGCATCTGACAAATGCGTGAAACACTGTGACTCCCCTTTCAAACTAAGAGAAGACTATGCTAGCTAGCAGGGCAGCCCAGACAGAAGGTGCCTGTTGCTGTCCTTTTAATCCTCTCTGAGCAAAATCTTGTACTTTTCTCCCAAATAGTGAAGGAAGTGAATAAGCCATTGACCTTTTAATTCCATTCAACGCCTTTGCTGTGCTGCAAGGTGCATCCAGTAGGTTTCACAATGCAGAAGAATGACATTGAGTATTTGGCATATGCAGTCCTTGAGAAAGCTCCTCTGAGCTTAGAAAGCTCCTCTACTCCTTAGAAAGTAGCCAGAGCAGCCCATTCAGACTCTGCTCTATCTGATTTCATAGGAGTTCAGAGTCTGGGACAAAATGAAGAAAGGGAATTTGGACAGGAGTCTGAAGACAGAAGAACTAGGCCAGAAATAAAAGGGTCACACCAATGTCTGTGAAGAGAAGATGGGAATAATAGAGATGAGGCTACAATTTAAAAAGATGAATCAGTCAAGGCTTCTTAAAAGTGTTCCTACAACCTCTTCAACTTTCTTTTTGTTTTTCCTCCTCTGTTCTTCTTTCTTCTCCAATTCATTAAATGCCTCTTTGCTGCTATATGCCTTAGGTCAGACGCTCCTGACATTTGTACAGCAAACTTCATCTGACATTTTTAGAAGAAAGGGGACAAAGTTTTTATTTTCAGCTGAGAGTAATTTTAATGGGTAAAGTGGCATTTACAGTCAACGTTTAACTGATAGTGCAGATGGCCTTTATAATTGCTGGGTCTTATTACACAGTTATGCGTCTTTATTATTATGCTTGAATGTGCAAATAGAATTAACTTCCTTGCTTCTCTTGGTATTTCAAATTCTCACTGTGATTAATTACAAAGAATTCTCTCCTTAATACTAAGGATCTGATTCCATGAAGTTGTGGAGATAAACCAAGGAGACTTTTCCATTTGTAAAATGGAGGAGGTATTTCTTATGGCAGTAGAAAGCTGAGCAATTTGGCAGGAGACTGGGTCATAAGCCACCCACTCAAGTATCATCTAAGGAACACTTAGGCTGTGAAATAAATGGAGAAAAGGACCTGGAAAATACGGAAGGCTTCTTTAGAGATTTATTCATTTAGCAGTTAGCCAAGGGTAGAGGACCCTTTTGGAAATTTGGTCTTGGGGGCCTAAAATTTAACTTAAGCCTGGATTCAAATGCCAAACAGAAGTATTCCTAGAAGAATTGACAAAAAACAAAAAAATCTCATTTTGACTGGCACTCAGGAGAGAAAAATAAATGAGGGTGGAAGGAGGAGAGTTTTCTTTATGGCTTGACTGACCACCAAAGCTATCCAGATTCCTCACCCAAATCACCACCCACTGAGTGGGGCCACCTAGGGTAATTAAAGGATCAAATGCTCCTGTGCTATACTGTAAGCATTTAAAAAGCACCAGTCCCACTAATAGAAACATCTTGTTGGCTTTCTCTGAAGAAAACCTGAATAGAGAATAGAATTCTATTAATGAGTGAGGCACATCTACATTAGTTCCTTTTTAAAAAAGAAAACATTCCTGATAAATAACACACGTTTAAAGCAGATTTCAGCACACTCTCTGGAAAGAGAGATCACATATATTGACTCTGAAATATCAGACCATATGTCCAATACAAACCAAGACTAGCTGGGTTGAAATAAAGCATTTTTTTCTTTGTGGCAGAGAAGTTCTTCTATGTGTTAAGTGCTCTATGGCTTCTTGACATCATAACATGTTAGAGCTAGAAGTGACTTTCAACGTCATCTAGCATGACCCCCTCACTTAGAGGAGAAAACTGAAGGTGTTTTTAAAAAAGAAAAAAGCCAGAAGAACCTTCAAGAACATTCCAGTTGCTGTCCAGAAACATTGCAAATCAACCTTTTTAGATGCTTTAGCAAAAGGGAAAACTCCAGCTTGCCTTCATCTTTGACTCATAGGAAAGGTGTAAATCCCACCCACGTAGTTAAAGCTTTCTTGCTGGACTCCCGCTTATTTTGAATTTAACAAAGGCTAAAAAGCCCATTGTGAAATGTTTGTTTGGAGGGCCAGAATCTAAACTTGCATTCCTTGTCATGGTCATTTTTTTAAAAGAAGATGACAGATTAGAGTAACAGAAGGGGAGAGACTCCAGCAATGCTAGACATAAGAGACCATCAGAAGAGGATGCTCTTTCTTTCTGGCTTGCTGTTGTTATTTTTATTTTCCACATACTCCTAAGGGTATCGGGTTTATCACCATGGCTGGGATGGGGCTTGGAATGTGGTGGACAATATGACAACAATTTCCTTCCTGGTGTGTCCCTGAATGGCCAGTGCAGTCAACACATAATCAGACAATCTACAGCTGCACTGTTGCTGTTGACAACTTCATTATGCCTGTGATATTCAGCTGGGTAATTCATTTCTCCAGCTTGGCAATATCTCCTGATATGCCTAAATGGGTTCAATGTAATTTTGTAAGCTTTTGAAGATGCTTACCCTTCCCTTGTGAGACACGATACACATTGTCTCCCCTTGTGCTTAGCTTTGTCCTAATATGGGAAACAATGATAACCACCACCAGGAAATAGCATTGCCTTGTTCAGCTCTTTAGTGCAGATTGAGTCTCCAGACCACAAAGGCAGGAAATATTAGTGATTGGAATGACACAGTAGGTCACTTAATGTCCCTTGTAACTGCCTTTTTTTAAATTTTATTTTTATTTTTTGGCCTGCCTCTGCAATTAACCTTCATATAACCAGGGCATTTTTCTACAAAACCAGATGGCCTTGCCAAGGATGTAAAAATAGATAATTAATGGTTCTGGGGGGGGTGTGCTGGCCTTTGGCATGATACCTCTACCCTCACCAATACTGTCCTGAAATGGAAGAAGCAGATAAGAAAGTAGAAATATGAGCATGCATAGCATCCAACACCAAAGCTGCCCTTTTCCTTAAACTGGGAAAAAGTATAAAATGCATTCCTCTGAGTTCTCTTTAATTCTTTTCAATTAAACCTATATGTATTGAAAATTATCTACCATGCACAGGGCCCCAGTCCAAGAGCTGAGAGGGAAATTCAAAAATCAATGAGGCCCGGGTCCTGCCCTCATGGAGATTTCAATCCAGTAAGGGAATTACATAGAGCCCCAAGTAACTCTAATGAAGTTAGGCTGTGCTGAGAGTTTTAACATCGTTATAAATACTACAAGGAGAGAGGAGAAAGACATTCATTCCATCGGGAACATGAAAGAGAGGTAAATAGTCTGTCTTCAGGGCCACCTTCCTTATTCCACCAGCCAATCTGTATTCTTTTAAGAAAATCTGGTCTGCTGAGAATCTTATTGGAGTCAACGTCTTAGTTCTGAGTTAGGACTACTCATCCTATCTGATTTCCAAGTGCTTGTTTGTCGTCATTGATAATGATCTGTTCCCAAGTATCTCAAATGAAAATGGAGAAGATAGCATAAAGATAGGTCAAAGAGTCTTTCAGGTTATTCTTTTATCTTTTTATCTACCTGTTTTCTTGACTTTATAAAGCTAAATTCTCCTAAGTGGACTCCTGTTGGCAAGTAGAAAATAGAGACTGAATCTGTGACTTTTAACTGCAGATATTTCAATATTAAGATTTTCTTTACAAAAAAAATGAGGAGGAAGAAAAAACATAGACAAAGGAGGAAGAAGAGGAGGAGGGGTCTGCCTAAAATTGAGTAGTCATTTATCCTTCAGTATTTTGACTAATCAACGAAACCGTTTTGACTTGTCTATTGAATAGTCACCTCATGGATTCCAGCTTCCGTGCCTACTGGTGAAGATTCATATGATTTGATGGGTAGCTGTACACATACATAGGGTTTTGAAAAAGCTGAAACCCTGAAGTCTGATAAATGTTCTATTTTTTAATCTAGACAAACATTGGTTTATGAGTTATCAAATCCTAGAGTATTAACTATTTCATTTTCAAATTGTTTGAGAATTCTGCACAACATCCTTAAAGTAAACCAGGGCACAAAAATCATCTTTGGCTTTGAATCACCAATAAAAGACTTCCCCAGAGGAACGGCCAAAATGAGTGTTGTAAATGGAGAGGGATCCCAACATCTCTGCCATGGATAACAGTCCTCTACCACAACCGCACTACAGTCCAGATATCCCTATACAAAGGCATGATTGAGGTCCAATTAGCCACCAACCTATTACACACTTTATTCATTATGACCAAATCTAGTGCATCAAAGAATACAGATGGCCTAGGGATTGGTCATAAGAAGCAACCTGTGCTGGCTCCTTTTAAAGAGAGTTAGGTGAATACTGCCACCTATTGATAGGTGAAATTTATGCTACAAATTCCTACTGATGTGCTAATGCTTATCAGAGCTGATCTCATTTCTCAGTTGGCCAAAGCATTTTATCAGCCCGAACTTCATAATTATTTACATGTTTTTGATGAAAAATAATTATGTTACATTAATGTAAAACAACTAACGAAATGTATTATATTTCTTATTATATTATTATACATATTATGTATTATTTCTTATTTCTTGGCAAAGGAATGAAGTGGAAATACCACAAACTTTGCAGAGACCTGGGTCTGAGTCTCAGCTCAGTCCCTAAATGCACATAAACAAGCTGATTAATCTCTCTGAACCTGAGTTTCCTCATCGATAAAAAGTGGGTAATCCTACTTTGTAGAGTGTGAGAATTCAGAGATACCATTGCATGGCACATAGAAGGTATTTGATAAATGGCAGCATTTATTTTTCCACTGAGCTATTAAAAGTAACTATTTTGATGCAATGATTGGTAATATGACAAACCACATCATGTATCAGACTCTGGTGAACTCTTCCACATGGTTCAATTATCCTTTGGCAATGCTACTTGTCTAGTATAGTATCTTTGACATCCAAAATTAAGACAGTGTGAACATAAATATTATAACCTGAAGTGTGCCAATTGAGAAAATAAGGATAAATGGGCTTCATTACCAAATGTCTCCTGACTGCCCTAGAGGATATATGGGGCCGAGCAGATAAAGAATTATGATAAAATGTTGGAACTGCATATAAATGGGGCTTTGTGACCTGCTGGATAAGGTTGAGACTTAGAGCCAGACCCAGGAGGCTCACATTCCTTCCTCGGCATGGTGTGGGGGATCCTGGGCTCATACAGACAATAGGGGATTCATAGCTTGAGAATTCTAATGATGACTGAAAGGAGGGTGGCAGCCAGGACAAGAAGGCTTTTCAGAAGCATGGACTCCGATTATCACGTCGGTGCTACAGCCCGGTGAGAGGCTGCTGAGAGGACGGATGAAGCTGTTCTTGGAAAGCTTTCAGTGAAGTGTTTGTAACCTCCTTTAAGAGAATCCCGTTTCTCAAAAATGTGGCACTGGAAAATCCCACATGATTAGTTCAGATAAACACTCTGTCATCGGATTGCACTACGAGGAATATGGGCCATCTCTTTTCGAAGAGTCTTTTTGAATGCAATGTGTCTCGTCTCCAAGACTTAGAGAAAAATTCTAAAAGAGGCTTTCTCAGGATATTTTGAGACCGTTACTTTTAGTCTGAAAGGTCAATTGGTGCTTAAAACAAAATAATCAAGAACTAGCATGCCCGTGAGCAGTCTGCATCTTTTCTTTAGGAAAAAAAAAAAAAAAAAAGTCTGCTTTGGATTGAATAGCCAATGCACTCCCCCACCCCTTTTCTTTTTTCTTTGGGGATTAGAAATTGAGAGGGAGGAGGAAGAAGAGTTTCACATTCATTACTAACAACTTCGCACATAATAAGCATATTCAGATACACCCTGGGGTGTTAGTTTTCTTTTCCTATTTTTTTGTCTCCTTTTTAGCAGCTTTCGGTAAGTAGCACATTTTATTTTTAAAAAAAGAATCGGAGCCGTTATTGAGCAGCCTCGCCCTAAGGAAGGTCAAGAGATTAGGGAACGGAAGTAGGCTGGCCAGGCTCTTTGCTGACCACAGTAAGGGAATGCCACTTTCTTATAATTTAATTTTGAGATCCTGATGAAAAGGCACTCCCTAAGAAAAAAAAAAAAAAATCTTCGCTGAAAAAAAAGTGAAAAATTGTTAGAAAATAGCCATCAAAAAGTGATCAATTTAAATTTATGTCTAACAAACAAACCACATGGAACTAACCACAGGGCAGACATGCATTTGCAGCGATATATGGACATTCTCAAAATATGGTCAGGATTTTGCAGGGGAAAGTGGACATTACTGGCTTCTGATGTTGGTGGGCTTTGGCCTAATTTTGCAAGTATTCTGAAATTCTATACATCATATGTCACAAATCAGAGGAGAGTATACTAAAAGAGACCTTTGAATTTAACTGGTCCAATGCTCTCATTTCACAGGTGAGAATAATGAAGCCTAATGATAAAAAGTAACTTGCCCAAGATCACACAGCTGGTGAGGGGCAGCTCAAGGACTGAAGTTCAAACTCCCGTTTCCCAGACCCAGGTTCTTTCCAATGAGCTAAACAACTGTAGTGGGAAACCGCAGACTCTCACATTTCATGGAAACCCTGTACCCATGCCCCCTGGAAATGGCCCTCAATGTTGCTAGAGGCAGCTCATCTGTCACAGCCTGGGCTAAAATCTTTACCTGGTGCTAAATGGGTTCTTCAAAGCATTCTATGAATGTCTAGGCACATTGACATGACTCCAAGGACTCAGCTTCTGTTCTTTTCTCTGTCTTAAAAAAAAGAGCACAGACCACAACCTGCATGCCATAATTATCTCTAGGTGTATGTACTGGAATAAATTAATGTCATCATCATCCGCCATCATGTAGGCTAAAACTTTAAGTCACCTTCAACGTGTCTCTCTCTCTCATCCTCCCCATCCCCCACCTATACTATTGACAATCCTGTAAGTTCTATCTCCAAATATAAGACTTTCATCTCCTAATTTACATCTTCACGGGCCTTCACACCATCAGTGTCTTCCTGCTTCTGGGTTCTCACCACTATCCACAATGGCCAGGCCAGGTGGATCCTAATCAACTGTTCTGGCATTCTCCTGCTCAGCTCACTGTCACCTATGGCATAACATCCAAACTCTTTAACATGGTGTTCGAGCTCTCCCCAATTTAGCTCCTGCTTACTTTTTGAGACCAATTCCATCAGCTCTTCCCTGCATTATTCACTCCAGTACACTGGACTACTTGTCATTCCCTAACAGCCCCGGAACTCTATGCCTTGACACTATGCCGTGACGCCGAACCTGTTTCTTCTTTTCAACCTGTAGAGAGATCTTCATTCCTCCAGTTCCAGTTCAAACGCCACCTTCTCTGTGAACATTTTCTATGTGTTACAGAAAGAAGTAATAATTCTATGTTCCCTTAGCACATTGCTCATACTTTTTTATGGCATTTACTTAATTCTGCCTTTTATTGTAATTGGTTGCATATCTCATGCTAAGTATATCTCTTTTATCTTTGAAAAGATGCCCTGTTCATCTTTGAATGGGAGCAATGCGCCCTCCCAACCACATTGCTTCATTTAATATCTGCATATAATAAATGATTTTCTTTCTTAATTTTACTGAGCACTTACTAGGGCTGGAGGTGTAGTGGCTGAAGGAGAAAGATGCAAAATAAAACACAATCCTTGTATTTAAAGGAGCTTTTAATTGAATCAGTGAGACACATTCGCAAATATCCTAAGCAAGTTAAATAACTGTGGGGGTGGAATTGGGTGGAGGGGAAGTTCTGAGTGTGGAACAAACATTCTCAGTGTTCCAAATGAGAACATTAGTATTATGACATGGAGGGTGGAGTAATGGGGGAGGAGTAGAAGGAAAGAAAGGGCAAAGCTGCCTTTAGATCCCATCTCGTGCTGTAGTCATTATTAGAGTCTTCTCTAGGTCTGGCTAATCTCACTTATACTTCTCTCAGAACCAGAGAAATCTTCCTAAAACAAGACTGTGATCATTTAACTCCCTGTTCAAGTGTTTGATGTTCAATGAATCAAGCATCAAATAATTGCAGGCTTATGCTAAGAGTTATAGAGCACCAGTCTGCAGAGACGAGACGAACTCCAGGAAACAGCCAGAGAACAAAAAGGAAGAACATCCTGTAAAAGTGCTAGGAAGTGGGAGACAAAGTAAGAGTGTGATCAATATGGGCTGAGATTAATCCAGAAGGATTAATTGGAGGAGGCAAGCCTTCTGTGGATGGTCACTTGGCAAGAAAGATTAGACATACCAAGAGAACTTTAAGGTTCCTTTCAATTCTGAGACCCCATTTCCCATTATTACTTGAGGTGATTTATGTATTCATTCAATAAATACATGCTAAGCACTTCAACAAAACATCAAATATTTATTGAATGCCTTCTATGTGCCAGGAACTCTGCTAAACCCTGGACATACAGCAGAGAATAAGAGACTTTGCACTTAAACTCTTACAATATAATGGGGATGACTGATGCTAAACAATGAAGTGCAATAAAATATAAGGGATATAATGATGGCAGAGTATAAGGTGTCGTGCTTTCAGACCACAGAGCAGGGACCCTAACAGCCTAGGGGCTAGAAAAATATCTCTGAGAGTTGATGTTTAAGCCAAGATTCCAAGGCTGTACGGGAGTTAGCCAGACATAGGAAACTGAGCATCCAGGCAGAAGAACACCCATCATATTTGATGATCTGGTATTCAGAAAGAATATAGCATGTCCAAGGAACTAAGAGATATTCAAAATAGCTACAGCATGGAATGCAAATAGAAAGGTGGTGAGAAATTTGGCTAGAGAGATAGGAAGAGCCAGAATATGGGAAATTTTTCTAGGGTATGTCAGGGAGTTTATACTTCATCAATAGGCTCTAAGTAACGTTAAAGTATGTAGCACAATGAATCTAACCTACTAAATACTTACTAAATGTCTATTGAAGAGTAGACTAATGAATACATGGATGAATTAATGAATTTCCTTTGCAATAAACATGGGCTTTTTGACTCAACTTGAGTATTTGCTCTAGAAAGTGTTGCTACTATTATCAGTGGCACTCTCCCCTTAGGTCTGCATGGCACGTGTAACTCATGACCCCTGTGAGGCAACCCCCTAACCTTAGTAGAGTTACTCAGTCACCTAGCTTACCACAGCAGATGTAATTCAAGTAAGTCTGCATTCAAGCCAAAATTTTTCTAGATGAAAGGGTAAAGTTTTACCTGGCAATCATTTTGGCCTAAGGTGTGCAAGAGAAGCCGGA
Organism: Homo sapiens; assembly: GCF_000001405.40. NCBI lineage: Eukaryota > Metazoa > Chordata > Mammalia > Primates > Hominidae > Homo > Homo sapiens. The sequence goes on from NC_000017.11 coordinate 56,324,648, forward strand.
CTCTTTCTTAATCCTTGATGAAAAACATAGCCCTCTAAACCTCAAGGGCATGAATATTCCTAAATTAGATTATTCATAGCAACACTTCCATGGACAAATAAATCCAAGGATAGAAAGTGATAGTAAATGTTCGAAGGAGAGATTTTGCCTTTTTAATAAGAAAAGAAAAAGTAAGACAATTGTTAAAAGCTAAACCAAGCTCTTCCTTTGGCCACCCAGGTTTTATGAGTCACTGAGCCCTGCCTCAGATCGGAACTCCAGAACAGACACCTGTTGGGGGTGAGCGAGCTATCAGGGGGAGATAATGTCTCTAGAAAGGGGGAGAGTTTCATGAATACAAGATGTCATTTCCAGGATTCTAAGCAATTACCAGGCCAAAGATTAACTCTCCACCCTCTTGTTTATGATCAAGAGACTTTCTCCTGACTTGCTACAGAGTCTCATTCAAAATTTGAGAGTTTATTTGGCTCCAGGTATAAATAACAGACTAGTCAGTGCCTAGCAGAAGAGTCCAAAATTACTCCTGAAGTCATCACAGCAGCTAAACATTCATTTGGCAGAGAAAGAATCAGAACAGAGCTTTAGAAAGATTCTTAATGCTGTTGCTAGTGTCGCTGTGTGTGTGTGTGTGTGTGTGTGTGTGTGCACGTGTGCAGTATTCATATGTGCTATCAATCGGCAAGTCCCACCCCTCAACATAATAAACAGCCTGTGAAGGTCATTTGCCATTTTATTTCAGTGAGAGCCATTAAAAATGCCTACATATGCAGCTTTCTAGGAAATCTATTTGTGTCTTTCATTAGTCATGTAAAGCACAATGCTGTGAAAGGAGCCGGGTATACCCATATGTGTCTGGCATAGAAGCAGCACTGGAATCTTCTTCCTGAGACTGAGCCTCTTGCTGTCCTAAGTCCCACATCTGCTGACTACTTTCTCAGAACCCGCTCAGACAAAAGCCCATGCACAGCTTCAGCAGCCCTGACTGGATTTAGAGCTTTCTTAAGATGCCCCCTAGCTCCTGCTAGGAGCTTATAAGGAATTGCGCAGGTGCCCTGTGGTGAAGGGATGTGACGGCCACTTGTGTGCTTCTGGTCCCAGACGGCTGTGGAAACAAGGCGGTGTCTGGCCCCAGAAGGGCTGTAGATCATTTGCACTCACAGATTGCTGGATGAGCTCTTGGATGCCAGACAATATTTCTTTCCCTGCCGGTTGATGTAGTGACCCACTGCCCCTCTGCTCACCCCTGAGTGACAGTCGGTTCGGATTCAGTCTTGTTTACTATGTAGCTAGTTTTCTCCGCAAGCCGTTTCAAATGGTCCTCACGGATACAATAGGCTAAGCACACACTGAAGTCATGGTATCCTTTCACTACACGCACACAAGCTACAGGAATCAAGCCTTCCCCAGGCTGCAGTCTAGAGAATACACCTAGCCTCTGAGCCAAGCTGTTTACTTCTCCCTTTCTCTCCCTATGCATCATTTCCTCTTTTATTTTGCATTAAGAGTATCTTCATGATCATGGACTTCGGCTCTTGCCTGTAGTGATCCTGTTCGCATTTTATTCTTTACACAGAATAGGAAGGAGATTCGCTTGCTTTGCACAGAGGCTGAGCCACAGGAGAAAGCAAAGCCAATGTGATTTATTGAATGAAAGCACTGGACAATTACCAACAACTTGTTCCTCTGCTGCCTCGAACAGCATAAACTGGTAAGTCAAATTTACTGTTGTCTTTCTTCATGTGAATATGGAGCTTTCTTAATTACTGATTATTTTTAAATGTGTATATGTTGCTGTGGCTTAAATGATACTTAAAAATCTGCATCTTCCAAAGTTAGCTGCAGGTGGTCCATGAAGAATACACACAAGCACACACACACACAGTGGTCTGCAATTGTACATACACGTCCCTGTGGAGAGAGAGGATGGGGGTAGGGAAGCCCCATTTCTGATAATTGGGCATTTTGTTTGCAGTAAGCTTAATCACATTAAGTGCTTGCATAACTGATTAGCATTGGCTATGAAAAATAAATTACTGTTTTGTTGTATAAAATCATTTTCCAGTCAGGTTCCTGAGTACCTAACAAAACACCTGTTGGGTCAGGTAAAGATGGGTTCCATCATGCTGATAATCCTGAATGCAAACCCAGATATATTACTGTCTTTAATCCAATTTTCAGACTGGGCAAGCAGAGTGGAATGCCAGCACTCTGTTCATCCTGGGTGAGTGTGCCCATAAATAACATTATGACTGTGATACTGAGGATATCTGCCAAGGGAATCAATGGACATGTATTTAAATCCTTGCTTGATCCACCACTACTGTTGCATCTGTGTTATCTAAGTCTTTTCTTTATTTCATAAAGATATGGTTGCTGAGGTGTACTGGGTTCAAAGTGGGATGTTCTAAGTATCCAGTTACCCGTGCTGATCATTGGCCTGGTCACGGCCATCAGGAGCTCCACTGATAATCAAGACTGAATTTGCTTCTGTACTGGGCTCCAAAAATCCCCATACTCACTTGGTTTCTTCATTTCCTAAATAAGAGGTAGGCCAACCTCAGCAGATAGAGAAAGTGAATGTAGAAAGATCTTGCTTTTCTTACCACCATCCCCGCCCCCACCAGTCTCCTTAGTCTTTTGTTTGCCTGGCTACCCCAAGGCTTTATGGCAGCATCAATCCATCTCTGGTGAACTCAGAGTCCATATAAGTGTCATATAGAGTTTAATGTCTTTGGTGCACTCTATCTGCAGTATATCACTGGCTGTTCAGACAAAGTTGTGGCCTTGGGTGTGACAAAGATGAATGATGTCACAACAGTGAGCAGCATGCTTCTCTAAATAAAAACCAAAGTTAGGAAACTGGAGAGATGGGTGAAGTTTTGCCTGGTGGAAAGGATCTCCAAGCCACTCAATCACAAGAGCCAAGGTCATTCTCCCAGGTGATTTGGCTATTTCACAAATGATGGCATTCTAATAGCAAGGAGACCGAGTTGCCTACTGGTTACAGGAATGGTGAGATGTCAGGATAGTTGCATATTTGTGCTGGCTCCCAGATTAAAGATGTGTCTTTTGGAAATTTCCTTAGCCTCTGTGGATCTCTGTTCTGCCATTCCTTCTATTCCTAATTGTTTCAAAGAAGACATGCTAAACTCAGTTAATGTTTTCATGAGAAACTACTTTAGGTTCTTTTGTTAAATGATGAACTAAGTATTCAAGATCATTGTTCATGTACTTTAATCCAGAGGTCGTTCATCAGAAATACACAGATGAGGGTTTATGTGAGGATGAGGGGATACATGTCCCTTCCCTCATCTAAGGGATCCAGAACACTCTGAAGGAAGCATGATCACACTTAGGGAATTAGAAGAGGAGAATGGAGCTGAGAAGTGATGTTAAAAAAATTCAAATTCAAATAAATAGGTCATGTAAATAAAAAGGATTTTAAAAAATATTGATTAGTGATAACTGATTTGCTATACTTACGACCCCAAGATCCCAAAGATCATTAGTATTTTGAAACAAACATGGAAGTATTTTTTTCAGAGGGTAGTTCAGGTATGGGTATAATCCATGTATAGAACTTATGGCAACTTTCAGTTGCTCAAATTGCTCCTGTTCCCATGCATATGGAATTAGCAGCTGCAAATGTACTATGATTTGAGAAGCTCTAGAAGGCTTATTTGCACCCCCCAAAATTTGTCCCATCTCTTAGTATTAGGGCACCTGAAATTCTTTCATCAGAGACTCAATTAAGTATTGATGTCTTTTATAAAATTCAAACATTCCTAGGGGAAATAGTAAAGTAAGCCACTGATACTTTATGATAAATGAATGTATTAAATTGTTTCTACCTCAAAGGTAACCCAAAGGATGTGGAATTAGTATTCTATTAATTATTCTGCTTTGTATTTGCTTCATACCTGTCTCTAAGAACTTCACTTATAATTATTATTTCACTCTTCATCAGAAAAATAAGTACGCTTAGGGCAAGTTATTTCCTTCTTTTATGGAATATCTGGATTAGACAATACCATCTCAATTTCCTATAGGCTTTTGAGAGTCACATTGTGGAAAGCCAAACTCATTATCTTTTCCCTTTCTAAACTCACTTCTCTGCCTATGTTCCTTTAAAAAAAAAAGGGGGGGCAGGAATCTATCATGCACCCAGTCAGCTAATAAGGCTCACAGAATTTGTCACTGGGTTTCCTGATCTCTCTAGCCCCTTCATCCAATCACTAACAAAATGTAGTCTATTTTATTTCCTTCATCTTTTGAATCTGTCCAGCCCACCCCATCCCCATTGCCACAAGCTTTAGTTGAAGTCACCAGCTCTCATGGGGTAATTTTTTAAGAGCTCCATACTTGGTTGTCCCCCACCACTGTTCCTACATCCCTCCCCTTTCCAGCAATCCTCTAGCTGCTACCAGAGCAATTCTCTAAAAAAGCAAATCTCAATTTTTCCTTCAAAGTCTCCAATGCTGCCCTGTTGGGTACAGGTTAAAGTCTATGATTCTTATCATGGCATGCAAGTTCTTTGGTGGTCTGGCCCTGCTACCTCTTCAGGCTTCTTTCCAAAGGTCCTGGTGTGGTTGATGAAATGTACCACTGTGAGTGTCAAAGCCCAGAAAAACTTCATGGGGGCCCTCACTGGTACTGACTTACCAGTGACACCATGATGTTTCCCATCTCTATATCCTAAGCTGAACTATTATACCTAGAATGCCCCTTTTCCCCTTCCTGCTAGTTAATTCCTCATTCATCATTCAAAATCCTTCTCAGGCATCACTTTCTCTAGCCCATTTTCCCACAACCTCTTATCCAATGACCACATCCTGTCACACAGAAAGTTCATCACTCACCCCTCTGTGCTACTTCTATGTTTTAGGTTTTTTGAGAAAAGTGTTTAGAGGTTAAGATCTCAAATCTAGAATCATACTACCTAGGTTTGAATCCCAGATTTACTACTCTTTAATAGTGCCTCAATTTCTATCTGTGTAAAATGGAGATAATAATAGTCATTCCTTCACATGGCTATTATGGGATTCAATACGTTGATACATGTAAAAACACTGCAACACACTGAATGCTTATGTTTCTCCGAAAGCCAAATGTTGAAATCTTAACCCCCAAGGTGGTGGTATTAGGAACTGAGGCCTTCAAGAAGATATTAGGTCATAAGAACCCTGCCCTCATCATTGAAGTTAGTGCCCAACCCCAGAGAGCTAACTAGTTCCTTCCGCCATGTGAAGCTATAGCAAGAGGGTTCTGTGTTTGAAGCAGAAAGTCAGCCCTCACCAGGCACCAAATCTACTGGTTGCCTTGATCTTGGACTTTCCAGTCTCCAGAACTGTGAGAAATAAATGTTTACTGTTTACAAGCCACCCAGTTTATGGTATTTGGTTACAGCAGCCTGAAGGGACTAAGACAGGTATTATTCTAAATAGCACCTGGCTCATAGAAAGTGTTATAGAAGTGTATTAGTCTGTTCTCACACTGCTACTAAATGAAATGTATAAAGGAAAGACTGGGTAATATATGAAGTAAAGAGGTTTAATGGAATCACAGTTCCACATGGCTGTGGAGGGCTCACAATCATGGCAGAAGGCAAAGGAGAAGCAAAGGCATATCTTACATGGCGGCAGGCAAGAGCACTTGTGCAGGGGAACTCCCATTTAAAAAATCATCAGAACTCATGAGATTTATTCACTACCATGAGAATGGTATGGGGGAAACCGCCCCCACGATTCAATTATCTCCACCTTGCCCTGCCCTTGACATGTGGGGATTATTACAATTCAGGGTGAGATTTGGGTGGAGACACAGCCAAGCCATATCAAGAAATATAAGCTAGTATTATTAGTCCATAATTTCGCATACCACACTATTTCATAGCTATGCATTTGCATAACTGACTTCCTTTCTAGCGTATGAGCTCCTTGGGAACAGGTAGGGTAACCAGCTCATTTCAATTTGCCTAGTACTTTCCCAGTTTTAGCTCTGAAAGTACTGCATCCTGGAAACCCTCTCTCAGTCCTGAACAAACTAAGACAGTTGGTTACCCTATGTGGGATACTATCTTACTTACTTTTTAATCCCTTGGGTCTATCACAGGATACACAGGTTACAAAGTAGATCATCCATAAGTATTTGTTGAACTGTAGAATCAATACTAATCATCTTTCTATCCTCTTCTTCATAAATGTATGCTTTCATACTTCAAAAATAGTGTTCCTCTTGCCAAGGAGTTACTGCTGACTTTTCAAAACTTATCACTTAATATATATACATTAAAGTGCACAGGAACTAGAAAGGTGGCTTCCACTCTGTGTCATCATTGTAATAGGATTGGCCACCCTTTAGCACTCAAAGACACACCTGTTATGTTAACAGCAGGTGGGGAATGGAAAGAGTCTAACTTTCTTTTCTGCCTAGTGACAGGCAGGTTGAAGCCTTAAGGTCCCCTAGTTCACATCACAGCTAGAAAAGCAATCTTTTGCTTTTAGAAGCCAATTGCTTCTAGAGCTTCTCAAATCATAGTACATTTGCAGCTGCTAATTCCATATGCATGGGAACAGGAGCAATTTGAGCAACTGAAAGTTGCCATAAGTTCTATACATGGATTATACCCATACCTGAACTACCCTCTGAAAAAAATATTTCAATCCCAGTCAGAAATGTCCCTCTCACTGACTATATCTGTCTACCCACCTGTCAAGCATGGTTAGAACTCCTATTTTGAATATGCTATGTCTTACAACTGCTTCTCATCCAGACTGGCTCAGACCTTTTGTCATAGTACAAATATGCTGAGAAAGTCCCACAACCAAGCTCCACTGAAACATGAACTCTGGAGGTGCCAGAACTCACAACATGACAGGAAGTCTTGACTTCAGAATCAAGATCTAGGGAGATGAAGCTGACAGGCAGCCAGATCAAGTTCCCTTAGAAATAATAATAGCAGAGTTGTTGTAAGTATGGACTTTGGAGCCAGAGTTCAAATCCTGCTGCTCCATTTACTGGCTGTAACATCTTGGACAGGTTAGCTAACCTCTCTGGGCCTCAGTAAAATGAGAATATGGTCAAAGCAGCTATTTCCTCAGATAATTATTATTATATCTTGTTTTAGCATGTAAAAACAAAACTTAAGGTAAAGCCAATTGCAAATTATCTATTGGGTATTGGGAGATACAACCTCAGGGCATCAAGAGTGAAGAAAAAAGGGAAGTGAGTCAAGGAAGAAAGGAAAACAAAGGTGGCTGTAACTGAAATAGCACTTGCTTCACAAGAAAACACATCTTGTTGTTCTTTTATATATGTTGGCTTCCAGGTAGCCCTCAGAACAGTCTATAGCAAGCAATAGAGAAGAAATTATCTACTGGCTACTGAAAGTCTCCTGTGTCTCACTGGTCCAATGTTCTCCATTTTCGGTGGTGTTACTCAGTCTCTTAGGGTAGCCACAAGCAAAGCGAAGGCCTCCATGGGTCTTGTTGGGTCAGGGCTGCTGCAGCTACTGTCACAACAAGCATGATGGAGACCATATCAAAACACGCCCTCTCCCTGAGACAGCTGGTAGTTTAGGAGACAGGATGATGGCGGCAATCGAGGCTCTCTGCTTATGTAAGCAGCAAAGCCCAGGGAACAGGTGCTTGTGAAGCCAACATGAGGAGGCTCCACTCTGCACAGGCTACTCTTCCCATTTTGGACCTGCATTCTCCAGGCCAATGTACTATTTTTTTCCTATGTTTTGTTCTAAACATTTTATAGTTTTAGCTTTTACATTTAGGTCTAGGATGATCTATTTCAGGTTAATTTTTGTATATGATGTGAAATAGGGATTGAGGGTTTTTACATTTTTCAGTATGGATATACCATTGTTCTAGTACAATTTGTTGAAAAGATTATCTTTTTTCCTATTGAATTACCTTGACATCTTTTTCAGAGATGAATTGATCATATACGTACAGGTTGTTTCCTGGCTCTCTATGCTGTGTCATTCATCTATATTTCTATCTTTATGAAATTGTCTTTATCTATATGGCTAGCCTTAATCTAATCCTGTATGTCTTAATTACTGTAGCTTCTTAGGGAGTTTTGAAATCACATAGTGTAAGTCTTCCAACTTTGTTCTTCTTTTTCAAAATTGTTTTGGCTATTTTAGATCCTTTCCATTTCTGTAAAAATTTTAGAATCTGCTTGTCAATTTCTACTGAAATAAAAAGCCTGCTAGGATTTTGATTGAGATTGCATTGAATGTATATGTCAGTTTGGAAGAACTGACACTTTAACAATACCTATTCTTCCAATCCATGAACAAGGTGTGTATATATGTGTGTATATATATATATATATATATCTTCTTTAATTTCATTATTTAATATCATGTCATGTTCAGCATCCAGGCTTTTCATAAGTAGATTTTTATAGATTTATTAGATTATTCTATGTAAACTTTCATGTTATCTGCAAATGAAGACTATCTCATTTCTTTCTTTCCAATATATATGTCTTCGACTTATTTTTCTTGCCCTACTTCACTGGCTAGGATGCCCAGTACAATAGAAAAAGTAGGAGTAGACATTTTTGCCTTGTTTCTGATCTTAGATAGAAGAGCTTAGTCTTTACTCATTAAGTATGATATTGGCTATAGGTTTTAAAATATTCTTTTAATCAGATTGAAGAGGTTCCCTTACATTCCTGAAAGATTTTTTTACCATGAATAAATGTTGTATATTATTAAATCCAATTGCTTTTTATGAATCCATAGAGATAATCATATAGTTTTTCCTCCTTGTCCTCTCTTTTAATATATTAAATTACATTGACATTAATGGGTAGATAAATGTTATACTAACCTTGCCTTCTTGGAATGAACCCTGCCTAGTCGTGATGCATTATCCTTTTTATAATATACATTGCTGGATTTAATTTTGCTAACGTTTTGTTGAAATTTTTTGCCTCCATGTTCATGATAGACATTGGTCCATACCTTTTTTTTCATGTCTTGCCTTTTTCCTGGTTTTAGTATCAAGGCAGTACTAGCCTTGAAAATGAAGCCAAAGTTTTGGAAGAGTTGTATGTCGAATTGGTATCATTCCTTAAAGGTCTGGTAGGCTGTAACATTTAACATGACATTTATTAAAGATTTTAGGATAAAGTATTAGCATACGGAAAAAGAAAATGTAAAACTAGAAATTAACATTCCCATAAAAGGTGGTCTCCTAGCTAATATCTCCTAAAGCCTGGTCCTATAGCCAAGTTGTAGAGACCAGCCCACCTTTGACCAACCGTGTGTTTCCCTCTCTTTGGAACTCGGGTCCCCTACATCTTTATTAAGGAAGAAAATGATACATCTTGTTGCTTAAAGCAAACCCCATGGGATTTAATTTCATTATTAAATATTAAGTATTATTAAATTAAAATAACATCTAACAATTGAATAAATGAATAGTGGCATATCCATACAATGGAATACGTCTCAGCAATAAAAACTGAAGGACTACTGACACGAAGAGTATAGATGGATCTCAAAATGTTTACGCTGATTTAAAGAAGGTGGATTTTAAAAGTGTGCATACTGAATATTCCATGTGTATATTCAAGAAAATGAAACATGATCTATAGTATCAGCAAGAATGTTGATACTTCCCTAGAAACTGTGGGGGCAGTGAAGGGATTTTAATCAGGGGAGGGGGGAAAAGATTACAAAAAGACACAAAGAAACTTTTAAGGATAATGTATATGTTCATTATCTTGATTGTGACAAATGGTTTCATGAGTGAACACTTATGTCAAAGCTAATCAAATTGTACTTTTTAAAACATGCAGTTTATTTTATGTTAATTATACCTCAAAAGACCTGTTAAAGGATAATAACTAATATTTATTGAACACCTATTTTTTCAAGCACTCTGCTAAACAATGTATACGTATTTGCTCATTTAAAATTCTGATATCCCTTTTTGGACAATACATGACTACTATTAACATGAGGAATAATGTTAATTATGAGGAAATTGAGGTTCAGGGAAGCTAAATAAGTTGCTCAAGGTCATACAGTTAATAAGTTAAAAAGTCAAAACATAAATAAAGTTCAATCAGTGTTATATCAGAGCCATACTTTTAATACTGTGCTTAAAACCACCATAAAGAATGGAATAAAATATCCTGAATGGTATTGCCTAGGTTTTCTTCTAGGGTTTTTATGGTTTTAGGTCTAACATTTAAGTCTTTAATCCATCTTGAATTAATTTTTGTGGAAGGTGTAAGGAAGGGATCCAGTTTCAGCTTTCTACATATGGCTAGCCAGTTTTTCCAGCACCATTTATTAAATAGGGAATCGTTTCCCCATTGCTTGTTTTTGTCAGGTTTGTCAAAAATCAGATGGTCGTACATGTGTGGTGTTATTTCTGAGGTCTCTGTTCTGTTCCATTGGTCTATATCACTGTTTTGTACCATGATGTTTTGGTTACTGTAGCCTTGTAGTATAGTTTGAAGTCAGGTAGCATGATGCCTCCAGCTTTGTTCTTTTTGCTTAGAATTGTCTTGGCAATGCGGGCTCTTTTTTGGTTCCATATGAACTTTAAAGTAGTTTTTTCCAATTCTGTGAAGAAAGTCATTGGTAGCTTGGTGGGGATGGCATTGAATCTATAAATTACCTTGGGCAGTATGGCCATTTTCACGATATTGATTCTTCCTAACCATGAGCATGGACTCTTCTTCCATTTGTTTCTGTCCTCCTTTATTTCGTTGAGCAGTGATTTGTAGTTCTCCTTGAAGAGGCCCTTCACTTCCCTTGTAAGTTGGATTCCTACATATTTTATTCTCTTTGTAGCAATTGAGAATGGGAGTTCACTCATGATTTGGCTCTCTGTTTGTTATTGGTGTATAGGAATGCTTGTGATTTTTGCACATTGATTTTGTATCCCGAGACTTTGCTGAAGTTGCTTATCAGCTTAAGGAGATTTTGGGCTGAGATGATGGGGTTTTCTAAATATACAATCATGTCATCTGCAAACAGGGACAATTTGATTTCCTCTTTTCCTAATTGAATACCCTTTATTTCTTTCTCTTGCCTGATTGCCCTGGCCAGAACTTCCAACACTATGTTGAATAGGAGTGGTGAGAGAGGGCATCCCTGTCTTGTGCCAGTTTTCAAAGGGAGGGCTTCCAGTTTCTGCCCATTCAGTATGATATTGGCTGTGGGTTTGTCATAAATAGCTCTTATTATTTTGAGATATGTTCCACCAATACCTAGTTTATTGAGAGTTTTTAGCATGAAATGCTGTTGAATTTTGTCAAAGGCCTTTTCTGCATCTTTGAGATAATCATGTGGTTTTTGTCGTTGGTTCTGTTTATGTAATGGATTACGTTTATTGATTTTTGTATGTTGAACCAGCCTTGCATCCCAGGGATGAAGCCAACTTGATCTTGATGGATAAGCTTTTTGATGAGCTGCTGGATTCAGTTTGCCAGTATTTTATTGAGGATTTTCGCATCGATGTTCATCAGGGATATTGGTCTAAAATTCTCTTTTTTTGTTGTGTCTCTGCCAGGCTTTGGTATCAGGATGATGCTGGCTTCATCATAAAATGAGTTAAGGAGGATTCCCTCTTTTTCTATTGATTGGAATAGTTTCAGAAGGAATGGTACCAGCTCCTCTTTGTACCTCTGGTAGAATTCGGCTGGGAATCCATCTGGTCCTGGACTCTTTTTGGTTGGTAGGCTATTGATTATTGCCTCAATTTCAGAGTCTGTTATTGGTCTATTCAGAGATTCAACTTCTTCCTGGTTTAGTCTTGGGAGGGTGTATGCGGCCAGGAATTTATCCATTTCTTCTAGATTTTCTAGTTTATTTGTGTAGAAGCGTTTATAGTATTCTCTGATGGTAGTTTGTATTTCTGTGGGATCGGTGGTGATATCCCCTTTATCATTTTTTATTGCATCTATTTGATTCTTCTCTCTTTTCCTCTTTATTAGTCTTGCTAGAGGTCTATCAATTTTGTTGATCTTTTCAAAAAACCAGTTCCTGGATTCATTGATTTTTTTGAAGGGTTTTTTGTGTCTCTATCTCCTTCAGTTCTGCTCTGATCTTAGTTATTTATTGCCTTCTGTTAGCTTTTGAATTTGTTTGCTCTTGCTTCTCTAGTTCTTTTAATTGTGATGTTAGGGTGTCGATTTTAGATCTCTCCTGCTTTCTCTTGTGGGCATTTAGTGCTATAAATTTCCCTCTACACACTGCTTTAAATGTGTCCCAGAGATTCTGGTATGTTGTGTCTTTGTTTCATTGGTTTCAAAGAACATCTTTATTTCTGCCTTCCTTTCGTTATTTACCCAGTAGTCATTCAGGAGCAGGTTGTTTTGTTCCCATGTAGTTGTGCAGTTTTGGGAAAGTTTCTTAATCCTGAGTTCTAATTTGATTGCACTGTGGTCTGAGAGACAGTTTGTTGTGATTTCTGTTCTTTTACATTTGCTGAGGAGTGCTCTACTTCCAACTATGTGGTCAATTTTGGAATAAGTGCGATGTGGTGCTGAGAAGAATGTATATTCTGTTGATTTGGGGTTGAGAGTTCTGTAGATGTCTGTTAGGTCCACTTCTTGCAGAGCTGAGTTCAAGTCCTGGATATCCTTGTTAACCTTCTGTCTCGTCGATCTGTCTAATATTGACAATGGGGTATTAAAGTCTCCCATCATTATTGTGTGGGAGTCTAAGTCTCTTTGTAGGTCTCTAAGGACTTGTTTTATCAATCTGGGTGCTCAGGCAAGGACTTCATGACTAAAACACCAAAAGCAATGGCAACAAAAGCCAAAATTGACAAATGGGATCTAATTAAACTAAAGGGCTTCTGCACGGCAAAAGAAACTACCGTCAGAGTCAACAGGCAACTTACAGAATGGGAGACAATTTTTGCAATCTACTCATCTGACAAAGGGCTAATATCCAAAGAACTGAAACAAATTTACAAGAAAAAAAGCAACCCCATCAAAAAGTGGGCAAAGGATATGGACAGACACTTCTCAAAAGAAGACATTTATGCAGCCAACAGACACATGAAAAAATGCTCATCATCACTGGTCATCAGAGAAATGCAAATTCAAACCACAATGAGATACCATCTCACACCAGTTAGAATGGCGATCATTAAAAAATCAGGAAACAACAGATGCTGGAGAGGATGTGGAGAAATAGGAACACTTTTACACCATTGGTGGGAGTGTAAACTAGTTCAACCATTGTGGAAGACAGTGTGGGGATTCCTCAAGGATCTAGAACTAGAAATACCATTTGACCCAGCGATTCCATTACTGGGTATATGCCCGAAGAATTATAAATCATGCTATATAAAGGCACGTGCACACGTATGCTTATTGCGGCACTATTCACAATAGCAAAGACTTGGAACCAACCCAAATGTCCATCAATGATAGACTGGATTAAGAAAATGTGGCACATATACACATGGAACACTATGCAGCCATAAAAAAGTATGATTTCATGTCCTTTGCAGAGACATGGATGAAGCTGGAAACCATCATTCTCAGCAAACTATCACAAGGACAGAAAACCAAACAGCGCATGTTCTCACTCATAGGTGGGAATTGAACAATGAGAACACTTGGACACAGGGCGGGGAACATCACACACCAGGGCCTGTAGTGGGGTGGGGAGCTGGGGGAGGGATAGCACTAGGAGAAGTACCTAATGTAAATGATGAGTTAATGGGTGCAGCAAACCAACATGGCACATGTATACCTATGTAACAAACCTGTACATTGTGCACATGTACCCTAGAACTTAAAGTATAATTTTAAAGAATGGAATAAAATGTAATGATAGACTTCAACCTGTGGGTTTTTCAGTGAAAATGGCTAATAAGGAACGCTCTCTTAAGAGTGATATCCCAGATTTAACACAACAGATACAGTTTCCTTGTCCAGTCTTTTTAAAGGACTCTATATTTATTTTACCTGCCGTATATTTATTTAACACTTGAGGTTTCTTTTTTTCAGTTCAGTTTAAAGTTGCAAAGAGTACCGTTGCTATCCATTTCAAGATACTCTTATGGATGCTATAGAGATTACATGATGTATTATTCAAGATCCCAGCAAGAATCATATAGTGCATTCAAACAGAAGAACAGAGGGGAGGTTACTAATAAGAACACTTACAAAAGAATGGGCAAGTTAGTGAAAACCAGTAAGGAATGGTAAAGCCTGAAGGGACAAAAGGAGGAGCAATTTCTGTAATGCAGAGGAAATAAGTTGTATTGAAAGGGATACCCCACAGATGAAGAGGGGTAAATATCACTACCTTACTCTCCAATTTCCAGCCAGTGCCTCCCATTGGGTGGGCAATATCAAGGCTTCTAATCCATGAACAAGGAATGTCTTTCTATTTGTTTATATTTTTCTTAATTTATTTCAATGGTGTTTTGTATTTTCTGAAAATTAGTTTTTTTACTTCTTTTGTTAAATTTATTTCTAAGTATTTTAATCTTTTGATGCTATTGTAAATTAAATTGTTTTCTTTATTTCATTTCCATTTCATTGTCATTTAAATCAGAAAGGAGAAAAAATACAAAAATAAAAGATAAGTTTATGCTCTCTTTATATTTATACTGTATTTTATATTTTTCTGTATAATTTCCTTCTCGATGCTTTCTCTTTTTTAACTTTGGTTTAAGTTCAGGGTATCAGTGCAGGTTTGTTATATAGGTAAACTTGTGTCATGGGGTTTTGTTGTACAGATTGTTTCATCACCCAGGTGTTAAGCCTAGTACCCATTAGTTGTTTTTCCTGATCCTCTCCCTCTTCCTATCCTTCACCCTCTGAAAGGCCCCAGTATCTCTTGTTCCCCTCTATGTGTCCATGTGTTATCATTTAGCTCTCACTTATAAGTGACAACCTGCAATATTTGGTTTTCTATTCCTGTGTTAGTTTGCTAAGGATAATGGCCTCCAGCTCCACCCATGTCCCTGCAAAGGTCATAATCTTGTTCTTTTTATAGCTGCATAGTATTCCATGTTATATGTGTACCACATATTCCTTATTCAGTCTATCATTGATGGACATTTAGGTTGATTCCATGTCTTTGCTACTGTGAATAGTCCTGCAATGAACATATGCATGTATGTCTTTATAATACAATGGTTTATATTCCTTTGGGTATATACACAGTATTGGGATTGCTGAGTCAAATGGTATTTCTGTCTTTAGGTCTTTGAGGAATCACCACACTGTTTTCCACAATGGCTGGACTAATTTACACTCCCACCAACAGTGTATAAGTGTTCCTTTTCCTCCACAAACTTGCCAGCAACTGTTATGTTTTGACTTTTTAATAGTAGCCATTCTGACTAGTGTGTGATGGTATCTCATTGTGGTTTTGATTTGTATTTCTCTAATGATTAGTAATGATGAGCTTTTTTCATATGATTGTTGGCTGCATGTATGTCTTCTTTTGAAGAAAAAGTGTCTGTTCATGTCCTTTGCCCACTTTTTGATGGGGTTGTTTGTTTCTTGTAAATTTGTTTAAGTTCCTTGTAGATGCTGGGTATTAGACCTCGTCAGATGTATAGTTTGCAAAAAATTTCTCTTTTTCTGTAAGTTGTCTGTTTACTGTGTTGATAGTTTCTTTTGCTGTGCAGAAGCTCTTTAGTTTAATTAGATCCCACTTGTCAGTTTTTGCTTTTGTTGCAAATGCTTTTGGCATCTTCATCATGAAATATTTGCCCATGCCTATGTCCTGAATGACACAGCCTAGGTTGTCTTCCAGGGTTTTTTTTATAGTTTTGGGATTTACATTTAAGTCTTTAATCTATCTTGAGTTAATTTTTATATATGATGTAAGGAAGGGTTCCAGTTTCAGTCTTCTGCTTATGCCTAGCCAGTTATCCCAGCACCATTTATTGAATAGGGGATCCTTTCCCTATTGTCTTTATCAACTTTGTCGAAGATCAGATAGTTGTAGGTGCACAGTCTTATTTCTGGGTTTGCTATTCTTTTCCATTGGTCTATGTCTCTGTTCTTGTGCCAGTACCATGCTGTTTTGTTTACTGTACCCCTGTGTTATAGTTCAAAGTTGGGTAGCATGCTGCCTCCAGCTTTGTTCTTTTTGCTTAGGATTGTCTTGACTATTCGGGCTCTTTTTTTGGTTTTATATGAATTTTAAAATAGTTTTTGCTAGTTCTGTGAAGAATGTGAATGGTAGTTTAATAGGAGTAGCATTAAATCTATAAATTGCTTTGGGCAGTATGGCCATTTTCATGATATTGATTCTTCCTATCCATGAGCATGGAATGTTTTTCCATTTGTTTGTGTCATCTCTGATTTATTTGAGCAGTGGTTTTAGTTCTCCTTGTAGAGATCTTTCACCCCCCTAGTTAGCAGAATTCCTAGGTATTTTATTCTTTTTGTGACAGTTGTGAATGGGAGTAGATTCCTCTTTTGGCTGTTGGCTTGACTGTTGTTGGTATATAGGAATGCTAGTAGTTTTGGCACATTGATTTTGTATCCTGAGACTTTGCTAAAGTTGTTTATCAGTTTAAGAAGATTTGGGGCTGAGACTGTGGGATTTTCTAGATATAAGATCATATCATCTGCAAACAGGGATAGTTTTGACTTCCTCTCTTCCTATTTGAATGCCCTTTCTTTCTTTCTGTTGCCTGATTGCCTTGTCCAGAACTTCCAGTGCTATGTTGAATAGGAGTAGTGGGAGAGGACATCCTTGTTTTATGCCGGTTTTCAAGGGGAATGCTTCCAGCTTTTGCCCATTCAGTATGATGTTGGCTGTGAGTTTGTCATACATGGCTCTTATTATTTTGAGGTATGTTCCTTCAGTACCTAGTTTATTGAGAGTTGTTAACATGAAGAGATGTTGAATTTTATCAGAAACCTTTTTTTCATCTATTGAGATAATCATGTGGCTTTTTTTCTTTAGTTCTCTTTATGTGATGAATCACATTTATTGATTTGCATATGTTGAACCAACTTTGCATCCTAAGGATGAAGCCTATTTCATCATGGTGGATATACTTTTTGATGTGCTGCTGGATTTAGTTTGCCAGTATTTTGTTGAGGATTTTTGCATCAATGTTCTTCCAGGACATTGGCCTAAAGTTTTTTTTTTTATTATAGCTCTGCCAGGTTTTGGTATCAGGGTGATGCTGGCCTCATAGAATCAGTTAGGGAAAAGTCCCTCCTTTGCAATTTTTTGGAATCGTTTCAGTAGGAACGATACCAGCTTTTCTTTGTACATCTGGTAGAATTCAGCTGTGACTCCATCTGGCCCTGGGCTTTTTTTGCTTGGTAGGCTATTTATTACTGCATCAATTTCAGAACTCATTATTGGCCTCTTCAGGGATTCAGTTTCTTCTTGGTTCAGTGTTGGGAGGGTGTATGTGACCAGGAATTTATCCATTTCTTCTAGATTTTCTGGTTTATGTGCATAGAGGTGTTTATCATATTCTCTGATAGTTGTTTGTATTTCTGTGGAGTCAGTGGTAATATCCCCCTTATAATTTCTGATGTGTTTATTTGAATATTCTCTCTTTTCTTCTTTATTATTCTAGCTAATGGTTTATCTTTTTTTTTTTTCAAAGAAAAAGCTCCTTGATTAATTGATCTTTTGAATGGTTTTTCATGTCTCTACCTCCTTAAGTTCAGCTCTGATTTTGGTTATTTCTTGTCTTCTGCTAGCTTTGGGATTTGTTTGCTCTTGGTTCTCTAGGTTTTTTTGTTGTGATGTTAGGTTGTTAACTTGAGATCTAACTTCTTAATGGGGGCACTTAGTGCTGTAAATTTCCCTCTTAACACTGCCTTAGCTGTGTCCCAGAGATTCTGGTACATTGTATTTTTGTTCTCATTAGTTTCAAAGAACTTCTTGATTTCTGCCTTAATTTAATTATTTACCCAAATGCCATTCAGGAGCATATTATTCAATTTCCATGTAATTGTATGGTTTTGAGTGAATCTCTTAGTCCTGAGTTCTAATTTGATTGTAACGTGGTCCAAGAGATTGTTTGATATGATTTCAGTTCTGCATTTACTAAGGAGTGTTTTACTTCCAATTATGTGATCAATTTTAGAGTAAGTACCATGTGGTGATTAGAAAAGTGTATATTCTGTTGTTCTGGGGTGGAGAGTTCTATAGATATCTATCAGGTCCATTTGTTTCAGTGTTGAGTTCAGGTCATCTTTGTTAATTTTCTGTCTTGGTGATCTGTCTTATACTGTCAGTGGGGTGTTAGAGTCTCCCACTGTTATTGTGTGGGAGTCTAAGTCTCTTTGAAGGTCTCTAAGAACTTGCTTTATGAATCTGAGTGCTCCTGTGTTGGTTGCATATATATTAAGATATTTAAGATAGTTAGACATTCTTGCTGAATTGAACCCTTTACCATTATGTAATGTCTTTCTTGGTTTTTGTTGTTGTTCTTTGTTGGTTTAAAGTCTGTTTTGCCAGATAGTAGGATTGCAAATTCTGCTTTTTTCTGTTTTCCATTTGTTTGGTAGCTTTTCCTCATCCCTTTATTTTGAGTCTATATGTGTCATTGCTCAATTATTTATCTTTCTTCATGTGGATTTGCATTACTATCTAGTGTTCTTTCATTTCAACCTGAAGGTGTCGTGTTTGTGTTTATTGTACAGTAGGTATAATATCAAAGTTTTTGTTTATCTGGCAGTATCTTAATTTCCTCTGTATTTTTGAAATGTAGTTTTGTTGGGTAGAGAAATTCTTGACAGTCTTTTTTGTTCATCACTTTGATTATGTTTTACCACTTCTTTTTGGCCCCTGTGATTTTTGGTGAAAATTAGCTGTTAATCTTTTTGAGGATCCTTGTAATGTGATGAGTCTTTTCTCTCTTGCTATCTTTAACTTTCTCTCTATGTCTTTGGCTTCTAATGGTTTGATTTTGATGTATCTAGATGTGGCTCTCTTTGAGTTTATTCTACTTAATGTTCATTGAGCCTGTTGATGCATAGTTAAATAGGGGCATATTTTGGCCATTATTTCTTCAAATAGCCTTTCTATACCTCTCTTCTTCTCCTGGGACTCCTATTATTTGTATATTGGTATACTTGACAGTGTTCCAAGGATCTCTGCACTCTTCACATTTCTTCATATTTTTTCACTCCTCATACTGGATAATCTTGATTGATCTATCTTTATGTTTGCTGATTCTTTCCTCTGCCTGCTCAAATCTGCTGTTGAGTATATTTTTCATTTGTTAATGTACTTTTAAATTTTAGAATTTCTATTTAGTTCTTGATTTTCTTCATAATTTCTATCTCTTTATTATATTTTCTATTTGGCAAGACATCATTCTCAGAATTTTCTTTATTTCTTTGGGTATGGTTTAGCTCTTTGAACATATTTAAAATAGCTAATATAAAGGTCTTTGTGTAGTAAGCCCAATATTTGGGCTTCTGCAGGAATCATTTCTATTGACTGCTTTATTTCCTCGTATGGGACATAGTTTCTGTTTCTGTACATGCCTCATACATAGTTTTCTTGAAAACTAAGCATTTTATTAATGATGTAGCAACTCTGGAAACTATATTACCCCTTCTCCCCAGTGTTCATTGTTGTTTAATGAGTTTTCAGAATTAAATTTGTAAAATCTATATTTTTTTGTTATATGTGGCCACTGAAGTTGCTACTTGGTTAACTTAGTGGTGAGTTAATGATTGAACAGAGATTTCCTTAAATGCCTAGAACTGATAAGCATCCTAGTTTTTGCTGAAGAGCTCTGCATGTGTGTGTTGGGGCACACCTTCAATACTCAGCCAGGCAGCTGAAAATACCACCTTAGTCTTCACTTCCTGCTTGCAGAGCCATGAAGTCAGACAGAGATGAGATTTTAGGATCTTCTCAGGTCTTTTCTGAGCATGCTCCCTGCCCTGTAGTCTGTTAGATTCTCAGGAAAATGACAGAGCTTTTCAAAGCTCTCTGTGGACATCTAATTCTCCATCTAACATAGTTAAACTACTGTTAAACAATTACTAATCTTTGTTTTTGGAAAGAAAAAAAAACAACAGAAAAAAAGGCTATTAGCCCTTCATGAGCTCTAAGTCAGAGCGAATGAAGATAAGCCTTGTGAGTAGGATTTTCTAGAAAACCCCCAGACAGATGAAATAATGACAGTTCTCTGGAAGAGGCATTTTAAAGGAGCTACAACCCCATTCTGCCCCCTTCCAGTGGCTGACAGGCTACTGTTTTTTTGTTTGTTTGTTTGCGTGTTTTTTAATTTTACTTTGTGTTCTGGGATACATGTGCAGAATGTGCAAGTTTGTTACATAGGTATACATGTGCCCTGGTGGTTTGCTGCACCTATCAACTCATCATCTAGGTTTTAAGCCCCGCATGTATTAGGTATTTGTCCTAATGCTCTCCCTCCCCTTGGCCACACCCACCGACAGACCCCAGTGTGTGATGCTTCTCTCCCTGTGCCCATGTGTTCTCATTGTTCAACCCCACTTATGAGTGAGAACATGCAGTGTTTGGTTATATGTTCCTGTGACAGTTTGCTGAGAATGATGGCTTACAGCTTCATCCATGTCCCTGCAAAGGACATGAGCTCATTCTGTTTTATGGCTGCGTAGTATTCCATGGTGTATATGTGCCACATTTTCTTTATCCAGCCTATCATTGATGGGCATTTGGGTTGGTTCCAAGTCTTTGCTATTGTAAACAGTGCTACTATAAACATACATGTGCATGTGTCTTTATAGTAGAATGATTTATAATCCTTTGGGTATATATCCAGTAATGGGATCACTGGGTCAAATGATATTTCTGGTTCTAGATCCTTGAGGAATCACCACACTGTCTTTCACAACAGTTGAACTAATTTACACTCCCACCAACAGTGTAAAAGCATTCCTGTTTCTCCACATCCTCTCCAGCATCTGTTGTTTCAGGACTCTCTAATAATTGTCATCCTAAATGGCATGAGATGGTATGTCATTGTGGTTTTGATTTGCATTTCTCTAATGACCAGTGATGATAATCTTTTTTTCATATGTTTGTTGGCCACATAAATGTCTTCTTTTGAGAAGTGTCTGTTCATATCTTTGCCTACTTTTTGATGGGGTTGTTTTTTTCTTGTAAATTTATTTAAGTACCTTGTAGATTCTGGATATTAGACCTTTGTCAGAGGGGCAGATTGCAAAAGTTTTCTCCCAACCTCTAGGTTGCCTCTTCACTCTGATGATAGTTTCTTTTGCTGTGCGGAAGCTCTTTAGTTTGATTAGCTCCCATTTGTCAATTTTGGCTTTTTTTGCAATTGCTTTTCATGTTTTAGTCATGAAGTCTTTGCCCATGCCTATGTCCTGAATGGTATTGCCTAGGTTTTCTTCTAGGGTTTTTATGGTTTTGGGTTTCACATTTAAGTTTTTAATCCATCTTGAGTTAATTTTTGTATAAGATGTGATGAAGGGGTTCAGTTTCTGTTTTCTGCATATGGCTAGCCAGTTTTCCCAGCACTATTTATTAAATAGGGAATCCTTTCCACATTGCTTGTTTTTGTCAGGTTTGTTGAAGATCAGATGGTTGTAAATGTGTGGTGTTACTTCTGAGGTCTCTGTTCTGTTCCGTTGGTCTATATCTCTGTTTTGGTACCAGTACCATGCTGTTTTGGTTACTATAGCCTTGTAGTATAGTTTGAAGTCAGACAGCATGATGCCGCCAGCTTTGTTCTTTTTGCTTAGGATTGTCTTGGCTATACGGGCTCTTTTTTGGTTCTAGATGAAATTTAAATTATTTTTTTCTAATTCTGCCAAGAAAGTCAATGGTAACTTGATGGGACAGGCCACTGCTTTTACCATGAATGTAAACTGTTGGTTTCCAAGACTGCCACAGAGCTGGAGAAGATGGGAATAGGGCAAGTTAAAATGCCACAAAGCTTGCTGTTCTTACTAAATTTAGCCATTTTTCTTGAATAAAGACATCCTGGATTGCTGCAAGCCTTTGGTTAATATCCCAGATCCTGAAAAAGTTAATTTTAGCCATTTTTGCTATGGTTCTCTTTGCTGTTATGGAGAAAGGGACTTTTGGAAGTCCTTTCTCTGCCATTCCCATTGACGTACTATTTTTTTTTTAATTTTGAATCTTTATGTGAAATTTTTTTTAGGTGTACCATTTGTAAATGGCTTTTTAGGAATTCTGCTTGGAGAGTCTTTGTCTTTTATTAGGAAAAGTAAACTTTTGAATATATTGTGCACACAGATATATTCAACCTATAGTTTTGGTTCTGGAATTTGGCAGGCCCAAATGAAATTCTGATACTGTTACCTACAATCTCTGTGACTTTGGGCACCTTATTTAAATTCCCTGAGTTTATTTTATCATTTATGAAAAGACAATATTAGGACATTAACCTTATGACTTCATTTTACATTTTCTATTTATTATGTTTTTTTATTTTTTTATTTTTAAATTATTTTAGATTAATCTTTATTCCACCCTTCCCTCTAATAGTTTGAAGTTTCCACTTCCTATATCTGTTTTAGTATATGTTACTATAAACAAACACACAGAAGTCTCTACTTGAGTACATAAAATTAGTTTCAAGACATTATTTAAGACAAGCAATAAAACTATTTAAATTGTTATGATATACTTTGGTGTCTCTATTTTGAGAAAAAGACTTAAGGTGATAATTTCTACTATTTATTGAGTGGATACTATGCACAAAACAGAATAGGTACCTTTCATTTGTTGATTAATCTTCACAATTCTAGAAAAAAAGAGTTTTGATAAGTGTCTTTTGATAATGATGACATGAATTCATAGAATTGAAATGAGATTCCCAAAGTCACACAGATTATAGGTAACAATATCAAGATTCCAATTGGGTCTACCAAATCCCAAAACTAAAGCTACACTGATTCTCAAATGCTTGTCTCTTTCCATAAGGGTAAAAATTTAAGAGCACAATTAGTTGGGAGGGTCATGCATATTTGTAATAACAAATAACAGAAAGTTGTCTTTCTTACCATCTTATCTGACAAAATTTTAAATATAGAGGAGAAAAAGAAAACATAATGATAGATGAAAGCTAGAAGAGTGGAAACGGCTACAGAATAGCCTGGAAGGAAGGGACAGCTGGGGGAGGATGAGAAGGAAGTCAGAGAGACAGAGAAAGTCAACCTATGTTGACTGAAGGGAACAGATGGGAGATGAGCAAAGACAAAAGGGGCCATGTGGGTAGGTGTCATCAGTTAGAGGGCAAGTAGCTGGAATTTGATCAATAGACAAGAATTTATTTACTGGACTTCTGGGCATTGTGGGAGATACAAAAGAATGTAGAGTTATTTTGGGAACAATAATGATGTAGAGAAAACAGATGGCTTGAACTGGGGCATTAATGCTGAAGGAAAAAGCTAGAGACAGAAGGCAGAAAGAAAGAGGTTAAGGCAATCCCCATGTGAGCCAGCTTGCATATGAATCTGAAATTTTTATGAGAATGGAAAAAAATAAGTTAGAGAAAACCTCCTATTTGCTATTGAATCAAAGGTAAAGGATTTGTAGATGGAAGAAAAAAGATGCCAGATAACCTCCCTTTCCATTTCTACTTTTGAGAATGTTATTAAAGATTTATAAAAACATACACATACATACACATTACAGACAATGCTTGGCATCATCCTTCCAAATGTAAATATGTCCATTTAGCTAAAACTGGGTAGGGCCTCCTGGACATTACTAAGATTGACTAAGTAGGACCACCTTAAAAGGATCTAGGAAGTCTTTTTGTTTTGAAGAAAGTTGCAGACAAAACTTAAAAGGTGCCTCAGCAAAAGAAACTATCATCAGAGGGAACAGACAACCTACAGAATGGGCAAAATATTTGCAAACCACGCATTTGAAAAGGTCTGATATCCAGCATCTACAAGGAACTTGAACAAATTTATAAGAAAAAACAACAACCCCATTAAAAAGTGGGCAAAAGACATGAACAGACACTTCTCAAAAGATATACATGTGGCCAATAAACATGCAAAAAAGCTCAACATCACTGATCATTAGATAAAATCCACAATGAGTTACCATCTCACACCAGTCAGAATGCCTATTACTAAAAAGTCAAAAAACAACAGATTCTGGCCAGATTGTGGAGAAAACAAAACACTTTTACAGTATTGGTGGGAGTGTAAATTAGTTCAATGATTGTGGAAGACAGTATGGTGATTCCTCAAATACCTAGAGGCAGAAATACAATCCCAATACTGGGCATACACCCAAAGGAATATAAACCATTCTATTATAAAGATACATGCATGCATATATTCACTGCAGCACTATTCACAACAGCAAAGACACAGAATCAACCTAAATGCCCATCAATGATAGACTGAATAAAGAACATATGGTATATATACACCATGGAATACTATGTAGCCATAAAAAGAAATGAGATCATGTTCTTTGTAGGGACATGGATGAAGCTGGAAGCCATTAGCCTCAGCAAACTAATGCAGGAACAGAAAATCAAATATTACACGTTCTCACTTATAAGTAGGAGCTGGATGATGAGAACACATGGACACATGGCGAGGAACAACACATACTGGGTCCTGTCAGTGAGTGCGGGCTGGGAAGAGGGAGAGCATCAGGAAGAATAGCTAATGGATGCTGGGCTTAATACCTAGGTAAACGGATAATCTGTGCAGCAAACCACCATAGCACACATTTACCTATGTAACAAACCTACACATCCTGCACATGTAGCCACGAACTTAAAAGCTGGAAAAAAAAAAAGCCTGAGGACATTTAACAATATAATGAAGATGAATCTCCATTTCTTAAAGTCAAGGCGAATCAAAGTTAGTTTGTGCTAGCAGACATGGAACCCAGTTCAAAGGCATGAGGATGAAATTAACTTCTGGGTAGTGCTCTAGTATATTAAATATAATAGACTCTCATATGTGCACTCATTTATTCTAAATTATCTATTGAAAGCCTACAACAACAAAAATATTAGCTACTATGAGTCTTCCTAGATACTAGGCTCCTAAATATTTAACGTGATGGGAATCCCAACTACACTGATTTGATCTTTATAAATTATATAAATGTACTAAATTATCACATATACCCCAAAATGTGTATATTTATTATATACCAATTTTAAAAATTAAATTTAAAACATCTGAGGGGAAGTGGTGAGAAGGCAGTGACATGCTCCAGAGAACGCTGGGCCCAGTGCATCAGAGGCTCTACCAGGGAGACACTTTGCACATAATTACCTTGGCTAGTTATTTCTCTCATTCCTTTGTTCATCCAATACATATACACATGCCAGGCAGCCAGAGTCTTGATAGCATCAAAATTTCAAGAGCAATACCCACAGTTATTGTGGATGGCTTTTGAATGGCATGGCTGATCTGGAAACTGACTTCAGTTGTGACATTGGTGAGGACCTCGTTAGAGATTTCTGAAACAATGGTCAAGTACTAATTGAAGAATGCCAGTAGTGAGTGCCTTGGTGGGCCCCAGCCAGGGTATCTGGGGTAAGCAGGGATGGACCTATGGGTACAAATTCCCCAAATTTATGCATACTGGGATAGTTCACCAAGCCTCAGATGGACAGAGGACAGATGCAAGTTAACTGCTACCTCAAGAGATTGGGGCTATGCAGAAGGTAACTTGTGTCTGTCCATCTGAGACAAAGCCTCACTTTCTTATATACCCAACAGAAGCCAACATCTAGGTGGATGTAAGTAGAAAAGTCCCAATTATATATACCCAAGAGGAATTGAACAGACCCCCTAGGTTACAGAGAGACACTTCCTCACTTGGGATAGAGAAGTAAAGACTTGAGTCGAGGTTCAATCATATATATGTCTGTATGTGAATGAATATGTTTATATAGTAAATGGAGGTTGTCGTTTCATTCCTGCCACCAATTAGCTCTGTGGCCATGAGTAAGCTGCTTCCTTTCCCTGGGTTTCAGCTTTCTCATTTAAAACATAAAAAAAGCTGGGTCTGATAATCTCTAAGGTCCCTACCAGCTCTAATATTGTATTTGGATTCCAGATACTGACTGGAGATGATAAAATCATATGTCAACTTATAATTTGTGGTGTAAAAGATATAACATCGGACTTTCCTCTTCTTAGGAATTGTCGTGTGAAAATGACGCAACAAATGCAAAATTTACATCTCTGTCAGTCAAAAAAACATAGTGCTCCCTCATCTCCCAACGCAGCCAAACGCCTGTACAGGAACCTCTCTGAGAAACTGAAAGGGAGCCACTCTTCCTTCGATGAGGCCTATTTTAGGACAAGAACTGATCGGCTGAGTCTCAGGAAGACCTCGGTGGTAACAAAACTGTTTTTATTCTTGTGTCAGTTTGATTTATTCATTTATGTTTGGGTTTAAGGATATTCTAAGATGATTCATGTTTACTTCAGAAGTTGATGCTTGCAATTTTATAAATGCTGGAATAGATTCAGGTAGGGTAGTAACTGTACATATTTATGTTGTTAGACAAAGTCTGAGTGATTGTGAGCTGTTTCTCTTTCTTTTTGTTTCTTTTTCTTCTCTCTTAATTTTTATTTCACCACTACACCAAAAAATAAATAAACCTCAAAAAAAAAAGCAGCTTGACAACTATGAAGTCTCAGGTTAAATGGGCTTTCTGAGAGTTCCAGTGTTCATTCAAATAATGATATTATTACTTATTTCTGATGTATACCACACATTCTTTCCAAAGGCATTCAAAATAGAATCCAAAGAATGCACATGTATTATATGATAGACAAAGAGAGAGGAGGAAGGAAGGAAAGTAAGGGAAAAATATAAAAAAAAACAACTAGGAAAAGAAAATATTGGGTATAAGAATAAAAATAGATATATCAAAAACTCTAGGCAAATATAGTACCTGTACCTGAAATTTATCATTACATTCATCTCTGACTTCCCAGAAAGTCAAAGCAGAAAAAGAAACACAATTGGTTATAGCATCCCATCTGTTGATAACTAAAAATGTCTCAGTCCATCAGGAGGAATGAATATTCACCTGTTGCTCAGTCCTCTGGACCTTGTAGATGTCATAGTGAGTTATGTAATAGAGAATGGCGTAAATAGTGGAACTCATGATGTTACAGGTATTCTCATATAATAGTTTCTCAGAACAGCCCTCAGTAAAAGCTGAGAGCATAATATTAACATGCTCAGCAAGGGGATTTTTGCAGGGAGTAATGGCACCATTTGTTTGCTCTTAAAACAGAAATGAGTCCTAGCCTTTCCAGATAGAAGCATGCCAAAGTTTGCCAACAAAAGCTTGGAGGAGGAAATGACTTAAGAGTGAGAGTAAATACGGCACATGAGAAATTAGGAATACTAAGAGCCAAAAACAAATACACGACTGTGGACAGGGTGGCACTTTAACTTTGAACTCGTTTGTTTTCTAATATGTTTTCGCATTTCAAACTCATCTTTTGGGAGGACTTGGCTGTGGTTAAATCGGGGCCTAAGCATCAGAGGCTCTTCAGTTTAGCAGATTGTGGATAAAACACTTTACCATTCAGCAGATTGTCTTGTAGCAAAGAAAACTGCATACCAAAATAGCTTTATTCCCTGGGTCCCCATTGTCAAAACAAGCATTTGCATAATAGCTTTGTATTTTCCTCAAATTTCAATTTTGTGTTATGTACTCAGCTAAAGCTGACCTGCAGCCTTTGATAGGGAGAATTGATTTTTAATGAGACTAAAAATAAAACCTGACCACCTGAACATTTGGTCACTGGAGATCTTCCACATGTTAATCAGGTGACCCCTATGCAGGTTAAAACCAGTGGTATTCCAACTCTTTTAAAGACCAAGCAACTCTTGGTGAAGATACCAGATAGATGTGTAAATAATACGTGTGTTGGTCTTCTCCCATGTGCTAAGAAATATGTACCTAAAAGAATTCCGGAGTTCTTCTCTTTTATTTACTATTAATCCTTGGAAAGAACTTTTCAAAGGAACCATATTTTCTTAAGCTATTTTTTTCTACAAGTGAAGTGTATTCTATAAATATTCAACTCTGGTCCCATGAGGCCCAAAACCAATTTGCCATCCAGCCATTGAAACCCTCCCTGAACACTACCACTTGGACTCCTCATCTCAGGGCTCAGAAACTATCAACCCACAGGAGCTAGCAGATATTTGGAAATAAGGAAGTAACATGTAACATGTATATTTTAGGAAGATTATTCTTGTATCAGTATAGAGTGAGAGCTGGGGGAGACCAAGACTAGCAGCAGACAGGTCATTGCCATGGTCCAGACATGAGATGACAATGTAGAGGCTGGGGATGGAGAGGGAGGGGTGAGTTTGAGGAAAAACAGAGAAAGTGTACTCTCAATTCCAAGCTAGCCATAACTGCTACCTGTGCTAACATTACCTATGCCAGCATTTCTCAAACTGTATTCTGTAGAACACTATTCCAGGAGTAGTCAAAGCAAATGCAATAAAATACATGTTAAAATTATTAAAGACCCTGAGGAAGCCTACAGGGAAGTAATGGGGTACACTTGGTTTAATCTAATGTTTATCAAATTGATTTGACCACATGCTATTTTCTTCATAGAACATCTCTTAATTACTTTTTTTTTTTTTTTAAGAGCGTCTCTCTCCGTTGTGCAGGCTGGAGTTCAGTGGCGCAATCTCAGCTGACTGCAACCTCTGCCCCCTGGGCAGGAGGTGATCCTCCTGCCTCAACCTCCAGAGTAGCTGGGATTACAGGCACCCAACACCACACTCGGCTAATTTTTATATTTTTTGTAGAGATGGGGTTTCACTATGTTGGCTAGGCTGGTTTCAAACTCCTCGCCTCAAGTGATCTGCCCACCTTGGCCTCCCAAAATTCTGGGGTTACAGGTGTGAGCCACCATGCCCAGCCAAATGAACTATTAGAGTATTTTTCAGAAGACTGGTTTGAGAAAAGCTGAGGTTTGCTCTTATCTACAGCCCAGCCAGGCTATCCTGTATTCTCTCAGTGCACTTATTCAATGTCCATTAGAAATGACGGAGGGGAAGCCTAACAGAGTGTTTACTTTGGAGACCTTGGGATAAATTGTAGTTATTCCACTTATAAGTGGACATGCAGTCCCTGAAACAGTCTTTAAACTTCAAAAGAGCTAAGCTACAAAGACACACTGGTTTAAGAAATTGTGCTGATCTACTTTTGCTCCTCTCTAGAATTTCCAGGGCAATGAAGCCATGTTTGAGGCAGTCGAACAGCAGGACATGGATGCTGTGCAGATCCTCCTGTATCAGTACACACCAGAAGAACTTGACCTCAACACACCTAACAGCGAGGGCTTGACACCCCTGGATATTGCCATCATGACCAACAATGTGCCCATTGCAAGGATTCTTCTGAGGACAGGGGCCCGAGAAAGTCCACACTGTAAGTAACCTGAGAATAAACACATGTACTATTAAAGCCAGATTCCAGCCTTATGCCACCAAAATAGCCATTGCTGACTTTCAGAGCAGGAATGGTTGACTAAGCATAGACTCTGAT
This sequence comes from Homo sapiens, assembly GCF_000001405.40. NCBI lineage: Eukaryota > Metazoa > Chordata > Mammalia > Primates > Hominidae > Homo > Homo sapiens. Next base: position 56,354,164 of record NC_000017.11, read on the forward strand.
AGGCTTTGGATGTTTTCATGGGCTTTCATGCAAATAGTGACAGCATTTATTGGTCTAAGCATCAAGTTCCTTTCTAAATAGAATATGCCGAATGGCATTAAAAAGGAACCCCCAAAGAACTTCTAAGAATTTTATTGCAAGCTTTAAAATATGTGAGATACTCCAAGTGAGGATATAGAATAGGAGATATATATAGAAGAATGAGCATTTGCGTGTTTCTGTTTTGTATCCACAGTCAATGCGGTGGCTTCATTCATTCATTCATTCATTCATTCAATAAACACTGAGTGTGGGACACTGTTCTAGGTGCTAGGAATGTAACAGTGAACAAGACAAAAGTCCCTATTCTCATAGAAATTACATGCTTGTTGGGAATACTTCCAATAAGCAAGTAAATAGATAAAATACAAACTCAAAATAGTGATAAACGCTGTGAAGAAAATAAAATGGATGAGTGGCTGTAGATTGATAGGGAAGGGACTATTTTAAATAGGGTTGATACCCATTGACCAATCTCTCACAATCCCCACCCCTCAGTCTTCGGTAAACACTGTAATTTCTGCTTCTATGATATCAACTTTTTAAAAAAATTCCACATGTAAGTGAGATCACGCCATGTTTATCTTTCTTTGCTTGGCTTATACAACATTTTCTTTATCTATTCATCTATTGACAGACACTTAAGTTGATTCTACACCTTAGCTATTGTGAATAGTGCCATAATAAACATGGGGAAGCATATATTTCTTCAACATACTGATTTTATTTCCCTTGGATATATACCCAGTAGTGGGATTGCTGCATCATATGGTAGTTCTATTTTTAATTTTGACAATTAGGTAGGAGGAATGTCTGGTGTTTACTGTACAGTAGGGTGATGTTGGAATGGTTAACAGTTAGGTATTGTATATTACAAAGTAGCTAGAAGAGAGGCTTTTGAATGTTCTCACCACAAAGAAATGATAAATGCATGAGGTTATGGATACACTAAATACCCTAATTTAATGATTATACAACATATATGTATATGAAAACATCCAGTTGTACCCCATAAATATGGGCAGTTACAATATGTCAATTAAAAAATGAATACATAAATAGGGTTGGGCAAGAAAAGCCTCTCTGATGTGGTGATATTTGAGTTGAATTCTAGAAGATATGAAGGAATGAACTATGAGAAGATGTGGGGGTCAAATTCTCGGCAGAGTGAATGGCAAATAGAAAGATGCTGAGGCAGGCATGAATAAGACTGACATACTGGAGGAACAAAAAAAGTCAGTGGGTCCAAAGCAAAGTAGCAAGAGGGAGAATGATGATTGAGAGAGAAGTCACAGGGACCAGATTATGCAGGACCCTGAGACCATGGTCAGTGTTCAACTTTAATTGTGGAGTACGATGGGAAGGCAGTGGAGCAATTTAGGAAGGTAAATGACATATTCTGATTTACATTAGAAGATCACCACAGTGCTCTATGGAAAAGAGACAGTGGTGAGGTAATTGTGAAATTGAGAAGACCAGTTACAAGGTCATTTTAGTGGTGCAGGAGACAGACTGGATGCTTGGACTAACATCACAGTGATGTTGAGTAGTGTCAGAATTCTGGATATATTTTTAACAGCTTTATTGAGATACAATTCACATACCATAAAATTTACCCTTTTGAAGTATACAATTCAGTGGTTTTTAACATATGCACAGAGTTGTGCAGCCATCACCACCATCAATTTTAGAGCTTCATTGCCCTGAAAAGAAACATCATACCATTGACTATTATCACTCCCCAATCTCCCCAACTCTTCTCAGCTCTTGACAACCATGAACCTACCTTCTGTTTCTATAGATTTGCCTGTTCTAGACATTTCATGTAACAGAATTATATAATATATGGTCTTCTGTGACTGGCTTCTTTCTGGATGTGTTTTGAAGTAGAGCTGATAGTACTTGGGGAAGAAAGTTGCACTGGGGCTAATGGCAGACCCCACCCAGGAGTGGGTGGGATAATATCATGCAGCACTCACCCTGTGCCAGGCACTTTTCTGAGCACTTTCCATGTATTGACTCCTTTAATCCTCACAGCAACATTATGAAGTAGGCACTCACATTCCCCTTAGTGAAAACTCTCTGACCCATTGACCACAATGGCTGTGAGCCACTGTTTTTATGTTTCCTAAAAGAAAAAAGTAAACTCATCAAACTGTTAGTTTCACTAATACTGATTCACTTACTTCCAAGTGGTGAGACCCAGAAGGCTGAAAGAGAAGCAAGCAAATATATAATTAGAGGTCACATCTCTGCTCCTAAATTTCGTAAATCGCCACCACCCAAAGACTAGGTACAGAAGCAGATCCTTGTATCAGAAAATTTCTTACTATAAAAATGCTAAGCTTACCATATCCATGTCAGAGACAGTGAAGATTTGGATTCAGTAGGATTTGAGCTCTTCAAAAGAGCTCTATAGTCAAAGTGCTGCCCCTTTTTAGTGGAACTGGAGGATTTGGAAGGATGATAAATGAGGATGGAAGAAATTGAAATGGCATCTTTGCTGCCTTCCGGTTTATTCTGCAACAACGTCTGTCCCAAAGATCCAGTGACAGAAGGGTGGAGAGAGAATCAGAGGGTCTGAACATGGAGAATGCAGACTGAGCCCCATTCTACAGGAACAAGGAGACCATTCATCCAGATGTTGCCATGGCCATCCTGCACTGGGCTGGATGAAACATTAGTCCTACTCACTTACCTGCGACACTACAAAAAACTCTGCATTTTCTGTGAAAACAGTAAGACTCCCTACCTCCCAAAGCCCCCTGTGCATAATTAAACCTCTGTAAAAGAACTCAAGTACTAAATATCTAGTTAAACCAAAAGCAAATTTGTTCAAGAGATCCCTGGTTTTCCTCCTCATTCTCTCTGGGATGATAGCCATGTTACCATCACAAAGTTGTAAAGGACAAATGGTGGGAGATAAACCCAGGTTTCAGCCTCCAGGAAACATGACACCTAAGTCACCTTGGCTACCTAAGAAGGCAAAGAGATACGACCACATATAGACTTACATGTGTAAAAATGGCAATGCAATATTGGTTGTGTACCTATGAAGTCTCCACATACAACATCTCTGGTTTTCACACTAACCCTACAGGATAAAGTTATTAACTCCATTTTAAGAGGAGGAACTTGTGATTCTGAGAAGTTAACTGACTGGCCCAAGGTCACACATCCAGGAAATGAATAAGGATGCCAGGGACTCAGGCCCGGATCTGTAGGATGCCAACACCTGGAATCTTTCCACACAAACTCACTGCCTTTCCACATAACCAATATGGAGGGCCGTGGCCTCTGGGCCCCTGCATCTCTCCCTTTCTACTGTTTGCTAAAGTCATATGATGTATTTCTTTGTTCTGTTCTGCGCACTAAGGTGTCAGTCGTGTTGGAGAGAGGCAGGATAGAAAAACATAGTGTTTTCAGGCATTTTTAATTCACTTTATATATCAAGTACAAAAGAAGCAGAATGCTTCTGTACGTGAGTTTGAGCAGGCCCAAGAGGAAAACCAGTCTGCCAGCCAGAACCAGATAAGCAAACACCTGCCGTAAACTGTTCCCCAGAAGCTAAAGAGGCAGGATATATAAGAGAGGAAAATTAATGATGAGGTCTGAAGTTCTTAGAGTGTTTTACACCTACAAAAATGGTTTTGTCTACATCATCTCCCTTGATCCTCACAACTGGCTTGTGAGGGAGACGTTGTTTTCTTCATCTTTATCAATAAAGAAATCGGAATTTTAAAGGTCAAATAGTTATCCCAACACAACAAAGTTAATAGGTGGTGCAGTCAGGATTTGAACCCAGATCTGTATTAATTGCCTTGGTGTTTGTGAGAAAGCTTTGGCATGCTCACTGTTACACATTAGATGCTCAATTCCTCCCTATTTTGGCTCTCCATCTGCTCCTCTTCTAATGACAGTTACATATTTCAAAGCAGAGTGCAGACTCCAGGGTTTCTAACAAGGTTAATTTTCTTTCCTCTCTTTCTCTGTGTATTCTCTTCTGAAAACTAGCTCAGTATTCTTTTCACTATGCCAACCAAGTATCCTCACACAATTCAGAAGAACATCCTCTGTAGTTTTCTCCATTTCTTAACAGGAATCACCGTGACACACAGGGTTTAGGGACTTAACTAACTCCCAAACCATTGGTCAGGCCTGTCTTCTATCTTGAACCCCTCGATGCCAGAGCCACATGGATGTGTTCTTTATAGGCATAGCTTGAAACTCAACCATCTGTGTTTCCTTACTCATAGAAAAATCCCAGAAGCAGCCATCTAAACTTGTACACTGCTCTCAAGTTAAATATATACAGAACCCCAGCCTACTCATTAGACGAATCTACTATCTTTATTCAATGACTTTTTTCTGTTCCTCCTACCTTTTTGCAAACAGCACAAAATAATATTCTTTCCTTGCAGAAAAACAATCAGCCATTATTGAAGTAGAGTCCCAAGTACTTTCTTGCAGACTGATGTGCTGAGCTTAGGAAAACAACCACTGAATCTGAAAGGACTGCAACTAGGAAAGCCAATGTATAGAGGCACCACAGGACACCCATGGGTATGCCATGGACTGTTTCATACACTTAGGATCCCAGTCGCTATGACTCATGTTCAATTGAACAACTGCTATCAAAGAAAGACTTGTTGTCTCTGTATATAAAAGCCCCCAGTCATAAACCCCTCCCTTTTTCTGACTAACTCGTATTCTGCCCCCACCCTCAAACCAACAGCCTCCAGGAGGAGTTTGCTGAATCATCGATGGGAGTCTTGCCTTTCTGAGATGGCCATTAAGACCCCATAGATAGTAATCATAAAGAAACCAGCTCTTTTGCCTATTGTGTACAAATCTGGTCACTCACAGAGATTTTATTTCATTCTTTGACTCCAGTACCTAGTACATAGTAGATGCTCAGAAAATTACAGTTGAAATTTTAGCCTTTGTGACAGCCTTGTCTTATGCTACTGGGAGTCACAGATGTCAAGTCTTAGTGTGCACATACACAGTCACTATGTGTATCATCGACACAGACACACACACATGCATACACAGAATGTAGGGAAAAAAACCTTCAAGTCTTCTAGTAACTTAAACTTTGGGGCACCTTTTGTTGTTAATAATGCTGTTATTGTTTTCCAGACATTGTTACAGAATTTGGTTGTAGATGTAGCCTAGTTGTTTTTATTTTTACACTATTTAATTACACAGACCAGTAAGAATGGTGGAATACCTCTCTGTTTCAGTCTTTCTGCCCTTTCCCTTAGCTACATTCTCCTTCTCTCTAGTCCCTCTCCTCTCCCTCTGCATTTCTTGGTGAATGCCTCCCTCTAACTTTCTCTCAGATGCTGCCTGTGGAACTAGAAAGTGTCACTCAGAATTTGTTATGTCCAGTTACTTCATAAAATGCAATTACAGAATTGCTGTCATTTGAGTATGGTGCAGACACCAGTGTTACAATTTTGGCAGTCTTGTCAGGATGCACCACTCATTTCTGCAGTAGTAAGGGGTTCGTGTTTGTGCTGGGACTGGTCAGGGCATGTCTAAGAGGTGTGACTATAAACTAATGAGGCTGGTTTTATGTAAACAAACACACTAGAAAGTCTACAATCCAAGCGAATGTTACCCTTCCACATGGTCCTCCTGGGAGACCCCACACTTGCTCCAACAGTGCTGCCATTGCTCTGAACACTTTGGAATTGTCCTCAGAGTCAGTTTATGAGAAAATCTGACTCGTTGCTGAGAGTCACACCTGATTTTTGTTCCAAAACAGCATTGCCTAGCGTCATCACCCTCTGTGTTCACCAGACTTGGCTTCAAATTATTTAGAGAGATTTCCTGAAATCAAATCCACCCTCAAAGGACAAAGATTTGCAGCCAATAAGAATATGTAAAGAACAAGCCTTAGACAGGTCTCTATAATGAGCCCTCAATATTTTTTTCTGCTTCACTAAAATAGGGGTATAGATCTTCACCCTAACTTACAAATCTGTTCTTATACTGTGCACTCCTCACCCACACCACCCTCCATTCTGTTCCTGTAACATGCCAGGCTATCTTACCATAGGGCCTTTGTACTGGCTATTCCATCTACTTGGAATGCTCGAGTGCTTTTAATCTTGTTCATTACATGGCCAAATCCTTCTTAACATTCACATTTCAGCTTAAATGTGACATCTTCAAGAGAGGCTTTCTCTGGCCACCAAGTCCAAAGTCTAAAATGACATTTTCTCATCACATCACTCTCTTGTCATTTTGTGCATAGCACTGACAATTTTTCTCAATGTTTTTATTTGCTTATTTTCATCTCCTCTGCAATAGAACATAAATTCCAAAGGACAGCACCTCTCTCATTTATTACTGAGTCCCCAGCAAACAGTAGACACTCAACTGAATTTAATTGAATCAATCCCAAGCCTATTTCTTTTGAGGGGTGTCAATATATTATCCCTTATGAAAAGAATGATTTTAGTTAGTATTGGGCTCATTGATCTTTTTTATGTTTTCAAATAATTATTTAAACATCAGATGGCCAAAACCTAAGTTCATGTCACCTATTCTTTGAGTTGATAGTTGCATTTTTCTGGTTTTTTGCTTTAAAATATTTAATTGACAAGACTGTATATATTCAAGGTATATAATGTGATGACTTGATATATGTGTTGTGTAAAGATTATCATAATCAAACTAATTCACAGATCCATCACAACCCATGCTCCACATTAGATCCCCAGATCTTGTTCATCTTCTAGTTGAAAATTTGTACCCTTTGATCAATATCTCCCTATTTTCCCCACCCCTAGCCCATAGCAACCACTATTCTACTCTCTGTTTCTGTGTGTTTGACTTTTTAAATTTCCAGATTTAAGTGAGATCATCCATTATCTCTTTCTGTGTGTGGCTTTTTTTACTTAGAATAACGTCCTCCAGGTTCATCCATGTTGTTTTATAGCCATCTTTTTTTTCTTTTTAAAAAAATTTTAAATATACATGCAACATAGAATATCTTCTCCTTGTCAGAAATGAAAAGATTATAGATAAAGTTAAAAGGTATCTTTGATAGCCCACCCAACTAATCCCCACGTGCACACACAATCTAGGTTCCCATCCCCCAAAACCCAAAATATATCCATTGTTATCAGTTTAGAGGGTATGCAGACTTTTCCCCATGAGTTTTAACATAAACATAAAAACAATAGAATTGTTTGGGGAGCAGCTTTTAAATTAAACCCTTAGAAAAGGCTAAAAATTAAATTTCTGGAGTCAGAGAGCTCTGGCTTCAAATCCCACATCTGACCTTTGGTAGCTGTGGGAAAATTCCTTACCCTCTCTGTGGCCCCATTTCTTCATTTGTAAAATGGATATAATAATTGTACTTAACTTGTATTATTATATATTGCTGTGTAATAATTACCCCCAAACAGCAACTAAAAATAGTAAATGTTTGTCTCATGTGAGTCTGAGTTGGGAATGGCTTTAGCTGGTTGGTTATGGCTCAGTCATAATCTCATGTGACTCCATGAGATTGCTGTCATTTTAAGGCTTGATTGAGCTAGAGGACCCCACTTCCGAGCTTACTCATAGTGGCTACTGGCATGAGCCCCACATTTCTTGCTATATGGGTCTCTCCATATGGCTACTCTATGACATGGCAGTTGGCTTCCCCCAGAGAAAATGATCTGAGAAAGAGAGAAAGAGAGACCAGCCAAGGTGGAAGCAACAGTGACATGTATAACCTAATCTCAGAAGTGACATAGTGTCATTTCTGCAGAATTCTGCTGATCTCACAGAACAACCCTGGTTGTTCAGTGTAGGAGAATACTATACAAGGGTGTGAATGCAAGCAGACATAGGTCACTGCAGGCCCTCCTGGAGGCTGGCTACCTTATTACCCATATAAGATTATTGAGAATTAAGTGGAATAATACCATTAAAACATTTATCACATTACCTGGCCAATTGTAATTGATTTCTAAAAATTGTTAGCCAACATAACTCTCAAAAACAAAATAAAATGACCCAAGAGTTTCTGGTAAAGAATTTAAATATTTTACCCATTAGTTATATAGTTTGTATTCCAAAACACTTCCTATGAAGCACTTTTTAAAATTTGTATAATTTTTATGTTCTAAAACTACACTGTCCAACACAGAATCCACTAGCCACATATGACTATCAAACATTTGAAATATATCGATGCCATTGACCAATGGAACAGAATAGAGAGCCCAGAAATGAAACCATGAATGGACGGTAAACTGCTTTTCAACAAAGTTACCAAAAACATACAATGGAAAGAGAATAGTCTCTTCAATATACGGTGTTGGGAAAACTGTATATCCACATGCAGAAGAATGAAACTGGACCCTTATCTCATACCATATACGAAAACCAACTCAAAATGGAGTAAAGACATAAACATAAAACCAGAAACTGTAAAACTACTAGAAGAAAATATAGGGGAGAAACTACATGACATTCGTCCAGGCAATGATCTTTTGCATATAAGCCCAAAAACACAGATAGCAAAAGCAAAAGTAGGCAAATGGGAGTAAAACAAACTAAGAAGCTTTTTCACAGCAAAGGAAACAACAGTGTTAAGAGACAACCTGTGTATTGGGAGAAAATATTTGCAACCCGTACATCCAATAAGGGGTTAATGTCCAAAAAATGTAAGGAATTCAATTCAACAGGAACAAAATAAATAAATCAATTTAAAAATAGGTGGCCAGGTGCAGTGGCTCATGCCTGTAATCCCAGCACTTTGGGAGGCCAAGGCGGGAGGATCATGAGGTCAGGAGACCGAGACCATCCTGGCCAACATGGTGAAACTCCATCTCTACTAAAAATACAAAAATTTGCTGAGCATGGTGGCAGGTGCCTGTAATCCCAGCTACTGTAATCCCAGCTACTCGGGAGGCTGAGGCAGGAGAATCGCTTGAACACGGGAGGCACAGGTTGCAATGGGCCGAGATCGCACCACAGCACTCCAGCCTGGGGACAGAGGGAGACTCCATCTCAAAAATAAAAATAAAAATAAAAATAAGCAAGGAACCTGAATAGGGTTTCTTAAAAGAAGACATACAAATGACCAACAGATATATGGAAAAAAAATGATCAGCACCTCTAATCTTCAGGAAAATGCAAATTAAGATCACAATGAGAAATGAGATATCATCTAACACCTGTCAGACTGGCTATTATCAAAAAGATGGAAGATAAGTGTCGGTGAGGATGTGGAGAAAAGGAAACGCTTGTACACTGTTAGTGGGGATGTAAATTAGCACAGCCATTATGAAAACTAAGTGGAGTTTCCTCGAAAAACTAAACACAGAATTACCATATGACCTAGTCATCCTACTTCTGGGTATTTACCCAAAAGGTTTGAAATCAGTTTGTCAAAGAGATGTCTGCACTTCCATGTTCACTGCAGCACTATTCACAATAGCTAAGTTATGAAATTAACCTAAGTATCAATTAACAGATGAGTGGATTTTTAAAATGTTATATATTATATATATACATAATTGAATACTATTCAGCCTTTAAAAAGGAAGGAAATGTCATTTGTGACAAAATCGATGGAATTGGAGAACATTCTGCTAAATGAAATAAGCCATGCACAGAAAGACAAATGTCTCATGTTCTCACTTATTTAGAGTCTTGTGGACTCTAAAACGATTGAACTCATAGAAGCAGAAAGTGGAATGGTGGTTACAGAGTCAGGGGGTTGGGGACAATGGGGAGATGACAGTCAAAGTGTACAAAATCTCAGACAGGAGAAATAATTGGTTTTATTAAATTTATTGCACTGTGTCATGAAGATAGTTAATAACAGTGTATTGTACATTTCAAAATTGGTAAAAGAGTAAATTCCAAATGTTCTCACCACAAAAAAAAGATATATATTTGAGGTGATGAATATGTCTAGTTAGCTTGATTTAATTATTCCACATTGTATTCACAAATCATAATATTACTTTGTATCCCATAAATACATGACATTATTATCAATTTATAATAAAATAAAATTTAAAAAAGAAATGTGTCTAGTGCAAATGAATAAGTGTTCTAAGTGTAAAATTACATTGATTTCAAAGTCTTAGTACCAAAAATAACATAAAATATAAAATTAATAAATTGTATATTGATTGCATGATGAAATGGTAGCATTTTGGATATATCAAGTTAAGTAAAATATATTATTAAAATTAATGCAACCTATTTCTTTTTGCTTTCTTATTGTCATTACTAGGAAATTTTAAATGATGTGGCTCACACTATATGTCTATGAACAGCACTGAAAATATTGGCAGAAAACATGGTTATCTTGTTTCATTACTTAAACCTCTTATGATGCCATGGGGCAATTTCCTTTGAATTTTCTAAATAATCCACTCAAGTGGCTTGCATGTTGTGCTTTTAGAGAAGATGTCCATTTTCCCCTTTGAGTTTGATGAGTTCCAAAAGTTCCTTTCTGTGTCATTTGTTCTGGCTTCTTAAGAAATCACCAGTTACAATCTAAGTTATATAAGGACTTTGTGAGTCAACATCCTCCTGGAAAGTTGCAGAGAACACTTCAGAGCCCCATGTCTGGGTGTAATAAGTTATAGGAGAAGAAAGTTTCACAGTCATTAAAATGAAACATTTAATCTCCAGATCTCTAAAACCTTTTTGGAACCACATCTCAATGTCCTTGGGAAAATCTGAAAATGTAATAACAGCTTGAGACCTAAGTGAAGCCAAAATGAGTCTTGCGTCCTGAATCTTAAGATGGATAAATTGGAACTATGTTTTGTGTTTCTCTGGTATAAGAGTTTTTGAATTAAAAGTATTTAATTTTTAGAATTCCCCTACATTACTTTGCCATTCCTACCTTAAAACAAGTCAGTAGTGAAGTTGTTAGAAGGTTGTCGCTTATAATCAGCAAAAATAAATTTTATTAACTGCCCAGAGTATATTTGTTACAATGCAACGTTCAAATCTAAGTGACCTTGTTTTCTGCCTTGAAATAGCAGATGGGGTTGAAATTGATATCACTTGCTAGTGTATATTTCTGAACAGTAGCTAGGATGGAAAAATTTTATTTGAGGCAAGAGGGGTTTTTGATGGAAGAACATAGAGTTATTTTATAAAACAAGTATTTTGATTTATTTTGTGTGCTTCTAAAAGTATAAGATCAATGGATGTAATAATAATAAGCAACCCTCCACTGAGAGTCTTCTATGTAAAGATTATCATTAATTTGTTACAAGTTATAAGACAAGTGTTGTTACAATGCCAGTTTTACAAATGAGAAATTTGGGCTCAATATAGCAGAGTAACTAGTTAGGATCACCCATATGTAAGGGCAGCGCTTGAGCTATAGAACCCCAAAGCCCTTTTACCACGTTGCTTGCAGTTTGGAAGTACAATCACATGCACATAACATTTCAGTCAATGGTAAGCTATGTATATGAAGGTGGTCCCATAAAATTATAAGGCAGCTAAAAAATTCCTATTGCTTAATGATGTAGCTGTCATAACATCACAGTGCAATGCATTATTCACATGTTCATTGTGATGCTGGTTTAAACAAACCTACTGTGCTGCCAGTCATATAAAAGTATGGCACATACAGTTATGTACAGGACACACTACTTGATAATGACACTAAACTACTATGTTACTGTTTCATGTATTTACTATACTTGTTATCATTATTTTAGACTGCACTCCTTCTAATTATTTAAAAAATAATGGTTAACTGTAAACCAGCCTCAGGTCCTTCAGGAGGTACTCTAGAAGAAGGCATTGTTACCATAAAAGATGACAGCTCTATGCGTGTTACTGCCCCTTAAGAACTTCCAGTGGGATAAGATGTTGAGGTGGAAGATGATGATGTTGATAATGTTGACCCTAGGCATAGGCGTAGGCTAGTGTGTGTGTTTGTGTCTTGATTTTTAACAAAAACAGTTTAAAATTTTTTTTAATTTTTTAAAAGCTTATAGGATAAGGATATAAAGAAAATATTTTTGTACAGTGGTACTGTTTGTTTGTGTTTTCAGCTGTTATTACAAAAGACCCAAAAAGTTTTAAAAAGTTTATCAAGCAAAAGAGTTACAAAATGTGTGGCTCTAGGGAAAGCAGAAAAATTGTCAGAAGGAGCCAACCATAGCTCAAGAGAAGCTGTCCATCTATGCTAATTTATTATTGATAAAGAATTTTTTATACATTTAGTGTAGCTTAATTGTACAGTGTTTATGAAGTCTGCAGCAGTGTCAGTAATGTCCTACGTCCTCACATTCACTCACCACTCACTCACTGATTCACCCAAAGCAACCTCCAGTCCTGTAAGCGCCATTCAGGGTAAATGCCCTATACAGCTCTACCATGTTTTATCCTTTATGCCATACTTTTAGTATTTTTAGTGTACTTTTTTCCATGTTGTAATAGATTTAGATATACAAATACTATCGTGTTATAGCTGCCTACAGTAGTCAGTACAGCAACATGCTGTACAGGTGTATAACCTAGAAGCAATAGGCTATACCATAGAGTCTGGCTGTGTGGTAGGCTATGCCTGCTAGATTTGTGTAAGTATACTCTGTAATATTTGCACAACAATGAAATTGCCTAAGGATGCATTTCTCAGAACATATCCCTGTTAGTAAGTGACACATGACTGTAATTGGAAAGCAGATTTCAGTTCAGGATAAGGAAACTTTAAAATTCGGAGTTGTATGAAAATGGACAAGGTCATCTCAGTGAGTTCCCCTCATGTAGGAAATTACACAGGACCAAGGGTACTAAAGGGGAGGTAACTGAGGTTGGTTGTAAGGTATCCTTCTAACTCTGAGATTAAATGATTGTCTTAGTGCCTCATTTTCTCATCATTGAAAAACAGGAACATACCCATAATAACAGAAAAGCTGTTACTAAATTGAAAAATGGCACATCATTAGTAATAGACAAATGTGTCCGTCTTTTTCAAGCAAACCAAACAAATTGTTCCCTAAAATTCTTAATTAAAAATTAAAATTAGTTTACATGTTACACTCATTGTATTTTCAAGCTTTGAGCAATTATCAGCCAGGCCCAAATTTAGCAATTGCAGGCAAGGGCAAAGTTAAGAAACTGTAAGTAGCAATCCATAGGTTAGATTCTAATGGTGAAGAAAATCCCTTCAGTCCCTGATCATTGTTTATCTCGGGATTTAAACAGTAACTCTAATTGTATTCTTTGAACACAAATTCCTGCCCCATCCCCCACCCCATCCCTTGGTTAATTAGCTGCATAGGTCTTATAACAAATGCCCACTCAGAAGCACTGGGAGGTAGAAATGCTGTTGATAATTAAACACCACAATAGCACAGAGCCTGTTTCAGGAGCCACTGAGTGGTCTTGCCCCTGCTGGACTGCTTACCACACAGTCACAGACCCTCCATTGTGCTGGTATGGCTGCTCAGAGGGATAGCTGCTTGGCTGGAGAAGGAACCAACTGCAATGAGAGAAAAGACCAAACCTTGCAGAGATCAGGAGTATGGCCTCCAGGGAAAAGTGTCCTGTGGGTGGAAGTGAAAGGGGAATGAATCCAAGAAAAAGAGAAGTGGATGGGCAGGAATGATAAAACAGACATAGCCTTTCTATTTTCTAAATCAAACCAACCAGCCAAACTGAGTTCACCAATTTCATACCAAATAGATAACAATCAGGAAATTGTAATATATAAATAATAGGTTGATTTGTATTCTATTTGGTTTAGAGAAAATCCACCGAGTTCTTTAAGGTTTAGATGAAGATCATGAATAAGTCATCCCATCTCCCTGGGTCTCAATTTCTTCATCTTTAAAATAAGGAAGTTGAAAATAGCCCCATTCTGCCATCAGATCCAGAGGCTAGTAGTTACACTTCTGTAACACCAGATGTTAGTGACAATGAGCCTGATCACTATAAATATTCTGACACCACTGACTGATCCAGAGAATGAACCTTTTGATGAAGATCAGCATACACAAATTACAAAAGTCTGAAATTTTTTTATCAAGAGGTATAAAACACCATGAAAACAAACTTGAATAAACTGAAAATGAACTTTTTTTTTTTTTTTTTTTTTGAGAAGGAGTCTCGCTCCGTCTCCCAGGCTGGAGTGCAGTGGTGCGATCTTGGCTCACTGCAACCTCCGCCTCCCAGGTTCAAGCAATTCTCCTGCCTCAGCCTCCCGTGTAGCTGGGACTACAGGTGCCGGTCACCACGCAAGGCTAATTTTTGTATTTTTAGTAGAGACAGGGTTTCACCATATTGGTCAGGCTGGTCTCAAACTCCCAACCTCAGGTGATCCACCTGCCTCAGCCTCCCAAAGTGTTGGGATTACAGGTGTGAGCCACCGCGCCCGGCTGAAAATGGACCTTTTTTTTTAATGGCAATAGGACATTGTGTCAGATTACCAGTTATAGCAACAATTCTCTTTTCCTGACCAATCTTGTTTTACCCTATACATCCACAGGGTTTTGACACTTGTTGTCCAGTTGAAAAAAGGTTGTGTAGCTGTGTCATGTATATACCTTGTTGTGTCAAAAGGACATTTAAAATTCAATTAGGATTAATAAAGGTGGCACTTTCCCATTTTATTCCAGTTTCATAAAAAGTGGAGACAGACTGAGGTGTATACATAAGAATTTTTTCCTTTTGTGTTCTGTCGCCAACTGAAGTGGCTAAAGAGCTTTGTGATATACTGGTTCACATCCTACCCCTTTGCACTTGTGGCAACAGATAAGTTTGCAGTTGGCTAAGAGAAGTTCCTGAAGGGTTTTGCTGCATTCTAATGCATGTATTCGGGTTAGGGGAATGGAAGGAATGCTCAGAAAGGAAATACATTTATTCTAGACTCTGGACCATACACCATCTCCAGCTATTTACGCACACCTTTCTTTAGCATGCTACAGTTATTAATCTGGACATTCAAGGAATTGGCCACTGTCACTGCTTGTTGTTTGCACATTTTTTTTAAAGCACATTGGTGCTAGAGAAGGCAGCTAAAGGAAGTGAATCTGTATTGGGGTACAGGAATGAACCTTCTGCAACATCTTAAGATCCACAAATGAAGGGATATAAAAATAATGTCATAGATAAGAAGCACAGCATCAATGATTTCACCATATAAATGTGGAGGCTATCAACAAAGAATGGGCTTGAAACATTATAAAAATTGAAAATGATTTATTAAATATGATTTCTCAATTGTAAAAAAAAAATGCCCCCATTCCAGGGTGGCAAAAATAGAAATTGGATTCCCAGAACAATTTTCAAGCTTTCAAAAAGGCTAACTATCACACCATTACTCAAGATAAACTACACAGTCTAATATAATTGTCATATTTACTTGCTTCTGCTTAAAATATATTAACCCAGTTTGTTAGGTTGATTATCTCATTCTGAACAGATGCTTCTATTGATGGTTATATAGGTCATTAATAATAGGGAGAAACATGATCACTTTATAAGTCAGCTGGTTTAGTAGACAAAAAAAATCTTTCAAAAGAGGGTGTTTTATTAAGCTATTAAAAAAATCCACTGGAAAAAATAAATAAAAGTTTGCTTGCCGAAATGGTTGGAAACCAGTGGCTCAGTCAGTGCTTCTCTGACTTGTCCATGCAATTACTTTTAACAACAGATGCAAATGATAGTCTCAAGGACACCTGTGTTCTTAACCTGGAAAAAAGGGATAGAGTTTTACAAAGTTTCCCTTTTTTCAAAATCTTCAATTTTTGAAAACACTTTCCATTCTTCTCCATAATAGACCTATTTAATTTCTAAATAATATGCTTAATCAAAATCTGCATGTAAAATTTGATGCTCCAAGAAGACACATTCATTCATATTGTGTTTTTAGAGGTGATCATTGCACCCCCTACTTCACCCACCGTCACCACTATATTACATTAGAGTTTAGATATCCCAGTTTGAGGTGCGCTGGGATGTAAATAATCTTGCAGAGCTCACCCAGCTATAAAATTCTGTCTTTAGTCTCTGAAGAGGCAAAATGCATTATCTTGAAGAGGTGGAATTCCTTTATCATTATAACTCAAATTGCATCTAAAGCCTAGAAGGAAAGGGAAAATGCAGAAACAAAATGTGTGGTTCTAGGGAAAGCAGAAAAATTGTCAGAAGGAGCCAAGCATAGTTCAAGAGAAGCTGTCCATCTGAAATGCCACCTGGAATTCACACCAGTAATAACTGTTGTGGATATAAAAATTAATAGTGGGGATTTCATAGTATTAGAAAAATTTATTTTTATAAATCATGTGTCTGTCACCCAAGTGTTGACGCATGCATGCAATTCAAACATCAGGCATACAATAAAAAGCTCACTGGATAACTTAACAAGGACAATTCCCCCATTTTCTCTATAATTTGGAGTGGAAGAAGGAGGGGGGAGTGGGTAGAGAGTGCAGTTACTGGGTCAATTAATCAACCTGAAAACTGTGACACAAACTCTGACGCCTAACCTATGTCTAAAAATACACAAATGTATACGAATTTGTTTTAAACTGTCAATGCCTATATTTAGGACCTTCCCAGCAAGGCTATAATGAGACTGTGTTTGAGGGCTTCAGTCATAGCAGACTCTACCATTAATCTGAAGTTAGTTAAATTAACAGCATTTAGTACTGACTTGTCAATCTCACTGCTCCAGGAAATTGCACCTTGAGGCTACTAATATTGCCAATTTTTCCACTGGAGTGTGCGCCCGCGTGTGTGTATGTGTTTTTTTTTTCTCCAGAACCTCTGCGTTCATACCCCATCATTGCTTCCCTACGTCCACAGCACTTATATTATCATTTATTCTGGCCTCCTTTAGCCTTCCCCAGGGATTCTGCATAGTGTAGCTGCTCAGTGAAAGAGTTTTTTAGCTTTATATTTATTTGTTTATTTTTCTGTCATGGCTCATGACTGAGGCTTTTAAAAAAAAGTGTGACAGTATTTAGAGTACATGATTGACTGCTACAGCAACATTCATTAACCATGACAAATCTGCAGCAAAACACAGTCCTGAGTGTTCTAAACAGCAACTTTAAAAAGAAAGAAGAAAGAAAGAAAAAGAAAAAAGACTCAACTAATTTTTCATTGACCTCGTCTGTAAATAAATTTAGACCGATGGTGCACAGAGGCAATAATAAATTAGTATTCATTTCCTGTAATTAATGCAAACATGCCCATGAACACAGAGAATATGAATATATAACCACCTAATTTCCATTTCAAAATACACCTAACAAATTTTCACTTGAGTTATCTTCACAATATTTTCCCCTTTAATTAGAAGAATGAAATAGTTGGATTTCTTTCCCACCCACCAGGGAGAAATATTGTTTTGGTCACAGGGAGTGTCAAACACATTTCAGCAACAGATCTGTAGGACTTTAGTCTGGTTTACTTGACTGTTCTGTGATCCCCTACCATATTCCCATGCTGAGGCTCTTTTATCACTTAACCAGGTGGGGCTCTGAAGTGACCAAGTGACCATCGTGGCAGGCCCTCATATGCATAACAGCCATGAGGAGATCATAAGAGGCAGCCTCACTGCTCAGCACAAGAAAGGGAGACATACATTCCTTCCCATTCATTGACATGAACGCAAGAGCAGGATGGCTAAACAATCTGATGTAAATCAAATGAAGACTATCACATATTGGGTAAAATAGAAATAGCAAGCTCTACAACCTCTCTCAGCAAGAGGGGCTTATATAACTTATCCTCTTGAGCATAGGTATCTCTGGAGATCATTCCTACCATTACACCACAATCAAAGATCAATTTCTGATCACATTCAAGTCAGCCAGTCATCAGAACTCACTAGCTCAACTGTGGCAGCAGTAGCGGAACTCTTTGTAAGCAATAAATACATTGATTAACAATAATAAAATTATGCCTCTAAGATGTACGTACAAAAATGTCTATAAGCTGGGAAGAATGTGTTAAAGGCAGAAAATTTGAATCAGGTTCTACCAAAAGCAAAACAAAACTTCATCAGAATGCAACTTGCCTCATGGATAACATTTCCTAGGGTCTTCCTGGCCATACGGAGTTTTGCCCCTACATGTTTGTCCTTCTAGAGGTCATGGCAACAAATGTGTACTCTCTGGATGAGAAGTGGTCCTCCTGGGTACTTGATGGTGGAATTCTAATTAGCTAAGTTAAGCAGCTAAGTGAGGTATGTGTTACAGCAGGGCTGGAGAGCAATGGGAATATATTAATGTGATGAATTTACCACTTAATCTGATTGTAAGTGTCACTAATTAGACCTTATCATAGTAAGATACTTGATAACAAACACAGATCCCACTTTTCCCAGGCATTTTTTTTTTTTTTTTCAAATCATAGTAAACTCTGGGATATATCCTTCCAATGAAGCAGCATTTCCCCAGAAAGAAAGAGAAGTAATCCCATTTCTTTCCCTTTAGTTGTCAGCCTGGAAAGCCGAGCAATGCACCTCAACACACTGGTCCAGGAAGCCCAGGAGAGGGTGAGTGAACTGTCTGCCCAGGTGGAGAATGAAGGATTCACTCTGGACAACACAGAGAAAGAGAAGCAGCTGAAAGCTTGGGAGTGGAGGTATCGGCTCTACAGACGCATGAAAACAGGCTTTGAGCATGCCAGTGAGTATAAGCAGAAAATGTCTACATTTCACTAGACTGAGCCTCAGTTTGAGACAGCCAGGTCTTCTTTTACAGATTTTTTTTTTCAGCTCTACAGAGTCATGGATGGCCGTTGTCAGCCTGTATGGAGCAAGGGCTCTGAGAGGCTGTCAAAGGGTCTTTTATCTTGCTTGAGTTTCTGGCTCCTGATGGGTGCTCTGACCACAGCCATGAGGCTTCATGCCTCTGGCCTCTCTCCACCATGTCACACTCATCTAGCACTTTCCATCCGCTACGCCCTAATGCCTAATGATCTGGATGGTCTGATGCCCTAGATGGCTATATTTTGGGATAGGGAGGTGGAAAAATATTTGTTTGCCTGTTTGTCCAGTTTCTGCTCCAAGCTCAAGTTTAAGTTGTTTTCAACGCTCTACTGCATTTTTTTATATAGAGCTATAAACTGAACTTCAGTTAACACAGGCAACCGAAAAGAACAATCAACTCAAGAATTACGCTTTTGTCTGCACTTTCATTTTCTTTACCAATTCTTTTTGTTAGTTTAAGAAAAGCCTTCTTTTTGGATAATACTCATTAGCACTGGAAAGTAATGCTGAGTGTAGCTCCTGATACAAAAACAAAATATAAAATTCAAACACTTGTGAAATATTAAACTCTCATTCTAGAAGGAGATCGTAACTAAACAACAACAAAAAAATTAGGCTGGAAATTTTAAATATAAGGGAAAGTTCGTTAGTTTGAAAGGTCTCTGCCTCTGCTGCAGGAAACTTAGTTGTGATGTAGACAAAGACCAAAGACAGTGATGATGTTTTCTTAAGTACACTAAATACCAAATCTAGGCCTAATCCTTTCTCTTGGAGCAAATAACTTAGCAACATTAATGAAAGTTTGCTTTCAACATCAACACTCTCCAGCAAGGCTGGTGCATGGGTTTGTTTAAAGAGATTCAGCGCTTGCTTTAATAAATGCATTTGCTATTATGCCTCATTTAGGACAGATTAACACTAGAAACAGACATATTTTCAGATTTGATGTCAATTTTTGTAATTTGCTAAATTATAAAACACCTTCTACGTGTTAAGCAATACTAAAAGCCATCAGGAGTCCTTTAAAACCTGAGGTTAGTGGACATGACATCCACCCATAAATTTTTTTCTCGGAAAATACTGCTCATTTGTAATAGGAGAAAGCCTGAGAGCAAGGTGAGTTAGAATTCTATCAATACTGGAAAGAGCCCAAAAGTAGGCAACTGAAGCCAGGGGCTTTCATCCTGACTGTTTGTCTTCACTGTGTTCTTGAACAAGGAATTTGGCCACTTGGGGCTGCGGTTTCCTCATACCAAAAGTGAGTGTGCTATTTCTTGC
Source organism: Homo sapiens (assembly GCF_000001405.40). Taxonomy (NCBI): domain Eukaryota; kingdom Metazoa; phylum Chordata; class Mammalia; order Primates; family Hominidae; genus Homo; species Homo sapiens. The sequence goes on from NC_000017.11 coordinate 56,374,202, forward strand.
CCTTTCTACCAAGGAGGGCTGCAAAAAGCCTCCAGTGAAACGATGTACTTTATAAAACGTAAGGGTGTCCACTGACAATATAGGATCCTGCTATCACTTCCTGCCTTTCTCTTCACTGATCCAGCCCAATCTCCTATCGTGTTTGCAGGATACTTTAGGAAGGCTTAACTGGTATTATTTACCTTTTCAGAAAATGTTCTAATGCTCAAATAAGACCCCAATGGCAACAAATAAAAGCCATTGAGACGTCTAATGAAAATGTTCAAAAGCGAAAGCTATTAGGCTCCACAAACAAATGTTTCCATAGTATTCATTTCAGGGTATCCTTTGAAGAGGGAGGAACGTTGTTTGAAAAGGATTTGCTATGTTAAGATCCTTGTGTTTTTCCTTCTGTCCCAGGAGCCCCTGAGATGCCAACCAATGTCTGTCTCATGGTAACCAGCAGCACATCACTCACTGTCAGCTTCCAAGAGCCTCTTAGCGTCAATGCAGCTGTAGTAACCAGGTATAAAGGTACTGGACCCAAGACATGTTTTCATCACTCCTTCTTAAAAAAGCATCTGCTGTTTGAGAATCAATAGTGCATTTTGTGTGTTTGTTTTTCCTACTGATAGGAATGTTTTTATCCCATTGACTTTTGAAGTTGAAATATTTCCATAGGCACTCATGTAAAGGAACAATCAAGTGACTGAGAATGTCACAGAAAGGAAGAACCACAAGACCAGGCTGTCATTTCAAGTCCCTCAATTACTGTTTCATTCATCTTTGCAGAGGACTTGCTCTATGCATAGCACAGGGCTGGGGACAGGCCTGAGTAGGAAACACTGAAGAATCAGACTTGATCCAAGGATCTGAGGGGTTGTGATATGGAACATACTAAGTAGGGGTTAAAAAAAACAATAACTAAAGCTAGGTAACAGGGTTGGGGTTTTTCAAAAATGCAGATAAAGTATATTGGAGGTCAGGAAAGAGCAAGGGGAAGATAAAATGGTGGGATCAGTAAGGGTTCCCTAGGGTGGAGGTGGCATTCAGGCCTGGCTATGAAGGATAAGTAGGCTTTGGCCTGGAAGATATTGGGGGGAAAGTAAATTCCAAATGGAAAGGACAGTCAACACAGGTATAAAACCAAGAACATACCAGGACAGGTAGAGCAAACTAAGGGAACAAGTAGAGGGAATAGAAAATAGCATGGCTCCGAAAAAGCATAGGGTCGTGAGAAGGTACAGTAAGATGTTAAGATTAAAGAATGAAACTATGATCAACAGAAAAGGACAGAATGAGGCTCGAAATTAAGGCTAGGGAGTTTAGACTTTATGTGATGAATTCAGCAGAGCCATTGAATAAGGTAGGGACAGGATCAGAGGTAGACTTTTGAAAGATTGGAGTGGTGATACTGTGTATGATTTATTGAGAGAAATAGAGATTTAGAAGAAGGAAATGAATTATGAACCTATTCAAGAGGGAGGTCATGATAGCCTGACCTGGCTACAATGGCAGCATTGGGAAAAGAAAGGGAAAGCCCAAAGGAAAAATGTACTGCAGAGGTATTGTGATGACAACAGCTAATGCTTACGTAGCACCGACTATGCACCAGGCACCATTTAAAGCCGTTTAAAGTTTTAACTCTATTTAATCCTCACAATGATCTCATGAGACAGGTATTGTTATGATTCCAACTTTGCAGATGGAAAAACAGAGGCAATGAGAAGTTAAGGAATTTGCCTAAATGCTTACAACAGAGACAGAATCATCACATTATGCTGACTCTTGAATACGAGGAACAAAAAAGGAAAGCTATTTTCTGGATTCACAAGGACATATGGAATTACACTGAACAGCCCTAAAAGCTGATAAAGCTCTCCACACATATTCCAAGGTTCCAGGCTACAGTGTGGACTTTCTTTGCATTCAGGTCACTATGGCTCTCTCTGCCCACAAACATGTTCAAGTAGTGCACATGCCTTCCTTTCTCATTCTCAGGCCTGTCCCTCTGGGGAACTTCATATGTCTCTGCAAACTTTACTCTGCCCACACCCTGTAGCTTTCTTGGGTACTTAGAATTTTCCAGATAACGCCACTGTGTTTGTAATACCTTAGATAAGACAGCATTGAATTGATTATCCCTGGATTTTCTGTATCAGTCTAAGAGAAAGCAGCCTTAGGGTACTAAGGACAGCAGATAAATGAAACCACCCAGGATGGCCCCCCACAGCCATCCTTTGAAACAACTCTGATACCTTTTCTTGGTTGTCTCATCTGCCAAGACTGAAATTCAGAGCAAGCATTTCTGGGCAATGTTAGATATGGACGTTTTCTTTCTTTCTGCCTCTCTCCAGCTCAGGATTTCGATGAAGAGTTTCATCAGTGCTGCCCACCTTGACATTTCCTTCTTACTTTGATGAGTGAGCTATCAGGAACCAACCAGTCCAGACTGTCAGCAATTTAATACTTGCCCACAATGCCGGCAAATTCTATCCGCATTCACATATTAACACTTCTCATCTCAGGAGACTTGCATTTGGGTGAGGTTGAAATGAAAGGTCACAAGTGGGTTCTGTTAGAGACTGGAGGGGATTAATTAAGCATTATAAATAGAATTGTCTGTTGCATTATGGAGTAGGTTTCCTTGTGTTAATTTATAAGGTCATAAATTGAGTCCTTAACCTGACCGTTCTCAAGGGTTATTTAAAACAGCTGGCAGCCTACTGTATCCGCAGGAACAGCAGTGCAGTTTTTAATTCAGGGGTTGAAGTAATTATTTAATTATGAAAATATTAGTGTAATTATTTTGTTTGCAAAAAAGAAAGAAAGAAAAGAAAAAGAAGAAACAATTGAGAAATCTACAGAATGAAATGGCAATTATCTAATTGGTTAGAGGGAAAGTTTACCCCTGCAGCATTTAGGGTTTGGCAAAAACATCTCAGACTATTCTCCAGAATTTCTGGGTTCAGCAAAACCTCAAGCCTATTTTGACAACTCAATGTTTTCCTCCTTCATGCTTAAGCTAGGGTGTATTTCAAAGGAAATCTAAATCCTTCTGTTTCTCATTTGTTTACACTCAACCCATCAACATATTGTTTTATAAGAGTTTGTTGATATGTTGACATCTTTTTAAGAGCATCACTTTTTAAGTTTTCTTCACACCGTGGGGGCACGCACCAGGCCAACTGCCATCACAACTCGGAGATTAAAGGCATCAATTTCCACATCAAACCTAGGAAACAGTTTTCAGTGAGACCCACATGATTTTTTCTGAATTTCCCCTGAATGCAGTAAAACGGGGCTAGGAGATCTACTCTCTGTTTCTAGGTGTTTTCTCTCTGGATTCAAAGGAGGCTTGCATCTTTTAGTCTCATCTCACCCATTTTTATGGCTGACAGAGGAAAACCTACAGTTATTTCAGATGCTTCGATGCTTTGGACAATTGCCAGAAGTTTGTACCACATTTTCTCCTCACTGCCTTGGGTCACCTGCCTGAACCTCTCATTTGCAGATTATGTCATTTCTCTGCAGGCCTGAGACAGAAAACATTTGCAAAAGTGATTTTACTGCTCCTTGCAGGGTTGGGGGATGGTTAGGAAGGCATCCTGAAAGAGGTGCAGTACAAAACCTCTTTTCCATCCACAAGATGAAACATTTTCGAGTTTGTGTTTTTTTTCTTAATTGGGCCTCGAAGTGGCCACACCTTGGGGTTTGCTAATTACAACATGCTGCAGTAGTTGCTGCATTGCCTGAGTGCAGTACCCGGGTTCTGGGTGGTATCCTTGCCCGTGTCTTTTCCTACTTCATTCCCTAACAGATTAGAAACCACCACCCTAGTTCCTCCCTACAAAGATTTGTAATAGCAAATTGTTTAACTGCTCGTCATTTGATGACATTTTTTAAAATTAAAAAGCATCTCTCCTTGCAGAAACTGACAGGGCCTTTCAGGAGCTCATAGTGTATCTGCTTCTGCAGTGACCAGGCCCATATCTCTGCCGACCATCACCTTCAGTTTCTTTCTCAGGAGAAGCAGCCAAAAAATTCCAGGGCGGTGTATGAGGGGACATTTCAGCTTCTAAGAAGGAGAGTCTACCATTGGGACATTAAAACCCTCAGGGTCGATCATTTATAATAATAATAGTGTGAACTTGATCATAACCTGATGACTTGGACTATCTTTTCTACAAGAATGGAGAAAACCCTGACATCACAGAGCACAGGTTCCCATTGCTCTGTGATTTATATTCTTCTTACCCTTTCTGTTTTTTCCTCCTACACCTTGTAGTTGGGTGGATATTTATCTATCAAGAAAAATGCATTCCATTAAAGAATATAATTATTTATATGTTTAATTAATTGAAGGACTAATCTGGTCATAGGTATGAGGTAGCTACCTTCATTACTAGGTTGAAGTGATACAATTCCACAAAGCAAAAGTATTTATAACTTTCTTTAGCCTGTTTGGGGAAAGAGAGGTGGGGAGGAGGCCAAAGATTTGCAGATGAGAGCAACGAGGAGGAGCAGGAAATGTTACGTCCAGAGGACATGAAACTTAGTGGATTAACATTTTTTGTGTTAGGGTGAAAATATGAAAGTGGGGTTAGTGATTAAAATGTGTGATGGGGAAAAATAACAAGTCTGCTGGGGGTGAGAGGATGAAAAATGAAAGGCAACAGTGCTCAAGACTCACTTCTAAGCTACTAAGGCTTCTACATCCTTACTCATCCTACTTTCATTCACTAGTTGCTGAGTTGTCAGGATCCGGCCAATTTATTCTCCAACCATCTTGTAAACCACCTTAAAACCTTTCTCCAATAATGTATATTGTCAAGAATAGCTTTTCTGACATTTAAATTTTGTTAAATTTTCATCATTTAACAAAATGTTAACCCTCAAACTATATTGTGTAGGAATATATACATATAAAAGGTCAGGCCGGGCGCGGTGGTTCATGCCTATAATCCCAGCACTTTGGGAGGCCAAGGTGGATGGATCATGAGGTGAGGAGATCGAGACCATCCTGGCTAACACAGTGAAACCCCGTCTCTACTAAAAAATACAAAAGATTGGCTGGGCATGGTGGCGGGCGCCTGTAGTCCCAGCTACTCAGGAGGCTGAGGCAGGAGAATGGCTTGAACCTGGGAGGCGGAGCTTGCAGTGAGCTGAGATCGTGCCACTGCACTCCAGCCTGGGTGACAGAGTGAGACTCCATCTCAAGAAAAAAAAAAAAAAAGGTCAAAGTCCTTCACCCTTCTTCCAGTCGTATTCATACCTCAAACTCTATAGTGAGTTCGATGTATGTCCTTACAAATTCTTTTTTGATATGTATATGCACATGGATATATACAAAATTTTGTTTATGTGCTCTAATACAAATATTATGTTGTTTTTCTAATCCTACAACTGGATGTTTTTCAACTCAGTGATATTTTTACAGTTCAACAGTATAAATTACAAATCTATGTAAATGTGTTTGGCTCCTCTTACAGTTGTATAGTATTCCTATTCCACAGAAAGAGGTATCATCATTCTCCTATTGATGGATGTTGGTTGTTTTAATATTTTCTGTTATATAATGTTACAATTCTTATATGTATCTCTCTTTTATCTAGAGAATATTTTTCTATTATGGTTAACTAGAAGCAGAAGGGACTGTTTGTGGATTCACACACTGTCCCATTGATCTGTCTATACCTGTGTTACTATCATAATACCATAATTTTACAGCATATTTTAACATCTGGTAAGGCAAGTTCCTCCCCATTAAAATCTTTTTCAAAATGTCTTTGTTATTCACGCGCATTGTCTCTTACAAATGAATTTTAGAATTGGCCTGTCAAGTTCACTTTTAAAAATCTTATTTGTTGGATTTACATCATATTCCTAAATTAATTTGGGGAGAATCTCATCCATGAGCTGTCTTCCTAATCAGGCTGAATTGTGTGTATTCAGAACAGTCTAATTATTTTCTTTACATAGATATTCTATACTTCCTATTGAGTTTCATGCTAGCTATATTTTACAGTTTTTACGGCTGTTATGAATGAACTCTCTTTTCAGGACATTTAGTTGCGGGACAGTAGAAGAGTATTGCTAATTAAGAAAAACTTTAGAAACAGAGCCAAGATGGCCGAATAGGAACAGCTCCAGTCTACAGCTCCCAGTGTGAGCAATGCAGAAGACGGGTGATTTCTGCATTTCCATCTGAGGTACCGTGTTCATCTCACTAGGGAGTGCCAGACAGTGGGCGCAGGACAGTGGGTGCAGTGCACCGTGCACGAGCCAAAGCAGGATGAGGCATTGCCTCACTCGGGAAGCACAAGGAGTCAGGGAGTTCCCCTTCCTAGTCAAAGAAAGGGGTGACAGACGGCACCTGGAAAATCGGGTCACTTCCACCCTAATACTGTGCTTTTCCGACAGGCTTAAAAAACAGCGCACCAGGAGATTATATCCCACACATGGCTCAGAGGGTCCTACGCCCACGGAGTCTCGCTGATTGCTAGCACAGCAGTCTGAGATCAAACTGCAAGGCAGCAGCGAGGCCGGGGGAGGGGCGCCCGCCATTGCCCAGGCTTGCTTAGGTAAACAAAGCAGCCGGGAAGTTCGAACTGGGTGGAGCCCACCACAGCTCAAGGAGGCCTGCCTGCCTCTGTAGGCTCCACCTCTAGGGGTAGGGCACAGACAAACAAAAAGACAGCAGTAACCTCTGCAGACTTAAATGTCCCTGTCTGACAGCTTTGAAGAGAGCAGTGGTTCTCCCAGCATGCAGCTGGAGATCTGAGAACGGGCAGACTGCCTCCTCAAGTGGGTCCCTGACCCCTGACCTCCAAGCAGCCTAACTGGGAGGCACCCCCCAGTAGCGGCAGACTGACACCTCAAACGGCCGGGTACTCCTCTGAGACAAAACTTCCAGAGGAACGATCAGACAGCAGCATTCGCAGTTCACAAAAATCTGCTGTTCTGCAGCCACCGCTGCTGATACCCAGGCAGACAGGGTCTGGAGTGGACCTCTAGCAAACTCCAACAGACCTGCAGCTGAGGGTCCTGTCTGTTAGAAGGAAAACTAACAAACACAAAGACATCCACACCAAAAACCCATCTGTACATCACCATCATCAAAGACCAAAAGTCGATAAAACCACAAAAATGGGGAAAAAACAGAGCAGAATAACTGGAAACTCTAAAAAGCAGAGTGCCTCTCCTCCTCCAAAGAACGCAGTTCCTCACCAGCAACGGAACAAAGCTGGACAGAGAATGACTTTGATGAGTTGAGAGAAGAAGGCATCAGACGATCAAACTACTCCGAGCTACAGGAGGCAATTCAAACCAAAGGCAAACAAGTTGAAAACTTTGAAAAAAATTTAGATGAATGTATAACTAGAATAACCAATACAGGGAATTGCTTAAAGGAGCTGATGGAGCTGAAAGCCAAGGCTCGAGAACTACGTGAAGAATGCAGAAGCCTCAGGAGCCGATGCAATCAACTGGAAGAAAGGGTATCAGTGATAGAAGATGAAATGAATGAAATGAAGCGAGAAGGGAAGTTTAGAGAAAAAAGAATAAAAAGAAACGAACAAAGCCTCCAAGAAATATGGGACTATGTGAAAAGACCAAATCTACGTCTGATTGGTGTACCTGAATGTGACGGGGAGAATGGAACCAAGTTGGAAAACACTCTGCAGGATATTATCCAGGAGAACTTCCCCAATCTAGCAAGGCAGGCCAACATTCAGATTCAGGAAATACAGAGAACGCCACAAAGATACTCCTCGAGAAGAGCAACTCCAAGACACATAATTGTCAGATTCACCAAAGTTGAAATGAAGGAAAAAATGTTAAGGGCAGCCAAAGAGAAAGGTCGGGTTACCCACAAAGGGAAGCCCATCAGACTAACAGCGGATCTCTCGTTACCCACAAAAGGAAGCCCATCAGACTAACAGCGGATCTCTCGGCAGAAACTCTACAAGCCAGAAGAGAATGGGGGCCAATATTCAACATTCTTAAAGAAAAGAATTTTCAAGCCAGAATTTCATATCCAGCCAAACTAAGCTTCATAAGTGAAGGAGAAATAAAATACTTACAGACAAGCAAATGCTGAGAGATTTTGTCACCACCAGGTCTGCCCTAAAAGAGCTCCTGAAGGAAGCACTAAACATGGAAAGGAACAACCGGTACCAGCCACTACAAAATCATGCCAAATTGTAAAGACCATCGAGGCTAGGAAGAAACTGCATCAACTAACGAGCAAAATCACCAGCTAACATCATAATGACAGGATCAAATTCACACATAACAATATTAACTTTAAATGTAAATGGACTAAATCCTCCAATTAAAAGACACAGACTGGCAAATGGATAAAGAGTCAAGACCCATCAGTGTGCTGTATTCATAAAACCCATCTCACATGCAGAGACACACATAGGCTCAAAATAAAAGGATGGAGGAAGATCTACCAAGCAAATGGAAAACAAAAAAAGGCAGGTGTTGCAATCCTAGTCTCTGATAAAACTGACTTTAAACCAACAAAGATCAAAAGAGACAAAGAAGGCCATTACATAATGGTAAAGGGATCAACTCAACAAGAAGAGCTAACTCTCCTAAATATATATGCACCCAATACAGGAGCACCCAGATTCATAAAGCAAGTCCTGAGTGACCTACAAAGAGACTTAGACTCCCACACAATAATAATGGGAGACTTTAACACCCCACTGTCAACATTAGAAAGATCAATGAGACAGGAAGTTAACAAGGATACCCAGGAATTGAACTCAGCTCTGCACCAAGCAGACCTAATAGACATCTACAGAACTCTCCACCCCAAATCAACAGAATATACATTTTCTTCAGCACCACACCACACCTATTCCAAAATTGACCACATAGTTGGAAGTAAAGCCCTCATCAGCAAATGTAAAAGAATAGAAATTATAACAAACTGTCTCTCAGACCACAGTGCAATCAAACTAGAACTCAGGATTAAGAAACTCACTCAAAACCAGACAACTACATGGAAACCGAACAACCTGCTCCTGAATGACTACTGGGTACATAACGAAATGAAGGCAGAAATAAAGATGTTCTTTGAAACCAACGAGAACAAAGATGCAACATAATAGAATCTCTGGGACACATTCAAAGCAGTGTGTAGAGGGAAATTTATAGCACTAAATGCCCCCAAGAGAAAGCAGGAAAGATCCAAAATTGACACGCTAATATCACAATTAAAAGAACTAGAAAAGCAAGAGCAAACACATTCAAAAGCTAGCAGAAGGCAAGAAATAACTAAAATCAGAGCAGAACTGAAGGAATTAGAGACACAAAAAACCCTTCAAAAAATTAATGAATCCAGGAGCTGGTTTTTTGAAAGGATCAACAAAATTGATAGACCACTAGCAAGACTAATAAAGAAGAGAAGAGAGAAGAATCAAATAGATGCAATAAAAAATGATAAAGGGGATATCACCACCGATCCCACAGAAATACAAACTACCATCAGAGAATACTACAAACACCTCTATGCAAATAAACTAGAAAATCCAGAAGAAATGGATAAATTCCTGGACACATACACTCTCCCAAGACTAAACCAGGAAGAAGTTGAATCTCTAAATAGACCAATAACAGGCTCTGAAATTGTGGCAATAATCAATAACTTACCAACCAAAGAGTCCAGGACCAGATGGATTCACAGCCAAATTCTACCAGAGGTACAAGGAGGAACTGGTACCATTACTTCTCAAACTATTCCAATCAATAGAAAAAGAGGGAATCCTCTCTAAGTCATTTTATGAGGCCAGCATCATCCTGATACCAAAGCCGGGCAGAGACACAACCAAAAAAGAGAATTTTAGACCAATATCCTTGATGAACATTGATGCAAAAATCCTCAATAAAATACTGGCAAACCAAATCCAGCAGCACATCAAAAAGCTTATCCACCATGATCAAGTGGGCTTCATCCCTGGGATGCAAGGCTGGCTCAATATACGCAAATCAATAAATGTAATCCAGCATGTAAACAGAACCAAAGACGAAAACCACGTGATTATCTCAATAGATGCAGAACAGGCCTTTGATAAAATTCAACAACCCTTCATGCTAAAAACTCTCAATAAATTAGGTATTGATGGGACGTATCTCAAAATAATAAGAGCTATCTATGACAAACCCACAGCCAATATCATACTGAATGGGCAAAAACTGGAAGCATTCCCTTTGAAAACTGGCACAAGACAGGGATGCCCTCTCACCACTCCTATTCAACATAGTGTTGGAAGTTCTGGCCAGGGCAATTAGGCAGGAGAAGGAAATAAAGGGTATTCAATTAGGAAAAGAGGAAATCAAATTGTCCCTGTTTGCAGATGACATGACTGCATATCTAGAAAACCCCATTGTCTCAGCCCAAAATCTCAGGGCTGCAACTTCAGCAAAGTCTCAGGATACAAAATCAATGTACAAAAATCACAAGCATTCTTATACACCAATATAGATAAACAGAGAGCCAAATCATGAGTGAACTCCCATTCACAATTGCTTCAAAGAGAATAAAATACCTAGGAATCCAACTTACAAGGGACGTGAAGGACCTCTTCAAGGAGAACTACAAACCACTGCTCAATGAAATAAAAGAGGATACAAAGAAATGGAAGAACATTCCATGCTTATGGGTAGGAAGAATCAATATTGTGAAAATGGCCATACTGCCCAAGGTAATTTATAGATTCAATGCCATCCCCATCAAGCTACCAATGACTTTCTTCACAGAATTGGAAAAAACTACTTTAAAGTTCATGTGGAACCAAAAAAGAGCCCGCATCGCCAAGTCAATCCTAAGCCAAAAGAACAAAGCTGGAGGCATCACGCTACCTGACTTCAAACTATACTACAAGGCTACAGTAACCAAAACAGCATGGTACTGGTACCAAAACAGAGATATAGATCAATGGAACAGAACAGAGCCCTCAGAAATAATGCCACATATCTACAACTATCTGATCTTTGACAAACCTGAGAAAAACAAGCAATGGGGAAAGGATTCCCTATTTAATAAACACTGCTGGGAAAACTGGCTAGCCATATGTAGAAAGCTGAAACTGGATCCCTTCCTTACACCTTATATAAAAATTAATTCAAGATGGATTAAAGACTTAAATGTTAGACCTAAAACCATAAAAACCCTAGAAGAAAGCCTAGGCATTACCATTCAGGACATAGGCATGGGCAAGGACTTCATGTCTAAAACACCAACAGCAATGGCAACAAAAGTCAAAATTGACAAATGGGATCTAATTAAACTAAAGAGCTTCTGCACAGCAAAAGAAATTACCATCAGAGTGAACAAGCAACCTACAAAATGGGAGAAAATTTTCACAACCTACTCATCTGACAATGGGCTAATATCCAGAATCTACAATGAACTCAAACAAATTTACAAGAAAAAAACGAACAACCCCATCAAAAAGTGTGCGAAGGACATGAACAGACACTTCTCAAAAGAAGACATTTATGTAGCCAAAAAACACATGAAAAAATGCTCACCATCACTGGCCATCAGAGAAATGCAAATCAAAACCACAATGAGATACCATCTCACACCAGTTAGAATGGCAATCATTAAAAAGTCAGGAAACAACAGATGCTGGAGAGGATGTGGAGAAACAGGAACACTTTTACACTGTTGGTGGGACTGTAAACTAGTTCAACCATTGTGGAAGTCAGTGTGGCGATTCCTCAGGGATCTAGAACTAGAAATGCCATTTGACCCAGCCATCCCATTACTGGGTATATACCCAAAGGACTATAAATCATGCTGCTATAAAGACACATGCACGCGTATGTTTATTGCGGCACTATTCACAATAGCAAAGACTTGGAAGCAACCCAAATGTCCAACAATGATAGACTGGATTAAGAAAATGTGGCACATATACACCATGGAATACTATGCAGCCATAAAAAATGATGAGTTCATGTCCTTTGTAGGGACATGGATGAAACTGGAAATCATCATTCTCAGTAAACTATCGCAAGGACAAAAAACCAAACACCATATGTTCTCACTCATAGGTGGGAATTGAACAATGAGAACACATGGACGCAGGAAGGGGAACATCACACTCTGGGGACTGTTGTGGGGTGGGGGGAGCGGGGAGGGATAGCATCAGGAGATATACGTAATGCTAAATGACAAGTTAATGGGTGCAGCACACCAGCATGGCACATGTATACATATGTAACTAACCTGCACATTGTGCACATGTACCCTAAAACTTAAAGTATAATAATAATAAAATAAAATAAAAAAGAAAAAAAAGAAAAACTTTAATTGGCTGCTTTACTAAAATCTCTTAGTAATAGCTCTTTATCAATAGATTATCTTGCATCTCATGAGTTTTTTTTTTTTTTTTTTTGCATATTGTCTTTAAGGATGATGCATTTGTCTCTTTCTAATTTTTTTTTCTTTTTCTGGTCTCACTTGTTCGACAAGAATCAATGTGAATTCAGTTCCTACTATACTGTGAATAGTAGCTGTGAGAGTTTCTATCTGTCTCTCTTATCGTCTTTTATCAAAATTCATCTGATATTTTACCATTAAGTATGACATCTACTGTAGGTTTCTGGTGGATATCCTTTATCGGATTTAAGAAGTCTTATTTTCTTATCAGCTTAGTAAGAAGTGTTTTTGTTTTATTTTGTTTAAGAAAGATATGTTAAATTGTATCATGATTTTACTATATTTTTCCTAGAAAATCATCATTTTCATCTGGATTACGATTACTGATACAGTGTTGTTGAACATAATGTTTAAATCATGGTGATTATAGCCCCTTTAATATTTCAAAAGTTTATGCTTTTGTGCCTTTTCTTTTATAATTGTTGAACATTTGACTATTTTGTTGGTTTGTTTGAAGAGATTTTTGATTCATAAATTCTATTTTATGCTTATTTTCTATTTTATTAATTTTGGGTTTAATGTTACCAATTCCTGCTACTTTCTATGGGCTTACTTTATTGTTTCCTTACTAGTTTTGCTTTTCTTTTATTTGAAACTTAATTTACTTGTTCCTTTATTTTTCTTGTTTTCTAATCCATGGGTTTAAGGCTGTAAATGTTCCCCTGAGTACTGTTTTGTCCATATCCAAAAAGTTTAAAATGTGGTGTTGTAACTATCACTTATTTGTAAACAATTTGTAATTTGTTTCACTTCCATGTTAATCCAAGAGTTTTTCAAGGAATCACTTTAAATTTCCAAGTGGCCAGATTTTATCTGGTGTATTTTTATCGTTAATGTCTAATTTTATTATGCACATATCATATGTTAAAAATCCAAAAATATGGACTACAGTCCTTTTGGGAATTTAACATTCTTACTTGTGGCTAACTACTGAATCAGTTGTATATGTGCCATATGTGATATTTGAAAAGAGTGTGTAAACTCCATTAGGTTATAAAGTATGAATGTGTGTGTGTGTTGTTTAAGTACCCTGGTTTTTTTCCTTAAAATATTCGTCCCTTTGGTCTTTGATCTCTGAAAAACCTGCTTGATTTGTCTTGTTTCATGCAGTTTGACTTGATTTCTATTTCAGTTGTAGTTCACATTTCTTCTTCTATGTTTCCATTGCCTGCTGTCTTTTCTCTACCTGTTGTTCTCCTTTCTAGGACATTTGCAATGCATTTGTCTCTTGTAAAGGGTATATAGTTAACTTATATACTCAATCTAAGAGTCTGTCTTTTTTTGTATACACATTTAATTGTTTTGTCCAAAGTGATATAGGGGACTTTTTTTTAATTTGTACTGAAAAGCTTATAATGAAAAATAGGCAGTGGTTTTCTTCATTCTTCCTACTCTCTTCTTCTCATAGTCAGCCACTTTTAACATTTTTTAGTTCTAGCAGTTACCTCTCTAATTAATAAGCTTCTATGGCTATTTCTTTCTTTTTTTCTTTTTCTTTCTTTCTTTTTTTTTTGAGATGGAGTCTCACTCTGTCACCCAGGCTGGAGTTCGGTGGCATGATCTTGGCTCACTGCATCACTGCAGCCTCTACCTCCTGGGTTCAAGTGATTCTCATGCCTCAGCCTCCCGAGTAGCTGAGACTATAGGTGCACACTACCACTGCCCAGCTAATGAGACGGGGTTTCACCATGTTGGCCAGGCTGGTCTCGAACTTCTGACCTCTAGTGATCCACCCACCTTGGCCTCCCAAAGTGCTAGGATTACAGGCATGAGTCACTGCACCCAGTCAGCTATTTCTTGATTTATCAATATCTGTGCAATTATAGCTACAAAAGAAAAGCATTTAACTCTTTTAATACTGCACTCCTCTGCACTCCCTTATTCTCTCAACATAGCTATATTTCTATTTTTAATTGCCAACTATGTTTATACATTATGAGTGTGCACATTTTTGATATTGCAAAATAGTGTACTATGATTATATTTCCTTTTCCATGTATTTTCTTCATATCTCTAATTACCTTTTTTCTCTTCTACTTTATTTACAATCAACATATTCTCATTTCCTTTCAAATGTTCCTTTCAGAGTATTACTTATTTCCCCAAGAGTAGTATCTATTTTCCCTCTCAGCGTATTCTCTACTCCTGTTCCACTACATAGTAATAACTCACTAGGGTTGCCATTAGGGAAATGCAAATTAAAACTGCAATGAACTATCATTACATGCCTATCACAGTAACAAAGCGTTTTAATATAGTGACAACAGCAAATGCTGGCAAGGATTTGGAGAAACTAGGTTGCTCTTACATTGTTTGTGGGAATGTAAAATGATACAGCCACTCTGGAAAACTGTTTGGCAATTTCAAAAAAAAAAAAAAAAACTAAACATGCAACTACCATACATCCTACCACTTGGCATTTATCCCAGAAAAATGAAAGTTTACTTTTATAGAGAAACTTGTACACAAATGTTTATAGCAACTTTATACCTAATAGCCAAATTGGAAATAATCCAGATGTCCTTAAATTGGTGAATGGTTAAATTGTGGTATATCCATACCATGGAATACTACTCAGCAACTAAAAAACCAAACTATTTATACATACAACAATCTGGATGAATCTTCTGAGAATTCTACTAAGTAAAAAAGGCAATCCCAGAAGTCTAAATGCTGCACAATTCCATTTATGTAACACTTTTAAAATGATAATAGAAGTAGGGAACAGATTAGCGGTTGCCAAGAGGAGAAGAGGGTGTGTATAGCTCCCTTTCTTGTTTTCTAGCTAATGGATGCATTTTAAAATACCTTGTTTACCTTTTAAAGGATTTAGAGAGAAAAGGGATAGGTAGGCATGTGTGTTGGTTTGGCCTCTTGATTCAAGTTCTAAGTCACTTCTCCTTTTTATTCAGCTGTATGCTCAGTAAACATGACCTCAGACTAACATTAGCTTAAGCCAACACTTGTGGAAGTGTATCTGGTATTTCAAAAAATTGTGTAAGTTAGCTAGAGACAAACACAAAACTAAGGTTTTATGTCAGTTGGTGAAGGATTATTCCTGACACTGATTTCTTCTTCTTCCTGTAATATTTGAAAAGTTATAGACCCATGGAGTAATAAGAAGTTTTTGGAATATGTGAGTTTTTTCCTGAGATATGAGTTCCTTGAAGGCAGAAACTGTGTCTTTTTCATTTCTATTCCACACCTGCTACATTACACAAGCATTGGCCTTCTTTTTGTTCTTGAACCAGTTCCCCCACCACAGGACCTTTGTACACGATGGTCCCTGTGCTGAGTACATTGCCTCTCCCACTCACTTGCCCACTGATTGTTCAGGTGTCTTTTAAAAGACATTTCTTCAGAGAAGCATTTTCTTTTTTTTTTATTTTTTATTTTTTAATTTTACTTTAAGTTCTGGAGTACATGTGTAGAACATGCAGGTTTGTTACATAGGTATACGTGTGCCATGGTGGTTTGCTGCACCTATCAGCCCATCATCTAGGTTTTAAGCCCCACATGCATTACGTATTTGTCCTATTGCTCTCCCTCCCCTTGCCCCCCACCCCTTGACAGACCCCAATGTGTGATGTTTCCCTCCCTGTGTCCATGTGTTCTAATTGTTCAACTCCAACTTATGAGTGAGAACATGGGGTGTTTGGTTTTCTGTTCCTGTGATAGTTTGCTGAGAATGATGGCATCCAGGTTCACCCATGTCCCTGAAAAGGACATGATCTCATTCTTTTTTATGGCTGCATAGTATTCCATGGTGTATATGTGCCACATTTTCTTTATCCATTCTATCATTGATGGGCATTTGGGTTGGTTCCAAGTCTTTGCTATTTTAATAGTGCTATAGTAAACATACTTGTGCATGTGTCTTTATAGTAGAATGATTTATAATCTTTTGGGTATATACCCAGTAATGGGATTGCTGGGTCAAATAGTATTTATGGTTCTAGATCCTTGAGGAATTGCCACACTGTCTTCCACAATGGTAGAACTAGTTTACAGTCCCACCAATAGTGTAAAAGTGTTCCTGTTTCTCCACATCCTCACCAGCATCTGTTGTTTCCTGACTTTTTAATAATTGCCATTCTAACTGGCATGAGATGGTATCTCATTGTGGTTTTGATTTGCATTTCTCTAATGACCAACGATGATGAGCTTTTTTTCATATGTTCGTTGGCCACATAAATGTCTTCAGAGAAGCATTTTCTAAGTATTTACTCTAGACCAGGCCTATCATAAGTGCTATTATGCCCTCCACCTTTTCTTCGAAGTAATATTTACAGCTGCAAGCATCTATTTATTTATATAGTATATTTTTAAGTTTAAACAGATTTCTTTATTATAGAACTTCTTAGAGTCTTTCACATCTAATATATATAATAAAATATTTCCCGAATTTAATTTGACCATCACTGCATGTTTCATGGGGAAAATGTTCCGTGGACACTTCAGAAGATTTAGACCAGGAATTCTCAAACCAAGCTGCACATTGGAATCACTGGGGATCCCTTCTAAGACCAATCAAATCTGAGTCTTTGCAGGGTGAAGGCCCAAGAATACATATATATATATATATATATATATATATATATATATGTATGTGTGTGTGTGTGTGTACATATATATATGTATATGTACACACACACACAGTCTCGCTCTGTGTGTGTACATATATATATATATGTATTCTTGAAGGCCCAAGAATACATATATATATGTGTGTGTGTGTGTGTGTGTGTGTGTGTGTGTGTGTGTGTGTACATATATATATGTGCACACACACAGTCTCACTGGGTGACAGTCTCGCTCTGTCACCCAGGCTGGAGTGCAGTGGCGCTATCTCAGCTCACTGCAAGCTCTGCCCCTCCAGGTTTAAGCAATTCTCTGCCTCAGCCTCTGGAGTAGCTGGGATTACAGGCATGTGCCACCATGCCCTGCTAATTTTTTGTATTTTTAGTACAGACAGGGTTTCACCGTCTTGGCCAGGCTGGTCTTGAACTCCTGACCTCGTGATCCACCCACCTCGGCCTCCCAAAGTGCTGGGATTACAGGCGTGAGCCACCGCGCCTGACCAAGAATACATAATTTTTAAGAGCTACTAAGTGATGTTAATGTTCATGTAGGCTGAGAACATAAGGTCAAGTTTTTAATATCTATCCCTCCCACCAGGCTGTAAGTCTCATGTAAGCCATAATGTTTTGTTCATTCCTGTATTCCTAGCATAGGACATACCCATATATAAAATAGGTACTCAGTTAATTAATGTATTTACTCATTAACAATTTAGTGACAGCTATTACGTGTCAGACTGTATTCTAGGCAGCGGGGATGTAACCATAAACAAACAGACAAAAATCCCCATCTCTGTGGAGCTTACATTTTATGGAGTAATAATAATACATACTAAGTGGTTCCTACATGCCAAGCCATGTTCTTATGACTTTATATACATGAATTGACTTAATTCTCACAGCGTATCTTTAGGAGGCATTATTGCCTCTAATTCATGGTTGAGAAAACTGAGATACAAGGAGGTTAAGAAATTTGTGCAAGGTCCCATAATAAGTAGGGGCTGAGCAGGGAGTTGAACCCACGCATTGTTACGCAAGGGCCCATCAGTAACCACCAGCAAATCCTGGGCAATAAAATGTCTCTGAATTAACAAACAAATGCATGAATTGGTCTCTGAATCACCTAAAGCCTAAGGAGGTATCCTGTTCACGATGGCAAGCCAGTCATTTAGCCCCATCTCCCATCTTCTGCTCTACCCCCACAGGTCCCCTTAGAGGGCATCTCCAGCCTTGGAGTGAATAGCGCTACACACAAGGGATGCACTTCCCAGTAGGGCAGATTTTTCCATTGTTGAATAGGAGTTTCTAACCTTTCTGGCTTGTATCATTCATTTTAAAATCAGGTGGGCTGAGTCACAGATAAAATAAACACACCGTGGGCACAGCAAACACACTACAGAAACTCCTAATCTTCTCCAAATATTTCACACGATATGGAAAAATTTCAGAACCAACCAAAAATAAATAAACAACTGTTGAGATGATTTACAGTCTGGCCAATAAGCAGGCTCAGGGTCTATCTGGCTTTCTCAATCTCAGGACCATCTGCCAATCCTTTTGCTCCAGATTGTGGAATCAGGAACAGCATCAGAAGTTAGAGGAACCATATTTCAGAAAACTTTCTCTAATATTTACCATTTAACTATTATATGCCTCGCATTGTGCCAGCTCTTGTCATATGCAAAAGCTCCCTGATGACTTTCCACTGATTTTAGCTCTGACCTCCGAGAGCACCCAGGAAGTCTGAATAGCAGCTCTTCTAATATTTGAAAATTGCTATCACCTTCCTCTTTTTCCTGCCTTAGGTCATTTTGTTCCAGGCTATAAAATATCCCCTGTTCCTTTCATTGGCCTTCATATGGTATAGTGACTCTTTCTCTTAAGTGTAAGGCCCACCGTTAAACAAAACCTTCAGTCCTGTGGCCTGAGTGGCTCTGATACCAACAGAACTGAGTCTTTGGCCATTTGTATACAATACCTCTGAGGAATCCACCTAAAACTCTTCCTACCTAACATCACTGCAGGGAAGAGTCCAGTGGAAATTTCTCATTCTTTAGACATGTTCTTTCCTTCCTCCAAACCTCTTCTCTGCCCAATAAACCCTTAGTCATCCTTCAAAACAAAGCCCTCACTGGCCCCCACCTCCCACCCATACAGAACCAGCCACTTACATCCTCTGTAACACTTCAGTGGCCTGCAAACACTATTTTCACTCAGCACATTAGACAACATGACATTTATTTGCATGCCTGTCTCTATGGATAACTTGAGGGCAAAAAGAAATTACACCTCATTAACTGTCAGTGCACAGTACCTGGCTAGTTGTTGAGCTGAACTAAACTCTTGATAAGAAACAACTATGAAAGCAAAAATTCTGTGTAAAAGCAAAAGGAAAACATAAGAATAGGTATTATTTGTTTGTTATTCAAAAAACCTTCAGCTAGGTAATGTGGGCACAGTGAAGATGTGCTATACGTGATTTCTCCCTGTAGGGAGCATATAGTTAAGATGTCATTTACTCATTCATTCACTCATTCATTCACCCATCATTCAACAAGCACCACTGAAGTTCCTACTATGTGCCAGGCATTTTTCTAGTCACCACAAATGCAGCAGTAAATAAGATCAGCACAGTTGCTGCCGTAATAGTGGAGTTCCTAGCCAAGCAGTGCAGGAATTTACTAATATTTAGGCATCCATTCCTTTACCAGTCAACAAATACTAAGTGTTCATGATGTATCAGGTAGTGCACAAGCCTCTGAGTATGCAGCAATGAACAGACTAAACACAGTCCCCTTGTTTATGGAGCTTGGATGTTAGTGGTGAAAACAAAGCTCACCAACATAAGAATTCACTTTGCAGTGTAAAGAAAATAAAACCTGTCATTGACCAAAGTGTTGAGGCAAGCCTTTTTAACTGACTTTGTCCAACACCCTTCTTTCAGTGAGCCTCACCTCAAATCATTTTCTTTTGTAAGTACTGTGGTTCACAGCTCTCTTCTCAGACCCCTGCCCCTTGTCTTCAGTTTCATCTTACACTATGGTGGCTCCTCCAAGCTCACTGTCTTCAACACACTTGCCACTGGAAAGTTTCTGCAAAGGTGATTATGTCACCAACTTAGTAGAGCAGCTTATTCCTCCCTCTTCCCTGTCATACACCCCTCGGGAACTCTGGAGCCATGAAGCCTTGGCGGAGATGGAGGCCCACCAGGCAGCTCTTTATTGCCATGCAACTGTGAGATTCCTCTCCACACTTCCTCCTGGGGAAAAGTCAGCCTGCCAGTGGAGATTTAACAGTGGAGTAGTGCATAGTGACTTGCCAAGTTTCCCCTGCCCCCCAGCTACCGCCATCCCCACCATCCCTACCCCTGGACTGAACAAATGGCATCACTTATCCCCTGGGAGCCTGGCAGTTGCTGAGCCCATACGCCTCAGGGACTGGTGAGCTTCCAGTGGCCACAGAGGCAGGTCTCCACTCAAGGCACATGCAGACTCAAGCAGAGCTGTGTCTGTGACTACCCAACTGGACACGCAGCTGGCACTGGAGATGATAAGCCGCTTTCTAGGTCACCTTCTCCCTGCAGAGATTTTTCTCTTGAATCATTTTTGGCCAGATCCCTTTGCAGCATTATAGTTTGTCAATAGTCCGCGACTGCTTTCTAGAATTTCTCTCCAGGAAAAAGTGTGTTTTTCTAAGAAATAGGTGTTGTAGCCTGAAGCCTAATTTCATGAGAAGGCTCAAAACTGAAACAAAAATAATCACCCTCAAGTCTGGAAGCTGAAGGGCCTCTCCAGTCCCTGAAGGGTACTTCCCTTTGGGAGGTTGGGGGTGGAAGGTGTCCCTTTGTGTTGTTTTAATACAATTTTTCCAATTATAAAAATAATGTAGGCTCCTTATATCAGCTAGGGTTCCAGCAGAAAACAGAAGCCATGCTCATCTTGAATTTTGAAGAAATTTTAATGAAGGGATTATTTACAGAGAGGTGACGAGGGTTCATGAAAGGACAAGGGATTTTAAAGCACTTAGGGACTAACAACATTGGGCCAGTCTTATCACCCCTACACTTGAAAAGGAGTGGGGTAAAACGTGGGGTGAGAGGAGCACCAATCAGACGCTGTTGTGTGAAAAGACACAACCACAGCCATACGGAGGCACTGGCTGTACCCAACTAGCAGCCCAAGGGCAAGGGGCCCTGGGTGATGCAGTCCATAGGTGTCAGCCTCCCAAAGACACAGAGTGGGACAGAGAAGGTCCATAAAGAATTCCAGGGTGAAAAGACTGAAAAGACAAATTGTTCTAGAGGACCAATGGAAAAACCAATATAATAATCATAGAACATTGTAGGCCGGGTGCCATGGCTCACAACTGTAATCCCAGCACTTTGGGAGGCCAAGGCAGGCAGATCAATTGAGGTCAAGAGTTCGAGACCAGCCTGGCCAACACGGAGAAACCCCACCTCTCTTAAAAATACAAAAATTAGCCAGGCATAGTGGTGCATGCCTGTAATCCCAGCTACTCGGGAGGCTGAGGCACGAGAATCACTTGAACCCGGAAGGTGGAGGTTGCTGTGAGCTAAGATCGCTCCACTGCACTCCAGCCTGGCGACAGAGCAAGACTCTGACTCAAAAAAGAAAAACAAAGGTGGGGGGAAGCATGATTCCCTTCCCTGGAACTTCTTCAGTGCAGACTCTGCGTCTAACTCACTTTTGCATCCCTCAAGTGGCCAACATCTGTAGAGTAATAGTTCCAAAAATAGCTATTGAATGAATAAAATGACATCACTTCTCTCTCCTGGAACAAAATGAAAACAAAACAAAACAAAACAAAAAAAACAAAAAAATGCTTGATGTCAGCTGGGTCCCCAGAAACTAAAATGTGTGCAGCATCTTTTTCACCTCATCTACACCCTACTGTTTGAGAGCACATTTTAAGAAGGGGCCACGGGCCAGGCACGGTGGCTCACACCTGTAATCCCAACACTTGGGAGGCCAAGGCGGGCAGATCACTTGAGGTCAGAAGTTCAACAGCAGCCTGGCCAACATGGTGAAACCCCGTCTCTACTAAAAATACAAAAATTAACTGGGCATGGTGGCACACGCCTGTAATTCCAGCTACTCAGGAGGTTGAGGAAAGAGGATCACTTGAGCCCAGGAGGCGGAGGTTGCAGTGAGCTGAGATTGCGCCACTGCTCTCCATCCTGAGCAACAGAGCTAGACTTCGTCTGCAAAAAAAAAGAACATCGAACATTGCAAAGAGCAGGAAAAAATCATTCTTACTTTTACATCCCAAAGAAATCTACTCCTTGAAGAAACTTCTGGTTTTTTTTTGACATTTTATAACAAAGTTAAGATTATACATTTAATAATTATTATAATATTATTATACCTACCTAAAAATAGTGATGAATACTTGTCAAGCCCATACCATGTGCTAGCCATTGGGTCAGGACTTTATAGGCATTGCTTCTTCTAAACCTCATACAGTCCTGTGGAGTAGGTACTACTATTATCCTCTCCTAATGAATGAGGAACCTAAGGCAAAGACAAGAACTTGCTGAAGGTCCCACAGCCAGTATATGCCAGAATCAAATTTAATCCCAATCATTGATCCTAGGGTCTTTCCTCTTAAGGACTACACTATCCCACCAGCTTTTCCACCACCCATCAGCTTAAAGGAAGTTTCTAATAGTTTCTTCCCCCATCTTGATTTTTCTAGTTTCAAATCATATAGTTGCAGAAAGCTAAATGTAGTATATGAAATAATATCAAACTCTCCTAGTCTACCAGTCTACCCCACCTCCAAAGAAAAGAAAAATAAAATTAATAAAATTTTTAAAATTAGAAAAATTATATATAGTTTTATAAAATTATAAAGTTAATTTTATACTCATACTCAAAAACATGAGTCAAGTAGCTTAAATTTTAACAAAAATTGACATCTAAATAGATGAAGATCCATCACCCCCAACTAATCCCACTGCCTCAGATGTTAAACAGGAACACATCCATGAATGCTGAGAGCAGGCTAAACAGGATGGGCTGCCTACACATTCACCGCATCTAAATAAATAGGTTTGGAGATCTTCTAATCAACCATTTCCATTTCTGATGACGTGTGTGCTAAGAACTACACCAATCAATAGAAATAATTCATCAAGGGAATGGTGGTTAAACTGTTCACTGCCAAAGAACTGTCCACTGCCAAAGGAAGGATTTAGTCTGTTCTACAAAGTGCTTTAAATTCTGACAATGTGCATTTGGTTTAGGAAAGTCCATCCCACTCTTCAGACTCTTTACTACAATGACTGATGAACCCGTCAAGAAAAATGAGATTAACTATATTCTAAAAAATGCCTCACATCAATGGCAAGTGTTTGTCAAAATCTTGACTTGTCTGTTCTATACAGTGTGTTAACTATGGCATGATATAAACTAAGCCAAAGTGATACAATCCCCTGTGAGCCCATGACCTGGGAAGGATGAGGTCATTGTAAACTTTGGTAGCAGAACCACGGTCTTCACTAAGACAGAATTATGTAGAGGAAAGAGACCTAGCCTGAAGTCAGGAGGCTATTGTGCTAGTTCTGGTCCTGCCGTAACTACCTGTGTGACCTTGAGTAAGTCATATCTCGTCTTTAAACCTTAGTTCTCCCTGTGAAGAAATTAGGGAATAAGATTAAATCAGCGGTTTTCAAACATCTATAGAAACTTAGGTCTCCACAGAGATGCCTATGGCCTATGGGACAACATGAAGTGACAGGGGAGGTGGCAGTAGGGGGTTTCCCAGATTCCGTTTTCTAAATTAGGTCTTCCTGTTGTATTCTTTCAGGGGACCATGTAAGCTTCTCTCACAGTCCTTTTCCCACTTTGTAATTTCATCTTTATTTATATATTAATTACTTAATATCTGTTTTTTTCTAGATTATATTCTCCATGAGAGCAGAGACTATGCCTATTTAATTCACCGTTACAAACCCAATGAGTAGCCCAGTACCTGGCACTTGGTACATGATACATTATTGAATGAATGAATACATGAATGAGTTAATACCTCTCATTTCTGGCCCTGGAAGTGCCTGTGAACATGGATATGATTAGTCTCAGTAAAGAAAACACATTGTTTTCCTCCTCCTCTTTATTACTACACCAAGTGTAAAGAACTGTGTCTGAGTTGTGGCTTGGCCCTACCTCCTTGCTAACTATATGACCTTGAGTACAAAGGTCATAACTTCTCTGAGCTTTGGTTTCCTTTTCTTTAAAACAACTAGGTTAATTTGTGATATCTCAGGTCTCCTTCTATAGCATTCCATAATTTCATTATTTAGTCTCTTCCTCAATCCAAAAGTTAAATAAAGCTGATGATCCTGCATAAATTTAGTATTCAATAGCATAGAGTTAATCTGTGGAAATGAACAAGCTCTCTCTGGTGAAGAGATACCCAGAGATTATATGAGATGCCCTGAGACATACAACCATGAATTGGCAAAGACACAGAACCAAGAGACAAGTCATTACTCTGCCACCTAACATCTTTGTGATCTTGGAAAACGTTTCATCTCTTCTGATAAGGAGAGTATTACTGTCCCAGCTGCCCCATGTGATATTATGAAGAACAAAACAAATGAGATAATATGTTATAATGCTTTGTAAATTATAATGTGCAGTATAAATGTAAGATAATACTATCACTATTAGGTTAACATAAAGGTCATAAAGCCAAAATAATTAAGCAATGCCATGCTGGTACATAATAGACCAATGGATTCGAAAGGAAAATTCATAAGTAGCTCCAAATACAGAAATTTTGTATAAAATAAAAATGATGTCACATACCAGTGAGGAAAATACATAAATTTCAATAAGAAGGCTACTGGGCTACCATCTAAATGTAAAATAAAATTGTATTCATGTTTCACTTTATTATGTGAAACATGATAATATTAGTTTATATCATGCCATAGTTAACACACTGTATTCCAGAGTACATTATAAGGGGACCAGAGATTTCCATATAAAATAAAATAATAAAATTTCTAGAATAAAACATGGGAGAAATCTTTTATAACTACAAAAGGAAAGGCATTTATACCATAGTATGGTTTAATATCGAGAAAAAAACTCAACCTCACTTTTTAAGAGAACTTCAACAAAAACAACTATGAGCAAAGTAAATAAGACAAATATTCATAACAATGGACACAGGCTCATTTTTTTTTTTAATCTCTCATCACACAAGTCATAACCCCTTATTTAGGCTTTGGGTTTTTATTTTTCTGTAAGTTATTGGGGTACAGGTGGTATTCGGTTACATGAGTAAGTTCTTTAGTGATTTGTGAGATTTTAGAGCACCCATCACCCGAGCAGTATACACTGCACCATATTTGTAATCTCTTGTCCCTCGCCCCTCTCCCACTCTTCTCCCCAAGTCCCCAAAGTCCACTGTATTATTCTTATGCCTTTGCGTCCTGATAGCTTTGCTCCCACTTATCAGTGAGAACATATGATGTTTGGCTTTCCGTTTCTGAGTTACTTCACTTAGAATAATAGTCTCCAATCTCATCCAGGTCACTGCAAATGCTGTTATTTCATTCCTTTTTATGGCTGAGTAGTATTCCATTTTTTATATATATATATATATATATATATATGTATCATTCCTTTTTATGGCTGAGTATTCCATTTTATATATATATATTATATATAGTGATATATATACAGTGATATATATATATATATCACAATTTTTTTAATCCACTTGTGGATTGATGGGCATTTGTGTTTGTTCCACGATTTTGCAATTGTGAATTGTACTACTATAAACATGCATGTGCAAGTATCTTTTTTGAATAATGACTTCTTTTCCTCTGGGTGGATACCCAGTAGTGGGATTGCTGGATCAAATGGTAGTCCTACTTTTAGTTATTTAAGGAATCTCCACATTGTTTTCCATAGTGGCTGTACTAGTTTACATTCCCATCAGCAGTGTAGAAATGTTCCCTGATCACTGCATCCACACCAACATCTACTGTTTTTTGATTTTTTGATTATGGCCATTCTTGCAGGATTAAGGTGGTATCACATTGTGGTTTTGATTTGCATTTCCCTGATCATTAGTGTTGTTGAGCATTTTTTCATATGTTTGTTGGCCATTTGTATATCATCTTTTGAGAATTGTCTATTCATGTTCTTAGCCCACTTTTTGATGAGGTTGTTTTTTTTCTTACTGATTTGTTTGAGTTCATTGTAGATTCTGGATATTAGTCCTTTGTCAGATGTATAGATTGTGAAGATTTTCTCTCACTCTGTGGGTTGTCTGTTTACTCTGCTGACTGTTCCTTTTGCTGTGCAAAAAGCTCGTGCAAAAGTTTAATTAGGTCCCAGCTGTTTATCTTTGTTTTTATTGCATTTGCTTTTGGGTTCCTGGTCATGAAATCTTGCCTAAGCAATGTCTAGAAGGATTTTTCCAATTTAATCTTCTAGAATTATTATAGTTTTAGGTCTTAGGTTTAAGTCCTTAATCCATCTTGAGTTGATTTTTTTTATAAGGTGAGAGATGAGGATCCAGTTTCATTCTCCTACATGTGGCTAGCCAATTATCCCAGCACCATTTGTTGAAAAGGGTGTCCTTTCCCCACTGTAAGTTTTTGTTTGCTTTGTCAAAAATCGGTTGGCTGTAAGTATTTGGGTTATTTCTGGGTTCTCTATTCTGTTCCATTGGCCTATGTACCTATTTTTATGCGAGTACCACGCTGTTTTGGTGACTATGGCCTTATAGTGTAGTTTGAAATCAGGTAGTGTGATGCCTCCAGATTTATTCTTTTTGCTTAGTCTTGCTTTGGCTATGTGGGCTCTTTTTTGGTTCCACATGAATTTTATAATTGCTTTTTCTAATTCTGTGAAGAATGATGGTGGTATTTTGATGTGGATTGCACTGAATTTGTAGATTGCTTTTGGCAGTATGGTCATTTTCACGATATTGGTTCTACCCATCCATGAGCATGGGATGTGTTTTCATTTGTTTGTGTCATCTATGATTTCTTTCAGCAGTGTTTTTAGTTTTCTTTGTAGAGGTCTTTTGACTCCTTTGTTAGGTACATTCCGAAGTATTGTATTGTATTGTATTGTATTGTATTGTATTGTATTGTATTGTGTTGTGTTGTGTTGTGTTGTGTTGTGTTGTGTTGTGTTGTACTGTATTGTATTATATTGTATATTTTGCAGCTATTGTAAAAGGGGTTGAGTTCTTGATTTGATTATCTGCTTGGCTGCTGTTGGTGTATAGAAGAGCTACTGATTTGTGTACATTAATCTTGTATCTGAAAACTTTGCCAAATTTTTTTATCAGTTCTAGGAGCTTTCTGGAGGAGTCTTTAGGGTTTTCAAGGTAAACAATCGTATTTTCAGCAAACAGTGACAGGTTGACTTCCTCTTTACCAATCTGAATGCCCCTTTTTTTCTCTTGTCTGATTGCTCTGGCTAGGATTGGTACCAATTCTTCTTTGAATGTTGAAGAGGAGTGGTGAGAGTGGGCATCCTTGTTCTGTTCCAGTTCTCAGAGGGAATGCTTTCAACTGTTAACCATTCAGTATTATGTTGGCTGTGAGTTTGTCATAAATGGCTTTTATTACATTAAGGTATGTCCCCTTGTATGCCAATTTTGCTGAGAGTTTTAATCATAAAGCAATGCTGGATTTTGTTGAATGTTTTTTCTGCATCTATTAAGATTATCATGTGATTTTTGTTTTTAATTCTGTTTATGTGGTGTATCACATTTATTGACCTGCATATGTTAAACCATCTCTGCATCCCTGGTGTGAAACCCACTTGATCATGATGGACTATCTTTTTGATATGTCATTGGATTCAGTTAGCTAGTATTTTGTTAAGGATTTTAGCATCTATGTTCATGAAGGATATCAGTCTGTAGTTTTCTTTTTTGGTTATGTCCTTTCCTGGTTTGGGTATTAGAGTGATGCTGGCTTCATAGAATGAATTGGGGAGAGTTCCTTCTTTCTCTATCTTATGGAATAGTGACAAAAGGATTGGTACCAATTCTTTGAATGTCTGGTAGAATTCTGCTGAGAATCTGTGTGGTCTTGGACTTTTTGGTGGTAATTTTTAAATTGCCATTTCAATCTCGCTGCTTGCTACTGGTCTGTTCAGGGTATCTAATTCTTCCTGATTTAAGCAAGGAGGGTTGTATTTTTTCCAGGAATTTATTCATCTCTTCTAGGTTTTCTAGTTTGTGTGCATAAAGATGTTCATAGTAGCCTTGAATGATCTTTTGTATTTCAGTGGTGTCAGTTGTAATATCTCCTGTTTTGTTTCTTAGTGGGGTTATTTGGATTTTCTCTCTTCTTTTCTTGGTTAATCTTGCTAATAGTCCATCAATTTTATTTATTTTTTCAAAGAACCAGCTTTTTGTTTCATTTATGTTTTGTATTTTTGTTTGTTTGTTTGTTTGTTTGTTTCAATTTCATTTAGTTCTGCTGTGATCTTGGTTATTTCCTTTTTTCTGCTGTGTTTGGGTTTGGTTTGTTCTTGTTTCTCTAGTTCCTTGAGGTGTGACCTTAGAATGTCAGTTCGTGCTCTTTTAGTCTTTTTGATGTAGGCATTTAGGGCTATGAACTTTCCTCTTAGCACCGCCTTGCTGTATCCCAGAGGTTTCGGTAGGTTGTGTCATTATTGTTGTTCAGTTCAAATAATGTTTTAATTTCCATCTTGCTTTCGTTTTGACCCAAAAGGAGCAGTATGCCTGTATTTGCCATGTATTTGCATGGTTTTGAAGGCTCTTTTTGGAATTGACTTCCAGTTTTATTCCACTGTGGTCTGAGAGAGTGCTTGATATAATTTCAATTTTCTTAAATTTATTAAGGCTCATTTTATGGCCTATAATATGGTCTATCTTGGAGAAAGTTCCATGTGCTGTTGAATAGAATGTGTATTCTGTGGTTGTTGGATGAACTGTTCTGTATATATCTGTTAAGTCTATTTGTTCCAAGGTATAGTTTAAATTCATTGTTTCTTTATTGACTTTCTGTCTTGATGACCTATCTAGAGCTGTCAGTGGAGTATTTAAGTCCCCTACTATTATTGTGTTGCTGTCTATCTCATTTCTTAGGTCTATTAGTAATTGTTTTATAAATTTTAGAGCTCCAGTGTTAGGTGCATATATGTTTAGGATTGTGATATTTTCCTGTTGGACAAGGTCTTTTACCATTATATAATGTCCCTCTTTGAGATAAGAATAGCTACACCTGCTTGCTTTTCGTGTCCATTTACATGAAATGCCTTTTTCCACCCTTTTACTGTAAGTTTACCTTATGTGTTAGGTGAGTCTCCTGAAGGTAGCAAATGGTTGGTGAGTTCTTATCCATTCTGTGGTTCTGTATCTTTTAAGTGGAGCATTTAGGCCATTTACATTCAATGTTAGTATTGAAATATGGGGTACTGTTGCATTCATCATGCTCTTTGGTGCCTGTGTACTTTGATTTTTTGTTTTTTTCTTTTTAACTTGTATTTTTGTTTTATAGTTCCTGTGTGATTTATGCTTTAAAGAGCTTCTGTTTTGATGTGTTTCCAGGATTTGTTTCAAGGTTTAGAGCTCCTTTTAGCAGTTCTTGTAGTGGTAGCTTTGTAATGGTGAATTCTGTCAGCATTTGTTTTTCTGAAAAAGACTGTATCTTTCCTTCATATATGATGCTTAGTTTTGCTGGATACAAAATCCTTGGTTGATAATTGTTTTGCTTGAGAAGGCTGAAGATAGGGCCCCTATTCCTTCTGGCTTGTAGGGGTCCTGCTGAGAAATCTTCTGCTAATCCAAGTTTTTCCTTTATAGGTTACCTGATGCTTCTGTCTCACAACTCTTAAGATTCTTTCCTTCTTCTTAACTTTGGATAACATGATGACAATGTGCCTAGGTGATGATCTTTTTGTGATGAATTTCCCAGGTGTTCTTTGTGCTTATTGTATTTGGATGTCTAGGTCACTAGCAAGGCTGGGGAAGATTTCCTTGATTATTCCCCCAAATATGTTTTCCAAGCATTTAGGATTCTCTTCTTCCTCAGGAACACCGATTATTCTTAGGTTTGGTCATTTAACATAATCCCAGACTTCTTGGAGGCCTTGTTCATATTTTCTTATTCTTTTGTCTTTGTTAGATTAGGTTAATTTGAAGACCTTGTCTTCGAGCTCTGAATTTCTTTCTTTTACTTGTTCAATTCTATTGCTGAGACTTTCCAGAGCATTTTGCATTTCTAAAAGTGTGTCCAAAGTTTCCTGACTTTTTTATGGTTTTTTCTTCAAGCGATCTATGTCCTTGAATATTTTTCCCTTCACTTCTTGTACCACCTTTTGGATTTTCTTGCATTGGGCTTCACCTTTCTCTGGTGACTCTCCGATTAGCTTAATAACTAACCTCATGAATTCTTTTTCAGGTAAATCAGGGATTTCTTCTTGGTTTGGACCCATTGCTGGTGAACTAGTGTGATTTTGGGGGGTATGGAAGAGCCTTGTTTTGTCATATTACTAGGGTTGGTTTTCTGGTTCCTTCTTATTTGGGTAGGCTCTATCAGAGGGAAAGTCTAGGGCTGAAGGCTGTTGTTCAGATTCTTTTGTTTCATGGGGTGTTACCTTGATGTAATACTCTCCCCCTTTTCCTATGGATGTGGCTTCCTATGAGTCGAACTGCAGTGATTGTTGTCTCTCTTCTGGGTCTAGCAACCCAGAGAGTCTACCTAGCTCCAGTCTGATACTGGGGAGTGTCTGCACAGAGCCCTGTGGTGTTAACCACCTATGGGTCTGTCAGCCATGGATACCAGCACCTGTTCCAGTGGAGGTGGTGGTGGGGGGTAGTGCAATGAACTCCATGAGGGTTCTTAGCTCTGGTGGTTTAACGCTCTATTTTTGTGCTGGTTGGCCTCCGGCCGGGAGGTGGCCCTTTCCAGAGACCATCAGTAGTATCCATATTTCTAATATATAAATAGCTCTTGAAATATATATGAAAAAATGAGGGAAAGATTGTTCACAGAGAAGCACAGACAACTCCTAAGCATATAAAAAGATGTTCAAACTTTCTCATTATGCAAGAAATGCAACCTAAAACTAACTTGAGGTATCACTTTTCACCTTTCAGAATATCAAAAACTTCAAAAGTTTAATATACGCTCTATAGATTAAGTTCTAGGAAACAGTCAACTTCATATAATGCTGGGAGAAGTGTAAATTATTGTCACCCTTATGGAGAGTAGTTTGGCAATATCTATCAACATTACAAATGCAAATAATCTTTGACCTGGTAATTCTAAGTAGGGGGATTTATCCTACAACTACACCTAGATATATATAAAATAACATGCACAAGAGTTGTTTGTAAGAATTTTTAAAAAGTAAATTGCATCAACGTTGTTTAAAGGAGTAAAATATAGAGTATCTTTCAATTAGGAACTAATTAAATAAATTATCATACACATACATATAAAACAGCTATAAAAAAGAATGTGGGATCTCATTTTGAATTGTATATGGAAGGACCTCCAAAGTATATTGTTAAAAAATTGAAAGAGCATATATGTAATATACTACCTTTTGTGTAAAATTGAGGGAGGAGGATCTATATTCACATTTGCTTGAATATACATAAACTCTTGGAAGATGTATAGGACGCTAAGAACAACGGATATCTATGGTGGGAGGGAAAATCTAAGAACTGGGAAGATGGTAAATAAGGAATAAGGGAGTCTTATCTCTTTATAATTGTTTATACCTTTTGGTTTTTTAACCATGTAGATCTGTTTAAAACATTTAATAAAAGGATCAAAATAAAAATAAAGTTAATGAGATACAGAGGAAACAGACTGAGGCAAGAGAGGAAAAGGCAATGGGAAAAAATAGGTCAGACAGAAGGCTACCATAAAGGAATAGTCTTTAAAATCACGTAAGGGCAGTCAAAAAGAGGAGGTCAGGTACAGACTCTTTTCATCCCATACGCAGGAATAGAAAATATTCAAAAGTATGCCTGAAAGAAGGGATAGCGAGAACAAAGTTTTCTGTAAATTTCCACAGTGTTTTTTCCCCCTATATTGACAAACAGGAGAAAACAATACAGTAAGCTAAAATGGGCAAATTATTTCAATTCTTTCAGGGAGGAAGAAAAATATCTCCATGGCTATCATTTCTGTAACCATAGAGGGTGAATTTCATGAAGCAGGCTCCCATACTGAATTAAATAATAAATTTCCCCAAAAGAGTCTTTTATAGTGCTTATTTAAGCTATCGAGAAAGAGAAGAGTCTTAAATGACAGGAGTGTTTACGTATTTAATTTTTGTGTAATATTAGAACCATAAACCCTCTCTCTTTCAGATGGGGAATATGTGACACATGCAGTTAATTTCTACGTTAAATTATTGAATGAAAAATACACACATTATCCATTGCGACTCCAGGATTAGGTCAGGTCAAATTTTATTGCTTTTGGCCAAGGGCTTTTGTAAGACTTACAAGGCTAGGAGCAGGTACAGTGTGATCTTTGGTATAAGTTATAGAGTTAGAGTGAGGTTCTGAGTGGGAAAATGCATAGCATTTCAGAGGTAATTTCATGAAAGTCATCATGAGACCAGCATAGTATCATGCTGACCTACCTAGAACTTTATAAGATCACTTTAGCTCTGGTTTCTGAAACTGCCATGGTTCATGTATCCACCTGACAATAAATAACCAATCTTTTCTAGATTGATCTGTAATGGATGCTAATTGGAATTAGCCCCAAGAAGTATCTGGCATGGGGCCAGGTATAAATAGGGAGGGGAAAAAGGGGAAGGAAATGTGGATAATTCTGTAGCTCAGGGGTTCCAAAAATAAACATTTGATAAGCTAAAATTGTCTAATAGTATCTGTTTTCAAACTTGGAGGTAAGCATGGAACCCAGAAAGAGGTTTAATTATTTTACCAGAGTAAACAAAATCTGTATCTGATTAAAAACAGTCTACCATACAGAGCATTTTGAACAAAGTGCTATCCTTTAGATTGATTTATGAGAGAAATGACGTAGGAGTAGTAGCAGTAATACTAGGAAATATTTACTGAGCTCTTACCAGGTGCCAAGCTAAATGTTTTATATGTGTTATATCACTTAATCCTCTCAAAAATCTTATGAGGTAGGATATATTCTTAACTGCATTTTGTAGATGAGGAAATTCAGGTTCAGAAAAATTAAGAAGTTGCCCAAGTCTAACAATTAGTAAGTGAAGAAACCAGAATACATATTTCTCTGAAGTGTGTGCTCATAACATCAAATCAAAGCTCCATCAGTGTTAATACACATTCAGGCTTTTATTGTTCTGTAAGCTTACTTATGATCAATAGATTCTTTGTATTTGATTATGGCCTCTTAATCATAGGCTTGAATTAAAGGGAATCCGACCACTCCCATCTCAGAACTCCCAAAGTACCATAGGACTAAAAATCAAATAGAAAATAGATTAGAACACTATCACAAAGAATATTTGGCTACATTAACTGTAGGACATTTTAGCTACATATTTCTGTATCAGAAATAAGTTAAACTAGAATGATCTTAGAGATAAGTTTCAATAAAATTTCTTGATGCTTTCTTCAATAACGCCAATTACTACAACTGTTTTCAATATAAACTTTCTAGAAGAGCTTTGTGTTAAGCACAAATAGCTAAATATTTAAAATCTTTTTTATCTTTTTTTTTTTTTTTTTTTTTTTGACAGAGTCTTGCTCTGCTACCCAGGCTAGAGTGCAGTGGCGTGATTTCGGCTCACTGCAACCTCCGCCTCCCGGGTTCAAGCGATTCTCTTGCCTCAGCCTCCTGAGTAGCTGGGATTACAGGCATAGGCCACCATGCCCAGCTAATTTTTGTATTTTTAATAGAGACAGGGTTTCACCATGTTGGCCAGGTTGGTCTTGAATTCCCAACCTCAGGGGATCTGCCCACCTCGGCCTCCCAAAGTGCTGAGATTACAGGCTTGAGCCACCACACCCAGCCAATATTTAAATTATTTATAATGGTCAATCAGTTGGCCCATTATAGTATTCTGGGTGTCTCTTTGAATATTATCAAAGATGTTTATACACATTTTATCTTCCTATGTGAGTGTTTGTTAACCATATTTTCTCCATTTCTTTTCTTCGAGACACTCTAGTTAACTCTGGGTTCCTGTTATGAATTAATATAGGTATAAATTACTAGCAGTGGATTAGGATATAGACACCTGTGAAAATGGTGGACGCTCTTATGCGGACCCACCAGGGATACACTCTGAATTATCTTGGTGGTGAAGAAAGAGCAATCAGATTCTTCATTCTCAAAAACTACATTCAACTCACATATATTGCAGAAAAAGAGATGAGATGGTCAGAGATACTAAGGTTAGATTATTGGACTAATGAAAGATTTTATTTCTGTTACCTATTTCAAATTATTTACACCAGGCTAAAAAAGAGAGAAAGAAGTTTGGTGTAGTCTGTGATGTGAGCATCCTTCCTGGTTACAGAGGCAACTAGCTCCTTAAAGATCAGCATTGCAGATTCTATACAGATGATTAAATTGATGTAAAAACAAAAGTTTCTCCTCTCACTTTAGACTGGGTTTGAACGCAAAAAGTAAAAACAATAGAGTTAGAAGGCAGTCATGAGATTATGTTACTTAGAATACAAAATGGTAAATGCTTTTAAGATTTTTTTTTTTTTTTTGAGATGGAGTTTTGCTCTTGTTGCCCAGGCTAGAGTGCAATGGCGCAATCTCAGCTCACTGCAGCCTCCACCTCCCGGGTTCAAGAAATTCTCCTGCCTCAGCCTCCTAAGTAGCTGAGATTAAAGGCGCCTGCCACCATGCCCAGCTAATTTTTGTATTTTTAGTAAAGACGGGGTTTCACCATATTGGCCAGGCTGGTCTCGAACTCCTGATCTCAGGTGATCCACCTGCCTCGGACTCCCAAAGTGCTGGGATTACAGGCCTGAGCCACCAGGCCTGGCCAAGATTATTTTTATGTCTGTGTCTTATGATTTGTTTCCCCACCTTATAAGATTCCAAGAAAGGAGCTGACTTTCAGTAATCTTAAAATCTCATCCTGGGACTGTTTGCACTTACAGGAAGATAGAGCAGATGTACTTTCCCTCATTCTTCCTGCTAAATGCAACCAAAAACACTGAACATTGTACATAAAACAAGCATAAGAAGACCCTGGAAGGTGAAGAAAGAAAGCAGACCAGCTAGTGGCCTCAGAGCCTAAGAACAACACGGAGATGACTTCTGGGACTTGGAGTTGAAGAACATCTCATACTAGTGTCATTTATTTAAAAGTTTGTTCCTAAAGCCATCAAAATTAATCCTGATAGCTGACTGCTCTGTGATGAAGACAGCCTCACAGAAGTTAATCAGCATCTCTTTAACTGAGACTCAAATGGACTTCATGACCCTTGTTCCTCCTGATTGAGCCAAATTATTCCCAGACAGCTACATCATGATTATAATACTCTTAATATGCCTAGCTTTTTTCTAAAATGTTAGTTTAATAAGGGAAAAACAGGTACTATTTTTTAAACACAAGCAATCACGATTACCTTCTTCATTAACTTGAATTTGTTCTCAGTTCCTCTACTTAGCTGTGTGACCTTGAACAAGTTACTTAACCCCTCTGCCTCAATTTCTTCTTAAAATAGGAAGGCAGTGCCTCTGTTTTCAGAATCATAAAAATTGATCCACCATTACTTAATATAATATATAATTTTTTTAAAAAAACTGAAAGTAGAGTACTATTAAGCAGAAGAAAAGCCAGGCCAATTTTAAGAGGTAAAACCCCAAATGACAGAGTTTTCATTTTCTTTATTTTAATTTTATATTGTTGTATTTTTTTGAGACGGAGTCTCACTCTGTCACCAGGCTGGAGTGCAGTGGCGCTATCTCGGCTCACTGCAAC
This sequence comes from Homo sapiens, assembly GCF_000001405.40. Taxonomy (NCBI): domain Eukaryota; kingdom Metazoa; phylum Chordata; class Mammalia; order Primates; family Hominidae; genus Homo; species Homo sapiens. The sequence goes on from NC_000017.11 coordinate 56,410,168, forward strand.
CTCCACCTCCCAGGTTCAAGTGATTCTCCTCCCGAGTAACTGGGACTACAGGCATGTGCCACCACGCCCAGCTAATTTTTGCATTTTTTGGTAGAGATGGGGGTTTCACCATGTTGGCCAGGTTTCACCATATTGGCCAGGATGGTCTCGATCACTTGACCTCATGATCCGCCCACCTCGGCCTCCCAAAGTGCTGGGATTACAGGCATGAGCCACCATGCCAGGCCTATTATTATTATTTTTAATTCACAAAGAATTGCATATAGTTATGGGGTATAATATGATTTGATCTATGTATACATTGTAGAAAAATTCAATAAAGCTAATTAACATATCCATCACCTCACCAACTTATTGTTTTGTGGTGAGGACATTAAAAATCTTTTCTTTTAGCAATTTTGAAATATATAATGTATTATTAATTAACTGTGATTACCAAGCAGTGCAATAGATCACTAAAATTTTTTCTACCAGTCTCACCAAAGCTTTGCATCCTTTGATCAACATCTCCCTTTCCCCATCTCTCCATCTCCAGCCCCCACCACCGTCTCTCTGCCAACCTCTGGTAACCACCTTTCTACTCTGCTTCAGTGAGATTTATTGAAGAGATTGTCTTTTCTTGACTATATTATTCCTAGCATCTTTGTCAAAAGTCAACTGATGGTAAATACATGGGTTTATTTCTAGGCTTTCTATTCTGTTCCTTTGGTTGATGTGTCTGTTTTTATGACAATACTATGCAATTTTGATTACAATAGCTTTATAATATATTCTGAAATCCAGTTTTGTTATTTTTGCTCAAGATTGCTTTGATTATTTTGAGGTCTTTGCTGGTTTCATACAAATTTTAGGGTTGTTTCTTCTGTTTCTACCAAAAAATGACTTTGGAATTTTGATAGAGATTGCATCGAATCTGTAAATCACTTCAGGTAGTATAAATAATATTAATTCTTACAGTCTATGAACATGGGATGTCTTTCCACCTATGTTTTGTCTTCTTCAATTTTTCTCATCACTGTTTTATAGTTTTCAGTGTACAGATATTTCACCTTGGTTAGATTTACTGCTACATATTTTTATGCTATTGTAGGTAGGATTGTTTTCTTAATTTCTTTTTCAGATACTTTGTTTTTAGTGTATGGAAAAATACTAATTTTTTTAAATTTGATTTTGTAACCTACACTCTACTGAATGTATCAGTTCTACAGGTTTGGGTTCTTCTGGTGGACTATTTAAGATTTTCTATATGTAAGATCATGTTATCAGCAGAGACAATTTCACTTTTGCTTTCCTGTATGAATGTCTTTTTATTTCTTTTTCTTGCCTAATTTCTGTGGCTAGGACTTCTAGTAATATGTTGAATAGAAATGGAAAGAATGGGCATCCTTTACTTGTTCCTGATCTTAGAGAAAAAGCTTTCAACTTTTTACCATTTAGTAAGACATTAGCTGTCGGCTTGTTGTGTATGGTCTTTATTGTATTGAGGCAGCTTTCTTCTATACTGATTTTGTGGAGACTTTTTATCATGAAAAGATGTTGAATTTTGACAAGTGCTTTTACTGTATCTATTGAGATAATCATATGGGTTTCATCCTTCATTATGTTAATACAGTGTATCACATTTATTGATTTATATATGTTGAAATCCCTTCATACCCCTGGAATGAATCCCACTTCATCATGGTAAATTATATTTATAGTGTGCTGTTGAATTGGGTTCGCTAGTATTTTCTTGAGGATTTTTGCATCTATATTCATCAGGGACATTGGCCTGTAGATTTCTTTTCTTGTGTTATTCCTTGGCTTTGGTATCAGGGTAATGCTGGCCTCATAAAATAAGTTCAGAAATTATTCTCTCCTCTTTGATTTTTTGGAAGAGTTTAAGAAGTATTGGCTGTTTTTTAAATGACTGGCAGAATTCAGCAATGAAGCCATCAGATTCAAGGATTTTCTTTGATGAGAAACATTTTGTCATTAATTCAATTTCCATACTCATTTTTGGTCTATTGCCAATTTCTATTTCTTCCTGATTCAGTCTTGGTATGTTGTGTGTTTCTGGGAATTCGCCATTTCTTCTAGATTATCTAATTTCTTGGACTATAGTTGTTCATAGTAGTCTGATCTTTTGTATTTCTGTGGTATCAGTTGTAATGTCTCCTCTTTCATTTCTGATTTTATTTGTGTCTGTGATGGTTTAATATTGAGTGTCAACTTGATTGGATTGAAGGATGAAAGTATTGTTCCTGGGCGTGTCTGTGAGGGTGTTGCCAAAGGAGATTGACATTTGAGTCAGTGGACTGGGAGAGGCAGACCCACCCTCACTCTGTGTGGGTACCAACTAATCAGCTACCAGCATGGCTAGGATAAAAGCAGGCAGAGGAATGTGGAAGGACTGGACTGGCTGATCTTCTGGCCTTCATATTTCTCCCATGTCAGATGCTTCTTGCCCTGGAACATCAGACTCCAAGTTCTTCAGCTTTTGGACTCTTGGACTTATACCAGTAGTTTGCAAGGGGCTCTTGGGTCTTTGGCCACGAACTGAAGGCTGCACTGTCAGCTTACCTACTTTTGAGGTTTTAGAACTTGGACCAGCTTTATTGCACCTCAGCTTACAGATGACCTATTGTGGGACTTCACCTTATGATCATGTGAGTCAATACTCCTTAATAAACTTCCTTTCAAATACGCGTCTATCCTATTAGTCCTGATCCTCCAGAGAACCCTGACAGTGTCTTTACTCCTTTTTTCTTTGTAAGTCTAAGTAAAAGTGTGTCAATTTTGCTTATCTTTTTTAAAAGAAAACAACTTTTAGTTTTGTTAATCTTTTCTATTGTTTCTATAGTGTCTTGTTTATTTCTGCCTTGATCTTTGTTATTTCCCTCCTTCTGCTAAGTTTGAGCTTATTTCAAGTGCCTCGAAGCGTAACATTAGGTTGTTAATTTGAGATCTTCATTTTTTTTAAATCTTTCACTTCCCTAGTTAGCTGTATTCCTATGTATTTTATTCTTTCTGTGGCAATTGTGAATGGGAGTAGTTTCCTGTTTTGGCTGTTGGCTTGATTGTTGTTGGTATATAGGAATGCTAGTGAGTTTTGAACATTGATTTTGTATCCTGAGACTTTGCTGAAGTCGTTTATCAGCTGAAGCAACTTTGGGGCCAAGATTATGGGGTTTCCTAGATATAGAATCATGTTGTCTGCAAAAAGGGACAGTTTGACTTCCTCTCCTCCTATTTGGATGCCCTTTGTTTCTTTCTCTTGCCTGATTGCCCTGGCCAGGATTTCCATTACTATGTTGAATAGAAGTAGTGACAGAGGGCATCCTTGTCTTATGCCAGTTTTCAAGGGGAATGCTTCCAGCCTTTGCCCATTCAGTATGATATTGGCTGTGGGTTTGTCATATTCAGCTCTTATTATTTTGAGTTATATTCCTTCAATAGTTTTATATTGAGAGTTTTTAACACAAAGGAATGCTGAATTTTATTGAAAGCCTTTTCTGCATCTATTGAGGTAATCATATGGTTTCTGTCTTCAGTTCTGTTTATGTGAAGAATCACTTTTTTTTTTCTTTTGAGATGGAGTCTTGCTCTGTCACCCAGGCTGGAGTGCAGTGGTGCCATCTCAGCTCACTGTAACCTCTGCCTCCCGGGTTCAAGCGATTCTCCTTCCTCAGCCTCCCAAGTAGCTGGGATTACAGAGATGGGGTTTCTCCATGTTGACCAGTCTGGTCTCGAACTCCTGACCTCAGGTGATCCGCCCACCTCATCCTCCCAAAGTTCTGGGATTACAGGCATAAGCCACTGCATCCAGCCATGAATCACATTTATTCATTTGTATAGGTTGAACCAAACTTGCATCCCAGGGATAAAGCCTACTTGGTAATTGTGGATAAGCTGTTTGATGTGCTGCTGGATTCCATTTGCCAGTATTTTGTTGAGGAGTTTTACATTGATGTTCATCAAGGATATTGGCCTGAATTTTTTTTTGTTGTTGTAGTATCTCTGCCAGGTTTTGGTATTAGGATGATGCTGAACTCATAGGGTAAGTTAGAGAGGAGTCACTCCTTTGCAATTTTTTGGAATAGCTTCAATAGGAATGGTGCCAGCTCTTCTTTGTACATCTGGTGAATTCTACCAAACATGTAAAGAACAAATACAAAGCATACTCAAACTATTCCAAAAAATACAGGAGGATGGGTGGAAGAGGAGGAACTTCCAAACTCATTCTACAAGGCTAGTATTACACTTATACTATAACCAGACAAAGACACATCAAGAAAAGGAAAACTACAGGCCAATATTTCTGATTAATACTGGTGTAAAAATCCTCAGCAAAATACTAGCAAACCAAATTCAACAATACATTAAAAAGATCATTCACCATGACCAAGCAGGATTTATCCCAGGGATGTGGAGAGATAACACAGAGAAAGAACTGGTTCGACATATGCAAGTCAGTTAATGTAATATATCATATAATCAGAATGAACGACAAAAATCATATGATCATTTCAATTGATGCTGAAAAGCATTGATAAAATTCAACATCCTTTCATGATAAAAACCCTCAAAAGGCTAGGCATGGTGGCTCATGTGTTTAATCCCAGCATTTGGAAGGCCGAGATGGGCAGATTGCTTAAGTCCAGGAGTTTGAGACCAGCCTGGGCAACATGGTGATACACCATCTTTACAAAATATAGAAAAAATTAGCTAGGTGTGGTGATGTGTACCTGTGGTCCCAGCTACTCTGGGGTCTGAGATGGGAGGATCACTTGCACTTGGGAGGCAGAGGTTGTGGTGAGCCAAGATCGCACCACTGCACTCTGGCCTTGGTGACAGAGTGAGACTCTGTCTCAAAAAAAGAAAAAAAAACCCTCAAAAAATTGGGTATAGAAGGAACATACCTCAACATAATAAGAACTACATATAACAGACTCACAGCCTTTGCTGACTGGGGAAAAACTGAAGGCCTTTCCTCTAAGATCTGGAACATGACAAGGATGCCCACTGTTATTCAGCATAGTACTGGAAGTCCTAGCTAGTGCAATCAGACAAGACAAAGAAATAGAAGACAGTCAAATTGGAAAGGGAGAAGGCAAATTATCCTTGTTGGCAGGTGATATGATCTTATATTTGGTAAAACCTAAAGACTTTATACTCAGAAAAAACAAAACAACTGTTAGAACTGATACATTCAGTAAAGTTGGAAGATACCAAATCAACGTACAAAAATCAGTAGCATTTCTGTATGCCATCAGTGACTAATCTGAAAAAGAAATTTCAAAAGTAACCCCATTTATAGCAGCCACATATAAAATGAAATACCTATGGATTAACCAAAAAAGTGAAAGATCTCTACAATGAAAACTATAAAACACTGATGAAAGAAATTGCAGAGGACACAATATTGAAGAGGACACATATCCCATGTTCATGGGTTGGAAGAATCAATATTGTTAAAATATCCGTACTACCCAAAGCAATCTATAGATTCAATGCAATCCCTATCAAAATACCAATGACATTCTTCATAGAAATAGAAAAAAAATTCTAAAATTTATATAGACCCACAAAAGACCCTGTATAGCCAAAGCTATCCTGAGCAAAAAGAACAAAACTGGAGGAATCACTTTACCTAACTTCAAATTATACTACAGAGCTATAATAATCAAAACAGCATGGTACTGGCATAAAAACAGACACATAGACCAATGGAATAGAATACATAATCCAGAAACAAATCGATACACCTACAGTAAGCTCATTTTCAACAAAAAAGCCAAGAACGTACATTGGAGAAAGGACAGTCTCCTCAATAAATGGTGCTGGGGAAACTGGGTATTTATATGCAGAAGAATAAAACTAGACCTCTATCTCTCACCATATACAAATCAAATCAAGATGGATTAAAGACTTAAATCTAAGACCTAAACTATGAAATTAGTACAAGATAACACTGGAGGAAAATCTCCAGGACATTGGTCTACGTAAAAATTTCTTCAGTAATATCCCGCAAGCATAGGCAACCAAAGCAAAAATTCTCAAATGGGATTACATCAAGTTAAAAAGCAAAGGAAACAATCAACGAAGTGAAAAGACAACCCACAGAATGGGAGAAAATGTTTGCAAACTACCCATCTGACAAGGGATTAATAACCAGAATATATAAGGAACTCAAACAAATCTACAGGAAAAAAAATCTAATAATCTGATTTTAAAATGGGCAAAAGATATGAATAAGCATTTCTCAAAAGAAGACATACAAATGAAAAACAGGCATATTAAAAGGCGCTCAACATCATTGATCATCAGAGAAATGCAAATCAAAACTCCCATGAGATTATCATCTCACCCCAGTTAAAATGGCTTTCATCCAAAAGATAGGCAATAACAAATGCTGGTGAGGATGTGGAGAAAAGGAAATCCTCGTACGCTGTTGGTGGGAATGTAAATTCGTACAACCACTATGGAGAACAATTTGGAGATTTCTCAAAAAACTAAAAATAGAGCTACCATACAGCCCGGCGATCCCGCTGCTAGATATATACACAAAAGAAAGAACATCAGTGTATCAAAAAGATATGTGCACTCCCATGCTTGTTGCAGCACTATTCACAATAGCCAAGATTTGGAAGCAATCTAAGTGTCCATCAACAGATGATTGGATAAAGAAAATGTGGCACATTTACACAGTGGAGTACTATGCAGCCATAAAAAAGAATGAGATCCTGTCATTTGCAACAACATGGATGGGGCTGGAGGTCATTAGGTAACATGAAATAAGTCAGGCACAGAAAAACAAACTTCACATGTTCTGACTTATTTGTGGGAGCTACAAATCAAAACAATTAAACCCATAGAGATAGAGAATAGAAGGATTGTTACCAGAGGCTGGGAAGGGTAGTGGGAGGTTGGGGGGAATAGTGGGGGTGGTTAATGGGTACAAAATAAAAATAGTTAGAAGGAATGAATAAGACCTCGTATTTGATAGACAAACAGGATGATTATAGTCATTAATAATTTAATTTTATGTTTAAAAATAACTAAGAGTATAATTGGATTGTTTGTAACACAAAGGACAAATGCTTGAGGGAATGGAGACCCTATTTTCCGTGATATGATAATTTCACATTGCATGCCTGTATCAGGGTATCTCTTGTACTCCATTAATATATATACATGTACTACGTACCCACAAAAGTTTTTTAAAATACATAAATTTAAAATCCCTTTGTTCTTTGTGTTTGTTGGAAATTCACTGATGCCTTGTCCCTGCTGTTTCTCAAGCAGGGTGACTTAAGAGTCAAGCCCTGCAGCAGGGACTATATAGTCAGGCACTATATGTGTGGTACAAGTCCCTGTCCCCTTGGGAAGAAGCTGGGAGTTGAAATTTTCTCCCGAGTTTAAGGCACTGTGCCCAAGGTAGGGTTAGTGCATGAATGTATCTGCCTTTTTTCTACCCATTTTGTTATGGATATTTGCTCAGTCACCCAGTGTGCAGGAGTCTTTCAACTGGATTCCAGCTTTCTCTGAAGAGAATTGATCCATGTGTAGGTGTTTATTCAGTGTGTCTGTGGGAGGAGGGATAAGCAGGAGCTTCCTATTCCATCATGTTGCTGACATCACTCTAGACTTTCCATTTTTTTGCCCTGTGTTATAACTGGGAGCCTACTAGAACTCTCTGAAGTCCACCTTCTTTTCTTTCTTCAAGGCGTTAGGTCTTAAGATAGTTTTGTTCACACAGGAGGATGAGCACTTCTGGGATGCTTCGTCTTTTCTACATGAGTGTTTTCTTGAATCAGAAGATACTCTGTCTGCTTTACTAGTCAGGGGCAGGGAATCTAATTTCTTTCAACTTTTATTTGAGGAGTCTTCTACTATCCAATAGAAATCGTTTGGCAAAACTTCCCCAGGACTTTTAAGTACATTTATTTGATCATAATTATTAAGTGGTTTCTGGAGGCATCCTTTTAAATAAGACCTCCCTTTATTTCCTGATGTTTTGTTCTTCCACATTTAAATAATCGAAACTATTTGACACTGTGGTGATAAATTCTTTGTTATTTGGTAAGGAATTAACAAAGGCGAAGGATGTGTCTGTGTTGATTTGATGTTCTTTGAGATCAGAGGATAAAAATTTGGCCTTATGGATCTTTTGCTTACATTGCCTGATATAATTCTGGAAAATCAAAACCCCGTAACAGTTTTTTAAAACTGGGATTAAAATGATTTTAAGAGAAGCCCCTTTGTTTTAAAACAGTAAGAGTAATGCAGAGTGAAGAAAAGAGTAAAATAAAAATGAAAATGTTCAAGTCGATTTTCTTAGAAGTTTTGCTTAAGATGGCAGTGTGATGAGATCTTAAAAAGCTACAATAAAATCATAAACACTAGAAGCCATTTAATATATATGCGATAATAATAAAAGAAAACCCCAGGATTCTGGAATTTAATAATAAAATTAAAGCAGAGATTATCTGGCCCAATTTATTCTTTTAAAACTGAGGAAACTGAGACCCAGAAAGGTGAAGGGACTTTCTCAAGGTCACAAAATTATTTGGCAGAGCCAGGACAAAAATGCAAAACTCCTGACTCCCAGTTCATTATATTTCCCCTACAGCATACTACTTTCTAAGTTAAAAAAAAAAAAAAAAATCACAAGAAACCACAGAGAGTCCGAAGCCTAGGCTAGGAACTTCAGGGGTTAATGCACCTTGCCCAGGATCTGCGCAATTTGTAGAACTGAGGTGAGATTTCTTGAGTTTGCAGAAGTTAAACATTCTCAACAAGAGAAGCTTGGTTCAACTCCGATCTCAGGGGGATTAGAGTAACATGCTGAGAACTCTTAGGACTTTGCTACTTCTACTGGTTCACACCTCAGCCCTTAGATGTCTGCATTTTTAACTGAGTTGACCATGGGAACCAACTCATCAGGTCAGAATCTCCAGGCAGTTGGCCAACCCCCAGTCAGTGGATAGGAGCAGCCCACTGGCCTTTCTTCTCCATGGCCCTGCCATGATGTTAAGATATAAATTTGGGGCCAGGTGCAGTGGCTCACGCCTGTAATCCCAGCACTTTGGGAGGCCGAGGCGGGCAGATCACCTGTGGTCTGGAATTCGAGACCAGCCTGACCAACATGGCGAAACCCCATCTCTACTAAAATTACAAAAAATTAGCCAGGTGTGGTGGCAAGCGCCTGTAATCCCAGCTACTCAGGAGCCTGAGGTAGGAGAATTGCTTGAACCTGGGAGGTGGAGGCTGCAGTGAGCCGAGATCCCGCCATTGCACTCTAGCCTGGGCAACAAGAGTGAAACTCCATCTCAAAAAAAAAAAAAAGAGATATAAATTTGGGTCAAGTATGATGGCTCATGCCTGTAATCCCAGCACTTTGGGAGGCCAATACAGGAGAATTACTTGAGGCCAGGATTTCTAGACCACCTGAGGCAACCTAGCAAGACCCTATCTCCATGAAAAATAAAAAACAAAAAAATCAGCCAGCCATGGTGGCACATACCTGTAGTATCTACTACTACAGCCTAGCTACTCAAGAGGCCTAGTTACTCAAGACGGAGGATAGCTTGAGCCCAGGAGTTATAGGTTACAATGAGCTATGTGCTCCAGCCTGAGCAACAGAAAGAGACCCTGTCTCAAAAAAAAAAAAAAAAAAGAAAGAAATAAGAAGAAAAATATAAATTAAATAATCTGATTTTGCTCTGTATATGGATTCCCTTTAGCATAACCAGCTTCATGGGGCAATGACTACATGGGTCCATAGTCCTAAATAGACAGACAATCTTTTAATAACCTGGTTCCCCATACCTTTCCAGCTTCATCTCCTACCATTTATCCTGCAGTCTACGGCCAAATCCCCAGAGCAGCTCATGTTACCTTGGTATATATAATCTCATATACACTCATGCCTTCATGCCATTGCACCACGTTATTCCCTCTGCATGACATGCCTTTCTACCTCTCCCCAACATCTAGACTGAATAAGTGGCTGCATAGATGAATAGATGGATGGGAAATGAATGAAGGAATGAATACATATAATTTAAGGAGCACTAGAGAACCTGCTGACTTAGAGGAATTCTAGCTCCCATTCAAAAAAGTAAAATTACACCTCTATTATCTTAATAAATAGTCTCAGCATCCTTGTGGGCCACACCAGTCTTGTGATTATCACCTATGAGGTCTATGGCAAATAGTTAAAATAATGGTTATGATACTAAAGTTGGAGTGGCAAAGTTGGCAAACTATTTCTTTTGTTTTTTAATGTTATGGGAAACTAAAGGTTATCTATATAATATTACTTTTACTCACTTGCATTCTGATATACTATCTTTAGTATGAAAGCAGTGAAATTATACCTAGGGTGCAGGTAATTGTGCATAACCCTGGATACATCAATAGGAATTCAGCATATATGAGAACCCATAATTATTTATGTGTGCTGAAAAATAAAAGCCTGGAAACTCTGTGGCAGAAATTAATATTCTATGTTGCTTCTTCTGACTCCTTCTTTTTTTTTTTTTTTTTTTTATTGTTGTTTTCTTTTTTTTTTGAGACGGAGTCTCACTCTGTCGCCCAGGCTGGAATGCAGTGGCGCGATCTCGGCTCACTGCAAGCTCTGCCTGCCGGGTTCATGCCATTCTCCTGCCTCAGCCTCCCAAGTAGCTGGGACTACAGGCGCCCGCCACCGCGCCCGGCTAATTTTTTTGTATTTTTAGTAGAGACGGGGTTTCACCGTGTTAGCCAGGATGGTCTCGATCTCCTGACCTCGTGATCCGCCCGCCTCGGCCTCCCAAAGTCCTGGGATTACAGGCGTGAGCCACTGGGTCCGGCCGACTCCTTCTTTTAAAATGAAAATATTTGTGTGCTGGGGGGCGGGAATAAATAATTAAAATACAAAAATGAAAATGGTCTCAGGGCCTGTTTCTGCCCTTACCATTAATCACACTTTGATAAAAAGTAGTTTATCATTAGAAGTATCTATAATTTTTAGTTAGAAGTGTTTTCCTCTGTGATAGCTAGGTTCAGAGTTTTGATGATGGAAGAAGGCTGGAAGGTAATTCTGGAAGCTTGGCACAATGGTGCAAGACAGTGGGCTTAGTTAGAGGAATGAGATGCCTCAATGAGGAACACATAGGCACTGGGTGAAACGTATGTCAGTTCTGGATGAAGGCCAGAACAGGCAGAGAGGTCTAGAAAAAGGGAGTCGGAGGGTCCCACAGACAACTATTAACTACCTTGCCATCTTCCTCCTCTCATTCATCTGATGCTCATTCAATGAATAGGGCACAAACCCAAACCAATGGCACTAGGCTCTAAACGCTGATACTAAACCTCTTTGGCATCACTCTCCCTTTAAGAAACTTGGCCATCATGGCTTTGTCTGCCTAGGAAAAATACAAAACAAAGCAAATTCTAATAATGCATTAGTACGCATACCCTGTATATTTTGTCCACAACACTCAGAAACCAAGCTTTAGACTTTCTAGAGGTCCACAGACTCCAGATTAAGAAGTCTGTAATCGATTAAAATTTGCGAACCCTTCAAAAGTTTGTCAAGGATTTTTCATATCATTATGTCATTTAACGACCCAATCAGTGAAATACCGCCTCATTTTACTCATTAGGAATCATAATTTCACTCTGGTTCATCAGAATATATTCTGTCTTTATATACATGGAAAATATCTTGGAGAGTCAATAACTGATATTAGCATGCCTCTGGGACACGAGCTAAGGGGGGATATAACCTTTTGCAACATTTACATTTTTTCCATGCGTGATGTCATATTTCTTTTTGAAAGAAATATGTCAGATCTACCACTTTCACCTGTATTTTTATCCCTCTCATGGGTGAAATGATGAGTACACTTAGAAAAATCAGATATTTCCAAAGTCTTCTGAAAATAAAAACTAATTTTATCCAAATGTATATATAATTTTAAAACCATGTGCCTCCTAATACTAGTCAGATAATTTGTGCATAAATTATGCATTTTAAAAGTGAGTTTCTTTGCAACATGTTCACACTGCACCTTGCTAACGCATGGTACTTATATCTGTCACAAAATGTTTTATTGGGTTGTCACAAATGTTTTATTGGGTTTCCTTGGCCTTTTACTTGTAAATTGATTTTCCTAGCCTTATTGGACCATGTGGTTTTATACCAAATATTTTGATAAATACTAAAATAAACAAACTTTCATTTCTTCATTCTCCAGTCCCAGGCAGCATTTAGCCAAACCCCCACCCCTGCTGCCACCACACACATGCATGCACACACATGCACACACACACGCACGCATGCACACACGCACATACACACACACACGCATGCACGCACACACTTCAACTACTTCTCTGAATATGCTGCTACAATTTTTAGATAAATATTCAGTATCCAATGTTGGCAAATGCTTTTTGAAATTCGAAACCTTGAAGCGCAAGATCCTCATTACTTTTTTTTTATTTTAAGCCTTCAGATGAGGATGATGAACGTTTGATAAACCCTTACCATTCAAAATAACTTGAAATAAATTATTGTGGTGACCATTACAATGCCCTGAAATTCTTGATTTCACCCTTGACCCAATGCTAAAAATGTTTTAGCATTTTCCACTAAAAAAAATGGAGGAATCTGTTTCATAAAGAAGATGGCCAAAGCCGCATAACTCTTTTTAACTCTGCTGGACTCTAGCTTTTGCTAGACCACGTGCTTGGTCTGTAACTATAGTTGTTTGAGACCCCAAAGTCCTGGTGCTGCCCTAGGAGGGTGAAAGCAACCATTGGTCCCTGCAGCAGAGTTCTCCAGGGACTGCTGTCAACACAACTGCAGTCAGATGATGGGACTCAAACTTTTGTCAACACCATCCAGCAATTATTCTGAGGAGATTCCTTTTAGTAACTAAATTGAAGTTTAAAAAAAGTGTAGATATGTCACTATTCTCATGTAGGGCAATCCTTCAAGGGAAATCTAGGTTATTTGTTCAGTGTTGATAGTGAATGAGCTGAGCAGATCACCCCAAATATTACAGACCAAAGGCTCTACAGAAAGCAAGTGGGCTGGAGCCACGCACCACACAGACACGTTGGGTCAACAGGAATTGAAGTCAGAGGTTGTATAGCTAAGTTGTGGCAATTCCTACTCCTACTAGCTAGCAGTGGGCAAAGTCCTTGAAACAGTATGAGAAGCAGCTCGCTGATTTGAAATATGAGTAAGAACAGCAGAGCTTGTAAGATTTAAATGTCTCCAATGACCCTCCTTACACCAACACTGGTCATCAAACTAAACCAGGAACTGATCACCTCATTCCCTTGCTCATAAACCTTCAGCATTGCGTACAAGGCCTTCCGCATATCAACCTATCCCTCAGCCCCTACGTCTTGCCTTCCTCTTCTTTCTCTTCTGCAGTACATCCATTTTTTCACATGATTGTGCCCAAATTTTTCAGCTCTCAATCTCTCTCCCTGGAATGCCCCAAGATTGAGTGAAATCCTACTCAATCTTCAAAACCCAGACCAAATGTTACCTTCCCTTATCCCATCTTCCTCCCTGCCCCAACTTAGTTGGTCATTGGCACTTCAGCAACAATTTGCTCATGTGCCTGTTATAGGGAGCATCACATTTTTATTGTAATTATCTGTATCTTTATCCATCTGCATGCTGGGCTATGATAATTCTAGGGCAAAGATAAATTCTTATTTTTGTTTACATCCCTGTCACCCACCAATCTTAATGATGCTCAGGAATGTATTGGCTTTATATGTAGAAACCTGAGTACATAAAGATGTTTTTAAACTGGAAAGTGTCATTAAAATGCAGTAATTACTATTACTGAAGGTGGAGAACCTAAATAAAAGGAGAATTTAGTCTCAGAGTTTTATACTTGAAGAAACTGGTGTTACAATCCTTCTAAATATAGATGCTACAGATTTTTCTGGAGTCCCACAGGGTAGAAGGTGGGTGCACTAAGGGGTGACACCCTTAAAGACATAAAGCTTTACCCTTCATCATGGACCTGCACTGATCTATAGAACTGTATCATCCCTCAGACTTACTCAAAATGAAAACTTACAAACCTGTGTACCTCCATGATTCCTTCTCTACAACTGCTGTTTTCGTCACTTTTGAGTACATGCTGAAGTTTCATTAAACTGTGTGAGAAGGAGGCACTGGATTTTGAACCCAGACAGACCTGGGTTCAAAATCTGGCCCTCGCATTCATTCACAGTGTGTGCTCTCAGTCTGGCAAAGCCTTAACTTCACCTCTAAAATGAGAAAAATACATAACATGGTTGTTGTGAAAATCAAAGGAGAAAAATGTGGAAGAAGGTGTCACAAAGTAAAAATGTTATGGAACTGCAAGGTGTTACTCTTGTAATGAGAAGTAGACAGTTAGCCCCAGTCTGCCCTTCCTTGGTTGCTTCATCCCCCATATCTCTCTCTTGGATTCCTTGCAGAAGAAGCAGTATGAATGTACATCTGGCTGGGCTTGGGTCTGCTTTTGCCTGACGGAGTATTTGCTCCAATCCCTAATAAGGCTGATCTACTTTATTCTCTGCAAAGGGGAAACTTTTCTTGGGGAAATAACAGTTTCAGCAGCCCCTGTGGTAACAGAGTATTTCTTTGATCTCTTGCCACTATCTGAGTGTTGTTTTGAAAGTTATTTAAGGATGAAAGCATCCCCAAAAAAACCTACTGTCAAAGGGGATTTCAGCTCACCTCAACTCCAACCAACTCTGAGGTTTCAAATGTGTAGAATTGAGATGGTGACAGCTACATAAATATTAAATGAGCAATGAGATGCCAATGTTTTTATTACTGTTTGCAATTGAACTTTGAGTAAAGCTGAGACCCGTTACATACACCTGGAGAGAGAGCATGGCTTTTGATATGACCACGATATATGATTTGGAAATTTTTAAGTATACACTGTTGCTAACAGCTCTTAGTTAAAAAAAAAAAAAAAAGTAGCTGAACTCCAGTATTCAGCATTCCTATGAGAGCTTGTGATGCTGTGATGCCAAATATTTGGGTTTACATAGAAATTTGGCTCACAGATGCCTCAATGAATAGGAAAAGGTGGTTTTGGTGGGTAACAGGAAGTCAGGAAATTTCCTCCCCCTCACAAAGGTGGAGATAATGTCCACAATTTAACTGGTACCACATCTGACATATATCATTGCACCAATGTCTTTCTGGTCTCTTTAACTACAGCATTGACTCTCTCCAATTTTCCTCCTACAAAATATAAGAGAAATTTTCCTAAAATGCAAATCTGATCACATAATGGCTGATCTTTCAAGAGCTCCAAAATGCTTTCAAATAATGTTGATACTTCTTAGCATAACCTGAGCTCCTGTCTCCTGTCCCATCTTATTTCTAAAGTCACACTCCCATCTCACCTCATCTCTTCTCCTGTTCCTTGTAATTGCCTTGCAATTCCCCGACCACACCATGACTCCGTGCCTTTGCACACACAGCAACCTCTGCCTGGAATGCCTTTAGCCACTCTTTCCTATACATCCTTCAGAAGTCTGCCAGGAGCCAGCCTGTCTAGCAAGTTATCCCTAACCACTCCCTGCCAGACTGTTTAGGGTGACCCTAATCTGAGCCTGCCTCTATCATTACTCTCATCAGATTGTATTATAATCTTAAATTGACTTGACCGTCTCGCTTCCCACCATTGTACTGTTACTGTCTGTAGGATAAGATTTGAGCTTTGTTCATATTTACATCCCCAGGACATTTCCTTGTCCCTAGAAGGGTGTCAGTTAGAGTCTGATGAATCAGTCAGCCAATCAGCACACTATATTTAAAGTTGGATTTGATTTCTTATCCTGAATGTACCAGCAATTAGCTTGGAATTGAGTATTTGACCAAAAGATACAAAATTCAAAAAATTCAATTATGTTTATTTGGAAGCTATTATGTATATTTCCCTCCAATAAGTCCACATAATTCTCTTTCCTGTCTATGGGCCAAGTACCTTACTCCCAAGATTTAATCCTGGTCAATGACCTTCCTGTCCCACCTTGGTTACTTTAGAATACATAAAATTTTTCAAAATCTGAAGAGTTCCTTTCTTTCAACCACATTCTCCTCCCCACAGTCAGTGACCTCTTTTGAATATTTCCAAATAGCAGTCTTGTTCTTCCTGTTCAACTGTCAATGTGACAGTCTTTACTAATTGAACAACTGCATTCATTCATTTAAGACACCTTTATTGGATACCTACTATGTGCCAGCTGCTGTCATGGACCAAAGTAAAAGGCATGCATGAGTCAATCTACCAGTTAAGCAGATGAGCTGGAAAATACTCAACATTATGCATTTTAGGTCAAAGCTACTGTTTTAACTGTGTTTTGTGAATGTTGAAAATTTAGAGATATTACATACAAGCAGATATGGAGAAACTAAAGGCAACACACAAAATAGAGATAACTACAGCACTTTCCCAAGAAAAGTAACTAGGTCCTTCAAATACCCCTTGCTAGGATATGCAATGTATGTTGAGATGTTTAACCTTTCACAGGGTTCTGAAAAAAATAATACATATATCTTGCTTATAACATAAAGGGTATTCTTTGATCTGCTGAAGCCTACTTGAGAATCCCCCAAAAAAGAACTCCCATGTGACCTTATGGAGATTTATGTCTCAACATCAGCCAGTCTGATCATCACAAAAGCAGAAGCTGAGCCTGGGAATGGAGAACAAGACTCTTTGTTTCCCTGGGAAGCTGTGGAAGCTTCTTGACTTGATGGGAAAAATCTGAAGATTGAATTTTTCAGGATCAGTAAGGCACCTTGTTGAGTAATTTACAGGAGAATGTGAAAACAAATACAGAAGAAAAAAGCCCAAAATAGCACATTCTTTTTAGTGAGACACAGAGGGAAGAAGACTGGGGCTGGCCTCCCAAGAAGGTCTGGTTTTTTCTTTTTTATTTATCTTTAATTCCCCACAAATTCCTTTGGGTCCTGAGGAACCGCTGCTACTTCGGAGTTGCTTTGTTCCCAAGTCTTCCATCCTGTCTCTCACCTTAGCTTACATGTCTGTAGTCAGAAGAGAGAGAAACAGGTGACTAAAAGATATGAACCTTATCCAGAACTGGGAGTGCTCAGAGTAGGCTCTTAGAGGGGGAGGAGGAGAAACACTTGGCACCAGTAAGACTCCATAACATGAACCAGGCTCCAGTTATGGGCCAGCAATGTACACGAGTCTTCTGTGACTGTTTACATTGCTGTTTATTTTTTTTTTACTCAGTACTTATCTTGGCCACTATTGCCACATGTAGCTGATATGAACATACAGAACACCTTTATGAGACTCATAGACTCAGTACAACCCCTTGTTCTGCTTGGTGGTCACTGCCCCCAACCCTCTCTCCTTCTTGAAATGCATAACAAGGAAATCACAGTATTAGAGACAACTCTGGCCCCTGGGGAAAGGGGACAGAGGCGCCAACCAGGAGTCCCTGCCTTAAGTTCAGTCAGCGAAAGTCCAATATCTCACAGACTGTCTGAGCTTTACATAGTGGAGCTTTCTCTAGCCAAAGAGACCTCAAAATGGCTATTAATCCATTTATTACTTTCTCCCCATATGGATTTGGGAGGCAGATAAGAGAGACAGGAGTTTGAATCCAGCTTCTGCATTGATAGGCTGTGTGGATCTGAGCTAGTTATTTAAAAGTTTTGAGTCTCAGTTTCCTCATCTATAAAATGAAGAGAACATTACCTACCACATAGGAGTGTTAGGAGGATTAAATGAAGTATTTATGGCCAGGTGCAGTGGCTCATGCCTGTAATCCTAGCACTTTGGAAGGCCAAAGCAGGTGGATCACCTGAGATCAAGAGTTCAAGACCAGCCTGGCCAACATGATGAAACCCCATCTCTACTAAAAATACAAAAAATTAGCCAGGCATGGTGGCGGGCACCTGTAATCCCAGCTACTCAGGAGGCTGAGGCATGAGAATTGCTTGAACCCGGGAGGCAGAGGTTGCAGTGAGCTGAGATCGCACCACTGCACTCCAGCCTGGGCAACAAGAGTGAAAATCCATCTCAAAAAAAAAAAAGAAAAGAAAGACGTATTTATAACTAAAGCACAAGGCTCCAGTAAATATTAATAGATGGTCTCCCAGCATCCTCCAAAGATTACTGTTAGCTCCAATAAACCATTGCAGTTTTGATTGTTTCAGGATTTATTTTTTTTACTGTTCACCTTTTGTGACATTAATTATATGCTATATCTTAAAAGTTGATTACTTTTCAAATAATTGGAGCTTTTTTTCTTTTTTTTTTTTTTTTGAGATGGTGTGTCTCATTCTTTCGCCTAGGCTGGAGTGCAGTGGCACAATCTTGGCTCACTGCAACCTCCGCCTCCCGGGTTCAAATGATTCTCATGCCTCAGCCTGACAAGCAGCTGAGACTACAGGTGCCTGCCACCACGCTTGGCTAATTTTTGTATTTTTAGTAGAGATGCGGTTTCACCATATTGGTCAGGCTGGTCTTGAACTCCTGACCTTAAGTGATCCACCCGCCTCAGCCTCCCAGAGTGCTGGGATTACAGGCATGAGCCACAGCACCGGCCCATGGCCCCTTCTTAAAATGTGCTCTCAACCAGCAGACTGTAGATGAGGTGAAAAAGATGCTGCACACATTATGGTTTCTTGGGACCCAGCTGACAAAAAGTGCTTTTTTTTTTTTTTTCATTTTGTCCCAGAAGGAGAGAGAAGTGACTCTCATTTTATTCATTCAATAGCTGTTTTTGGAACTATTACTCTACAGATGTTGGCCACTGTGAGGGATGCAAAATTGAGTTAGGTGCAGAGTCTGCACTGAAGAAGTTCCAGGGAAGATAAGATATTCCTTTAACACAACTTTTTTAAATGCCTACCATGGGCAGATCCTCTTGTATACAGTGGGGTAAAAACAGATGAGCCCATGGATCTCACATTTTCTTAAGTTAACAAGTAAGTAAAGAAAGAAAACAACTTCAGATAGTGATAAGTGAAAAAAATAAAATAAGATAGTGTGTTAGGGGAGAGGCATAAATGGGCTTGGTAGAAATCACTTACTAAGTTTGAGAAACTGAAAGGGCAGATGAAGCGAAATGGATAGAACGGTAGAAGGGGGGCTTTCAAAGAAACAAGCAAGACCCAGATCATGATGCCTTGTAGGCCAGAGCTTAGCAAACTTTTCCTGTAAAGGATCAGATAGTAAATATTTTAGGCTTTGCAGGTTATATGGTCTCTATGCCAACTATTAAATCCTTCCATTGAGACAATACATAAGCCAATGAGTTGAATTTAAATTTCATATAATTTTCACGTTATGAAATATTTTGCTTTTTCTTCAACATAAAAACCACTTTTAGCTCACAGGCTATACAGAGACAGGCAGCAGGCTGGATTTGGCCTACAGATCTCAGTTTGCCAGGTCCTGTTGTAGACTATGTTGAGGAGTTTAGATTTTATTCCAGGTGCATTAGAGAACCAGTACAAGGTTTCTATGTAAGAAAGTATTGTGATAGGATTTATGCTTTGAAAAGATTGTTCCAGTGTCATTGGATTGGTGGGGGTATGAATAAAGGCAGAGAGACTAGCTCAGCTATAAAACTGTTGTAGGAGTATGGATGTGAAACAATAGTGGCTTGGATTAGGGTAATTATAGCAATGGAGTTTAAAAAATTAATAGGAGGCCAATTTGAAATATGTTGTGCTGGTAGAGTTGAAAATGCATGCACGTAAATCATTATAATATGAAGTAGAGTATATAAATGCCAGAAAGAATGACAGTTGAAATTATTCTGGAGGACCAGAGAGAATGACCTGAAGTTGATGGACCATGAGTCTTTCACTTGAGTAGGTTTTTGACAAGAAGAGAAGGGAGAGTCATTTTGATGTTGGAAAATATTGGTCCTCCTGTTTTCATCTGTAAGAAATGGACCATGATATTAAACCGTAAGCTCCTTGAGGTCAGAGATCATGTCATTTGCCTCTCCATAACCCTACAACCTAGCTGATCAATAATCTAATGTCATTTGTGATACAGATGAACCTGGAGGGTATCATGCTAAGTGAAATAAGCCAGATGCAGAAAAAATAGTGCATGACTTCTCCTATATGTGGAATCTTTAATTTTTTAAAAAAGGTCACAAACAGAAAAAGAGGGTAGAATAGCAGTAACCGGGGCAGTCGGATGGGGAGAGGGAAAATGGGGAGATGTAAGTCAAATGGTAAAAAGTTATAGTTAGGTAGACTTCAGTTAGTAATACTGCATTGTCTACTAAAAAAAATTTGCTAAGAGGGTAGATTTTGATGCTTTTACCACACACACACACACACACACACACACACACACACACAAAGGTAACTATGTGAGAGATGAATATGTTAATTGGCTTGACTGTGTAATCATTTCACTATGTATATGAATATCACAACATCATATTGTAAACCTTGAAAATGTAAAGGAAAATAAAATTTAATGGCAACTGCTAAAAAAACTAACATCAATTCCAAAAGTATTTATTGATCTTCTGCATGCTATGGCATATGCTAGCTGCTGAGGACTATAGTGCCATATAAAGTTGACATAGTCACTGTCCTCATGGAGCTTATCAGAATTAAAGAGATAATTGCACAAATCAATAATTACTGTGCTACAAAGGAACAGTATTTGGTGCTCTGAGAGGATATACCAGGACCCAATGTTGTCTTGGGGATCAGAGAAGGGTTCCATGTAGAACTGACATTTACATTGATGGCTGAAGGAAAAGGAAGAAATAAATAACGAAATAGAAGTCGGAGGTCGGAAGAAAGAGCATTTGCAGCAAAATGAACAGTATGCGTGAGTTTCCTGAGACAGGAAGGAGTCTGGCATGTTTCAGGATCTAAAAACCAGAGACAGAAACAAAACAAGTAAGCATGATAGAACCAAAACTAGCAGATGGAGAAGGCCCAGACCATCCAGACCTTGTAGGCCAGGGGAAGGATCAAGAACTTCCAGAAATGATAGGGGAGTTTTGGGTCGAAGCAGACCTAGCTTTAATTCCCAGTTATGCCACTTGTTAAATGGATAGAATTACTAAATTACTGACCTAGCCCATCTTTCAGGAATTGTGAGGATAAATGTTAAAATTATTTATTATGAGAAATAATGATGACATTTTCTGTAAAAGAAGCTGGTGGATTTTCATTAAATGGTTTCTCCTCCCTGGGCACAGGGTAAATGCAGGGAATAATATGACCTAAGGCTCAGAAATTAGCTTAAATGCTCAGCAAAGGTATCCCTATTTTGTGGCTCCCAGGGAGCAAAATGGAACTATGAAGATTGTCCTCCCCATATCTATGTCCACACATAAGTCAAACCCACTCAATCTGAGCCCCGATTCTGTACTTCTACAAGAGAAAGTGGGTGTCCAAAGATCAATCTGGCATTGATCCTGTCCTCAAGGAGTTTAATTCATTGCTTAAAATTATAAGGAGGAAAATGGGATCTTTTCAATGGATGAGGTAAGTGAATAAAAGAAAAGTCAGAGTGCCCCTTTCTAAATGAAGGCTCAGCATCTGGCAAGAAAGTTGAACTGTTTTTGCTTTTGCCCCCGTGGCTAGTGATTTTAATTTCAGGAATGCCCAACAGGACTCAGAAAGCTGTGAATGTAAACTGACTACGTATCTTGGTCTTTGTGTGTGTAAATCAGACAGCTAATCCTGTGCTCTCCTTGCTCTGTTCCTTTAGGAATGTAAAATAGCTTGCTGGAGCTCTCTCCATGCAAGCAACATGGGTATGGCTCTGCTGAAAACAAAACAAAACAAAAATGTCAGAATCCCAGGAAACATCTCCAGGAGAGCTCTTGGCCTGTGGAAGCGCTGTCAGAGGCTGCCACTTTTCAAGGGAGGTGTGGTGGGGTTAGCAGCCCAAGCCTGCTGATTTCCAATTGTCACTGGGTTTTAAAAGAGTTCTTGCTATTGTTCAGTTACATCCATTACAGTTTTTTAAAAGCTCATACTTTTTTCATGAACAAAAATTATCAGGACAGTTTCTCCTAAAAAACTAGTCTAAACAAGTGACGATCTATCTGGACATCTTACTCAAGGATATGGCAGGGTTTCAAGGAAGAAGAGAAAGTAGAAGAGTTTGTCTGAGTTAGTGATGTGACTACTTTTAGTTCAGTGTCCTAAAAGTGCTTATTCACAAGGTCCAGACAACATGAAATAAAATATTGTAATAATGTATAATAAAATATTACTACACATAGTAATAAAATGTAATAATAATGAAGCATGGTTAGTCCTGTTCAGGCGTAATCTTTTATGCTATCGGGAGTAGCGCCCTGGTATGGCCTGCCATCCATAAGAACAGCAATTAGTTTGTCAGTCCATGACTGCTGCCCTGGTTGCTCAGTCAGGTCCACAGATGCCCACCCTGCAGGCTGTGTCCTTCACGAGTTTCTGGGCCAGCCCTGGCTTAGACAAGAGCTAATGCAGGGAACCTGGACTCTTGTACTGCCCAGGACCTGGAGCCTGGCCACTGCACAGACCTCCCAGGTGGTGACTGCTTGGTAACTGACCTTCTGCCCCAGATTCCCTCACTGTGCCACTCCTGTGTCCTAAAGGGATTTGAGTACCTCATTCTTGACTCCTGATGTCAGGATGTTACCTAAATTATGCCCAAGAAGTCTACACCCCTCAGACAGTCATTATACCTGCTGATCATGATACATCCACCTTCCAAAATCTGCTTGAGCAATCATCTAGCATTTATACAATGATATGATGGTAAATGCTTAACAACTGATACCCTGGAGAGGAAAAATCTATATATATAGATTATATGTGCATATAATTATATACATATGCGTATAATCACACAGACATATATATGCATATAAGTCTATTGTAAATTTTACTGATAGAATGTGTAGCACACAATTCACAAATAATAATAAAACACACAATACTCTTTATTGTAGATTCTTTATCACCCATTGATTCTATCAAAATGCTTTTATTTTTGTTGAACTTTTGAATCTGCAGCCAAATGGTGGCTGCAATTAATGGAATGGTGCAGTTTCCATGTAAATGTTGGTTGCTATTTTTATTTACCTGAAGGAAGTAAAACAAAAAGCAACAAAGACCTGTTTTAGAACTTATTCATCAATGACATAAGCAACTTCTTTGTTGAATTAAATAATAGTTTTTGAGTATTAGAAGAATATTTCCTCAATTTTTTGTGCTATTTAAAAGAAAAAGAAAAGAAACTGTGAGATATACATACATACTATATATATGTATATATATATGATGGAATACTACTCAGCCATAAAAAAGAATGAATTAATGGCATTTGCAGCAACCTAGATGAGATTGGAGACTATTATTCTAAGTGAAGTACTCAGAAATGGAAAAACCAAACATCGTTTGTTCTCACTCATAAGTGGAAGCTAAAGCTATGAGGATACAAAGGCATAAGAATGACACGATGGACTTTGAGACTCAAGGGGAAAGGGCGGGAAGGGGGTGAGGGATAAAAGACCACAAATAGGGTGCAGTGTATACTGCCCGGGTGATGGGTGCACCAAAATCTCACAAATCACCACTGAAGAACTTACTCATGTAACCAAATACCACCTGTTACCCAATAACCTATGGAAATAAAAAAAAAAAAACTGTAACAGTCACAGAAATATTTAGTCTGCATTATTAACATTTTCTCCATCACTTTTTTAAGTCTCAGCCAGTGGTCAGCAAATTTCTCTGCTGAGGCAGGAGAATTGCTTGAACCCGGGAGGCAGAGGTTGCAGTGAGCCAAGATTGTGCCACTACACTCCGTCCTGGGCGACAGAGCAAGACTCCATCTAAACAAAAAAAAATTTAGGTAAGAGCCATAATATAATAACTATTAGGAGAGCAATTAACAAGCAAATGGTTCAGACTATGGAGGAGACTTTTTGTGGTTACTTGTAGTGCTTATGAATTTTTCAAAATCCTGAAAATTTAGACACCTCTGCTCCCTACCTGTATCTGTGTGTAGCTCTATCATATGATAAGCAAAACTAGGAGAGTACACGATATATGTAGAGAAGCACATATTATTTTTGTGGATGGCAGAACCTGCCAATAAATAAGTGAATCTAGCCTTCTGATTCCAACTTTGCTTTAATCTTCTAGAAGTAGTGGATGCAAGAAGGCTTTTCTAGTGTCAAAAAAAAAAAAAAAAAGAAGAAGAAGAAGAAGATGATGATGAAAAAGCCTTTTGCCCTTAATTTAAATCATTGTTTTTCTAGGGAAATTTAATTTGGGGAAAAAAAATGTTTTTCTAATTAACTGGATGACTGTGTGCTATGCAAACAATAAAGATTCTTGTTTGAAAGTAATGCATGCCCCTGTTCCTAAGACTACCAAGGGAATTTAAAATAAAAAATGCAAGCAGCTCCGACCTCATATTTTGCCAGAGCTAAACAGAATTCCCAGATCCAGAGTTTTCACGTCAGTTCCTAATTTAAAACCCACAAGTGTTGAGCGGGTTCATGCTGCAGCAAGACACATCTTCTCATCTCTAGAAATGACTGTATTTGATCTCGGTCTGGGTTTCTCGGCACGTCCTTCTCTCTCTCTCTCTCTTCTTCTTGTGCTATGGTTGGCCTGAAAGGTTAGAAACTGCACAATTAGATGGATCGGGGGAAGATTTCATAATGCTCTGGTGCTGGGTTGGGCAGTCTAGCCAAATTCCGTTCATTAGCTAAGGCGCCAGGGTGAATGTGGCCAGTAAGAATGCTGTTTTGGTTCCATCGAAGAGCTGATAGGGAATAGGAAATACACTTTTAGTTTTTTTGGTTTCTGAGAGGCAGTATGGACAAGTGAAGAGTCCAGGATGCTTGGAATCTGAAGGCCAGTTATTAATCTCCATTTCAACCACTAACTGAGCAGTAGAAGTAACTGCCATTCTCCTTTTGACTTTTTTCCCTCCGTTCTGACACAGTTGTCTTATGCTGTCTGTACCAGCGTGAAATTCCTGTCTACCGTAGACTTCAAGCATTCCAAAGTCAAGAATCAAGTATTCACCAAACATTTACTGAGCCACCTACACTCTGCTAGGTGCTATGATAGGTGCTTTGGAAAGTGATATTAATCAGACATGGTCCTTGCCCTAAGGAGCTTATAGACTACAGAGGAGATGGATCATTGAAAAACATAAAACAATAAAGCAAGTACAATGTGTGAGACATATTAAAATTGCTAAGGGAAAATTGGCAAGGATGATTCCCTTGGGAAGCCAGAGAAAACTAGAAAAAGGAAAGGACTTTGAACCAGGACTGTTTGAATAAAAGGATAGAAGTTTTTGTGGAAGAGGAGGCCATATCACAGGAGAAAACAGCACAAGCAATGGCTGGGTCTAAGGGCAAGTGACTGATAAGGCTAAGTGGAGGATTTGGGTGATGTTTGGTTAAGACGAAGGAATGTAACTTTTACAGTATATTCCTCCCGATGTGTGAACAGGATAAAACAACTCTAGGCTTTGAGGCATTTGAGATTTTAGGGAGAATCTGCACAACAGCAA
Source organism: Homo sapiens (assembly GCF_000001405.40). Taxonomy (NCBI): domain Eukaryota; kingdom Metazoa; phylum Chordata; class Mammalia; order Primates; family Hominidae; genus Homo; species Homo sapiens. The sequence goes on from NC_000017.11 coordinate 56,435,736, forward strand.
GTTTTATGAGGTGTTTTTTTTTTGATCAATTGAATAAAAATTAATTAGGCATTGCTGCACTGTTTTATCTTTATGCCTTTACATTAGCATAGTTTCACCTCTCCAAAAGCTGGCCTGCAATTTGAGTGTTTTCAGCTAAAACAGGGTGGATTATCTAATCCACATCATAAGCCTTGAAATTTACCTAAACTTTATACTATGTTCTCTGCTTGGGTACCCAAACTCTTCTGAGTTGTGAATTTTCTAGTCTTGTAACTGATTCCGTGACATTTCCCATTACATTATAGACCTCAGGGTGGCAGGGCCAGGCTTCAGGGGCTCTTTTTCATTTTAATCTTCCAGCCTGTGATTTACATAGCTGCCATCAGATAATGGCAGTGTTCAGGTAGAACTTCCCTGCCCAAATGACTCTACATATCTGAAACCTAGATAAAAATTAAAGTTTTGTTAAAATAACAAGGAATCCCATGTAAAATAGTCATAGTTACTTGATATAAATACAAGGAATCACAGTGTGAGCCAGAGCCAAATTTTAGGAAATACTAATATCTAGGTTTTGTCGAATACCTTTCTTGCTAATTTTCAACTGCTATGAGCCATTGCGCAATTAAGCCCTGCTTTTCCTTCTCAGACCTAAGTAGAAACAGTTTCTCTCATCTTTATCTTAAACATTACAAGTTTTGTATAGTTTTAGAACCGGCTTATACGTGATTTTCTCAGGGTTTTAATGGTAAGTCTGTAAACTACCTATATACAACTTTCCAAAGAGAACATTCTGAGTTAACCTTCTTAGAATTCCCAGTTGCGGCCGGGCACGGTGGCTCATGCCTATAATCCCAACATTTTGGGAGGCTGAGACAGGCTGATCACCTGAGATCAGGAGTTCAAGTTCACGACCAGCCTGACTAACATGATGAAACCCCGTCTCTACTAAATACAAAAAAATTAGCCAGGTGTGGTGGTGCATGCCCGTAATCCGAGCTACTTGGGAGGCTGAGACAGGAAAATCACTTGTACCCGGGAGGCGGAGGTTGGAGGTTGCAGTGAGCTGAGATCGTGCCACTGCACTCCAGCCTAGGCAACAAGAGCGAAACTCCATCTCAAAAAAAAAAAAAAAAAAGAATTCCCAGTCACTCTCAAAGTGACTCCTGCTCACTCTGTTTCCCTCTTCATTCTTTAAATGCCCAGAAATTCCTTTCTTCTTTCTGTGGCTTCATGCCAAAAGGAGTCCACCAACCCAAGGAAATACACAGAGGGAAAAAGACTGTTGGTTGCCCCAGAATAGATTGGCCATTCTAACATGGAGAATTGTTTGCCTTTGATGTGAATCTTCTTTTTCTCTAGCCCCTTCCCTTTTGAAACTCAGATATGTTATAAAATCTAATTAGACTTAACTGTTTAAAACCCTCTATTAATTCCCAAAACAGAACCACATCTTCTTACAACCGGCTTCTGTTTATGTTTTGTTCTGCAAGAAGCCTGACACTCTTTTCCACCTGAAACTTGCTTTGTAAAACATGTTTCAGTAAAACTTGAACAATTTCAAAAATAAATTGAGGTTTCTTTAGAAATTCTAAAGATCGTATCTCTGAAAAACTTTTCATTAATCATTTGCCAAATAATCTGGTATTATTCCCACTAATCCCTTGCTCTTCTTTTGGCAAGTTGTCTTGAGTTCTTAGTCTGGAGTCACAGCCCTTGATTTTCAGCCTTCAGCTTAGAGCTCCACCACAGCAATTAATCATGTCTGTTTCAATGGCAACCAAAGATATTTTTGTTTCCAGAATTTTCCTATATTCTTTGCTCTTCCTAAATTTCTTTGCAAATTTGCTACTCATTTTTGTTTTGTTCTGTTTGTAATAACTTACTCAAGCATACCGTTTTTCTTCTATAGCTAAATTAGGTGTAACATTATTCTCTGATTACAAACCTTCCCCAATTTGACTTTCAGAGACTTGGCTTCTTCAAGAGTTAGTAGCTCGTAAGTGGAATAAAACATTTTGAAAAATGGAAACATACATGTAATACATATACATATATATAAACATATATATGTGTTTTAGAATACATATTTGTAAGGAGGTATAGACCGATTTGAGTTAATATATAATCTTAATCATTTGATTCTAACTAGATGGTATAACATGCCTGAGAGTTTCAAGGGGCAAGAAACTAGAAAAGGAGAAGATTCACATGAAAGAAAAATATTTTTGTGTTGGAAAAACTAATCTACTGTAGGTGTGTGTGTGTGTGTGTGTGTGTGTGTGTGTGTATACATATATATGCATTTGATTTGTAAGTATTTAATAAGCACCTTCAATGCACCAAGCACAGACCCACACTAGAAAGGAAAAAAATGAATGACACTTTCCTGTTCTCAAGTTTCTCATGCTCAAGAGAAAGAGATACATAGCGTAAAACATAATACATTATAATAAATCTCGTTTTTACAGAAATAAGGGACTTAGGGAGCAGAAAAACTGGTGTATTTGATTAATTATTCCTGATGAATTTAGAGATGACTTTGCTAGGTCCTAAATGATTGGTGAGTTTCACCAAGCAGAGGTTGGAAGATGGGGAAAAGACACAGAAGCAGAAAATGCACAAAATAATCAGGTAACAGAGACTTACAGAACAAAGACTTTCTTCTGAAAAATGGCAGGAATTTAGAAGAGTAATATATAATTGGGACCAGATAAGAAGGTCCTTGAATGCCTTCCTAAGATTTCATTTTATTTCAAAGCAACTGGACTCTATGAAAAGATACTAGGTGGAGGAATAAAATCATTCAATCTTCATTTTTCAACTATAATTCAGGGTATAGTAAAAGGATTTTTTTTCTTGAGACAGGATCACACTCTGTGGCCCAGGATGAGTGCAGTGGTACAATCACAACTCACTGCAATCTTGAACCCCCGGGCTTAAGCAATCCTCCCACCTCAGCCTCCTGAGTAGCTGGGACAGTAGGAGCATGCCACCACTCGGAATGGGAGGCACTCAAGTAGAGATTAACAGAAGGAAGTTCGAGCTCAAGGGGGAGGCTGGACATAGAATCACAGTTTTAAGACTCATAGTTAGAGCCATAAAAAGTGGATAAAGTCAATACCAAAGGCAAACATGTGGAGTGAAAAGAGAGCCAAACATCAAACTCCCAAGGAACATCACATCAAAGGGAGAAGGAGAAGGGGCAAAACCAGGACGAGTCTAGAAAGAGGCAGTTAATGCAAAAGAGAAGTAGAAAGGCAAGTGCAACCAAAACCGGGGGAGGGGAATGGTTGCACAAAGTAAGGAAGGCCAAACATGGCAAGATTTCCCAAAGGGAGGCTGTTGCTGATGATCAAAGCACAAGAATTTTAGGAGAGCAGTTTCAAGAGTGTGAGGAAAGCAAGCGAGATGCCCAGGAACATTCTGAAGAAGAGGAGAGAATGCAGGATCATCCAGAGCAAGGGAACTGTGTGACTCGAGGGGCGCAGCAGGCTTTGGAGATGGTTTGATTTTGAAATATTAAAGTGTCCTAGAGAATGTCATTTAAATCTTAAGATCTATTGCTTATCACAAAGTTTAGAAACAGAGGCCTTGCTTCCCATGGGATTTAAGTCCCTTAAGTCCCTGCTTCATTTATGCTTGCCTTAAATCCCACCAGGTATAAGCAATTACTTAAGATACTTTTTACTGATGATGCACAATTTATCTTTCCTGACCATGGCTTTGTCAACTGATAGAAAATGTGATGAAAGCATATGATATCACAGTAAAATGGGGTGTTAGAATTTGTATGACTTAACTAGAAATAAACATTCACCTTGGGGATGTCAAGGGAGAAGAACATTAAACACCTTAGCCACAAACCCCTTTTCCAATGAAAAGGCTTGGAAGAAGCTATCAAGGAGAAGAAGGAGAGAAGGGGAAGGGAGCAGTATATAAGGCATTAGGGGAAGAGAATGTTTTCAGAAAAAGAAGGTGTCAAATGATGTGGAGATAATGAAAGGAGGCTTCTTTATTTGGAGTGAAAATCTCACTCAGACCTTAAGAGAGGCTTTTCAGTAGAATATGGCGAAGCAGATGTCAGACTTGGAGAGCGAATAGAAGGTAATGTCCTAGTGGATCCTTTGGTTCTCAAATGCAGTAAATAAGTTATCTACTATATAGAACAAGCTGTTACATGTAATGTGCCTGAGTATGTGTGTGTATATTCATATACACATACACATACACACACAAATGCACACACACACAATGTGTTTATATGGCAATGGTCTCATGAGCAATATATTTAATATAACTTACATCTGACATTAAGAACATCACATAAATGTGCATGTACTACAATATACATTATATTTATCAAGGCTCAAAAAAACTGATAAGTTTTTATTATTCTTTTCTGCTCTTCTTTTAAAAAAAATGTGAACTTGGAAACTAAATTAACATCTCAAGGAATGTTGTCTGATACACCAATATAAAGAAAGGAGGGTGCACTTAACTCTTTCTGAGAGGGATTGTATGCTAGAGTTTCTATGGTACTTCTTGATGTGTGACTGAATTTTATTCTCCCTCTTTCTCTCTCTCCCTGCCCCCCTACTCCCTCCAGTGGAATGGAGTATGTCCGAAGACTTTTCTCCTTTGGCTGGAGAAATCATCATGGATAATCTGCAGACTCTGAGATGCACAATCACAGGACTTACAATGGTAAATGTCCCCAGTAGACTTTTCATTTCCCTATTGCTGATATTTGTGCTGGGATATCAGTAGCAAATGTCTATTCTGAAAGCAACAGCCAACGCCCAGTCCTCTGGCAACAACTGCCACTCATTAAGCATGATATGTCTGGTATCTAGAATCTGAATTTCACAAAGGAGTAAGCAGACAGCATGAATCACTTTATAAACTGTCGTGTTCTAAGGAGATCAGAAAAAGACTGGCCTCATGCAAGCCTTGAAAGCTGCTGCTTTCTGGATCACAGTCTAATCTTCTGGGGGAAAGCAGGGAGTGGATCAAAGGCTCTGAGAGATGCAATTTTGACTCCCTGTCTGATGGTAAAAATAACAGCTTCATCTCACCCTCATGCCCACAGCCTCAGCCTCGGTTGAGATCAGTCATCAATTGCAGTCACATAATTTCCTGAGAGAAATCCTTTTCCCTTGATTAAAAAAAAAAAACGAAGTCTGTCTAAATATGTTTTCACAAAAAAGAAACTATATATGGTGGAGCTATGTTTCTCAGCAACCTAAACTAATTTAAACTGTGAGTGAAAAACTGGAACAAACTGCTTATTTGTTTAACTAATATAAACTCAAAAGTTAATTATTTAGAATTATGAACATATGAGCATATGAAATGCAAAAAAAATAAAAACACCTTGTAAATCAGTTCAAACTGGAGCAAACCCTGTATTTCCTCAAGCAATTAAAATGCAAAAGATAAAATTCTTTTTTCTCAAAATATTTTAAAAGTAAAATTAAATCAAACCTTTTTCAGTCCAATTCAAATATTTAATATCTTAGGACCTTCAGATGAGGGAAGTAGAGGGATAATTTTGTTATTATTGTTGTTGTTTTCTTAAAGGTTTGTTGATTAAAATGTTACCTACAAAGTATAATCCTAAAGCCCACCCTTAAAAAAAAAATGCATCAGGTTGCATTTCTTCAAGTTTAAACCTGCTTATTCTAATGGAATTTTTGATGCTTGGGTAATCACCACGGAATCCTGACGTTTAGTCCTAATCGCATATCTATACCAGGGGCCAGAACTGTGGATTACCAGAGCAAACAAACCCCTGAGTGGGTGGCCCCCAGAGATGCTATCAGTAGAAGACTGATTCCAACCCTATGGCTCACAAGATGGAAGAGGGCCAGAAGGAACCCTAGGGAATTTTCATTGCTTAAAAGAAAAAGTGATATGTGATAAAAATGGAAAACTCTCCATAAAGAGTTTCTCTAATATCTGAACTAATTTCCATAGGGATTAAGTTTTTCCACTTGACCATCTAATGAAAGAAATGCAGACACTATTGTAATCATATAAAAGCCTAGGAGTAGATTTATACTTTACACAATCTCTATAACTTTGAGGGTCATAGAAACCCATTTTCAACATTAAAACATTGATTTCCTAACACAGTAAGGTCAATATTTTATGATCCCTAGAAAAGTCTCTACAAAGATGTGCTTTTTTTTTTTAACTTCAAACATCATTTTACAATTTTTACAAGCAATGTTTCATCAAATGCTGGCTTCTCAAATGCCCTTTGGGTTCACTGGAAAAAAATATAAAAGCAAAATGTAAAATATAAAAATTCAAGCAAAATATAAAAACTATACAAAAGATTTTAAAACATTATCAGCAAATAAAAACAATTCCTTAATTCTTAACATCACAAAAGACCATTAAAGAATATAAGCCATTGTTTTAACAATGGCTTTAAAATTGAAGTCACATCAAAATGTTAATTTTTTTAAATGTGTATGCAGCTGAATGAAGGATGTTTATTGCAGCATGTTTATTGTAGCACAAAATGTGGGAACCATCTAAATGTCCACCAGTCAGGGACTGGTTAAATACATGATACCGAATATTTGCTCACAGTGAAATGTATGCAGACACAAAAAGAGCAAGGCAGTTATTTAATGCACTACTCTGAAAAGATATTTATTATAACTTATTCATTTTCTAAAGCAAGTTGATCACTAAAAGAAGTGACAGCTATTACCTATAGGAAGGGGAAAATAAGGAGAATGATGTGAGAGTGGGAATTGCTATTTTTTGTAAACCTTGTAGAACTATGTGACTTTTAAAAATTTATATATAGTTTCAGGGGGCTCAGGAAAAGTCATTATGATTCTTAAATTTTGAAAAGAAGAAAGTGCATAGAAACTAAGAGGGAACTTCAAATATGGTTGCTGTGACATATAAACATAATAGTCAAGAAAAACCAGAATGCTATAGATGGGCTATAGTTCTGTTGCCCATGAACTCTGTTGCATGGGCAACAGAGTTCCAAAGAGATGAAGGAGTTAATCACACATAGTTATTAAATTCTATACCCATAGAGTCTAGGGTAAAAATGATTAAATAAAATGCCTGATGCATCATTTCAATACTTTGCAGGGCCAACAGTATTTTGTTCAAGTCTCGGCTTACAATATGAAAGGATGGGGACCTGCTCAGACCACGACACCGGCATGTGCCTCTCCTTCTAGTAGGTGGTGGCTGTGAACTCTCTCCAGCATGGTAACAGACTCCAACTGCAACTCCATCTTCAGGGTGCCATTGCCATTCCCTTCCCCCACTGCTTGCAACCCATAAGACCTTCTCAGGGCAGCATCTGGGCCACATAATGAATGATTCCCCTGCAGAAATGCTCCTGGGGAAGCAGCTCAGTGGAGTAAAAGGAGAGGGAATTTGGAAACAGAAAGGCTGAATTTGATACCCATTATGCCTCTTATCATCTGTGTGGCCTTCAAAAGTTGTTTAACAGTCAGGCATGGTGGCTCATGCCTGTAGTCCCAGTTACTGGGGAGGCTGAGGCAGGAAGATCTCTTGAGCCTAGGAGTCAGAGAGTTCGAGGCTATAGTGAGTTAAGATCGCACCACTGCACTCCAGCCTGGGTGACAGACTGAGACACTGCCTCTAAAGAAAAAAACAAAAACCAAGTCTCTGAGACTCAATTCCATGTCTTTAGAACAGGTCCAACCACACCCTTTCATAGGGCTTTTGTGGGGATGGATCAGATGCCATGGTGGGAGTGGCGGCCCAGAGTACATACAGTCCATTGTAGCTCTCCTCTTCCCTTCCTCACCCGCAGTGCACACATCCACATCGACCTGATAAGAAAATGAAAGCTAACAAATCTTACTGATCTGACACTCTGTCAGAAAAAAAGCTTTCTTACTAACAGCATTCTGCTACAAACCCACAAACATAATCTATAGCATTTGTAGTGGTGGCTGAGAAACCCAGCAAAGGCCTTCCGATTATTTGAAAATTAATTGTCTATGCCAGGTATGTTTGGGCATTCTCTATTAACCAGAAAATTTAACCAGAATAAATATCTCCAGACATATCATACCATAGATTTTTCTATGTAATGAGCCCAGTACTCTGAATTGTATTTTCATTTTTTAAAAACACTTCATTAATGTGAGAGTTAAAAGTGATATCATATGTTTCTTGTGAGAGTAAAAACTGCTAACATCCTTTATGGAACACAATTTGCTATGTTATACCAACTGCCTTAAGAAAATCTGTTTCTTTTTACTCCATAATTCTACGTCTAGGACTCTACCCTAAGTAAAAAGAAATGCAAACAAACCAGTCTGTACGATGATGTGTAGCAATGCACTCATAAAATGAAGCGTCATGTGTGGTAGGGAGAACAAATATCCAGTATTAATTTAGTATTAAAGTATGATATATCTATCTTTATATCAGTAACTACAAATAAAACACAATCACTAAACATGGTCTTTTTAAAAAAAATTGTGTGGAAAAAAACTTCTACAGTGTAAGTTTTATGTTTTATGTAAAAAGAAATGCAAAATGTGGGATTTTTTTTCACCTAACATTCAACTGTAGGTTTGTACATGATTAGATAGAGTGTGTCCATGTGTCTTCATAACTCTCCAAATTTATCAGTGGACATTTGGGTTATGAGATTATGGTCTCTTTTAGTTTTTTTAACTATGCCTGTGTATTTTTTTTATAATAACCATTTACTCAAGACCAGCCATGAATCAGGCAGTTTGTAAAGGGCTTTCACATTCAGTATCTCTTAATCCTTGCGGCAATCTTTCCTCATTATTTCTGTCTTGTAACTAGGCATCATTGTCACTATCATCTGCATCTCTATCAGCATTGGAGATAACCTTTATCAGACTCTTTATATGGAGGGCATTAATCTAAGTACCTCACATGGATTAACTAATTTAATCTTCGTAAGGTACCTCTTGAGGTGATTTTTATTATTGGGTTCATTTTACTGATGAGGGAACTATAAACATAGAGGCACATATATACAGAGCCCAGCATTTGAACTGGGGTTCAGAGATGTTGCCTTTCCGAAAGTCACAACACTGGTACATGGCTGAACCAGGACTCTAGCCTGAATTGGTCATCTGGCATGTCTCCGATGCTACAGTAACTAGTGCCCTGCTATCAGGCAGACTAAGAGCCAGCCATCTGTGCCTGACTACCATCTCTGGCAGATTCAGATAACTACACCAGGTCAGACAGGGCCTTGGACCACCGATGCCTGAGATCCCTAAGGTCCCTGACTCTCCTGGCATTTGATGACTTCATTATTCTAGACTTATTTGGACTAGGCATGTTTTTATTTCTAGTCATTTATTTCTAGTTGTCTTTTTACCAAAGATTTGCCAGAAACACAAACAGAATTCTAAGATTAGGATAAAAGGAACCAATCTCATGTTGGGGATGGGCAGTAGTGTGTGTATATTATGGGAGTGACAGAAAATGCACAAAAATGCTAGTCTCAGTTGACCTGAAAGTGAGGAGGTGTCTGGGGAACCCCACTCCAAATGCAAGTTCTGATCTGCATATAGATGCATTTGCTGATAAAGATCAGAGGTTCAGTTTCCATAAGCTGCACGTTCCATTCAGACACTATCTGTCACAGCCCATTTGAGGTGCCATCTCCAGAATGACCAGAATAGTTAGTTGTTCAGGACTGGGAGGAGTCACTTATTAACTGGTAATTAACATATCAAATAGCAACTACTTTCTAAAATAGTATGTTTGATTAGTAGGGATAACTGGCAAAGAACTGAAATCCTAACGTGGTTATAGTTGTTGCAGACATGCCCTATCGCTTGGAAGGAACAATATAAAAACACTCCTATTTATAAACAGAGTATGACATTGTGATGTAACATATATCGGTATTCAGATATTTACTAGAGGACAATGTATTCTAACATGACAGGGTAATTGGAAATTTGGTAATATGTTCCAGTAGGCTATAAAACTTTTTTAAAAAATATTTTTACAAAAGGCCTTAATGTGTTTTTACAGACTTATGTTATATGGTATGGTACATAGTAAGAGAAAAGGACCCAGACAGGCTTGTCTGAGTTACGATCAGGAAAATCCCGATATCGCCAGTGAATGTAAGCTCGGCATTGTGTCACAGTTGAAGTGTCTCATTACCAGAACAGTGAGCTGTATTATGTGACACAATCTGCTCTTTTCCTACCATGCTAAGTTTATTCCTGTCAGGTTCCTGATTTCTTAATATATTTTCAATTTTCTCCCTCATCCCTAAAGTCTCCTATTTTATGTAGTCGTCAGAACCTTCCAAACATCTATGAGAAAAACTCATTCTTTCCAAAAACCTTGGCATTATGTCCAGTGCTCACTTGGGCTGCAATTTAGCATTAGCAATTTTCTAATGTATCATAAAGTAATCAGATGGAGCTCGCCTCTGATGTAATAGGGCTGAAAGAGACAGGCCTATTTCAGCTCTCCTCACATTGATGGCAGCAGTCACACTCCTTAGAATGCATTGGCATGTTCAGGGACGCGTAGTAATTCAGCCACCTAGGAGTCTTACTCAAACACACAACCTTGCTTATCTTATCATGAGCACTTCAGATGCATTCATCCAACTAAGAGAATAAACTCCTAATGGCCTTTGGGAATCTATGACAGCAACGTTTATTCTCACTGTGCCCCAATTCTGGGGGTGCTAAAAATGATCTAAAGGATACCGAGTGTTTATTTCCTCAAACATTTTTGAACTTTCCAGTAAAAATCCTTTCCTATCTTATCCTACCTGAACATCATCGTGCTTCTATTCACAATGCCTCACCAACATTTAACGAGTCTGCTCTGTGCCCCAGATGGTGCTTTGTTTTCTTAAACCTCAGACAAACTAAAAAGAGACTTAAAAACTCTGTAATCCCAGTACTTTGGGAGGCCAAGGCGGGTGGATCACCTGAGGTAAGAGTTCAAGACCAGTCTGGCCAACATGGTGAAACCCTGTCTCTACTAAAAATACAAAAATTAGCCAGGTGTGGTGGCACACACCTGTGGTCCCCAGCTACTAGGGAGGCTGAGGCAGGAGAATTGCTTGAACTCAGGAGGCGGAGGTTGCAGTGAGCTAAGATCGCACCACTGCACTCCAGCCTAGGCAACAGAATGAGACTCCGTCTCAAAACAAAAACAAAAACAAAAACCTCACTTTATAGGCCAGGCCAACAGTGGCTCATGCCTGTAGTCCTAGCACTTTGGGAAGCCAAGGCAGGTGGATCACTTGAGGCCAGAAGTTCGAGACCAGCCTGGCCAGCATGGTGAAACCCTGTCTCTACTTAAGCTACAAAAATTAACCAGGCCTGCTGGCACACACCTGTAGTCCTAGCTACTTGGGAGGCTGAGGAGGGAGAATCACTTGAACCTGGGAGGCAAAGGTTGCAGTGAGCCAAGATTGTGCCACTGCACCCCAGCGTGGGTGACAGAGCAAGACTCTTTCTCAGAAAAAAAGAAAAAGAAAAAGAAAAACCTCACTTTACAAAGAAAAAATTTGAGGCAAAGAGAAATTAAGTCATGGTTCTTGACCACAAGGAACAAAGACTCTACAAAAGGTACCTGTGCCAATTCCCTGTCTCCAGCATTGACCACAATTAAGCCACACCACACAAACTCCAACCAAGCTTCTGACCTTCCTTCCCAAGAGAAAAGAGAAAAATAAAAAGCATGTCCATGGTATATGAAATGAGCAATATATTGAGGGTCAGGAGATATTATTGCCCTGGCTGTGCCACTAACAAGCTGAGTCATATACAACTGGATTGGTTATATCAGCCCTGGTATCCTGAAAAGTAAAATAAAGACAGGTCCATGGGGGAGGGTGGAAAGGAAGAAGGATCAGAAAATCTCTGAGGCCCCTTTCTTCATAGGTAATCAGCTGATAGGGTAAGAAATGGTGTTTCCGTCATGAATTCCCTTCCTTTTAAGTTATATTTACAGAATGCCTATCATGTAATAGGCATTGTGCCAGACACCTAAGATATCTCTCATTTAATGCTCGCAAATATCCTGCAAAGTAGATACTATCCTCATTTTTCATGTTAGGGAGTAGAGGCCCTGTTGGTATAAGTAACTTGCCTGCAGACACTGAGCTAGGAATTGTAGGAGTCAGGATTCACACCTGTGTTTACCTGACTTCAGAACCTATGGTCCTCCTAACTGTGCTATATGCCTGGGCCTTGGATGAACCACTATGGAATGCTTTTATATAACTTTAACTGTCATGACATCTAATTAAGTTTCTGAATGAAAGAGACCCCGTATTTTAAAATAAATCTGTGGGGGAAGGAGTTTGAAACTTGTTCAACTAGAATTTAAGCCCAAGATACACTCATGAACTAACTGGCTTTTCTGGGGAAGAATGACTAGCAATTTTAGAGAAAGCATCTCAACTAAGAAAGACATTAAGTTGTTGCTTTCTGTTTTTTCCTCCAGAAAGGAAAACTGGAGGAAAGAAAATAGAAGGAAGAAGGGATGGACTCTGAAATGACTGACCTGCTGAAAAAAAAAACAAAAAAACAAGAGTTGGAGACAGCAGAATTACAATCTTGACATTAGTCCCATATGGGTTATTACTCTTGATATCATTATAGCTAAACGGAATGAAAATAGAAGGGGGAGAAAAATCTCAGTGGGTATTGCAATTTAAATTTGCCTTGTAAGCTAATACTGTATATTTAGAGACTGAGCAGACAGGGTGGTTGGTGGCTCAGAGTATGTGCAGGGGCTGCTGTGCCAGCTCACCAAAGCAGACATTCATTAGAGCAAAATGTAGATTTCCATTTCTTGGCATCTGACATGGGCTCTTTCCTTGGAAAGAAATGTCAATTTGGCCAAAAGTGTGAAACCTACAATAAAAGCACTGGGACTGTGGATTTCATCTAGTCTGCACATTCCCACCCCTTTCTTTCCTACTGTGAAAATCCAGTTGAGACTCGGGGTGCTCAGTGGAGAGATGGCAGAGGAACTGGTTAGGATGTAGAAGGCTAAAAGGGGAGAAGGGGTTGGAAGAGGTTAGATTGGACTCCCAAATTCCTGTTTTCTTTTGGCTTTCAATTACCATTTTCTCTTGCCCTAAGACTGCCCGACACAAGAAACCAACCACAATTACTGTTTTGCACAGAGCTCTGAACAATGGCAGCTTCCAAATCCTTGGCATCGCCTGCTTGCTCTGCATGTGCGGGGTGCTCATCCGCAGAGACTGTGGGTAGTATGAGCAAAACTCCGGCTCCTGACGCAGGGCAAGGAAGAGGCCTCCCCTGTTTTAAAATTTCACTATGTTTATTTCTTTTGTTCAATAGACTGGAAAGACTATGACGACAGAGAGCCCAGACACAAGGGACAGAGTGAAGTTTTGGAAGGTCTGCTGCAGCAGGTCCGAGCCCTTCATCAGCATTACAGTTGCCGGGGTAAGGATAAAAATCTGTGCTGGGCCATCAACTGAGGTCTCGGTGGCGCCGGTAATTTTAGCAGTTTCCTAACTGGGTCATACCTTCTCATTCATCAGGGAGAGAGATATTAATATTTGTACATCTGGAATCACTTTACAGCACTATCTTGCTTTAACCCTTCAGAAGAGACTTCCCTCTCCTTCGCTCACTTCCTTTCCCTCTCCCTCTCTCCATATGAACGGTTTGAAAACAAGCACAAGAAAAACAGCAGCTGCCATGAGTTCCCTTCTCTCGGAATTGTCCCTTCACAAGAGTCCTCAACGGGGCTAGCTCTTTGGGATATTCACCCAAAAACATTTTGCCTCCAAGGAAAATCCCCTGAGTATCCCTGCAGGAGCCCAGCCAATTATAATAACAACAGTAATAATAAACCTCCATATTTATTAATAATATAGTTTACAATGCAGTTTCACACCCAGTATCTCATTTTCATCCTCATTTTGGTAATTACCACTGAGGCTAAGTGGTGTTCCCCAAGGTCACAATGCCAGGAAAAGACAGAATCAGGACTCCAAGCTGGATTCTTCTGGTTCTAAGTCTAGTCCTCCTGACACGCTTCATTTTTGTCCCATTCCCTTACATCAGGACTGGGCACTGAACTGTAACCTCATCCTGAATTTTAATCTTCCTCTGTACCACTGCTCACAGGAAAGTAGAGCACATATTCCCTAGACTTTCACCAGCTACACCCAGAGAATCTCTGAGAAGGCTTTAAAAGCTTCTTTTCTACTTGGGCTGTTCAATTGGGACAGGGTCAGATTTCTGATCTGTGTAACGATTCGTGGAAGAGGTACTTAGTTTTATTTGGAGAATTAAAGCCTACATGAAGTTTTCATTTTCCATGCCCCCATCAGATCTCTAACTCCATTGTGCGCTGTAGATTTAGGACACTGCTGGAACAGCTGGGTAAGAAATCCACTATTGTGGAGGATCTCTTGAGCCCAGGAGTTTGAGGCTGCAGTGAGTTACGATCATGCCACTGTGCTCCAACCTGGGCAACAGGGCAAGACTCTGTCTCTAAAAATAGCAAATTTTTTAAAAGAAAAAAAAAATCCACAGTTGAAACTAAGAGATACTCACTGAGTTTGAGCTTGCTATAGATAAGTCATACTGAGCATTAGCAAAAGGTTGTTCCCAATTACTACATAGCTATCACAGTAGGACCCTTCAGCAATGTTGGCTCTAGCTAGAAATGAGGACAAGTGTTTGGAAGAAAATAATATTCTTCTAATGACCAGTTCATTAGGATATGTAAATATGCATGCAGTAGCTCTGAAACCCAAGTGGGATTTCCATTCCCAGATCTCTAAGAAGTCTTTACCCAGACCAGGACCTTCAGCATATTCCACACTGACCAAAGTCTAGTCAGTTCTCGGTTATTGAGGGCTCATTTAACCAGGCCAGTTGTTACCAAAGCTCCTTTCTCATCTTCTGCCTTTCCATCACATCCCTGCCCATTGGTTCCTGTGTGACAGCAAAGGTAACAAAGCAAGTGGACAGATGATTCTTGGAAATTCATAAGCCACTGTGTGTTTGGTCTTGATCAGAGGGGGAAAAGCTGAAACTACTCATGAGAATGAGAGATTTTTTTAATATTATCTGAGGATTCATGCTCTCCCCATTACCACTGGATTCCTATCTAATAATCAAAAAATGATTGCCTAGATGGTCCAATTGTTTCTATAGTTTCCATCCAACTTCTGTCATGTATATGCTTTTCCCCCAGAGGAATGTAAATATACACACAATATCAGGAAAGATTTAAGTAAGGCATAAGGTAGAACTTTCCAAAAAAGAAGAATATATTTTATATGAAATATACTCTGGACACTTAAACAGTGCTCAAAGTATGTTCCAAAGATCAGTGATCCAATAATATGCTCAGCTGAAAAAGGTTCTCTTGTCATGTAAGTTTTGGAAATGTTGAATTCTACATCTTCTCTTAGAAATTTAAAATATACTTTAGAATATTAAAGACTCTAATAAACAGACATGTCACATTTGCTTAAACAAGCATTTTCCAAACTTCTTTAGCCATGTACAACTTTTTCACAGTATTAGTATTCCAAAGCACAAATTTTGGGAAATGCTAACTCATAATATGCCAAAATAAATTACCTCATACACACACAAAAAGAATGAATCTAAGATGATTTAACATAACCCTTAATGCAGAAGGATAAATGAAGAATAAGTATTGCTTACAGAGAATTACAAATTTTTTTTATTATTATTACAAAATTTTTATTTAAAATATTCAAATACATTGAAATACTATGTGGTTTATTGGGGACATAAACTTTTACCAACTTTACAATTAGAAAAAGTAATATTTCAGATTCCAATTCTACCACTTACAAGCTGTGTATTATTGGGAAGAGGATTTCGCCTCTCTGATCCACAGTTTCTTGATCAGCAAAGTCAGGATAATATTACCTATCTTGCAGGATTGCTATGAAGAGTAAATTAGGTGCATTAAATTCACCTGACACAGTGTCTTTCCCTGGCAAACTGTAACTTATTTTTCTCCCATTGAGAAAGGGGCCACTCTCCATCCTCAGCACTTTATGCATATTCCATAGAATTGAAGTGTAATTGGTGACTGTACTGTAATGACCGTGTAATGACTCACTAACTATACAACATATTCCAAATATGGGAGTAATAATAAAAATCACTTCTCCTACTAAAATCCTAAATAGGAGGTACCAACATCTACATTAATTTCTGCATTTTGGCTAAAGAACTGGCCAAAGCTGATCTGCATGCTTAGTATTGGGATGAAAATTCAAGGGAGATGTTAAGCAAGCTTCATTGTTCACAAGGTGGGTACACTGATGTACATAATGAATTACAATATTAAAACAACAATCGTGTTCATCATAGCAATATCCTATAGGGATGAATTTATATTATTATCCAATTATTCAACTTGCAATACAATAGTAACTGAAACCCTGCCTACTATGTAATTTGTAGGTCACATAGTAGGGGCTAGACATGCCAACATGAATGAAGTAAACTCCTATGCTCCTTACAAGTTAGGGAACTACTGCATTCAGAGTACAGAAAATGAACTGTTGCTTCAGAACTCCAAACCAAGTAGGGAAGTACAGTATAGAAGCCACAAGGTTCTTAGGAGAAAAGTTAGTTTAGACTGATGTGTCAGTCAAGGTGAACCTTACTATGTTACAGTAACCAAATGATTCCCCAAACCTTTATCTCTCCCTCATGCTATGCGTTTACCACTGATCAGCTGGGAGTTCTCCTTCTGTGTTATTAACATCCTCTCTCTGGAAATATTTGCTAGCAACCATAGGAGAGGGAAAAATAACTCTTGAAGGTCTCATATGGGCAAGACTTTCTGCATGTTATTACACCCAAAACTCATTGGCCAGAGGTGGTCACATGGCCCCATCCAACCACAAGGGCTCCAAAGTACAGTTTTACCATGTGACCAGACCTAGAATATTTAATGCTTGCATGTGCCCTTTTCCCAACTGGTAGCAGTACTTCTTAATTTTCTCTTTTTATTTTTAGTCTGACTTTTTTAGTTTAATCTTCATTTTTATGTGAGCTATATATAACTATAATGTGTCTCTGAAGCCAGACTGCCTGAGTTCAAATCTGGGCTGTACTTTTACTTCTGCTGGCTGTGTGACCTTGAGCAAACTGCCTAAATGGCTCTGTGCTTCATTTCTCTCGTCTCTAAAATGCAGATAATAATTATATATACCTCATTCATTCATTGTTTAAGGATTGAATAACTTCAGTAAAGCAGTTAAAACAGTTTTATTATTTTCTTAAAAGCAATTTCTTCCTTCTTCCATTTTTTTCCTCCCCAAAGATAACCTCTTAACCTTTAGCTAATTATTTTAGTATTTTCCCCATATCTCTAAGTAACGTGCTCATATTTCTAATAATGTTTTTCGATTTTAGTCATTACCTCACTAAAGAAAGTAATGATGTATCTCTTTTTACCCCACCCCTCCCTTATTTGCGTGCATAGTTCCTATCTTCTCAATCTCTTAATATATGTATATTGAATTTTAGTAAGATCAGTATTTACTGTTTACATTATAATGATAAATTATATGATTATTTTCCTTTCCTGGATAACTTTTTGTTTTCCCTGTAGTTAATAATCATTTATTGTGCATTTGCTTGTTTTTCTATATGGCTATAATAATTAATCCCCAAACTATTCTTGAATTAAATCAGTCTTCTCTCAATATAATCAGATGCTTTAGATGTTTCTATTGCATCTTCTTAAGGAAACATTCATGGAGTCCTCTGTCCTGCTCCAGTCTAGACTGGTCACTTGTTGCCCAGTGTACAACTGTCACCCTTGGATTGCCTTTTACTACCATATTGAGGACTCTTCTTATCGCTCTCCAATATTGGGTTCCTTCTTTCTGTATTGCATGGTGGAGCTTTCCCCCTCACAGCATCCTGAAAGGGGGCTTGGGAACTAATTTTCAGAGAAATTGTATATCTAAAGGTGTATTTATTCTACTTAACATTTATTCAAGGTTTTGGATGAGTATAGAATTCTTGGTTGAAATCCTTTTTTTTTTTCATATTTTGAAGGTATTGTTTCATTGTTTTCCAGCTTTCAGGACTAAGTCTGATGTCATTCTAATTCCAGAGGTTCTATATGAAACCTTTTTTTCCCCTCTCTGGAAGGTTTTAAGTTTTCTTTTGACTCCAATGTTCTAAAATTTCACAGTGATGTACTAAGGCATCTGTTGTCTGTTATATTGGGCACCTGGAAAGTCCTTTCAACATGAGAAGTTATACCCTTCAATTGTGAGACATTTTCTTAAATTACTTCTTTAAGTATTTCTTTGCCTTCTTTTCCTCTCCTCTATCTTACTAGAACTCTTGTTATTCAGATTTTGGTTCTCCCACATTCGTCCTTCAATTTTATTTTCTTTTTTTCTTCTACTTTCCATCCTTACATCCTTTTGCCTTACTTTCTTGGAGATTTCATCAGCTTTAATTGCTAAGCCTTCTATTCGGTTTCTTAGCTTTTGACAACATGTTTTTAATTGCCAATGCTCTCTTTTGTCCTCTGGTTATTTTTATAGACTCTTACTCTCTTTATAAGGGATGCAAGTCTTCTCTTACTTCTCAGAATATTAATGATAGGCTTTGTTTCATTTTATATTTTCTTTCCTCAGAATAATCTTTCTTTTCTGTAAGTTGGTCTTTGGTTTACTAATTTTTGGCCTTTGTATTTCATGTTAGATGCTTTTCTCAACTGCCTGTTGATCCTTCAATGAATGCTCAGATTTCAGAGAAGGGAAATCAATAGCCATTGGGAAGTTCTGAGCACATGCGTAGGGCTCTTTACTTACAGGATTCATTGTAGGGTGACCTGGCACCACCTTTCCATTGAGATATCCCCAATGTCAGAATCTTTGGGTACGTTCTCTTAGGCTGGTCAAATTTTCCACAGAAATTTCTTCCAGTGTCCTGCTTGGAAGGTATAAGTTTGGATACCAGTGTTCTGAGAACCCAATAGGGAAATATTATGTATAAAAGCTTATGCACAAATCTGCCCATTTGGGGTACACTGCCACCATCATCAGCACCCCATTTTCAACACTACCTGATGTCTCCCACTCCGGAGATGTATGTTGTTGTTGTTTTGGGTGTTCGTTTGTCTGTTGATTTCCAGAGAACAAGCCACTAGCTTTCTTCTAGAGTAGGGAAGAGGTATCTGTCCAGTCATGTAGTAGAGGAGGAGATCTAGAAGTCTAACTACTTTTTGAACAGGCTTTCACAAATCCTCCTTGTTTTTAGCTCACACTCACCCCTCACTTCCAGCAGTCCATGGAGACCATGGAGTGAATCAGATCACTTCTGAACTTTCTCCACTGCTGTCTTTGACTTCATCCATCTCAAGTCTTAAATCTTTCTATCCATCTGCTTTCCAGCTACTGAGATTTGCTTACTTTTGTCTCCTTTCCCATCTCTTTGTCTTTAAAAATTTATGTTGTTTCCTTCTTTTCTTAATTTCTACTCTGCTTTTAGTGAGGTTTGGGGAAAGGGTAGTATGTAATGAATATGTTCACTCTTCCATATTTAACTGGAAGTCCCAGCAGCATTATTTCCAAGCAGCCAAACTCATGTTCAAGTCAGAAAAAAGAATGATTTTGCTTTGTTCTGCAAGGAATAACCATTACCAACGTAAGCTTGAAACTGGCATGAATGCTTGTGTCAGTCAGCTGTTCCTATATAATCATAGCCAAAGACACACTGGCCCTCAGTCATGGGCCACCTGTCCAGGTTTCTATGCCTAACAGCAGTCATATGGACCATATTCTCATCTCCAGTGACATGTCTGTCAGCAGTCTGGTGGTGATACCAACAACCTCATTTTCCCTTCATTGCATAGAATATGAGAGTTAAAATCAGTGATTATGTAGCCCAGCTCCATGCAATATTATTTGCAAAGGCTGTTATAGGAAGTATAGGAAGCCTACTACCTTTATTAGGGCAAGCTCCATGTTATAAGCAGAAGACCTGAACAGAAGCAATGAATTATTTGCTTACCATTGTACCTGCAGAGCCTGATGCATAGTAGTGCCCCCAATAAATATTTGTCCAATTAATGAATGTCTGTTTTCCCAGGCACTGACTTTTTGAGCAATTCTTTTCACTTCTCAGCCTCAGTTTCTTCTTCTGAATAATGAGGATGATAATCATACCCATCCCTACACCCATTTTTGTAAACCAACATACACAATGAAGAAAAAAACTGTTCCAGAATGCTGGCAGTGGTTATACAGAAGTGACGAGATGATATGGGTGGGGTTTTGCTCTTTTTTTTCTATTCTCCAGACTTTCTGTAATGTGCTTACATTAATTTTATAATGAAAAAAATTAACACAATACGTAGACTTACAGGGAATGCTTTACCAACATTGAGAATTGTATGAATGTTAGAAGGCAATTGCGGGAGTTGGGAGAAGGGCAAAGGAGTTGATTCCATGTCTTTTTATCCTACCTTAAAATAAATCAAAAATTTCAAAGCAGAGAGTATCAACAGAACACCTACGTGGTCTCCTCTGCAGTTATAAAGACTACTTATCTCCAGCATTTTTGAGGAGTTGTTCATTGAGTTAACCACTGGCATCTCAAGATACCAGAGCTTCTTTTTTTCTCTTTTTTTTTTTTTTTTTTTTGATACGGATTCTCGCTCTGTCGCCCAGGCTGGAGAGCACGATCTCGGCTCACTACAACCTCTGCCTCCCGGGTTCAAGCGATTATCCTGCCTCAGCCTCCTGAGTAGCTGTGACTACAGACGTGCGCCACCACACCCTGCTAATTTTTGTATTTTTAGTAGAGACAGGGTTTCACCATGTTGGTCAGGCTGGTCTTGAACTCCTGACCTCGTGATCCGCCCCCCTCGGCCTCCCAAAGTACTGGGATTACCAGCGAGAGCCACCGTGCCCGGCTACAAGAGCTTCTTATAGGCATGAATGAGCAGAATCCCTACATGAACCTGAGGATAAGTGACACTAAAGGGATGGGGGAGGGGAAGGCAGGAAGGTAGGAAAATGGAATTGGGGGTGTTGATCTGCCCAGTGGAATTTATACTGTATTTTTTAAAATACATTCCAGAAAGCACAAAATTACAAACCACAGGCCGCAAGCAGTCAGTCTCAAGAAGCCTGAAACACCTGTTCCATTCCTCGAACAAGTTTGTGAAGACCTTAAAACGGTGGGTTCTATGTAGTTTTTTCAGGAAATCTTAACTTTTCAAGAATGCACTGGTTTTGGTTCTGAGTAGAAACTTGGTAGAAATTTTTTTGTGTTCAAAACAATAAAATTCACTTTTCTCCTGAGAATTTGTGTAAGACAGTAATTTTCTCTCTTTTGAGTTGTAACTAGTGAACTTATGATACTTAGCAGGAATACGTTCCTAGGTATATTTTAAATTCATCTTTTATCACATCCAAAAAAATATTTTTCCAAGATGGTTGAGGACAATGCTTTTATTTTCCTTTTTCTTTTTAGGGGACTCTACATAGCCGTTATATTTTATTACAAAGACAATATCTTAGTCACCAATGAAGATCAAGTACCAATTGTTGAAATAGATGACTCTCACACCAGTTCTATTACACAAGATTTTCTGTGGTTCACGAAGGTATACTAAGTTCTGATTTCATTTTTCCCTACTTTGTACCAATGTTACTGCACAAAAATCTCTGAAACATTAGTTGAGGGGTCTCCAGCGATCAGAGTTTTGGGGTAGAAATAAAGTATCTCCAAGGTCCTTTTCAGCCCTGGTATGCCCTATGTCATTTTAAAAAGCACCAAAGTAACGTGTGCGCTACATTTTCAAAGCAAAGAGACTTGCATCCTGTCACAATGTGTCTCCACTGTTCTGAGTTATGGGATCATTTGGCAAAGACTAAAATGTGGATCTGACCGTTTCATTAACATTCAGATCTTTTTCCAATTGGACAGAGATCAAAAAGTTGTTTCGTGTGTGTCTGAAAATGGACTGGAGAATAAACATCAGGGGTCAGATTTCTTTCTCCCTGCTTTGCTTTGATGCCACAACCTAAATCATGTACTGGCTTGGACGATGACATGATTGCATGCCTTCTTTTGCAGCTGTCTTGTATGTGGGAAGATATAAGGTGGCTGAGGCAAAGCATACCAATATCCTCATCCTCATCCACAGTGCTGCAAACTCGGCAGAAGATGCTCGCAGCAACAGCACAGCTACAGGTAAGGGACCAGGTTTCAACCCAGGCCCCCAAGGAAAATATTTTTAATGTAGAAAATTCAGTTACCAGTCCTACCTAGAAAGGAAAAGGATGGGCTCCCTTCTCTTTCAGACCCCTAAGAATATGAAGTTTTCTTGAGCAGCTGGAGCTGCGTACCTGTAGGTATGCAGGTTTCATATAGGAAACCTGTACCTTTAGCAGTCTCCTCCAAGTGAGTCTCTCTTGAACAGTATATAGGAGTAACTCATTAAACAAGGAGTAAGGAGACTTGAGTTCTAGATTTGATATTAGTCAGCCGACTCAGTTCTCCTCTCTGGGCCCCAGTTTCATCACTTGCAAAATAAGAGAAGTTTAATGAGATCTCTTGAAGGACTGTTGCTGCTCTGCCGTCCTATGCATTAATGAGTATATGAAGATGGAAAAAAGAGACGAGCAGATATTTTGAACAGTTTCTTGGTGTGATGATTTTGGTAAAGCATAGACATTTTTGCTTACTTATAAAAAAAAAACAAATAGAGAACAACGCTTAAAAGATTATCTTTAAGCCTGAATTGATTTATCCTTCCATATTCTCAGTCACATCAGATCAAGTCCCCAATCTTTGTAGGTTACAGAGCTCCTCCTAGAAGTAGCATTAAATTCTAACCAAGATTTTCTGGGTTTTCCTCTTACTGTTTTCTGGTATTAAGTGAATTTGTGAATCTTAGCACAGAAAAAAAAATATCTGCTACATGGGATTGGAGCCATTAAGAGATCGCTGAGCCTTTATCAGTAACGGGTATCTACCTACAAATCTGCAGTTACATCAACCCCAGAAATATGCATAACAGGAATCTATGTAAGCTGTGTTTGGCCAGGCCATGTAGGTCACAGCATAAAAATAAAGTCACAATAACAAAAAAAAATTTCTATGGCTTTGCCCCCCACCTACAATTATAGGAATGTCATTTCTTAAACCCTCACAATAATAATAATTCAACTTCCTGCAATATTTTGTTGCTATTACAATTAATTCAGAAATGCAAATTTTGCTCCTCTGTGATATATTCCATTACACAGGTAGCTTGCTGTTTTGTATGCTCAGTGAGATTTTAGCAAACAGCTGTTCATTTCAACTCACTCGGGTTTTTTTTGGGTTGGTGGTGGTGGTGGAATGGAATCTCTCTCTGTCTCCCAGGCTGGAGTTCAGTGCCGTGATCTTGGCTCACTGCAACCTCTGCCTCCTGGGTTGAAGCAATTCTCCTGCCTCAGCCTCCTGAGTAGCTAGGATCACAGGCACCCACTACCACACCCGGCTAATTTTTGTATTTTTACCAGAGACAGGGTTTTACCGTGTAGGCCAGGCTGGTCTCGAACTCCTGACCTCAAGTGATCCACCTGCCTCGGCCTCCCAAAGTGCTGGGAGTACAGGCATGAGCCACCGTGCCTGGCCTCAACTCACTCTTGATTGCATAATCTTCTCTTCCAACTCAAGAAGCAGTTCTTGGAGCGGGCCATGATGACTGTGCTGAATTCAAAGTGCCTCGTCCTTTCATCACTGACCCACTTGAGTTGGACCATGCCACTGCACCTCACACTACTCTTTCTTTAGGATAAATACATTCCTAAGAGGCTCAGACTCCTTAGTGGATCCTCCCATCATCCTACCATACAGCCCAGACATGCCTGGATCACAGACTGAAAAACCTTAGAATTTCAAGGGGGGCTCTTTATTATGTGTTTATTGGAGGTTTCTTAGAACTTTCATCTGATATCAGCAATGTGAGAAGGATCAGGCTGTTACAAGTCAGTGCAGTCAGACGCTGAGTGATGCAATGATGGCCAGTGTGACCCTACTCAACTACTCCCATTACAATACTTTTGGACTTCCTCAGCTTCCAAATCTATAGACCTCACCACTTTTCATAATGCATCAGCCCACTTCTGAAGTCATTTCCTTCCTTGACCAGCTTAGATTCCTTAGCCCATCTTAATCACTTCCTTGAAAATATTCCATTTTCTCCTTCATATTATTTATTTGGAAAAATCCCACGCCTGGATGAATCCAACATGTCTAAAGTAGTTACACATTGCCACATAAAAAAAAAAAATCACAAAAAAGGGCTGACTGGTTTTATGTTAAATTCATGACTACAATTCTCACACGTAATGTTAGTGGTCCAATTTCCTTTCTCTACTAAATTTGCTTTCTCACACTGTAAAGCAACTATTTTAAAACCTTCTCCCCAGCACTTTGGGAGGCTGGCAGGTGGATCACTTGAGCTTAGGAGTTTCAGACCAGCTGAGCAACATGGCAAAACCCCATCTCTACCAAAAATACAAAAATTAGCTGGATGTGGTGGTGCACATCTGCAGTACTGGCTACTCAGGAGTCTGACGTGGGAGGATCACTTAAGCCTGGGAGGCAGAGGTTGCAGTGAGCTGAGATCGTGTCCCTGCACTCCAGCCTGGGTGAAAGAGTAAGACCTTGTCTAAAAATAAAATAAAATAAAATAAAATAAAACCTTCTTCATTCTCCCACATCCCTTCTCCTTCCCCACACTCTCCTTCCCCACACTCTCCTTCACATCTCAGGTGATGATTTCACTGTATAATTCATCAAGGAAAAAAATGGAAATTAATGATTTTTTCTGCCAAATTTATAAACCTCCTTGCACAGACCGAACCTTCTTTTTTTTTTTCTTTTTATTTCAGAAGGTAAAGTCTCACATTTCCTACCATAAGTTCATTCCTCCACATGTGCTCTGGGTCCCATCTCTTCCCTCTCATTTTTATTTTAAAATACTCAAGTCTTTCCAGTTAAATCTCCCCCTAAATTCCTCTCATAGCCCCACATGCCCCTTCAGCTACCAAACTATTCTCTTCCTTACACCCAAACTTCTTGGAAGAGTTACCTACATCCCCTTTCTCCACTGACATCTCCATTTCCTACCAGTTCTCAAACCTCTCTCTGACTTTTGCTACCATGATGCATACAAAACTGCTCTTTAAGGGCACCAGAAACCAGAAGCAGATGATGCTGCCAAAGCTGGAGCTTCAGGACCCCTCACTTGCATGAGCTATGAGTGTGGGACCCCTGTAAGTGTGGAACCCACAGTGTTTTAGGGAAGGGAAGCTGGATTGCAGTCAGGAAGCATTTCTCGCAAACTTTCTAAAGAAATTTCTGGAGGAAAGGGGACCCAAAATTCCAAACAGTCTAGTATTTGCTGGAGAGAAGGAAATTTCTTTTATCCTTCTGGATAAAGATTCACTTTTATACCTAGTCTTATTTTTGAAATTCTGTGTTCTCTGTCTTAAAGAGTGCCTCAAAATTGTATAGTTCAGGCACCCACAAAACCTAGATCTAGTCATGCCAATGACTTTGGTTTCACTAAGCAACATTTTATACACTTGGTTCCATACTCCTTTTGGAGATTGGCATATCCCTTGGCTTCCACAATTTCACACTGTTCCGATTTTCTTCCAACTTGCTGGTCTTTCTCCGTATCCTTTGCTAGTTTTCAAGCTGTTTCCTTTGCTTAGAATCCCCTTCTTTCCTCACTTTGCCTTACTAATTCCTATATATCCTCCAGGTCTCAGCTTAACTTTTATACTTCCTTAAAGAGCCTTTCTCTGATCCCTTGATTAAGTGAATCACTCTCATAGCACCTTGTATTCTTCATTCAGGAAAGTGATCAGAATCCCAGAGTTTATTACTTGTATTATTATCTGTTTAGTGCCCCACTTGGACTGTGAGTTCCTCAGTTCAGGGAATGTGTCTGTCTTGGCTACCACTATATCCCCAATGCCTGGAATGTGGTAGACACTCAGTAAGTACAAGTTGGATAAATAAATATATCTGTCAATCCAAACCCATGTACCCCAGTGATCACACTTGAGGGAAACTTTATCTAGCCAAAGGGAAAAGGGATCACAGAAATGTTTTGTAGTTTTGTAGCATAGTTACCACCTGGATGGATAGCTCTCCGGTCCTGCACCGTGACCGGAGAGCCTCATAGTCTTCAATAAATGGTCACCTTCACAGTGCCCCCATCAAGGCCTGAGTGCTGTATGCATGCCCTTCTCTCTAAGTTTCTTTATGCCTAGTTCAATGATAAAAGTTGCTTTCATCACTTTTTTTGGTAGGACCTATTGCCCAAACTATTTACTAGTCTGTACAGCGAAGATGTCTGGAAATACTGAAGGCACCTTTTGTTGGTGAGGGAGGTAAGAGCGGTGGAAGGGAGGCGTAAGTTATAGAAAAACTTTTCTGAAGGGAAAGAAAAAGAAATTTGAGGATTGACACATAGTTAATATGTTAGATCACTCTACTAATTTAAAATATTTTACAATGTGGCCAGGCGCGGTGGCTCACGCTTGCAATCCCAGCATTTTGGGAGGCCAAGGCGGGCAGATCACCTGTGGTCGGGAGTTCGAGACCAGCCTGACCAACACGGACAAACCCCGTCTCTACTAAAAATACAAAATTAGCTGGGCGTGGTGGCGCATGCCTATAATCCCTGCTGCTCGGGAGGCTAAGGCAGGAGAATCACTTGAACCCAGGAGGCGGAGGTTGTGGTGAGCTGAGATCGCACCATTGCACTCCAGCCTGGGCAACAAGGGTGAAACTCTGTCTCACAAAAAAATAAAATAAAATAACAATGTTCTGAGGAAAGTAAAAATGCATTATACATAGTTTGATTGGCATCAACCATAAATAAATTCTATTGATTTTCCTCTGGTGCATCTCATTTAACTCTCCTCTCCTTTCCAGTTTTGTATACTACTGCCTGATTACTCCAATTTGGTCAAAAGCCTCCAAAGTCATCCCTCTGCTACCAGTCTTGACAGCCTCCAATCCACTTTCCATACTTTGGCCAGAGTAGCCAATCTAAAAGATTCTGACCAAGGCATTCTCTGACTTAGACTCTTCCAGCTGTGGCTCAGACATTTTATCACGGCTCACAAAGGCCTCAATCATGATCTTTCTCCCCCTCATCTGCGCTCATAGTCACTGGGCTTAGTCACTGTGTCCAAGTCAGGGGACCTACCTTTATCACAGTGCATATCAAGCACTGTGCAATTTGCACCTTGTTTTCTGGGTTTCTGCTCTCTAGTGAGCTCCTTTAATATATAATAGTAAATAGTAACCGTGAAGTGACTACTTTCATTTATTTAACAGACTAGGTGCCAGGCACTGTGTTGAGTGCTTTACAAACTTTACTGTCATTTAATCTTTGCCACAACCTAATGAGAAAGTACTATTATGGTATTCTTTTAACAGATCATAACACTAGGGCCTAGAAATGCTCATTTGTGCCCAAGGTTACATAGATAGGAAGTAGCAGATTCTAGATTCAAATCCAGATTTATTTAACTCCAAAGCCTGCTTCCTTTCCAGTACTTCATCATCTTACTGTGTAGTAATTTACAAAAAAAGCAGACAAAATTTTAAAGAGAAAAAATTATTCATATTATAGTAAAAAAGAAAAAGAAGTCTATTCTTAATTAAAATTTCCTAGGCCAGAGGAGAGATAAGTATCTCAGCATGTGGGAAAAAAAATTAAGATGAGAAATCCTGTAAGTGACCAAAAGCCCACATTGTTTTTCTTTCTCTTAGGAAAATGTCAGAGGGCCCAAAGAGGGAGAAGTGTACATTGCTCTTACATTGAAAGGTGTCTAAGCTACTTATCCCCCCAAAACAGTAAAAATCTGACACTGCAGATTGTGCTAAACTTTCCTCCTCCATAGCTTTTAGAAATGAGTGTTAGTGAGTAAGAGCTAAGTAACAATATATGAATACCGTGTTCTTTACATTTGTTAAGGGGAGAAAAGATTTTCCCAAAATTTTGCTCTTCTTTTTCAGGCCTCCTTATCCCAACTCTGGACTTCCTTCACCTTCCCATGTCCACATCACCCCAAACTGAATAAAGACCTCTAAATATTGTGCCTCTGCCTAGGGCTTATTGACAGCCCTGTGATTTGTCCTGGTTATAACCTAGATGCATTCCTGTTAGCCATCAGGTGGCTCTTATAGGATCATCAGGAGCCCTAGATCACCTAACCTTGATTATGACAGGTATTAACATGGTCTATTTTTGCTTTAGGCCCTAAAGAACCTTGAATTCTCCCTCATGGAAGATGGTTCCAATTTATTTTCACAATAATATTCTACTTTTAAATTGGGCTCTCCTCAAAGCTAGCTATCCAACCTAATTTGATGTCAATAAAAAATTTCAAGAAGACTTACAGTGCTTTCTTATTCAACCCCTTAGAAAACCTATCTACAGCTGATAGTGAACCACTGATAATAACTTTGTTTAAGTGAAAAGACCACCGTAGTCAATGTCTACCCATCAGCTTTGGTCCAAAGTGAATCACATTTTCCGGCGTCTTAATGATAATACAATATGTTAATTAAGTCAACGAAAAGTGGCTGAGTCCTTTCCATGGGCAGGCACTGTGCAAGGGACACAGAGACACAAAGATGAAACAACTATGAATTCATAACGTGAACTCATACACCAATACATGCAGTAAAGCCAGAGACATGCTAAGATGGAAGTTTGTAGAGGAAACAGTAAGGGAAAAAAGAGGGATGGTAAAGTCTTCCTTAGAGAGTTGGAAAAGTCTTCCCAGGGGAGGTGAAATCTGGGATGGGTCTTGAAAAGGAGTAGATGTAAGCCTGGGTGGGATTCCAATTAGAGCAGTAAAGAAAGCCCCCACCCTACATTGCATCGAGCTTGAGGGTTTACAAAATACTTTTTCATGAGTTGCTTGATTTAATCCCTCAAACATTCACTGAGGTAAAGATTAGCATAACAGCTGTCTGAGCTGTAAAGACTCTTACTTTTAGATGATGATACTCAGGACCAGAGAGGGTAAATAATTTTTTCAGAAGTCCAACAGTTAATAAATGGTAGCCAACCCTGAAATTCAATACCAAATATAAGTAAAGGTTTAATAGCAATGGTAGGCTGGAGCCAACCTGTACTGGCCCGAGAGAGCCAACTGTTAAATATTCGGGGATTTTGAAAGCCTGTTGTCAAACTCTGGGTAGTTTGAAATCCCACTACAGCAAGAGTATTTACACCACAGAAACCGGCATATGCTACAAATCAGGGCTTTCTTTTCTTTTCTTCCTTTTTTTTCCTTTTTCACTAGCCAGTTTACCAGCATCACACTGCTTATTAGTACCCCACAGGGCTGGACTAAAAGCCACACCCACTTCTCTATGATTTAGAAGTCAAATATTGGAAAGAAAAAATATGACTGAGTGATTAGGCCATCGCAAAAAAATCATAATCTTGCCAAATGAATTTTTATGTCAAAAATTATTTATGAAATTCCTTATTTGTCCTATGTCTGGTCTTTGTAAGGAAGAAGATAAGGTTTCGGCCGCAGTCCCTACCTGTGAGGGAAAATTCCGGGGTTTTCATAGATGTAGATGTTGACTTCCTGGCTCATTCATTTTTAGGTCATCCTTGTCACTTTTACAAATCCCAGTTCTATTTCTGTATTCATGCTAACAGGGCATCTCACCACCTCTTATGTGAGCTCACAAAAGTAACAGCTAGGAGCTCTAGGATGATTTATAATGTTTAGAAATCACAGATATTTAAAGCTAGAGGGGATTTTATCCTATTCATCCAGTGTTCTAGCTTAGAAATCTTCAAACCCTGCATATTTGTAAAACTCCTGTTTATTTTAGGAATAACTACCTGAGCCCCTCCATATTGAGTGTGGCATCTTTCCCTTCCTACCTTCCTAAAAGCATTGTCTGCCTCAGTTGACCCAGTTTATAAGCAATTTTAACAGATTTTTAAATAAACAGAAGCCCCTGAAATGCAGATAAGTCGAATCAGGCCAATTTCCCAATTAAAGTATCTTGAAGGGAATGTGCAGTCATTTGGGGACCTGTACAATGTGCTACATTGTCAATTCACTTCTTCATTTTAAACAACCCCACCTCATACCAGCTTACTGCAGATCTCCTGAGAACTCCACAGAAGCATACTTTAAATATCAGACATTTTTCTTTAAAACATCTGGGATTCTCTTCAAGTGCTGGTAACTGAGGTTTATGTACTGGTGTGCCTATGTGGGTAAGAAATATGTACAGATACTGAATTTGCCTTTTTAAAAAAACATAATTTTTATGCATCTTGCTGTAATCTTTGCAGGCTCTGCAATCTTTACAAATGCCTTGTAAAGACCTTTGAGCTTCTGTGAAGTACATGTCTATGATGCCATATATTCTAGGTTTAAGTGCAAAAAAAAAAAAGAGAGCAAACAGCTTCTCAGAAATCAGATTATTATTCACGGTGTCTTTTGTTGCCGTTGTGTTGCTTTGTTAGCATAATACCCTCTATGCTACCGGTAATCCATTTGTTTCCAGAATTTACTTGGGACACACAACTTGGGAAGAGTTTACTATGAGCCCATTAAAGATCGACATGGAAACATACTCATAGTCACCATCAGGGAGGTGGAGATGCTTTATTCATTTTTTAATGGCAAATGGATGCAGATCTCAAAGCTGCAAAGCCAGAGAAAGTCTCTATCAACACCTGAGGAGCCAACAGCTTTAGACATTCTACTGATAACCATCCAGGTATGTAGTTTTTTTCTTAATTCCCGGGTATACTTAAGGTTCCAAACCCAATTATTGAAGGTCTAGTGAAATATTGCAAGAGCCATTTACATATGCAGTGATGGAGTGGAGAGGGTCCAGAGATATGTTGTTGCAAATGCAGAAGCTTATTTTTTATTTATCACTCCCTAGATGTGGAATTCATTCATACAAATAGTGGGCACCTAATAAAGCATTTTCATGCCCTGGCCAATGAGCCAGTAAGAAACATTGAGGCCAGGCGCAGTGGCTCATGCCTGTAATCCCAACACTTTGGGACCAAGGTGGGTAGATCACTTGAGGTCAGGAGTTCAAGACCAGCCTGGCCAACATGGTGAAACCCCATCTCTACTAAAAATACAAAAAAATAAATAAATAAATAGCTGGGTATGTGGTGCACACTTATAATCTCAGCTGCTTGGGGGGCTGAGGCGGGGAGAATCGCTGGAACCTGGGAGGCGGGTTGCAGTGAGCCAAGATTGTGCGACTGCCCTCCAGCCTGGACAACAGAGTAAGACTCTGTCTCAAAAAGAAAAGAAAACAAACATTGAGACCAATAATTGAGTAGGGGATAGGGAATCTCTAGATAGTATAATCAAAACATTAAACCAATATCTGAATGAACTGTAATGACAATACATTTCTAAATTGTATATATATGTGTGCATGTGTGTGTATTTGAGTGTGTGTACATGGGTGTGTATGTACAAAAACACTCTCACACATATTTACTCCTGCATGTTCCTTACGATACTCCCTTGGGACAGACAGGCATGATTAAGTCCATTTTAGGAATGAAATAACTAGAGGCTGGGCGCAGTGGCTCACACCTGTAATCGTAGCACTTTGGGAGGCCAAGGCAGGCAGGTCACCTGAGGTCAGGGGTTCAAGACCAACCTGGCCAACATGGTGAAACCCCATCTTTACTAGAAATACAAAAATTAGCCAGTTGTGATGGCAGCCACCTCTAATCCCGGCTACTCAGGAGGCTGAGGCAGAATTGCTTGAACCAGGGAGGTGGAGGTTGCAGTGAGCCGAGATCACGCTACTGCACTCCAGCCTGGGTGACGGAGTGAGAATCCATCTTAAAAAAAAAAAAAAGAAAGAAAAGAAAAGAAAGAGAGAGAAAGAAAGAAAGAGAGAAAGAAAGAAACAAAGAAAGAAAGAAAGAAAGAAAGAAAGAAAGAAAGAAAGAAAGAAAGAAGAAAGAAAGAAAGAAAGAAAGAAAGAAAGAAAGAAAGAAAGAAAGAAAGAAAGAAAGAAAAAGGGAAAGAAAGAAAGAACTAGAGCTCAAAGAGGTTAAATGACATAGAGCTACACACAGAGGCAATTTAGTGAAGCTAATGAAGCTTTGATGTCCTTCAGCCTTCACTTGTACAAGCCTCTTCTATGTCCTTGCAGGGACCCTAGCAGCTTTGCTTTCATAACTTTGTGTTGTTTTCCTTAAAAAAGACACCAGAAACTATATCCACTTGAGTCTCCACAAAACTTGATTTTGTCCCTTGGCACACAGCTAGAAAATGACAGAGCTGAGGCTTCAGTTCAGATCTTCTGATTGCAAATCAGGCTTCTTTCTGCTACATTATGTCATATTTTGAGGTAGAAGTCAGGATTTTAGTGAGTGGGGGACAGGAAATGAAATAAAGGATAAAAGACTTACTTGAATACTGAATAGCCACCAAAATTCAAAATCCAGGTAGCTCAGATGCAGCCCTTGGCCTGGATGGTGGAATTGGGACACCAACCCATGTATGCTCCTGAGTCCAGCACGCTCTCTCTGCCTCACACATTCTTTTGTGAACATGGGCTTCAAACTGTTTCTTTTTTTCTTTCTCTGTTTTTTTTTTAATCCAGTGATAGGGATGAATTGTATAGGACACTTAGGTTAGGTAGAAAAGCTGGCAGAAACATCTACACTGAGCCCCCTGCAAGCAGTAGCATATCCACAGACAGCCACAGAGAGAAGGAAGGACCCAGTTGCACAGAAACAACCCAAATCTGACCTTCCGTCCTGGGAGCCATCTGTGGTCACCCTAAACGGCTAACTTACTTTCTAAGTTACTTTCATTCCCCGCCAAGGGGTGGCAAGTACAATAATCTCATTTTTTCATTACTTGCACCGGCCCAAACCAGGACAAAGGCCAATGAAGCAAAGGTAAGCTAATTGGTCAAAGCCAATACCTCTGGATTTAATTTTGTGGAATTTGGGTTCATAGGGAATTGACAGAGAGTATGTGCTTGTGTGAAGGAGGTGGGGGCAGGGAACACAGACACATTTGAGGCTCCCCTCTTCACCTTTTATAAGCAAGTGCTAAAAGAAACATTTAAAAAATCATAATAAATTGAGCTTTTACAGGGTGACTAATACACTAATCCCCTATAGGGATAAACTAGGGTCTGGGCTACCTTTGCTCCTAGAAACACAGCACAGGCCTCAACATGATATAATACCTGGTTTCTCCTAGACTTATTACATTAAAAATGTGTTACAGGTGCAGAAAAATTCCAATCTGGTGAAAGGTTGTTAGAGAAGGAAACCAAAAATAGAGGCAGGATCGGGTTTCCACACAGATCCAAGTGGAAAATTTACCCCCGCTGACTGGCACATTCCCACCTGATGTCATTCCCACCCACCCCCACTCTCCCTTCTCCTCCCCCTACTTCTTCTCTCTCCCCTCCTTCCCATACAAGTCTCACACTAGAGAGGAAATGGGGAATAAAACTATGAGGGCTGGTATCCAATCCCTCCTAGACTTAAGATTTAATTATATCAGGAGTTGGCCCCACCAACTCAACATAAAGGGAGAGATAGGTCTTGGTGGTACCCAAAGCAGGCTGGTAATTCCCACAATAACAGGCCACAGACCACTCTCTTTTCTCAGGGGTGGTGGAGTGATGACCACCAGGCCTTCTCATTGGAAGCCTGGGCTTCTGTCTGCTACATCACATCACATTCTGTGCACCACTTTGAAATCAGGATGACTGGGTGTGAATACCGACTCCACCCTTTCTGGTTATGTGTCCAGGGCATTATTTAACTTCTCATCCCTCACAGTTCCTCCTCTGCAAAAAACCTACTTCATAGGGTTCTAATGAAGATAGGTGAGTTAGTACATACATGATTAAAAGAGTAGCACAAAGTAGTGCTCAATAAATATTAGTGATTTTTATTATGTCTCAGAAAATTTTTTTTCTTTTTATTTTTATTTTACTTTAAGTTCCAGGGTACAAGTGCAGGATGTGCAGGTTTGTTACATTGGTGTGCCATGGTGATCTGCTGCACCTATCAATCCATCACCTAGATATTAAGCCCAGCATGCATTAGCTATTTTTCCTGATGCTCTCCCTCCCCTTGCCCCTACCAACAGGCCCCAATGTAGGTTGTTCCCCTCCCTGTGTCCATGTGTTCTCATTGTTCAGCTCTCACTTATAAGTGAGAACACATAGTGTTTGGTTTTCTGTTCCTGCATTAGTTTGCTGAGGATAGTAGCTTCCAGCTCCATCCATGTCCCCGCAAAGGACATGATCTCATTCCTTCTTATGGCTGCATAGTATTCCATGGTGTATATGCACCACATTTTCTTTATCCAGTCTATCATTGATGGGCATTTGAGTTGATTCCATGTCTTTGCTATGGGAAATAATGCTGCAGTGAACATACGTGTGCACATGTCTTTATAATAGAATGATTTATATTCTTTTGGGTATATACCCAGTAATGGGATTGCTGGGTCAAATAGTATTTCTGATTCTAGGTCTTTGAGGAATTGCCACACCATCTGCCACATTATTGAACTAATTTACATTTCCACCAACACTGTAAAAGCTTTCCTATTTCTCTGCAGCCTTGCCAGCATCTGTTGTTTCTTGAATTTGTATTAATAATAATCACCATTCATGTCTCAGAAAATTTTAAGCAATGCTAGGCTGCCCTCAGGACACACCCAGTCCACAGAGACCTCTGGTAATGGCCTAATCATTCTGTGGGGCATTTTTTCATGTTTTCTACCTTTCCATCACAACTAAGGAAAAGCTGTACAAAAGTTATGATCCACGACGGGGTTTTCAAAACAGATAGGGCTTTAACAAAATCTGGGCCCATAAATAATCTACGAATCCCTAGGGCCCCAGGGAAACTCCAGTGTCCAACTCCCTCAAATTCCTGACCTTCTCAAATCCCAGGCCTTCAAAAGAGGCCTCTCTCATTTATCTGTGAAAGAGCAAAAAATCCTCCTCACCCTTGCCTGGGAAGGAAAAGAGAGTTATTGTGGACAAGAGTCCCTATGAGCAAAGTAATTGGCAATGAGAGTATTTCCAACAGAAAGGCCCCTCTCAGGTGCTAAGTTGCTCCGACCATTCTCTTCAGGGATCACTTCAGTCCCTAGAAGCCTCACATGCAAGCTTTTTCCTGAAGCTTAATCTCTCACATGTGTACTATATATTCAACTTTCCAACACTTTGTCACATCTATGATATCATTTGATCCTCATGCAAACCCAAAGAGGATGAGTGAGTCGTTTTGTGTCCAGTTTGCAGAAGAAGCCGTGAATTTCAAGGAAGTACCTTGTCAAGTCATATCAACTAGAAGAGGGACCAAACCCACAACTTCTGACTCCTAGGCTGATGGCCTTCCCATTTCACCATGCTGCTGTACACACCTTCCTCCCCGCCCCCACCCCTGCTTTTCTCTGCATCCTTTGTGATCCTAGGGAAGCTGTGGCGAAGGATGTCTTCTGTTCCTTCTCTTCCCTGCTTTCCTTTTCTTCTGCTTAGGCATTCCTTATCACCTCTAGGTATTCAGTGTCTTCTTCTTACACCCTAGGTGCCCAGGACCTCTTCTTCCCTTTTCTGCTTTTTTTCCAGCACATTCCTACTCTTTCTACCCCCAAGCAGCTCCAAACACAAGGATCAAAAACTACAGGAATCAGAAAGATTGCTGGAAATGAGGCAATTGGGCTGGACTTAGGAAACAATTGGGTTCATGTAAAAACTTGTTCACCAATGTTCATAGAAGCATTATTCACAATAGCCAAACAGTAGAAGTAAACTAGATGGCAAACAACTGACGAATGGGTAAACAAAATGTGGTATATCCATATAATGGAATATTATTCAGCCATTAAAATGAATCACATATGATCCATGCTACGACTTGGATGAACCTTGAAAATGTAATGCTGAGTGAAAGAAGCCAGACACAAAGTGCTAAATGTTGTATGATTCCACTTATATGCTATGCCCAGAATAGGCAAATCCATGCAGACAGAAAGTAGATTAGTGGTTTCAGGAACAGCAGGCGGAGAGATAGGGGAATGACAGCTAATGAATGTGTGGTTTCTTTCTAAAATGATGAAAATGGTCTGGCATTAGACACTGGTGATAGTTGCACAACCAAGTGAATACGCTAAAACCACTGAATTACATACTTGAACAGGGTGAATTTTATGGTATATGAGTTATAACTCAATTAAAATAAAAAGAAACAAGTGTAAGTAAAAGAGACTACATTAATCTTGTCCCCTTTAAAGACAGCAGCTCCGATTCAGCCTCAGCTAATTACAGTGGAAGAATGTGGTCCCAGTCTTGAAATATTTTCAGTGTTTTGAAGAGAAGTTGAAAATCAAAAATTTTGGTAAAGTCTTTTTATTTTTATAATTTAGAAAATAATTCAGAAAACTAAATTATTTGCAGTCCATATAATCTTGGACCTACAAAGACCACTAGCCACCATTTTGTCACCTCTACCATCATGGATGGTTGAGTTTTCATACTCCATCCAACAAAATAAAAGTGCTGTAGTTATTGAAAAAGCAACTACCTATTGTTCCTCTAACAAGCTCTCAGGATCTCTGATCAATGACGAGAAGGTGGATATACCCTTCCTAGTCACTGTGCAAGCACAGCATATTTTCTCCCTGAAGACCAGCCCCAGACCCCACCTCCTCTGATCTTCTCACTTCA
This sequence comes from Homo sapiens, assembly GCF_000001405.40. Taxonomy (NCBI): domain Eukaryota; kingdom Metazoa; phylum Chordata; class Mammalia; order Primates; family Hominidae; genus Homo; species Homo sapiens. The sequence continues at coordinate 56,472,551 of NC_000017.11, forward strand.
TATTTAATGAATAATTTTTTCAGTGTCAACTAGGTACCAGACACTCTTCTAGGTGCTACAGAAAAAAACAAATGAATAAGTCAAGGTCCCTACTTTTAAGGAATTCAGTCAAACGAAGACAGACAGATTTGTAAACAAATCAAGGTAATACAAGACAGAATTAAACCAGAGCCTGATAGCAGTACAAACAGTGTACTATGGGGAACACAGACAAAGCAGCTATTAATTCTGCCTGAAAATATCAGGGAAGGCATTGCAGAAGAGATGGCATTTGGCTGAGCCATGAGGGTAGTTAAGTTAACCAGGTGGAAAAAAAGAAAGAGAGAGAAAGAACAAAATAAAGGAGAGAAGAAAGAAGGAATTAAATAGATGGAATTAAATTGAGAGCATGATAAAGAAATGAGGCAGAAACTGGAAGAGTGGATTTCACCCTCCCTTAGGCCCACAATAGGCCTTACACAGTCTTCTTATGGCCTCTATGATGTTGGGTGAGAAAAACTTGCTTACATGATTCTCTCACACTGAAATGTGAGTTCCATGAAGGGAAGGATCATGTTTTATTCATCTCGATGTCATCAATATCCTAGCCACAAGACTGATACATAGTAAGTGCTCAGTAAAAGTTGGTAAAATGAGTGAATTTGTGAAACAACAATCAAAACAGTGAGACTAGGGCATGTATGGGGAAAGAAAAAACAATCCATTTTGGCTAGAGATAAGGAACACAAAAGGGCTATAGTGGAAATGGAGGTTGGAAAAGCAGATTAGAGGTCAAATCAGGTAATATGTAGAATCACAGGCATTCAATTTGGTGTTAGAAGGCCTTTTTAGGCTGGGTGCAGTGGCTCACACCTATAATCCCAGCACTTTGGGAGGCTGAGGCAGGTAGATCACCTGAGCTCAGGAGTTCAAGACCAGCCTAGGCAACATGGCGAAACCCCATCTTTACTAAAAATACCAAAATTGGGTGGGCATGGTGGTGCACGCCTGTAATCCCAGCTACTCGGGAAGCTGAGGCAGGAGAATCGCTTGAACCCAGGAGACAGAGAATCGAGCCACCACACTCCAGCCTAGGCGACAAAGTGAGACTCCGTCTCAAAAAAAAAAAAAAAAAAAAAAAAGATGGCTTTTCTAGTGTATCATGGATTATGTGGATGAGACAGCTTCTTTCCATTCCCACACATTTCTCAGGCTCCAAAACATTTTAAAGAGGAAAAAATGACTACATAAAGGCAAGAAAACACAGAGTAGATGCTCAGTAATAGTCTTAAAAAATTGAATGAAAGAGTGAGTTACTCCATCCCAGAATGCTGTTGGTTTTTATATAATCACAGTGTACTCCTAGCTCACATTCTATTTGTGGTCAGTTCTGACCCCCACATGTTTTTCTGTGATACTCTTACCTATCCTATATTTGTATTCTTGGATGTAGGTCTTTATAAGCACATTTTCATATTAAGTTTCAACCGTAATTATCATAGCCTTATTTTTTCAATGCATAGGGTCATTTAGAACTTTATTACTGTTTTCCAGAAAAGCAAAACCATACCAAATTTGGGACCCACAAATTTGATGCACACATTCTTGATTTCTTTGTCCAGAATGTCAATAAATAAGCTGAACAGACTGGTCCTCAGGACCAATCCCTACTGGACCATCACTCAATATGTCTACTATTTATTCACCATCTCCATTATCTACAAATCTTCCACCCAGATATTCAGCTTGTTAAAAGCAACGTAGTCCAGATTCTACTTTTCTGAGGTTATACAGTGAAACAGATTATACTGGAGACTTCTCTCTGGTCTTGTTCTATTGCTATAATAAATTAAGGTAATCTGTATGATTTGCTCTCACAGAACCATGTTGACTCCTCTTCAGTGTCTCAAGATTTCCTGGATGACTGCAAATTGATTGTTTGATGGTTCTTTCTCATTTTTCCTAAAGATCAATAAGTTGGTGGTCTTTAATTACTAGGGTCGTTCCGTGTTTCTCCCCTTCCTGTTTCAAAGACAGCCATATTTGTCCTTTTCTGGTCTTTAGGGACTTCTCCAGTTCTCCATGACTTCTCAAAAGTAATGACCTGTGAGTCTGTAGCCACATCTGTTTGTCTAGCAAGTATCCCAAGGTGCATATCATCAAATTCAGTGAATTTGAATACTTCCATTTTTCCTTCCCTCATTAACAATTTCTCTTCCTTTGATTAGTGTTCATTTCCCAAATTCCACCTTGACTGAATTTATTGTAGTCAACTACTTACTTGTGATCTAGGCTGAAGAGACAGGATAGAAGACATTAAAAAGTTCAGCCTTATCCATCCTGATATTAATAATAATTGCTTCTTGATCATGAGATCAAATTTTTTTTCTAGCCTATTCTTTTGGCCAAGTGATCTTTTAAAAAATTGTTTAGATTTTGCTTTTCTGCACATGCTCATTAGATGTTTCTCCCAGTTGTGACCATTCTTATTCTATCCCTCTTCTACTATTCCCTTATGTTCTGTTTAAGGCATCTGTCCTAATTTTCCACATGTTGTGTACCTATTTTATACAGAAAAGTACTGGGTACTAAGGACACAAAGCAATGAAAAACATAGCCTTACCATTAATTTCACAGTTTAGTTCAAGAAAATAACACGAAAGAAAAATATAAGTACTCCTTCTGCTGTAAGCCTACACTGCCTCTATTATAAAACTGATTTCAATATATTGTGATCATCTGTTTACTTCTCCTTTTTGACCTCCTCAAAAGTAGGGATGACATCATATTCATCTGAAACCCCAATGTCTCACATGGTGCCTGACACATTATAGGGACTCAATATGTGTTTGATAAAGGATGAGACAGAGGAGACAATGTACAATAACATCTGCTAGATGTTGCAGATGGTTAATTCTACAGAGGAAAGATCACTCCTCTAGAGTATGATGGTCAAGGAAGATCCCATACTTTTCCATTCCATATAGAATTCTATAGACATTTCAATGTTTGTTTTCTCACCTTCCCTGAATTTAATGGTAGAGTTGATTCCCTTTACCTTACCCTTTTAAATATTTTCATTAGTATTATTTTAATTGACAAGTTATATTTGGATATAGTTGTGGGGTACAAAGTGATGTTTTGATATATGTATACAATGTAGAATGACTGAATCAAGCTAATTAACATATCCATCACCTCACTTACTTATCATTTCTTTGTGGTAAGGCACCTGAACTTTACTCTCTTAGTTGTTTAACCCTTGTTTTTTTGAAAACCAGGATATGCTCCTACTTACAGGAAACTTTCTCCTATACTAAGTGTATTAGTCCATTTTCACACTGCTATAAAGAACTACTTGAGACTGGATAATTTATGAGGAAGTTTAATTGAATCACAGCTCTGCAGGCTTAACAGGAAGTATGCCTGAGAGGCCTCAGTAAACTTACAATCACGGCAGAAAGTGAAGGGGAAGCAAACACGTCTTACCATGGCAGAGCGGGAGAAAGAGAGTGAGGCAGGAAGTGCCACACACTTTTAAACCATCAGATCTTGTGAGAACTCACTATCATGAGAACAGCAAGGAGGAAATCCACACCCATGACCCAGTTACCTCCCACCAGGCCCCTCCGCCAATTGAACATGAGATTTGGGTGGGGACACAAATCCAAACCATATTAATAAGTTACCTGACTCGTCACTCCTAACTTTGTGTCACAACCCCCACTGCCCAAATGTAAAAGTTTTACCTACTGATGTGGAGGGATGGTATCTGAATTTTGTAATTATTCGTTATCTGAGTCCCTGCAGTTGTATAGAGAATCAAAAGTCACAACCCAAATAGTTCACTGGAGAACTGACCACACAAAAAACAAGATTCCATTCAAACATCCCTGTACTTAACTTGGTTGACACTTACTATTGAATCAACAGCTTTGTTCAGTCTCTGCTGCTTTTGGAATATTATGATGTGACAATATAATGCAAATTCAATGAAAATCCATTACAGGGCAAAATTTAAAATCTTGTAAAAGATACAGAATTCAGTGAAGCTGATGATGTAGAGACCTAATCAAATAACATGCAAAGCCACTGACAACTGAGAATCTAGAAGTGGTAGACCAGTTAAGGATTTGAAAAACATAACACAAGCAAGGATTTCATAAGAGTGTGACTTGAATATCAACATTTTTTAAAAGATGCCTGGAAAAAAATGTGAAGACTTCAAATACTTTTATAAACATTATCTTCTTCGTGGTTGCATTGTAAAAGTCAAATATAAGTAGTATCATTTTAGCTATCATACAATTTAATTTTAAAAATCAAGCCAAAAAATAACCAGTGCTTGATTCATTCTTTCTTCATTCTCAGAATTAGTGCGTAATTATAGCTACAACTTAAATGTTAACATAAAATTCAATAAACCTCTTGGCAGTACCTTTTTAATTTTCAAGATAAGGAACCTACTTACTATAAAATTTGGATTCTATTTTAAATCATTTTTCTTAAACGACTTTTCCATTTTAACAATCCAGAAATTACAACGCTTCCTTAACTGTGCTGTCAGCTTTTACACTTGCAAATATCTGTTTTCTCCCAGCTAAACATTAAAATCTTCAAGGACAGAAATTATCAACTCAATTTTTCTTTATTAGCTGCTTCCACCACCACCTATTCCCAAACACAACTCACACACCTACACTGGCACAGAAATCTTAGGCAAATAAGCATATAGAATATATTAAAAACTGATTACCTGGCCAAGAATTCTGCTGAAGGTAAGAGTAGCTGTACCACTATTTCCCCAGCATTCATGGTATACCTGAGGTTTCTCACCTAATTACTTAGTGACAGCTCCTTTCATTCATGACAAGCCTTCCTTAGAAAGGAAAAGGTTTTGAGATTGCCCTTCGAGTTGTTTTCTTGTTTTCTTTTTTTTTTTTTTTTTAACCCTACAGGATATTCTATCCTATCACAAAAGGAGTCATCAGCGTCTCTTTCCTGGATTATATCTGGGTTACCTAAAGCTCTGTAGCTCTGTGGATCAAATCAAAGTTCTTGTTACCCAAAAGTTGCCCAACATTCTCTGCCACGTGAAGATCCGTGAAAACAATAATATTTCTAGGTAAGTGATCAGGAGTTAAGATTTTCCTTGTGATGAAACAGTGGCTCAAGTGACCAGCTTGATGTGCCAGAAGGAAACTGAAGTGTTACTTCCAGGGCAGTTTTTATGGTGAGGTGTCCTCAGATGCCACACTGAAGTGGGGCAGAGCTTAGTTTTGGGGTTTTTTTTTGTTTTGTTGTTGTTGTTTTTTGAGACGGAGTTTCACTCTTGTTACCCAGGCTGGAGTACAATGGCGCAATATCAGCTCACTGCAACCTCTGCTTCCCAGATTCAAATGATTCTTCTGCCTCAGCCTCCCAAGTAGCTGGGATTACAGGTGTGCACCACCACGCCCAGCTAACTTTGTATTTTTAGTAGAGATGGGGTTTCACCATGTTGGTCGGGCTGGTCTCGAACTGCTGACCTCAGGTGATCCATTTGCCTCAGCCTCCCAAAGTGCTGGGATTACAGGCATGAGCCACCGTGCCCGGCCAGAGTTTAGTTTTAACATTAGAATAAGGAGGGCTTGCCTGATGGTTGGTGGAAGGCATGAGCCCATTAAAGAGGATACTGTCCTTTCACATTCCCCTCTATGTTACTCATGGTAAAACCACTGATGTTCAATCGGTTAATGAACAGCTGACCTTTTCTTTCAACACTGCTATTTCCAGTATATTTTCTTTATAATCTAAAACAGCCATGTTCTTTTTGCTTTCTGTTTTTAAATATCGCCTACAGGAATGGGTTTCATAGAGCCAATGATTCCCCCGATCTTAAAAAATCTCCTCACCCTCATTCTCCCTAACTCTAACCCTCTGGCCTGAGGACCTTGTATGTTTTCTACAACCCTTATAATTCTCTATGGAAGAAAAGAAGTAACAAGGCCCGAGCTTCTGGAAACTTGCTCTACAGTTTGGCATTTGGTGAATTACCCTGTTAGCTTTGGGAAAGTTGCCCAATCTTGGTAATCTGGCTCAACTTTACAACCCTCATAGCAGGCCTCTGAAAGTCTGCTATAATGAACTGAATTGTGCTCAACATAAAAAAAGAAAGAGAAGAAAAGAAAAAAAGGAAAGGAAGGAATAGACAAGAAAAAAAAAAGAAAGAAATTATCCAGAATTCTTCAGACCTCAAAGGGCATAAACTAGATACTCCCAAAGAGTATAAACTAGATTCTAGTTACACTCATGGATTTGCTTAGCCAAAGGAGACTCTAATTTGGTCATTTAAAATGTGACCCCTAAAGTGGCAAGACTTTATCAACTCTAATGTCTCACTAGGTTTCTTAAGTATTGCTTGATGACAATGGAGGAAATGATGATGAGGAGGAGGAGGGAACTCACTGACTACCATATTCTCTCTTCACTTATCAACTACACCTGGATTTTAAGTCTGCCATCTGGTGGTCATTGCCACAATCAACATTCGTTATCGCCTCAGTCCTTCCCAAAAGGTTACATTACACTCATCCATTTTCTAGATTTGTGTCTTAAAGGCTTGAACTCTATCTCCTAGTGGTTATACCAACTAATTTTCCCTTGCCAAGGATCCAGTTTTCATTTGTACAAAAGATTCCAGTAGCCTTTTCTCTGTCAGTTCCATCTCCTTCATCCTTCTAGCAGAAACTGATTAGTGGTAGGTGTTTTTACGATATTCCTACCGGTAATTTATTTTCTAACTTGATTACAAACGCTATGTTAGCCACGTTGTCCTTTAGGTTTATGCGTGCATATGCTAGTCACAAAACTCTCATTTTGTTCCATATCAGTGATGGGAAAAAAGAAACATTTCCCAAGCAGGTTCTCAAATATTTCAATTATTTGTGAAGCCAACAGTATGCCCAGATTGAAGTAGGATTTAATTTTGAGGTTTTGTTCTTTTCTTACTGGGACAAAGGGTAAATTTTCCATAGTCTTGTCCAGTGTGATACTTGAAATAAAACAGATATCTTGAAAACAGAAACTTTTCTAAGAGGGTAGTTAGTTAAAAGAGAGTAGTTTTTGATGAAAAGCTCATGCCACATTCAATTTGGTTTTCTGACCCACAGATTGGAGCCCAGCCTGGTAGAGCCCTTTGGGGAAAGCCTCAGAGAGTTTTCACTAGGGTGGGAACATATGTCAGCACCTCCTCTCTTTCCATCCCCTGAGAGGAGGGCTTTCCTTTCCTCTCTAGCCTGCTCCTGAGAGCCTACTGCTGCTCCCTGCAGAGTTCGAAGGAGAATCTGGGCCAACTGAATGTGTTTAGAGACTTGTGCTGAGAGACCTGTGGAAACAATGTTGCCCAAGAGGCATTTACCTTGATCTTTTCAAGCTCCTTTTGAAGAGCAGCCTTTGGGGGCAAACCAGATGTGCTTTCCTCCCACTGCCATTCTTTTCCCTTCCCTTCTGTGTGACATTTGGAAAAGTTCATTAGGAAGGATTATAGAGCATGCAGAATAAAGACACAGATTACTGGTTTGTAAGGAGGATGGAAGCAGTGATATGCATCCCTTGGTTCCTTATATTGGAATTGTCTGGTATTCCTGTTTGTGATTCTCCTCAAGCTTTTGGAAGGAGAGAAAAACCAAAATATCCCCCATGATTACAACAGGCCAGGGTTGAAATGTGCCAAGTGGTTTGTTGGCTGAGTTGGACCAGAGTCCTGTGGTTACTAAACTGCAGAATTAGCCAGTAGATGCCCCTGTGGTAAAACGTAGGATCTTAGAATTTACAGGGGATCTGCAGAGAAAGAAAAATGAAGACAGTCAGGAAATTATTACAAAATATTTGAGAACCCCAATCTCAAAAACTGATTCATACAAATTAGGCCTACTGTTCTGAGGTATATGTGGTTTGATAGGTGAACTAAGCTGAAATTAGAAAGAGATCATTTTAAGCTCCATTTGGGTGGCAAAATGTTCAAATTTCATGAATTACACTGAGTTTTAACCACCAAGCATTGGTTATCCAGGTTCTGGACACATACACTAAGAAAGTTCTGAGCTGTGTTCTGAACTTTTGTTATATTTCTAATTTTAACTTGACTCAACATACAGAGAGGAATGGGAATGGATCCAAAAGCTTTCTGGCTCTGAATCTATGGAAAGTGTGGATCATACTTCTGACTGCCCCATGCAATTGTTCTTCTACGAGCTCCAGATGGCAGTGAAAGCTCTCCTTCAGCAGATCAATATACCTCTACACCAGGTACTAGACTTTACCATTTTTATCTTCTTTTTTTATGGCTCATGGAAACTGCATTGTAACATTAAGTGGGGTGTGTGTGTGTGTGTGTGTGTGTGTGTGTGTGTAAATTTTCCTTTACTTAAACACCACTTTGCAAGTGCATGCACATTTTGAATTAATGCCCACAGGTAGACACAGCCTGCGCTTCTGTTCCTTTCCTCCAGCTCCTCTGTGTTGGACCTCTTTCACATTTTCTGGACCCCACTGTACTATGGTCTGGTCAGCAAAAAAAAAAAAAAAAAAAAAATCAATGGCTAGTCTACCTTAAAAGACAACCAGGCTCAGCTTCAAGATAGCATAAAGCAAAGAGAACATATAAATAAAGGTGTACTCACATGTACAAATGATTTCTCTAAGAATAGAAGGATAACGGTGGTATAATCTACAGCAATGTCCCAAGGATATGCCATGCTATTTTTTCTCAGAGAACTTTCTGTCAAAATTATTGTTGTATCTAAATCAAAATGTACAAATCTAACCTCCACTAATAAGCAACTTCAAGAAAAACTGTTGGCATAAAGGAGAATAGTAAAACTTTTTTAGGCTCTGCCCAATAGGTTAACATGAGGTAGCATTATTTAATTTTTTTGGCGGGGGGACCTATGTTCATCAATCCTGCCTCCCTCCCCAAAACACACACACACACACACACACGCACACACACACACATAATGAACCAAGTTTAGCCTGTAAACTGGGAGACCATTAGAGGAGCGACTGGCTCTCTTTAAATACGAGAGAGAACCATGAATTGGCCTCTAACCCATGGAGGCAGGGGAATAAATTAGAGTTCTAAGAATGTCCTTCCATTGGGGTGCTCTTTCGATTTTAAGTCTAAAACAGCCAACGCTAATGAAGACTAAATTGCACAAGATGCCATAAAGACAATAGAGAAGCAACTGGATTATTCTAAAGGTGGCCGTGTGTTCACTAGGAGAAAAAAAAGTAAGAGCTCCACTTGTGACACTAGATACTATTAAAGCGTTTCTTGGACTTAGCAGGTTTGAAGCAGCTCATATTTCATTGGTGACTCTTGGGCTACATATACATGTTGGGAGAAGGCTGCCTAACTGCCTAACAGTGCATACAACTTTTTTTTTTTTTGGATACTTGTAAAATTTTCTCAGTCCTTGGCCAGAAACTACGTTTTTCCCCCTTAACCAACTTAAATTGAAACTAGTGGATTTTTAATTCAATCCATTTTTGTTGCTTCATGTAATTATAGTCATCATTTTGAAAAGCCCACAGAATGCAATCATTTTCTGCTTTTATAAGAAGCATAAATGTTGTTTTCAGAGTTTATGTGGAACATTACTGCCTTAAATCTTGATTTTATATAGCATTATTAAATGGGCTGAACCCTAATATTTATGTTGTATAAAAATTCCAAGCTTGAAGTTGTGTAATTTTGTGAGATGTTTTATGCCAGTTTGGTGTTGTTTATGTAAGTGCCATGTTGTAACTCTCCTATTTTTCCTCCGCGCGTGTCCCTCTGCAGGCAAGGAACTTCCGCCTCTACACACAGGAGGTGTTGGAAATGGGTCACAATGTGTCCTTTCTTCTCCTGCTCCCTGCCTCAGACGACGTCTGTACAGCCCCAGGACAGAATAATCCTTACACCCCACACTCAGGGTTTCTTAACCTCCCTCTTCAGATGTTTGAACTTGGTATAGTAGCTTGTTTCACCTAGAAATATTAACCCAGCCTCCTTATAATAAAATCACAAAGTTATATCTGTTCCCCCTTGTCCCAGTGGAGGGTCAATAAATCACATGATGGCTTTGGCAACAACCCTTCCTAGAACTGTGTACAAGTCTGAGAAAAAGCAAAGCTCCAAGACTATGTGCCTGAGCAATAATTATTGAAACCTAGCAAAGGCCCAATGGAGAAGAAGGAATTCTAAACAGAAAGTTCAGTTATCAGGCTGGACTTCTTGCCTCCCTTCTGCTTTCTTAAAACGTAAATATAAAAACCGATGTTTTCATGAAAAGCACTGCCCCTTCTCTCTCTCTCTCACTCTCTTTTTCCCCTTCCCTCTCTCTCCCCACTTCCTTTCTCTCTCCTTTCCTCCCTTTCTCTCTCACCGTCCCCACATCCCCAACCAGAGAAAAAAATAATAATGAAATTTAAATGTAGAGTGCATATCACTTTGGAGGGGAAAAAAGCCTACAATTTTAAGTAGCACTGACTTATTAAATAGACTCTAAATTTCTGACAGACCATTTGAGAAATGGACAGGATCTCCCAGGATGCAATATTGTGATTATAATGTGGGATTCTGAATGGTGGAAGATCTTGTCCTGACTTTCAAAAATGAATAGCCTGGGCTCCAGTTTCTCTACTTTTGCAGAGACCCCTGCTGCCCACTGAGATTGTGAATAGGGAGGCTTTGTCCCCTTCCCATGCTTCATCTTGTAACAGGCCAGTAAGAGGCAATTAGCAAGAGTTCGGTCAGTTCAAATGAATTGTACAATTTGCAGGAGGGTGAGTGAGTGGGTGGGTGGAATGGAGGCAGACCCTCTCTGGATTGCTCCCCAGCCACCAGATTTAGAAGCAGACAAGGCCACTGCCTGATGTCTCATTTGAGCCCTGGGCAACTGCATCTGAATTTATCCCTCAAGGATGATATGCTTAAGCCTCTCAGTTTTCCTTGGTCCAAGCACTTCAGATGCCCAAAAACTGATGAACAGCAATTGTTACTTTCTAGAGGAGGGAGTGTTCTTACAAGAAGCTCAAATCAGACTCGTAGACTGGGACTTGAGAGTCCTGGATTCCCTATTGTGTGACACTGGCAATTGCTTAACCTTTCTACACCTTTTCTGTGTCACACAATTAATCACATTGGCCATACCACTCCCAAGAGGCCTGGATGTGAATGTGACCATTTAATGAGTTCCTCAGCCAAAAAGCATTTTTAGTCTGTAATATAACAACACTGTTTGGGGCAGGGTATTTCCATAAGTGTCTATTCGGTGCCCACTGTGGAGATTTAGAGGTGAGTAAGACAAAGGTTCTTCCCTCAAGGGGCTTTCTTATGGTGGCAGGAGTAAAATGAGAATACAAATTATTACAAAACAAGGTAGAATATGCCAGAAATTGGAAGTGTTAATATTGAAAAAAAGAAAGCACATTCTCTCAAAGAAGATATGAGAAAGCCTTCATGGAGGGAAGGGTATCTGATGTGGGGTGTTGAAGAACAAACAGGATGTTAATAAACATAAATAAAAAGAAAACCTTTCTTGTTGGGGGAGTAGAATGAGCAAAAACATGAGAACAGAAGAATTCAGAAAGAATCGGGAAGAGAACAAGTGGTCCAGTTTGGCTAGATCAGAGAAATGTGAGGAAAAGGTGGGATGTAAATCTGTACAGACAAGGTGGGGCCATATTGGGCAATATCTCCAGCATCAGGCTGAGAAATCTGTTTATGACAGATGGGAAGCAGAGGTCAAAAACTTCAAAGATTATTTTATTCATCCAGTGTTAGGGTAGGAACGAAAATAAGAAGAAAAAAAAAGAAAGAAATACAGATATTTGAAAAAAAAGAAAAGTTGCCCCAAAGTAGGTAACTATTTAAATGAGAAAGGGAGAAGTCTAAAGAATACTCTCATTGTTTTCAGCTTCAATGACTATGAGGCTATTGCTCCCTTTATCAGAAGTAAGGAAATCAGAGGGGAAAAAATGGTTTGCTGAAGGAAGTGATGCTTTTAGCTTTGAATATGTTGAGACTGAAGGTGCTAAGTCAACATCCAAGTGGACATGTTTCACTGGCAGTAGAAACGCAGGAGAGAAATTGGATACTAAACACAGAGATCTGTCCAGTGTCTATTAATAACAGCTGAAGCCATGAAAATGAATGATTTCCCAGGGATATATAATTGACAGAGAAAAGAATTAAAGAAAACATTTCACTGGAGAGCTAACCAGGATTCCATTCTGTGTTAAACAGTCATTGTTATTCCATGATTACAGGCAAAAATACATGAAATTCATTTCCCCATGCCTCAATGGCTTTGGTGGGGACAATCTACAACTTGGTATCAATCGTTATAATATACGTGACTCCTAAGGCCCTGAAGGTCCAAGCCATGCAAATATCCTCTCTAGCCTGTTTCTGTGAGACTCACACACTCTTCTTGAGTAGCCACCCTTTGTCCCACTGTTATTTTTCTTCATTCTATAATTTGGTGAAGTCTGTTAGCATCCATTTCTTTTCTTGATTCAGTTTTTCATTCATTCATCAATAAATATTCATTGAGTAACCTACTATGTGCCAGGCACTATTCCAGGCACTGAAGAATCAACAATGAAAAAAATTCTCAAAGAGCTTACATTCCAGTGGAAGGGACAAATAACAAACCAATCAATAAACCATAATATTGTAAATATCAGAGAAGTGAAGGTCATGAAGGAAAATAAATCTGGCTAAGGGACTCAAGTGAAGTAAGCTGCACTTTATACAGCTGGGTGATCTGGGAAGGTCTCTGAAGAAGAAACATTTGAGCAGAGACCTAATATTTCCAGGCAATGAGAACAGTAAGTGCAAAGGCCTTAGAGTAAGAGTGTGCTTGGCTAAGAGATCAGCATATCTGGAGCATAGTAAGCAAAAGCAAGAAAGATAGGAGATGAGGTCAGAGAGTCATGGGAGCTAGACCATGCAGGGCCTCACAGGCCATGTTAAGGAATTTTTACTTTAAGTATGTTGGAAATCCAATGAAGGATTTTGAGTGGTAGAGTAACGTATGAAAGGCTCTGCAAAATCCAGTGGTCATCCCCCTAAAAAATAAAAAATTTTAAAAATAATTTTTTTAAAGCTCAACTTTGTTTAACCCAGCATTTTCCAAATTCATTTGACGATGACTAGAGCAATGTTTTTCATGGGACCTATTAATAATCCATAGAACATATACTTTGGGATGTGATAGCCCTAGAACAGTGCTTCTCAAATTTTAACCTGCATAAGAATCACTTGGAGAGTTTGTTAAAATACAGATTCTTGGAGCCCAACCCCAGAGATGCTGAGTCAGTAGGTCCAGCAGGAGGCTGGAAAATTTACATTTCTAGTAAGTTCTCAGGTAATACTAATGCTGCTAATCCATGGACTACAATTTAAGTAGTATTGCCTATGACAAAGAGATTAATACATAAATACAAAACTAGAGATGTGGTTAACAAAGGAATTCAGGCAAATTCAACTGTGCCTGTCCTTTTTACCTGTTTTACCTCTTCACATTGCTAGAAGCAATATGAGAGCATCAGATACTTTCTTTCATCTATGAAAAATAGGCCATAGATCAAAGCCTGACTTTAAGATGGTTTTTTCCTAGAGTAAGACATACTTTCTCACCTTCTTGGTCCTCCCTTGTTGCCATATCATTGGTAATCCAACTGATTAATGAGGACCATGTAAGTTTCCAGAAAAGACCACTTGGTTGGGCTCGGTTCCATTGGCATAAACAATTCTATTAGTCTTTTTTTAGGGACCGGAGGAAATGTTGCCAGTAGCAGAAAATTAATACACTCTCTAATACAATGATTATTGTACTTGAGCACCACCAGCAACAATTTCAAAAACACTTCTGGGCCTTGGTCTCAATAAGAATCATGACAAACTCCATCTTATCCCCAAGCAATCAGAGCTTTCCAAGAGGAAGTTTATCATAACTACTTCCTCCATCAGGCATCTGGCCACTAAGCATTTAATGACACCTTATATAGGAACTTCCAAGGGCCTGCTACAGTGGTCCTAAGCCTCTCTAAGAAGGATGCTAAGCATTATTTTTTTCTATAAGTAGGAAATTCTATTCATAGGTAGTTACATAGTAAAGGGTCAAGAGATACACTAAGCATTTCTGAGAAAGGAGAGAATGTTTTTGGAAATTCAGTCAGAACTCAGAAAATTTTAATAACCACATGGGAATTCTAATGAAACTTAAAAAGGTGTGAATTATGGGAATATGTAAATTATAATAGAATAAAGCATTGCACTATATTTCAGTTTGACTTGTATAAGTCATCCCTGTCCCCATGAAAGAATTTGAGATTTGGCAAACTGACCTTGTTCCTGCCAGTGGCCTAAGTGAATCATAAATAACTTGCTAACCAGCTATGGAAACTGCATCTGTGCCTATTCCAGCACTGCATAGATCTAGCAAAGACAAAATGATAAAGGAGCTTAGTTCTCTGTCTCCTGGAATAAGGTCTAGACTGTAGCAAACCCACAGGCTATTCCTTCACAGGATTACTTGTGGGGTCAAGATAAATTGTCCTATTGGAGGATGTTATGAGATCAGGTTGAGGAAGACTGAGCTGGGGCAAAATGAATTCACCAAAAATCCACTCCTCTTTCCACAGCCTGAAGGTTGACACTCTACCATCCTTTGGGTGGGAGCAGGATAGGACCCCTTTGCAATAATAAAGCATGTTCCTGGGGTCCTACAAGCATTACTATTTACAAAGTTCCCAGGAACAGAAGGAAAAGCAGCATCATGAGCCCTTAGAAACTTTATCAGGTGACGTGGCCCCTTGAGGACTTGCCTAGCCTGCACAGAGGAGGTCACCCTGCCCTGACCTTGTGGGTGCTCACAACTGACAGCCGGCCTATGACAAGGAAAGTTGGCCTTTGTTGATTTCCTTGGCTTTATGATTTAAACCAATTGGACTAGAAAGACAAAAAAAAAAACTAGGGAATTTTAAAAAATAATAGTTTGAGGCCTGGTATATATTTCATTTACTGAGCTTCTGCTATATGCCAGGTACTGTGCTGGGACTGAACCATACAGACATTAATAAGGCACCATCTGCCCATCACAAGCTCAAAATCCATTAGAGGATACAGGTATCCCTACCGATATTCTTCATAAAACGAAAGCACTCCTATAAGAGGCAGGCTATTGAGTTTCAAAGGAAAGACATCTAATTCTTCCTTACAGAGATAATACTTGAGCTGTATCTTGAAGGATAAACAGACATTCAGAATGGGAAAGAAAAGGCAGGCAGAAAAGGAAAACATTTTAAGCAGAAGGGACAGTATGTACAAAAGCTCAGAGACCTGCAGCCTGATTAAGTACACTCTTAATAGCTCATTGTGATGGATGCTTAAGGCATCTGAGGAAAAGTGACAGAGGATGAAGCTAAAAGTTTAAAAGATCAAAATCATACATGGCTACTTATATAACACTAAGAGGGTATGACTTTATCCCGTAGGCAATAGGAAGCAAAGAAAAGATTTTAAGAAAAGGGATGATGTGGTCTTATTAGATTTTGACAGCTCATGGAGGACTGATTGCAAGAGAGTAAAAAACAAATAAATCAGGCTGACACTGGATATCATGAGACAATTAAACAATTAAGAGACTACCTCATGGGTCCACCTGGTCATATCTCACAGGTCCATGAGTCCAAACCAAGGCAGCCTTGGTGGGGGTATAGAAGAGAGAGCAGAGAGATGAGGAATTTAGGAGTTAAAATGATGGAACTTTGTGATTGATTGGATGTGGTTGAAGAGCAAGATGAAGGAGCCAGAGAGTCTGAATAAGAGTGCCGAGACGGATAATGTTACCGTCTACTGAAATGGGCCATAGGAAGGAGGAACAGGTTTAGGGCAGGGGAGTGATGGTGAGGTCAGTATGACAAATGATGAGTTTTGAGGAACCTATGGAATATCTAGGCAGTGAGCCTAATGAAATCCAGGCCACAGGCTTGCAAGAAATGGCATAGTGTCAACCTTCATCCCTAATACCCATTTTACATGATTTAAGAGATCATTCCTTTATTCCACCTGTCAACTCATTCACTACTAGGAATCTTTAGAGGGGCACCTTGTGCCCCAGTTCTTTCTGACACCTTGGCAAAGACTCATTGAACTAAATGGACCCCAGGAGGTTATCTTGTTGATTCCTTGGCTTCCAAACTAGGCCACATGGCCCAGACTGATTAGGATTTTAGTGAGTTAGATATCCTTAGGAAGAATATTTTAATTCCAGTCCTGTTCTAATATTCTAATCACTACCACTAAATGCCTCATTCTTTCAGGGTAGTAAAAAGGTGTGGCAGAAGGACAAACATTTATTTTGTATCAGGTATGTGCCATATGCTGTGCTGGGCACTTTATATACATTGTATTACTTAATCCTAGGTAGGCATTATAATCCCTGTGTTAGAGATGAGAAAAGTGAGACTCCCAGAGGTCACGTGCCCACTGTCACACAGGTGGTGAGTGGCAGAAGTATGGTTCAAACCCAGGTCCGTCAGATGGCTAAGCCCATGTACTTTCCACTGTACTATATTCCTAGTGTTGATGCCAACCTTATGTTAGTCTGCCACTATCTTATGTAGAAAAAAGAGGGAGAAAAATACCATAGAAAATTAGTCTTAGTCTGTGAATTATTAACAAATCATGTGGTCCAGCTAATGACATTATTGTAGCCTTATACCATTTTATCCGTAAAATGCATGAGATTCACATTTTTAAAAATTAGAAGCTTCCAGTCTGTCTTTCTTGCCTCAGTTATGGCTACCAAATGTATCATTGCTAAACCACAAAAGACTATGTTAAAGTAACATTTGTTAAAGTAACATTAAAGGGTCTGGATTTAAAAAAAAAAAAAAAAAAACCACAAGAGCGGGGAAACTGAAGCGTTATAGTTGAAACCTCCTCATAACTCACTTGTGGTGCATGGCATGGACAGTGTGGGTGCTGTGAGACCACCCACTGATCCAGGCTCCCACCACAGGGACACAACAAGAGAAAGCTGTGAACACCCCGGCTTGTAAGAATTCAGATCAGACTGATAGTGTTTCTTTTAAAGAAGTTATTCAGTGCCTCTCCCTATTTTTCCAGTCATATTTTAGAAAGGGGAAAAAAAACAATTTTTTTTTTTTACCTCTTGGTTCAGAAAGGCAGGGTTTGAGACACTTCACTCTTGTCACTTTCCAGCCAAGAGAGGACATCTGTCAAGTGCTAACAGGACATAATCCCTCCTTGAAAGGCATAAAGACACATTCAGGGAGCTACTAGGGTCAAGAGTAAGCTAAAAAGTCATTGAGATTCCTTCCTGTGGAGCTGCCAGGAAATATTATAGACCTGAAACACCTTTCCAAACAGGAAAATCAAGCCCACAGTAAAGGAAAGACAATGGAGAAAAGAGGAGCCTTCGGGTGAAGGGTCTGCCTCTTCAGATCCATTCATGCATTTATTTATTTATTCATTTGGTCAATAAACCTTAATTGAGAAGCTACAATGTTCCATGTTTCAAGGACATAAAAATTAATAGGAGGCATAGTTCCTGCCCTCAAAGAAATCACAATCTAATGCCAAGGCAGTAAAGTAAACACATAAGTACAATGTAGTAGGATAAGTGTCATGAAATGTTTAGAAACAAATGCTCTAGGAGCACAAAAGAGGGAGAAACTAGTTCCACCTGGCAGGGAGATGTCAGTGAAAACTTTGCTGAGGAGAAAACATTTACCGTGAATCTTCAAGTATCACAAGTTGACCTGGAGGTATTAGTAAAGAAAGGTATGTGAGGAGGAGGAAAAGGCATGTTTCAAAGCATGGAAGTATAAAAGGACTCATAATAAGTTCAGCTTGACCAAAGCTTAGGGTTGATGAGGAACTAGGGCTGGAAGGTGGCAGCATGAGGGAAGGTATGACTGAAAATATTCTCAAATCCTAGATCACAGGGAGTTTTCCTTATGGAGAGATGTTTGGATTTTGTCCTCAGGTCCAGAGGGAGCTCTGTAGAAGTCTTTAAGCAGGGAAATAGTATGAGAATTCGATCATTTGGGAGAAGCTCCATAGCTTGTCATTTACTGAGAGGGCATATGAAATCAGTTCTCTGTGTCAGGCAAAAAAAAGTGCTAAACAGAGCAGAGAAGATGAGAAGGAAGGATCTGACACCACAGAGAAAAATCAAACCAGGACAGAGGCCTCCTGAGTTGAGAAAAACCTCCTTGAAATGAGGCATAGCTGGAGTAAGGATGGATCACTCACACTCTCACCCCATTCTTCTCTTCTACTTCCATGGAAGGAAAGACAGAGCACA
This sequence comes from Homo sapiens, assembly GCF_000001405.40. Lineage (NCBI taxonomy): Eukaryota > Metazoa > Chordata > Mammalia > Primates > Hominidae > Homo > Homo sapiens. The sequence goes on from NC_000017.11 coordinate 56,490,901, forward strand.
CTGCCCTGGCATTCACCTAAGATTTATCCCCAGAGAAAAAAAAGCAAGGAAGTAGTAGCCAGTGGTAACATGGGAATTGTAGGGTGGACAAAAATCTCTCAATATGCAGAAAAGTAGGGCTTCCTCATTGAGGTGTAGAGATGACCAATGCCCCATTTTGAGGTAGTGTGGTTTTAGCTTCCCTAAATGGCCAGATCTGGGTCTCAGGAATCAACATCTAATTACTACCTGTAATTACTACCTGTAATTAGATGTTCTTCCTAGAATTCCTCACTAAAGAAGCCAGAATAAAAATGTTTCAACAGACTTGTTGGGTTGTAACAGCCCTATTTCCAAAGCATGGAACACACTGGTACAGGCCAGAGGTAAACAGAGTAAAAGAGGTTCTTGAAGAATGAGTCTCCAAATTCATCAATGCCCTGGAAGAAACCAGTACTATGATAGTCTGAATCAGGGTGCTTTCCTCATCCTACTAGAATCCAAAGTTACGGTATAAGATCAGAGCTGGTCAGAGAAGTACAGGAAATCTGACCATCTCAAGCTGCCTATACCAGGCTCAATCCTACACTGCTCTGTTCCTCCTGAAAAAAGGAAATGATGGAGACGAAGGCTGGACTCTTTCCTGTGATATCTGTCCAATTATCTGTTGAGAGAAGAAAACCAAGTCTGCTGAAGACAAGAAATGGTCTGTCCAAGCAACAGCTCATATCATCCATCCAGAGGGGCCAAGAAGCGGAGAGGCAGAAGAGGATCAAAGCCTATCATAATAGGCCCTTGGGGAAGTTTTGTAGTCAGACCAAAGACACTCTGAGAAAAGCATGTCTTCTGTCTTCTGGGGGTTCTGGCCTTGGAAAGGAGTAGGCAAGATATGTACTGGAAATCAGACATGAAAACCAAAACTAGGTTTCAAATTGCTACTTGGCTTTTTTTCTTTAAAGTGATAAGCAAGCTTATTTTCCCAGTATGTGTGTGTATATGTGTGTGTGTACACACACACACTCAATCAGCCCCAACTTTAGGGAAAAGTCCACATAACTGCAGCTTTAGCCAACCCCACTTCCCCATACCTTACTAGGAGTTGGTAAACCTTAAAAGGGAATACTGTCTGACTAAAGCCAGACAACTGGCCCCTTAAGAGCACATTTATAATTTATTTATGGCTTAATATTTTCCACTGATAGGATTAATAAATCATGTTTTCATTCAACTTGTTTTCTCTGAGGTATGAATTTCTCTATTTTGATACCAGATCTTAACATGTTTTATTTTGCTTGTCCATTTTCCAGTTCATTTTTGCAGCTACAGAGAGAAATTTATTAGTCTGTATTGCCGCCTTTCTGCTGTTGTGGAGCTGGATTCTCTGAACACCCAACAGTCCCTCAGGGAAGCAATCTCAGACAGCGAGGTTGCAGCTGCCAAACAAAGACACCAGCAAGTTTTAGATTTCATTCAGGTAATTGTTTGTTCCTTCTGGGGTAAAAGGAAGGGAGAAGAGGCAGGGTGGAAAGGGTGAAAAGCCAAGCATGGGAAAGGACAGCAGTCCAGGCTGATTCAAAGAACACGGTGTGTAAGTTGCCTATTGAGTTGGTTAAAATGTGGAGCTCAGGCAGATAAGTTTTCAAACAAAGCCTTAAGAAAAAGTTACAGATAATTCACAATATTACTAAGAAATGTTATCAGTCACCATGGTGGGTAGTGGTAGCTTTCCATACGGGAGAGAAAAATCACCCCCCAGAAGCAGTAACTAGAATATTATTCTTACCTTGTAGCCCATTGACAATTCTAATGGAAAGAAAAATTGTATTAATTAATTCAATATCTCAGAGAAAAAGAAAATAAAATGACCTACCAGTTTATGTTAACCCAGATCCAATTAGAACTAAAATTCCTCATGTTTTGGGCTTCTTTCTCACAGAATTGACACTTTAATATGTGGCTGTTAAGATCAGAAAATGTGTTCCCCTTCCCATGGTCTTTTCTGGTAAAGCCTATGGTAACACCTCAGGGTCTTGTGAAAGGGGTACTGACTAGTAATCAAGAGAATTTGGATCTGGCCTGAAATTGCCTCTGAATCCCTTAGCCAAATCTTTCAATCTTTCTGTCCATCAGTTACTCAATTCACAAAATGAGTAGAATAGCAATAGCCCCATGATAAATATCACTATGATACATATTCAGTTCAATTTGATAAACCTTTATTAAACAACCAGGTGTCAGACACTGTGTGCGAGACATAAAGTTGAATTAGACATGGTCTCTGATCTTAAGGAGTTTCAAATCCATCAGGGTAGATAAGAAATGTGTGTAAATACAATTTGTAAAATGTGCTAGGTGCCAAAAAAAAGATATACCAAAGCAAAACAAACAAACAAACAAATAAGTTTTGTGTCAGCACAAGAAAGTAAAAATTTACTTTCACTTGTATCAGAAACATTCCCATGAAGGATGTAATTGATATATAGCCTGGCCTACAAGGATAGGTTAGATTACAGTAAGGTGAAACAGAATGTAGAGCATTCAAAGAGAAAGTATAAACAGATGAGGCAGACAGAGCAGAAAAATAGTATTTGGGGAATGATAAATAGTCAAGATTGGTTGGGGCATAAATTGAGTGATGAGAGGTAGAAATTAGGCAAGAAGGAAAGATGTCAATGATAGCAGATCACAAGGGCTTTATTAAAAGCCATAGTTAAGAAATCTGTACTTTTTTTCTGTAGGCAGTAGGGAGCTACCCAAAGTTTTGAAGAAAGTTAAGTCACAGGCTCTCAAAACTCTGTTTAGGATAGATTCAAGCAGTGAGGATACTCTTCCCATATAATTGGTACAGCCATACTGGTTGTTTATTATAAGCATTCACTCTTATTGGTCATGCTCACCAAATAAGGATTTGAGAAGACTAAAGGCAGAGAAACCAAATAAGAAGCTATTATAACTATCCAGACAATTTGTTATGAGGACTTAAGATGAACGAACGCTGTGAACTTTGGGCAAAGAAATCTCTCTCAGTCCCAACAGTCCCAATCTCCTCATCTGTAAAATAGGGATGATAATAATAGGGTTATCTCATAATGTTACTGAGAGAATTCAATGAGATAATACATATAAAACACTCGGCAAAATGCCTGGCACATAGTAAGTATGTAATACATTATATATTCATTCATTCACAAGAAGGAGAAATTCTTTGACATATGAATATGTGAGATTCGAGGTGTTTGAAACACTCAGGAAGAAAATATTGTAATTTACTTGCAAAGTGGAGAGCAGAAAAATCTTTAGGATTATCCTACTTTCCTCATCCCGTGAATGAGATATCTTAGGTGACCTCTCAGAATAGAGAAAGAACTTTCAAGAAGTTACTTTCTCCATTGGTCTGAGAATGTAGAATTTAAACATTCAAAACATTTACTTCATTGATTTCATTTCCAGTAAAAATGGAACACAGATGGTGGGGAAGGGGTGGGAAAAGGAAGAGTGTAGCATGAGGAGAATACGAAAGACTGGCTCATTTTTGAACCCCATATAAAGGATAGTGGAGCATAGTAAGAATAACAACAGATCAGAAGCTGGTCCCAGAGGAGGTTGGGAGGCTGAGATGGTAGGATCTCTTGAGCCCAGAAGTTCAAGACCAGCCTGGGCAACACAGTGAGACTCCATCTCTATTAAATAAAAATAAAAAATAAAAAGAAGTCAAGGAGCACACATTTTTAGTCCCAAATCTTCTGATAAACTCTGGAGTACTGGACAATTCATTTGATCTCTGGGGACCTCAATTTCCTCATATGTAAAATGAAAGAACTGGACTAGATGACTTCTGTGGGTCTAATTGGCTCTAACGTTTTATGACTTAACAACCAGAGATATTTTTAGAGGAACACTTCTCTACCCATGCCTTAGGTTCTGTTTCTGCCTTATTCCACTTATGCCTCCCTGAATCCAGTATGTTCCTCCAACAAGGAGGCTGACTTTCTTCAGTCTGTTGTGTTCTCAAACTCCTCCCAGAGTTCCCTGGCTTTATTCCTACTCCCTGACTACTACCCTTGCTCCTTTCTTTTTCATGTAGCCTAGGGCTCCACTGCCTTTTTCTCTTCTTTTATGTCACACCATTAAGTGGGTTGGATAAAGGCAGGCCAGGCTGGGAATTCTTCAAAGTTCTAGCCCGCTCTGGTCTCCCAAAGCAGGTAACTTGAGAGCCCTCTCTACATACTTCCCTTCCAGTCAGCCAGGTACACACAGACTTGGATAAAAGCCAATTCTCAAAGGGTTCAAAATATAACTTCTTGGTCTGGGTAAAACAAGACCATCTCCCTACACCCATAGCCTTCAATGAACCACCTTGCTTCTCCCAACATGGATAACTTCACTGAGTGGAGACAATTCAATATCATCTCTCCCTTTATGTTGACTTTGTGGTCTCTCTCTCTCTCTCTCTCTCTCACTCACTCACTCACTCTGTCTCTCAAAATGAAAACCAGCTGTAGCCACTCACCCATTGGTGTTCACAGCTCAGCCCACCACACACCATAACCTGCAGAAGTGACCGCCAGTTGTGAGAGCATTTGTATGATTCCAGATCTAAGACAGTGTTGAAGTCACTACACAAACCAAACATTGTAAAGAGCAAGGGAGTCTATGTAAATACAGTTAGGAAAAGAAGCCAAGGAGTGCGGCCAGAAAGGGGGAGGCCTGGGCCACGGGAGGTGTAGAAAATCATAGATAAGGCATACAGGCTTTATAGACAGCACATGCAGCAGAAATGTCAAAGTGTGAAGACCTGGAGCTTGGCATATTTTGAGCTGCTAAAGCCTAAAGGGCAATTAGGCTATAATTTATATACTGTAATGCTTCAAATGCTCCTAAGCTGTAATAGAAACACAGCTCATTAAATATAGCCAATCTATCATCCCCTTGAGCACCTTGTAGCTGTGCTGTGAGAAAACCAATCACCTTTACATTTTAATAAAAATATTATCTTGCCTGAGTAAAGAGAAAGGAATATAATTTACGAGATGAAAACTGAAATTTTTAAGGGGCAGGGTGAGAAATGGATGCATAACTTTTAATCAACAGACCTAGGGAATTCATGGTCTTTCTTTTTTAAAATGTGTCAGCAAGTCTTTAGAAGGTGAATTTGGACCTTAAAATCAGGGGGATTATGTTGTCAGTTACTTTTAGATCAGCAGTATAAGGTAAAATGGGTGAAAATTGGCCTTCTTTTGGAGCAATTAGCTAAGTCTCATTAAACTCAATCCACAGGCCTCCCTATACCCATATGGTTTTTAAGTTTTTTCTTCAGTTAAGACCTCTTCACGTCACTGAGAAAAATTAAGAAGTAAATATTGTTTCTACATACTTTTAAAAAAATTTCTACGCTAAATCCCTCTATTCATCCTCAGCAATAAAGCTGAAACAATCTTATCCAAAGAGAGCAGGTAGATTATTTATTAATAATTATATTGGCCTCCTAGGGTTGCTGTAACAAATTCCCATAAACTGGGTGGCTTAAAATAACAGAAATGTATTCCCTCACAGCTCTGGAGACCAGAGGTTTGAAATTAAAGTGTTGGCAAGGCCACACTCCCTCTGGAGGCTCTAGAGGAGAATCTAGTCTCTGCCTCTTCAGTTTCTGATGGCTGTTAGCATTCCTTGACTTCTGGCCACATCATTTCACTCTTTCTGTACTCACGTTGCCTCCTTCTCTTATGTCTGACAAATCTCCCTCTGCCTCACTCTTATAAGAATGTCCTTATGAGGACATCTGTTGTTAGAATTAGGATCCACAGAGAAAATCCAAGATAAACGCCTCCTCTCAAAATCCTAAACTTAATCATATCTTTTGCCATATAAAGTAATATTTACTTCGTATCATATCAAATAATATTCACAGGTTCTGGAGCTTAAGATATGGATGTATTATGGGGGGTTCCATATTCAGCCCACTACAGTAATCATGATTGTCATTATAAAAACTGAAAATTTTATAATATGTAATTGATAAAGTACACTTATCTATATTATCTTACTTAATCCTTATAATAACTCTGTTTGTGGGTAGAGATCTAAAGAATTAGATCATTCATTCATTCATTAAACAGTCATTTTTTGAGTACATACCTACTCTGCAAAGCTGAAAGCAAAAAAATACCAAAACACAATCCCTGTCCTTGTCGGGCACTCTAAAAGCTATCCACAGTCATGCGGTGCCTTTAAAATAACTTTCAACAAGCTTATGTTGCATGAGGTAGGGCCAGTAAAAGCCAGCTGAGAGAACAACAATCTCACTGGGAAAATTCATCTGAGTCTCATCTGGGATTCCCACTTTGGCTTTATCCCCAGACTTTAGATTTCTCCCTTCAAAATGGCTTAGTGTCTCCTCATGGGCCTGCCTACTGCTGAACTTCCTGCCCAACTGACCAAGCTAAAAAAGCCTGAAGCTCAATCTCATGCTTTCATCACTGGCCCTGAATACTCTGCTGAGTCTTGTCACCACAGGAGTGGCAAGAACTAGAAAGCAGGGGAAAACGGCTGTAAGACCATACACTGCCATTCACTAGTTCACTCTAGCTAGCTTTTCACTCAACTTGGCGGACTGAATGTCAGACCTACTGTGTGTTTGTTGGGAGGACCAGGTTTGTGGATATTCTTAATGAGTAGGTTTTAAGTACAGATTAAAGGCCTATCAAGAAATTTTGAAAATAAAATATAACACTGGGTAGTGTTTTAGTTTTAAAACTTCCACAATCAGAGAGAGAGATTAACCTTGCATGACTCACATAATGAATACCTTCTATCTGGAAGTTAGGTAATACCAAATTTCCAAATGTTCCTGAAAAATAAATCCTAAAGTTTCAGAGCTGGAAGGGAACTTAAGCATCATGTAGACTAACTACCTCTTCTTACAGTTGAGTAAATGGGCCCCAAGAAGTTAATGGCTTGCCCAAGTCATCGAGTGAAATTAAATAGAAAGCCTACTACAAATTCCAGGGTCATAAGAAAAAATATGTTTAACCAACAGCCCCTCCTTGAGATGGAATAACAAAAAAGCTCATGGCCCATGTCTATCAAGATCTGGAAAACTTTCGTCATCTATATATACAGAGAGACACAAAAATCTGAGTGAATTTTATGCAAATAGGCTTCAAGGAAACTACTATTGTACTTTATAATGAAAATATCATTAAAATGACTTTGATAACCCAAAAATCAAAATGGAACAACCTAAAATGGACTACTCTAGAAATGTAAGGATGTTTAAATTATTTAAGATTAAACTGTTAAGGCCGTTTTGAACTTTAGAAGCCCTTACTCTATATGTAAGAAAGTAGTAAGTCTAATATATGAAGTTAATTATTTTCTATTAACATAGGTCCAAAAACCTCTACTTAGCAAAAATATTCCAGTAGAGCTTTGCTTTTCTAGTTCACATATAAGAACTAGGACTACATTTCTTTCTTAAGATATTCTGAAATTCAGGCTTTATCATATGCCTTCACAATATCTTAATGAGGAATATTTAATTATAATCTGGGATATAATAACCCTTTATATGTATGAGCAATGTACCCTGAGGCATCACAAAGCACTTTCGAATTCATTATTTCAACTAATCATCCCAGCAACCCTGGGAGGTATAAATGGAAAATGTTTTGGCCACATTTTACAAATAAAGCAACTAAGGCTCAAAAAGGTCAAGTGACTTGCTATGAGTTAGTATAGTGCTAATAAGTGATATATTCCAGCTAGCATCTAAGTCTTCTACTATTTTCACTAAATGACAGAGCTTCTCTGGTAAAAATACGCAAAACAAAAAATATTACAAAAAGAGAGGTATTTTCTGGCTTAACAAATCTATGTTAAAAATATTTTACTCTTGCTCAAAGCCAATATTGCGGAAAATGGATCATCTTGGACTCTCAGGGAAATGTATTCCTTTTTAATCACTGCTTGATAACTTAGTGTCTTTTACCATTTTATTCCAAAGCAAATAGATGAAGTCTGGCGTGAAATGAGATGGATCATGGATGCTCTACAGTATGCAAGATACAAACAACCAGTTTCTGGCTTGCCCATCACTAAGCTGATAGACCCCTCAGATGAGCAGAGCCTAAAGAAGATCAATTCTACATCATCATCACATATAGACTGTCTTCCATCCCCACCCCCATCCCCAGAGATGCACAGAAGAAAGACAGTGAGTGGTAAGCAATGAGATCTGAAGTTCTGTTGTTTAGTCCCTGGACTTTTGATCCTCTCTTCACTGATGAGGACTTTTATGCTGAGGTATTGGTTCCAGAAAGTGGATGAAAACACTGCTCAGGGGTAAGAGTCTAACAGCATAGAGGAAACAAAATCAGAATAGTAGAGGAATAGGAAAACTAGAGCAGTAACCTAAGATCAATGCCATTTAGGGACAGGGAAGAGTCATTCCAGTTCTAGGTCACACTTACAAGATGCAAAAGGATATAAAACAGGGATACAGCTTCAAAGATGCAGACTGGGGACCACTGTGATGCCAAGTGAGGGCCACAAAAGCCAAGGGAATCTGAGCAAGACAAACTAAGGAAAGAGAACAGGCCCAACCTCTATTAAATAGCATCTGACAAGAACGAGGCAGGAAACAGGCCCAAACCTGGGTGAGAGTTTGGGAAAAACTTCCCATCCATATAGCACAATGTTCTAGAGTGGAAGGTGGGAAAGAGAGAAACCTTGGATAAACTAGAATCCTGAAACTGAGTCCATGTAAGTAGCTTGGCCTCATCATGGACATAATGAACTTTAAACAAGCTGGAGAAGATACCTAGCAAGGCACCTCTCCACCCTTGAGTATGAAGTCTAACAGCAAAAACCTGACTGGGTTAATATGAATTTCTACAAAATACCTCTATGCTTATAAGCAGAAAGAAAGCATACTAGGTAAAGGCAATAAAAAGCTCTTAGCCATGCTAAGGCTAGTGCCATTTTCTAGTCAATTAAAGTAATGGCGATTCAAAGCATCTTTCTTGATTCTATAGTTTGCAAGAGCTCCAATTTTGTAAGCTTCATAATATTTTTAATAAATAGGCCTGATTTGTGGATTTGTCCCATAGGGGGCAGCATGGTGTAACAGAAAGAGCTTGCACTTAGAAATCAGAGACCTGGATTCAAATCCCAGCTTTGTTTTACTAGCTGTATGAGCTTGAACAGATTACTACATCTGACACTCAGTTTCCATGTATGTAAAATGAGAATAATACCTATACCTTGAAGAGTTACTTGTGAATAAGGTAAACTATATCAATGATGCATGTCATATAATAGACAATATATTGTCAATACCCTATTTAATGTTATTTTTATTATAGAAAACTTTACTGGGAATCTGAGCCTTTTCTATGAGTAAGTTTGTGTCTGCACCTATATTTTTAAAACTCCAATGTGTAAAGTCAAAACTTGGCAAGTGGAAGAACTTAGGAGACAGCTAATTTACATTACCAAAGGAGTCTATGACTTACCAAATAACAAAATATTTAAGTAGAGTTTCTAGAGTGCATTTTTATAGACTGCCACTGGGCTAGAGATACAAATCAAATATCATCTCTGCCAGAAGTTAGGCTAATAAGAGAAACAGATATATTAACAAAAAATTACCTGGTAATTGCCTACCTGCTATGAAGTTATCAGTATTAAACTCTTATGATCAAAGAGAGCCTCCTGGAGGAGATGACAGAATCTGGTATGAAGGATAAGCAGGAGTTGAGCAGAAAAACAGGAAAGAGAAGAGCATTATAGGCAGAGAAAGCAGATTGTACAACTGTTTGTAGTTTAGGGAATTGCAAGCAGTTTGGCTGAAACTCAGGATCTAAGAACATTGTTCATTCTTTTCTTTCTATTTAAAAACTATATATTTACTGGCCACCCTCTATGTGCCAGGCTCTCTTCGAAGTAACAGGGATACAGTGATACATAAAGCAAAATATCTGCTCCCATAGAGCATACTTACATTCTAGAAACAGGGACAAAGAGTGAAAACATAAACAAACAAGATAATTTCAGATCGTGAAAATTCCAGTGTATAATACAAAACAGCAGTAGGGGTGGGAGTAGGCAGGAAGTGTGTTGAATTCACTAGGATGATGATCAGCAGAGACCTATCTGGAAAGATGACATTTGAACCAACCCCAGAAGAAGAAGCTAGTAATGCAGAGTTCTGGAGTTGGAATATTCCAGACAATAAAACAGCAAAAGGCCCTGAGGTAGGTGAGGGACAGAAAGAAGGCCAAGATCTTTGACACACAGTGAACAAAAGGGCGGATCGTGAGAGACAGGGTAGAGAGCAAGACAGAAGCCAGAAGCCAGAGTAGGCAGGGTTCTGCTGGTCATAGTAAAAAGTCTGGATTTTATCCCGCTTGTGATGGAAAGCCATTGGAAACTTTTAAGCAAGGATTGATATAATCTGATCTGTAAAATCAAATCTGGTTGCTGTATGAAGAGACCATAAGGGAAAATTATTGAAGCAGGGAGGCAACTTAGAAAGTTATTAACAAAGGAGACACCAAGTTTTCTGGCTTGGGTGCCTCATGGTATCATGATGGCACTTGCCAAAAAAAAAGGTAAGAGAGAAGGAAAAACAAGCTTGGGTGGTTGGGCATGTTGAATTTGCGTTGGCTTTGGAACATTCCGTAAAAAAGAAACATTCAGGAGAAAACAAGCTGCATGGAGTCTAGAACTCAGGAAAGAAAACTGAGCTAATATTATAGATTTAAGAATTTGTTTACATGTGAATGATGTTTGAAGCTAGGAAAATGCTTGGGATTCCCTGGAAAGAGGAGGTAGAATAAGAAGAGGAGACTGTGGAAGGATCCCTGTGGAATGGAGCATCAAGACCTATTAGACTAAGAAGGAACAACCAGAGAAAGAAGATTAAAAAAACAAGAGAGTAGTGGCACAGAATCAAAATGTGTAGAGAAAGGTTAAATTCAAAACCTGAAAAGCTTCAGTTGTTTTGCTTTTCTCAACAAGGAAGTCATCAGTGATCTAGATGAGAGCAGTTTTTGAAAAGAAAGAAATAGAAACTGAACAGAAGCTAATCAGGGATTAAATGAGAGGTAAAGAAGTAGGACAGGAATTTTCACTCTTTTAAAATCTTGGCTGCAAAAGGGAAGAAGGAGGGAAGGTAGTAGCTAGAGAAGTGTAGGGTTGAAAGGGCATTTTTTAAGGCAGGAAAGCTATGTATGCTACGATGTCCCACAATTTGTTTAACTCTACAAACAACTCTTCATTTCTATTTCCACCTTCGCAGCCCCTGTCTGCCCTCTCAGCTCACAGAACCTTCCCAGTGTTTAATCTTCTCTTGGCCACAGGGTTCTTAGTGGATTCCTCCCTGGCTGTATGAGGGTGGCCTTCTCTATGCCACAGAAGTGCCAAACTCTCACGTTGGCCTGAAGACGGGTTGCACCACTCCCTGCTAAGAGGATCTGGCCAATTACATTCAGATTTTATTATTAACTTAAAATGTGAGCGATCATCATTCTGTTTCTTAAAATATAACGCTCTCTTGGGTCCATTTACTTCTTGGAAGCCAAGATTCCATGAGCTATGAAACACAAAGATGTGGAAAGCAGCAAATGACAAATGGAACCTAATGATGGGGAAGTGCTGTTGAAAACTGGGGAGAAACATTTAGTGTCCTACCCCTCACAAAAGCAGAAGCATTTCAGAGCAATGAAATCTGTCACTGCATTCTCTGTCCTTCCCACAAGTGTGACCACTTTGAATTGTTCAAAAGCCATTTATGAAAAGGGGGAAATGCAATTTAGAAGAACATACCTGCTGGGTTACCCAGAGGGCAAAGTTTGCAGCATAATTCCATTCTGTGTGTATAGGATTCACTAACTTCAAAGGAGCCTGCTAGAAATATAGAGCCTATCACAAACCTAGCCTCTGATGCCAGCCCAAGATTCTGTTTTAAGGCTGTTGAGTATCTTGAATTGGTTTGTGTATATCTTTTGGGAGTAGGTGGATGGAGAATGGAACTCTTTCGCTTACTTCCCATTTCTGTGTGGTTTTCAAAACACAAAGTAGAACTCCTGTGCGTCAATTAAAATTAAGCATCTCTCAAGGACCCAAGGGGGAAAGTTGGCTTCTAGAAAATGCAGCTCAAGGCAGGGAGTGGAATGATTTGGTCCATCACATGGGTATTTTGGTGTTTTCTCTCCCGCTCCTTTTCTGTGGATATAGTGGTCACAGGCAGCAGCAATTTTTTTTTTTTCCAATACTGCTGTTTCTCCTAGTGACACATGGGTGAGGCAATAGAGGGGAGGGGGGTGTTGTTTCCTTCAGATGCATTTGAAGGTTATCCTGATCTTCCAAATGTAAATCTTGGTAACCTTTTTCCAGATGATGTTAAGAGTACTATGGCATAAAATACACAGCTCAAAAAAATCAACAAGAATCTGGAGATATTATTTCTCTTGGGATATCAGAAGGTGAACAAACCCCGGAGGTTCTACTGAAGGCCTGATGAAAGATTCAATAAAAGTCTTCATTTATAAATTATTTAAAGTCTACTCAAACACAGTGGAAATAAATTCACTGAAGCACAAATTTCATATATATATATATATATATATATATATATATATATATATATAGACAGTGGTACATTAAAACTGTGAAGATAGATTTTTGGGCAAATATGGATTATTATTCTTTTCTTTCTGTTCTGCCATGCCCCCTGCCTTTAAGAAAAAAGCAATAGCTTTAAGTCAATTATTCTTTCCTGAAATGTCATCTCCCCATAACGCCCTCAAAATCCACATCAACTCTACTCTGCTGTTGTTGGCCTGACCCACAGAGACCAGGAGTTACAACACTCATTACAATGGCAAGAAAGCCAAGCTTCCTAAGCCAGCACTAATACTATGAGCAGAACTTTCATCAAACAGCTCCTGGGTCAACCAGAGGGGAAATTCAAGGTTTTACCAGTCCTGGCCTGCCCAGTGGGCCCTCTCAGGGAAATTGAGGAGCATAAGCAAGTTTATTAAAATAACAACTGGGCAAGGTGCCTACAGTGGTTAATGGAGCATATGGCCTGAATCTGGGGATGGAAGCTGCACTTTGCATTCTTTTCCAGGAAGGGAGGGAGCAGCAGTGGCCTAAGTCCTTGGAAACTCTCCTCAGTGCCCTGGCTGGCATCCTGGAGATTTTCCCAGACTGTTCTGGGAGGGGTATCCCACTCTAAGCAATAGGTTCCACTAAGTCTTCTAATAAATAATACAATCACCATGCAAGTCAAATATTTAGATTCCCACTACAGCAGTGTTTCCCAAGTGTGGGTCCATGAACCAAGGAGATAATATTTACCCCTTAATATTCAAGCTCTTTTGTATCTCCTTCCTAGGTTACCATGATTATAACTAGGTCTTCTCTTGAAATCAAGAGAAGCTTTAAGTCAATAGTCTTTCCTGAAATGTCATCTCCCCATCTTTCCTGAAATGAAATCTCCTATCTCTCATGTTCTGGGAGCTACAGGAAATCAGTTATATCACTCACTAATTCACTCTAAAATGTAGTTTAGGAAATCTACTGGACTAGATCATCACCAGCAGAAGATACCATACAAGAAATTATTATTCACCTTTATTATCAACAGCATTCTCACCTTGAAGTATATCTGATTACTGGTTTATATTTTAATGATCTTAATATGTTATTCTCTATTTAGGGTGAAGAGAATTTCAATATTAATATCTTCTGTTTTTAAGGCACTTAAAGCATCTTTTTTTTCTTTTTTATGAGGCAGAGATTTACTCTGTTGCCCAGGCTGGAGTGCAGTGGCACAAATTTGGCTCACTGCAACCTCTGACTCCCAGGTTCAAGTGATTCTCGTGCTCAGCCTCCCGAGTAGCTGGGATTACAGGTGCCCACCACCACACCTGGCTAATTTTTGGATTTTTTTTTTTTTTTTTTTTTTTAGTAAACACAGGGTTGCATCAGGTTGGCCAGGCTGGTCTCGAACTCCTGACCTCAAGTGATCCACCCGCCTCGGCCTCCCAAAGTGCTGGGATTACAGGTGTGAGCCACCGCACCCAGCCCACTTAAAGTATCTTTGACAAACTAAATTACTCCTCATAGTACTTATTCATAGTACCAGTTCACAGAAGCTAAATGATTTGCTCAAGATCATATATGCAGTAGTTAGCAAGACAGGACTTCAGTCCAGGTTTCTCTAATTTTAAGACAATTGTTCTTTCTGCTATATTTGGGCTGGCTCTTCAGTCAAATATCAGCAAAGATAAAGCAAAATTATCTGGGTGATTGTTTCAGGAATCAATGGTAGATTAAGTAAATTAGATCCTTTCAGGATGCGTTGCTTTTAGTATTATTTCTAAGAGACAGTCAAATATCACTATTCGTTATGCTCCCAGATTTCAATATTTGTTTCAGTTTCAATTCCACTCAACATGCTTTACTGAGAGCCTTCTATGTACCATTTATAGCACAAGAGGTTACTAATACAATGATGATTAAGACACAGTGTAGTTGGGAGGTCTTCATAGTCCACTCATATGTCCATGTTCAGACTATATGATCTGGGAAATACAAAAGATTCTACACATCCCTTTGCTTAATTTGTTCCTTAGTCCATTCCTTTGTTGACTGACTTATTCAATATTTACTAAGCAGAGATGAGTAAGACATACATACTGCATGCTCTCTAGAGTTCATGGTCCAATGAGGAAGACAAATAGGAAAATGGATAATTTATAATAAAACTTGGTAAATGCAGTTACAGAGATATAAATACAATGCTCTAAGAGGCAAAAGAACTGAGCAACTAACTCCACCTGGGGAAAACAATACAGGCTTTCCTTGAGAGACTGGGTCTTAAAATATGATACTCCATTAAAATATTACACTGTCAGCTCATTTAAGGCACATTTCGTATACTCCTTAGTCCCCTCCAAACAGTATGTTCTCACTATTCGTATGTTGGGAGATCAAAATACAGACAGATTTTGCAAAGTGCTTGACTATGGACTGAAAGTGTTGCAAACTTCAGTGGTTGCTTCCAGTTCTAGTAATTTTTACTATCAGTCTTCTACTGGCCCCCAAAAACTATGTCCATGTCTGAACCCTCATAACCTATGAAAGTGACATTATTTGTTTTTTTTGTTTGTTTGTTTATTTGTTTTTTATTATACTTTAAGTTCTAGGGTACATGTGCACGACGTGCAAGTTTGTTACATATGTATACATGCGCCATGTTGGTGTGCTGCACCCATTAACTCGTCATTTATATTAGTTATATCTCCTGATGCTATCCCTCCCCCCTCCCACCACCCCATGACAGGCCCCAGTGTGTGATGTTCCCCTTCCTGTGAATGTGACATTATTTGAAAAAAGGGTCATTGCAGATGAAATTAAAGATCTTGTGATGAGATCATCCTGGATTATATGGGTGGATCCTACACCCAATGAAAAGTTCCCTTATAAGAGACAGAAAAGAAGGCACAGACACAGAAGAGAGGCCATGAGAAGTCAGAAGCAGAGATAGCAGTGGCATGCTCACAAGAAATGCTGACAGCCACCAGAAGCTAGAAGAGGCAAGAGAAAGTATTCTCCCCCTAGAACCTCCAGAGGGAGTGTGGCCTTGCTGACACCTTGATTTCAAACTCTTGGCTTCCAGAGCTGTAAAAGAATAAATTTCTGTTGTTTTAAGCCACCCAGTATGTGGTAATTTGTTCCAGCAGCCACAGGAAACTAATACAAGATCTAGTATGTTTCTCTAGTAGCAGCAATGTCAAGAAGCCCTAAGAGTTTAAGTAATTTAACTCTGTGTACCACAAAAAGTGAATTAGATGAACTAAGTGCCACTCCTCAGGAAGTTTCCACAGAGAGTCATGGAAATGCTAAGGTGGATGGCAGCATAGCAAGTCTTTGTAGTGAGACAGATTTACATTTGGCTGCCTATGCTACCACTTATCAAGAATACAAATTGGAAAATTTGATAAGCCTAAGCTTCAGTATTCTGATCTGCAAAATGAGAATTGCTGTAAGTGTTAAACAAAATAAAGCATTCAGAGTTCTTAGCATCATGGCTGGCTCACAGTAAGCACTAGGTAAATATCAGATATTGTTATTACCATTGTGGATACATGCACACAGCTGAACACACTGATCAGATAAATGAAGAAGGGAGTTCAACTACAGTCAATTATGAATTCTTTGCATGGGTCCTATTTCAAGAGCAATTTCAAATCCTCAGTTATGTTCTCTTCTTCCTCACTCTTAAGGCACCTGCCCCTGCTATCATCAAAAACAATCAACAATTTTGAAATCCTATTACTTGCAGTGTCCTAATTTTCCCACTAAAGATTGGAAAAAGTACTAAGGCTTTTTTAAAGAATATCAAAGTTATTTAGCCCAGGTCTTTATACATTTCTCTCCTTTTAACCTGGAAATATATGTTTCTTCTTTCCTAACCCCTTACCTCTGAGGACAATGTGTCCTTCCATCTTTCTCACTAAGCACCAATGCCAGCACTGGTGCTCACAATTGATCACCCCTCCTTATTATATTATCAACCTCACCACTCATATATTCAACCATTCTCTCTCCAATAGTTTCTTCTTCTCCACACTCACAAATACCTTCCTTCAGCTTTGCTACCCACATGCTCTCAGTTCATCCCCTCCTTGATGTTTTGGCTTCCCCTCAGCTCAACCTGTCCCAAATTAAACCATCGATTCTACCACCCAACCCAAATCAGGACTGAAATTTAACTCCTTTAGTTTAATTTCCTATCTTCCCAGGAATCACAGTTTGATATCTACTAATAACTTTGAGGCCTATACACTCGCTTCTCCCAGTTATCTGGAACACTTGTCCCTAAAACTATCACATAGCTGGTTCCTTCTGATCATTGGGTTCTTACCCAGACTCCCCTTTGTACAGTGATGCTTCCTCCCCTGGCCACCTTATCGAAAGCATCTTCCTCCTAAGTCACTCTTTCATTAAAATCCACTTTCATTGTCTTCACAGAACTTCATACTACCCAAAATTAATCTTATGTGTTTTCTGACTTATTGTCTAACCCACTCTCTTTGAGCTATTTGAAAGCAGAGACCATGTCTGTCTAGCACAAAATAACTGTTCCATAAACATCTTTCAATGAATGACTTTCCTGGACTTCTATTTTCTTCCACACAACCACAGCTCTTGCTTAGCCCCACAGCCTGAACAAGGTAAATATTTGGAGGGAAAATGTAGCTTGGACCACAGCTTCCCAGCTGGCCTCCCTGCTATCTCTTCCTCAGCATGTTCATCTTACATCCTAGTTGCTATCCTAAATCATAGCTCTCATCTTGTCAATTCTTCAAAATTCTTTGATGACTACCCACTGGCTACAAAATAAGGTACAAACTCCTTATCTAAGCATTCAGTACCCTCCTCTGGTTCCACCCTACCTTTTTAAAAATTAAATGCTGTTTTTAAAAATATGTTTTTTGAAATAATTATAGACCCTGAAGATTACAAAGAAATGTACAGGAAATCCCATGCACCCTTCCTCCAGCCCCCCACAATTTTAACATTTTATACAACTCATATAATATCAAAACGGGACTACTTGTGCTCTTTCTTTATCCTCTTTGTTTCTAATCCTCTTATCGTTTGTATATTTACTATTAAAAGCTACCTCCAGTCATTTTTAAAAGTGGATGAAGACATAAATTAATACAGACATAGAGATGAATGAATGGAGGGAGAAAAATAAATGAAATGATGATAGAGTATTTCATCAATCCTGTCCCGATAAAATATAATCCCTCTTTCCTATATACCTACACTTATTTGCTGAACTTCTCTTATAAAACCTATGTTCTGCCACAGTCTCACAGATGCATACTTTCTTTATACATCCATTAAAACAGTAAACTCCCTAGAGACAGATATAATTTCTTATTAATTTTATATCCACTCAAGCACCAAGTACAGTGCTTCTATTAGAGCAGGATCTCAAGTAATATAGAATCTTCATTGTGAATGAATGGATGAATTAAATATCTCTGCCCCAAGAGTAATTAAATATCTCTGCCCCAACAGCTGGGGCAGCTCCTTCCTAATGGAGGTTATGTTTGAGGAAAACCTTGAACAGATCAGTGGAGCTCAAAAAGGCAGAAGAGGGAATCCTTTTATTGGTAGCCATTATTTAAAGAACATATAAATTTATCTCATCCTTTGTAGCTGCTGGATAATATTCCATATACAGATGCGCCACAATTTATTTAACCGTACTCCTATTGGTTAGGATAAATTTTGGGTTCGTGTTACCAAAGACCCAAATAAGAATGTCATAAACACAAGATACTTTCTCTCTTGTGTGAAAGAAGCTCAAAAGGAGACAATTCAAGGTTGATATGCAGACGTAATGGTCTTCAGGCAACAAGCTCTATTTTTCAGCCCCACCATCCTAGCATGTGGCTTCTATCTCCAAGGTTGCTCCATGACCTCATCCAACACATCTAGTTACAGGCAAACTGGAAGGAAAGAGAAAGAATGTAATGACCCAGCTAAGCCAGGTCCCTTTATGTAGCTTTCCAGAAGTTTCATACCATACTTCCATTTCCATTTCAGTGGCCAGAACTTAATTATATCGCCATGCTTAGCTGCAGGGGAAGCTGAAAAAAGGCGGTCTTTTACATAAGTGCGTTGGTGTCCCAATTAAAATTAAGATTTTGTAACTAAACAAACAATAATGGATACTGGATAATGGATACTGGGTAACAACAAGGAGTGAAAAGGCAAAACTGACATCTTGCCCTGCCAATTAAGAGCAAGTACGCACATCATCTCCTACAGTAAGGAAGAAAAGCATTCCTTCTAGTTCTAGTCCCTAAAATAGAAGAAACCTTGATACTGACTCCCTAACAAATCAGACTTTATCCATGAATTTTGCAATATTCCGATGATAATCACGTCTGATTTTCCACCATCAACAGACTAACTGTAACCTGGTTAGAATGTGGGCTTTTTCTTCGATTAACTGTTGTATTTTTTAATGAGCAAGGTAGTCCTTCAGAATATGGAGGTGGACGGCAGCTAGGATTTGAAACCAGGTTTACCAACTTCCACCACTGGAGTCTCCTCTTCTTCGTTCACCCTTTTAAATTCCTGCTACTTTGTCAAATGCAAAAATCATCTCTGAAATAATAGGGAATGAAGAAATGAATAACATTTAGCTTTCTAGCCTGTTTCATCCTCTCCACAGCTGCCCAGCTAATAATAAAAGCGTGTGTGGGAAATGAGGGAAGGTTCCTCTACTTCTATCTGGGCTGAACCTGTCAGAGTTCCTCTCTTTCCTTTCCCTTACGCTAAGACCAGAGCCCACTACATAATTTGTGGGGTCCTGTGCAAAATGAAAATGTGGGGCCCCTAGTTCAAAATGTGTCAGCATTTCAGGAGGTGACAGCAGGGCATTAAACGAAGCACAGGCCCCTTCTAAGTGCGGGGTCAAATGCACTGTTCCTATGCCTGTGAAGCAGGCTCTAGCTAAGACTATATTTTTCCTAACCTCAGTTTCTGGCTTCGCAGATTCACAGCCCTGCTCTGATGAAGAAGCCTGCTCAGAAGTCTTCCTCCCCACCAACAGTGACTACGACTCCAGCGATGCCCTGAGCCCCAGAGACCTGGACCTGGTCTACCTATCATCTCACGACATTGCGCAGCAGACCCTTAGCGGCCTAAGCGGCAGCGCCCCCGACGTCCTGCAAGTGCACGACGTGAAAACCCCTCTGGGGCCGGGCCAGGATCCCCAGGGCGAGGGCCCAAATCCCGATCACTCATGTGCCGAGTTTCTCCATAGCCTGACCCTCACGGGGTTCACACCCAAGAACCACGCCAAGACTGTGTCCGGTGGGCGGCCCCCGCTAGGCTTCCTGGGAAAGCGGAAGCCAGGCAAGCACCCCCACTATGGCGGCTTCAGCCGCCATCATCGCTGGTTGCGCATCCACAGCGAGACCCAGTCGCTATCGCTCTCTGAGGGCATTTATACACAGCACCTGTCCCAGGCCTGTGGTCTGGCCCAGGAGCCCAAGGAGGCCAAGCGGGCCGGCCCTGCCCTTGATGATCCCAGGGGCCTAACTCTGGCCCACGCTGCCAGCCTTCCTGAGGAGCGGAACAGCAGTCTCCAGGACGCGAGGCCTTCCGTCCGCCGCCTCTACGTGGAGCCCTACGCAGCGGCCGTGGTGGCCCAGGACGAAAAACCATGGGCAAGCTTGAGCCCGCCCTCTGGAGGCCGCATCACCCTGCCCAGCCCCACTGGCCCCGATGTGAGTCAGGAGGGCCCCACCGCCTCTCCCATGTCAGAAATACTCAGCAGCATGCTTTAGGGAGGCCCATCCCGGCTGTCCACCCCTCCATGGCTGCTACCTGCGTTTTACATCACCCTTACCCCCATCCTGCCCCACTGTGTACCCACTCATTTTCAAGCGTTTTGAATGTTATAAATACAAAGGTTACAAGTTCAAGGTCCTCTTTTTTTGGAACAGAGTGGTGGGTGGAGGCCAGAGTTGCCAGTGCCATTCCCACTTCAGCCTAGAAAGGGCATGGGGGAGTTGTGTCAACATGGAATACGACATACAGTGACTCAAACATGCCACCCTGTTGGTGGCACCTATGACTGAAGCTGGCCATCCCAAAGAGAGACCCTCTGTTCTGCAGCTGGTTCTGTAATCTGACCCCTAGTTTAGGGCTCTTTCATGAATTTGTGATTGATGAAGAGAAGTTCTATAAATGAAAATAAGATTAGCATCATTTCTCCCTCCATTCCAAACCTTAAGAAGAGTTTGAGGGAAAGACACCAGGTTGTGTCTCTAGGGCACGGGGTCAGGTGGGCTTGACCTTGGTTCCCTGTCAGCTAAACTAGGTCATTCCAAAGTGCAGAATTCTCAGGGCTCACCTTATCCAATTTATCCATCAGTACTTATCTGATTAAATAGGCCTTGACAGGCCTTTTTTTCTTCGTATAGTGCTGTGTGGAGACCACCAGAAACAAAAGTGGAGAATTCTCTTTCAGCTCTACCTTGCAAAGATAGAATAGGACAGAAAGTAGCCCTTCCTGTATACTCAGCTCCCATCCAAGCATGAAAATGATCCATAGATTTTTACAGGGGTCAAGGAGATGGCTAAGCAAAGTGAAAGCCTGAATTACAGATAAGACAGGGGAGGGAGAGAGACATGGGCAGAAATATATTTCCTTTACAATTCTAAGTTAAGCAAAGTAAGTCCATGGGGGCTGTGTCTCTGAAAATCATAGTGGATCAGCTCCAGATTCTTTGGTGATGAAATTGTCATTGAACCAGAAAGTGCCCTGCAGATACGGTCAGTCAGCAATGGGCTCCTCACAACCCCACAGGCTTATCCACTCACCCTACATCATAGATCAAGGGGCAGATTGTCCAGGGCTAGGGTGGCTGCCTTTCCCTTTCAACCTACCTCTCCTTAGGTCAAATTTGCCTCAAAATCATCTGGCCCAATTGGCATCAGGGAAAATATGCTCAGAAGCCTTTACAAGTGGTTAATTCCAAGGATGTGCTAAAAACATCTGGAAATCTTGCTTTGGTCTCATTACCTCCTATCTGAATTTCTCACAGGAATCCAAATTAGACAAATCACACTGCATATTCAGAAAAGGCACAAGTTTCCTCATCTCCTGGAGCCAAGACCCATTCACTTCACTGACATTCTAAATGATCCTTTTCTGCTTCACAGGCATTTCAGTTAAATATTGCTCTTTATGGCCCTATCCTTGTCCACAGAGTTCTACCATTCCTCCTCATGGGAGTTCATACAAAGTCCCCTGTTCACAATGTTATTCTGATCCCTTCCATTTTAAAAACATTTGATTTAAACATAAATAATTACCCTGCTGCAAAGGTACAGATTTGGCCCATGGCCTATGGTCATTAGAAAACTAAAGCCCAGAGCTCAGACTTTATTTTTTTAAGAGATTTTATACTCAATGAAACCCTCAAAGAATCTTGATCAGAATCACTACAGCTCCTTTTTCATGACTGGGAGGATTTTAAAATGCAATTTTCTTCTGTCTAAGTGAATTCTATGTGCATGGAGAGTGTTAGAACTAGACGGGCCCATAAAATTTATCTAAGTCCGTGGGTTTGCAGGTAGGGCAATTAAGACCCAGAGAGGTTAAGTAACATGCTCAAGGTCACGGAGCTGGTTTAGTCTCAGAGTTAGGGTCAGAACTAGAATTATTCCCTTTATAGCAGGCCGTCCCATTGGGAATTGGTCCACACCTAGTTACCTCTTGATTGTTATCTACAGGGAATCTCCTATTTTGTAGATCATCTACCTACTTCTGATTTCAAATTCAACCTTTACCTAACAAGTTTCCAATATTACAGAGCTGCTTGTTGCCAAGGAATACAGACTTCATGTAATACACATCTAAGTTAACTTAATTAAACAGCAAATTTGGGAAAAACATCATTTCAAATTATGCCTCTTAGTTAATAACAAGAATGGCAGAGTCATTTGCACTCAGTTTCTACTTATTTCTAATTATAAAATGGATTACTTTGTTCAATGAGTTTGTGAGATGAGATTCTAGGATTGTGAAAAACTAAGAATCCAAGGTATTTCCTGATCCTGATCATTCTGGTGGCATAGGAGGAAGTTTGTGACTGAATCAGGTGGGAGGCATTCAACAAACAGGAGAGGCAGAAACTGACCCACCCTTCTGACCCCTCATTTGGTCAGTAAGTTCTGGCATACTGGACCAAAACTGCATTAATTTTAAACCTGCTATTTTATATTGGGGACATAAGGTTACTTTTTCATCTTCTGTGAGGAAAGAAGGCATGCCCACAAAAAGAATAATGCATGTTACATTTTAATGGGCATAGTTAAATCAATTGAAAATGCATTTTCTTAGCAACATTCTTAAATAAAAGTGGGTATGTTGTAGCTTCCATAATTAGCTATTATTCAGGTAGGTTTCCCCATACCTTCACTTTGCAATATTTTGTGAGCCCAGTTTAAATTAATACATTCTTGTGAGAGACAACTGTGTTCTCTAATTCACAGTCCTTTATTCATTTGGCCGACCTTCTACTTACAGAGACTTTACAATGTCTGAGGATATTTTGTTTTATTTTATTGTTTTTGTTTTGTTTAATTTTGGATACAATGGATTTTTGTCTTTCACTCTTTTTTTAATCCAATATGAGAGCCTCTGAAGGAAACTGTCCCAGGTCTTCTTTTCCAGGGTTTTCTAACATGCTTGATCAGCTTTCATCATTTGTGAAAATCCTCAAAAATCCTTGACTGAGGTTCTCCCATATGTCTATCTCAATTCTAAGTCCCATTGAGATCCAAAGAATCAAGTGTGAAACATAGTCCTAGGCCACAAGAAGCTCACAATCTGATCTAAGAATGTAGCCATACATTCACCATACATCTTCTCAACAATCTCTTAGAAGAGGCAGGAGCCTGTCTCCTCAGCCAGGCAGACATAGTGCATGTTGGGCTACATCTTTGATTTCTTCTTGCTGTACAGACTCCTGAGGGAGTACAACCTGGAAAATGCAAGTCATGGAAGTATATGTTTGGCAACTACTTAACAAAGCTAAAACATCCTCTTAATTGGCGAGGGTGCCTGGGAGACAGTAATTAAAAACATTCACTCCAGGGAATGAGTATTTTAAGAAGTAGGTACTTAAAGATGAGAGCCATTCCCTTTAAAGAACATTCACTAATGCTCGAAGCAATAATTACACTGGAGAAATTGTTTCATTTGGTTTGAAAATTGAAGCAAGTTAGTAATAATATTTCGCCAGTCCTCTTTCCTGAAGGATCCCAAAGCACTTTATGAAAAGCAATGACTGAAGCCTTGTTGTACTCCCCTAAAGAAACCTTGTCCAGGAGCCACCTGGCAAACACCTACTGTGTCCTTGCCAGGAGATCATGCCAGAGAAGTGGAAAAGAGGACTGGACCCTCGTTCATTGTTATCCTGCCACACAAATGTGCGCCCTGGTGAGTTTGGAGCTCTTCCCTTGAAGATAACTCTGTTAGACGAGGAGGCATCCCAGAAAATACCTGCTTGGCCTCCTCTGGTTCTTCATCCTGCAACCAAGATGTACTTACCTTCTCTTGGAGAACTCACTTAACAGCTTAAGTGAGTTCTCCAAGAGAAGGTATGTCTGCAACGCATTTAAGTTGCCTAGTTATGTCAACAAGACACAGAATTCACTGGCTTCTGAAAATGTACACATGTTAGGAAGGTGATGACATTTTTCTACAGCTCTCTCAACTTCGTATGTAGCAGAGCTACAGCAAAGAGTGTGTATTTCTTGGTATATGTGCTTATTAAGCTATCACATACCAATTAGAGAAGGTAGCTGTAGATTAACAAAGGAACACTCTCTGAGAATTTAAACTGTTGCATGGTCACTTTACAAAGTCTAAATATTTTTCCAGATGATTTAATGAAGCAAACCTGGACTTTTTTCTTCAAGGTCGTATCTTCAAGGAAATTTTTAAAATAGCTATTTGGAAAGCAATGGTATCTCTTCATAGGTAATAGGGTGAGCAAGGAAAAAAACTGTTTTCTTTGCTGGTCACCTCTCATAAGATGTTCAAACACATGGCTTATGACTGTTAAGCTAAACTTCAATGCGGCCTTACAAACAACAAGGGTAGTGTATTTGAAACCATGTTGTACCACTTGGAAACTTATTCTAAGATCTTAATTCAGACTTTTTCTGAGGTGTTGAACTTTGCCATTAGCAAAAAGTATTTTTAGAAAAATCCATTGACTGTTTATGAAGCACTGATTTTGCCATATTTCGGGTCTCTGCTTTTTCCACTGCATCTGCACACAGTAGTTATATTTGTTTTTTCAATTATTTCTTCTATTTCCACTAATAATGACTTTGTAAAACAGTTATTCAAAAGGATGGTTGGCTTTGTTTAACAATTGGATAGGTGGGCTGTGAAAAATATTCTATTGTGATAAAGGAAGTAGATTTGTTGTTGTTTTAAATATTATCATAGGGTCTTTCTCCTACAGATTTTTTTTTATTTTAGCAAAAGCCAATGTTTAACTTAGTGGCAAAGGTTACGAAGCTATTAGTTAAGGCTCTTTGCTCCTCTTCCTGCAGTCCATGCCATGAAAGTCTGAATATACTTTCACAGTAATCACCCTCCAGTGACTGATTTTCAAAAGCCAAGTGTGGCAAATTATAGTAAGTCACTCTGAGTCGCTGTATTGCCTCTTGCCTTGTGAAAATCAGATGTTTGGGGGTATCCATGTATGTGACCACAAGCATCAGTTTGATGTTTGTGATTTTTAAAAAAGTGTGTGTGTGTGTGTGTGTGTGTGCGTGTGTGGTGGTGTCAGAGAGATGTTTCATAGAAAAAGTAATTTAAGTGACATTCTCATTTGGCAGTATTTAATTGCTTCCTTCCTAATGTGTACATAGCAATCTGGCTGATTATTGGTTGTTACTTGTTCAGAATTTATTGTGTCTTATTGCTATGTATGCAACTGAGTGTATGTTAAAGTTTAGACTTCAGTACGCTATCTGCACAATTTTGTGTGCTTTAAACCTCTGTAAACATGCAGATGAATCATGTATGGTGTGTTAAATGTGACTTCCACTCTTGAAACAATAATTTTTTTGTATGTACATTTGAAAACTATTTGAACAATCTAAATGTGTACTGTAAATGTCCAGTACCCTCAATCAAAAACAGCACTGGTAAAATGTATGCCTCTTCAACCTACCAATTTATAAGAGGTCAGGGATAAATGAGAATTAAGTTAATTTTTCTAATGGCAAGTATTTTTGGTAATTTCTTACCTGCCTAAGTGTATTTTCAAGAAAAATTGTCGACAGAAGAAATCTAAGCTATCAGAGGGAATGACTTTATTTCATAAGCATTAATTATACTTTATGTCTTACCTAATATTGTTGATATCTAAGTCAAGCATGAAGTCAAAAAATATTTTTTATTCTTCATTAGATTTTTTGCTGTTTAAGGGACAGTTTCCAAGCCCATTTGTCTTAAGTGTGGAAAAATGTTGATTCAATAATAAACAAATAGAATTCTTAATACTTGGCTTACTTAATGCTTTTTCATGTCATGAAAAAGACACAAATTTTTCATCCTGAGCTTTTAAAATCTCCTCACTGAAACTTTGGAAGAATTATCATTTGTGGCATTGCTTTGGCAATTATCAGCAAAGTCTGACCAGCTGGCTCTTGATTAATCTGTACCATTCAAGTTATTTCTCTTTCATAATTGGTTATTGCCAAGAATTGAAAATACAGCAGCAGGTTGCCACAGCAAATACTCTCACCAAGTTGCACCCAGGAGCTTGGCCATGATAATCTCGCGTCTTCCTCCACTGCATGCACGTTTAAATGTCTTTGGTGCATTGCTGCATGCGCTATCCCATCTCAATTTCTCCATCCCTTCTGTTTCCACACCCATGAAGCTCCTTCTACCCCCACTCCCGCTGGCTGAGATCTGAGATTTCTTCTGTGTTTGAGAACACTACAAAGAGATTGCTTCCACCCTAGGAACCTGTACAAAGTTTCCCCTGAATTCCCAAGGGTGGGAAATGTGCTGCTTTGGACCACATTTGTCTTATGCTGTTTTACAGAATTCTTTTACACACAGACGAATTCAACTCTTTATTGGCATGTTTGTGGTCGGCTTTCTTGACAGTCTCAGAGGGCTGTTTTGTTGTCCTGGCCAAATATGCTGTTTTCCCTCTGTAAATTGTCATCTTTCTAAGCAAACCATTACTTTATTTTCCTAATTCTTTCTCTAAATAAAAGTTTACCTTCTTTTTCAAACCAAACAGATGACATTCTTCTCTAGTATCCCCTGTCTTCTATGAGCACTCTTGGGGTGGTATTGGAGTAGGGACAGAATGAGGTAAAGAGTAAGAGGAGCCTTTTCAAATGTAACCTGCTAAGTAAGAAGTATGCCTTCAGTGAATGCCTAACCCTTTCGATAAGTTATGCCAAGCAATATGCAGTATTTCCGTTTGCCAACAAGAAATCACTCCTTCTTCTCTATAATAAAAACAAATCATTTTAGGGAAGTAAGCAAGTTTAAACCAACAGTTTCTTATCAATTTAAAGTGACTCCTAGACAGGAGAAAAACATTCATAAGAAAATTATCTTACCTGATATTATCATAATATCAAGCAAGTTAGATCTTTGCAATGATTTTTTGACTATGCAAATGCATTTCCTCTTCAGGTAGCATGTGGCATTCCCGTCTTTACATGATGCTCCTTCTAGTGGCCTGTCCTGTCAAACGTTGCATTAAGATATTTTGCCAAAGAAAATACTAGTGTTAGATACTGACTACAGGAATTCAGGTACCAGTTCCATACTAGACTAGATCCGATGCTCTAAGAGAAAAACAACTGGCTGCTTTGTTACCCGTCACCCCACCCCAGCACATTTTATAGCACCTGACATAAATATCTGTTAAATGGGTAATAAACCGATGACCACCAGAAATTGTAGAGCGCGCACTTAAAATCAGGTTAAATCCCATACCTTGCTTAATTTCTCCATAAAGAATGGACATTAAGACTTTTTCACATGCCTACCAGCCTGCAACTCTCTAAAGTGGCTCAGATGAAGCTCAATTTGTCCCCTCAGGGTACCTTGAAAGTATTTCTCTATGATTTCCTGAAAACTTGCACCACTTACCCCACACATCACCTCCAGAGAACCTTGATTGGGTGGGAATGTACCGTCCAATCTGGAGCTGGCCCACCTGATGGAAGCCAAGGGTCTGAGGAGAAACCTGCCCTTTCTTGTGGTGCAAGATGCACCTCCAGATGGCCAGCAGTTTTCAGAGTGTCATGATATCTTGCCCAGTGATTGGGTACCACTGAATTGACATGCAGATCACTCAGCTCAGCCACACCCACTGAATACCCAGAAAACCTGCAAAAGTCTCGTCCTCGTGCCCAGTATGGCTGCTTTTGCACACACCATTTTCCTCATCCAGCTTTAATAACTGCAATTTTCTATATGTTTAGAAAACACTTTTCACAAGCACCATCCTTTCTGAGCCTAACAAATAGCCCTGTGAGATTATCAGGACAAGAACGTATATCTCTGCTTTACAAATAAAAAGAGTGAGGCTCAGTAGAGTGAAAACTAGGGCCCAGGACTCCTCACTTTCCAGAGTGCCACGTGCCATTGAGTTAGGTCCTTTGAGAAAAAAAAAAAAAAAAAAAAATTAAAAAGGCCACTGGAAGCTGTCTCTGTGGAAGACACCCTGAACAGCCAGACATGCGAGCGACATTTACACAGACACAGATAACGATGGCAAATGAAGCCAAACAAGACAACAAAGCACACAAACCCTTTCCCCCAAGGCAAAGTCAGGCACTCTGTGACTGCAATCAAGACACTTTTTCTTGCAGTCACAGAGGGCCTGACTCTGAGCTAGAACCTGGGCCTCATGGGAAAGAGTTGTGTGTTTTTCCTCTCTGAACTTACAGATAAAGGCGTTTATAAAATGTGTAAGCTCTATTTCAGCTTTGAAATTCCATGAATTTACACTCACATTGATTACCTATCAGAGATAAGCAGGGATTCTCAGAATGTTTCTATTTTCGGGATGCGTTTTGTGTTATTGTTGTTTTTTGGGGGTGCATAGGTTGTGGGAGCTACGTAGATGACATTGAATCTATTATAGAGAAAGAAACTGTGGGAAGTCCATGCTCAGTGTCCCCAGTATTCCCCTGCCCTGCAAGAAATCTTTCATCGCAGAAAGATTTAGATCAGGCTTCTGCCTCACCTGACCCCCGTCTCTCTCAGAAAACAATTTCACCTATTTCAGTTCCCCTCTCCTTGCTGTCCAAGTCACTGGGATCACAGTGGTTATGGTCTGGAATATCCCTTGGACCTTCCCCAGCATCTAATCTGACACCAGCACCGCCCACCAGCTGTTCTCTTAGATTTTGCCTGATCGCTGCTGTAAGATCACTTCCCTGGAGTGTCCCAGAAAGGGTCAAGGCATTGCACAACTCCAGGGGGCACTATTATTAAGTGTGGAATGTGCTCTATTAGCCACTTCCCAGAACCCAGGCATGAAGCAAGCTGGCCCTTTGCCAGACAGCAAGCCTGAATTGGGCATCTCCTTTGGGGTCAAGGGGAAGATGAGAGCCTGGTATAGAACAAGGCACCGGGCCCCACTTTATGAAGGATGTTTATCAGCCCACAGTGGGTCTGTTTAGCAGCTCAGTGTTGGACACACATCTGACTCTTCCAAGTTTGGGCCAACTTGAGCACCAGCTTGGACTTTGCTTGGGCCATTTTGGCTTGGCTAGATCCAAGTGTCAGGCATTGTTCTCCCTCTGCCCTCAGCAGAGTCTGTGAAGTCAGGACATCATCATTCTCTGACAAACATTCAGTACATTTCCCTGGGTCCCAGGAGGCCTGATATTGAAATGTTTTCCTCTCCATAGTTATATTTTCCTTGGTTGAAAGAGTTTTGTTTTGGAAGTTGCTACCCTGTCGAGGTAATGAGTCAGTTTGGGAGGCCGGTGCAGAGGGGAAAATGCACATCATTGGCAGAGGCCAGAAGGATGGGGGTGAGGGAAGATGGGAGATTCCCAGTGGGGGAGAAAGACCACACCCTCTTCCCCCTTCCACCCTTTTAGGAAGAACATAGCCCCTCCTTACCAGCTGAGGGCTTCCTCACGGGGACCAGGAGCCAGGCCCAACTGCTGCCTTAGGACTTGATCCTGGGAGAAATAGGCAAGCAGAAAAGGAGCTAACATTTATGGGTCATCTTTTGAGTACCATTTAATCTTCTACCTTATACTTTTTGTGAAAAGCAACAGCATTATCATCCACATTTTACAGACTGAGAAACTGAGGCTCAAAGGAAGCAAAACTGCATGCCCAGCATCACACAACCAGCAACTGGCAGAGCCAAGCCTGGAATTCAAGTTTAATATAGGAGTCCAATGCCCATTCTACTACGTGGTCTCTCTGCAGGATTCAGGCCTACGCAGAAAAGCAGACCCAAGAAACTTGGGGATAAGAAGACCCCGTTGAGGGACAGCTGAAATTATCTGACTCCTGGCAGGGAAAGCACTGTTGGCAGAGGGAGAAGAGGAGGTTTATGGACTTAGGCCACCCTTTTTCTTTGCCTCTAATTGCTCCTCTCCTCAACTTTTCCATCCATACATTTTCTTCACATGGAGAGAAAAGTCATAGAGATACAAAAAACACACGTAAACGCACAAACACACGCAGATCTCTCACTCACACACAACACAAGTACGCACGTCCATACAAGCACAGAGGCACACACATCTGGAGGTAAATCTCAGGATTCAAGGGTTGGCCTCATGCCAGCCCTGAGCCCCGAGTAGCCCACTGAGGAGCCCTGGTCTGCCTCACTTTGGGAGGTCAAATCAATGAAAGAGCCCTGGTAGTTGAAAAAAGAGAAAGGGAGAAAGAAAGAACACCAGCACCTCTCATGATGGGAGGTCAGAGCGAATGAAACCAGGAGAAGGGGGTGGGGGGCAGGGTGAGAGCAGGGGGGTGGGGAGCCTGGGGCTGGCAGCTGAATTCCTACCCTGGCCCAGCTCCAAAAGATTAAAATAGAGCTCTTAGAGTGTCCCCTCCACAGACCAGCCTGCCAGGGGCCAGACAATACGTGGGTTTGTGCTCCAGCACAGGCCTCCAGAGAGGTGATGTTTTTACCCGGACGGCGAAAGGCACAGAGGCAGGTCTAAGCCATTCCAAGCCTCCTTCGGCTGGCAGTCCCAGAACAGGCCACAGCACAGGGAGAGCTGCCGGCTGCTAGGGCGCACACAGATTTACCCTTTTCTCTTCTCACCCTGGGGCAGGCCACTGGACTCCTACTTCTTCATTTTATCTACCCTGAAACACCCAACTGGCAGGGCTATGTGGGACAAGGTCTTAGCAGATTCCTTATACTCTAATTGCGAAAGAAAAAAAAAAAAGCATGCCTGTAAACAGCCAGCCCTACCCATGAGGGATGGACAAGGCGTCCCTCGGGATTATCTGAAATACTCAGATGAGTACAAACACTTCATTTTCTCAACCAAGGAACACGGCTTCCCCAGAAGGAAGCCCTGCTGGCCACTTGAGGTTACATCTTGGAATTCTTGAGGGTTTCAGGTGGCTAGGTAGGTCTCAAGTCCAACATCTCTGACCAGTATATCAGCTAAACACACAGGCTCTGGAGTTTGCCAGACGGGGGTTCTACTCCTGACTCTGTCCCTTAAGAGCATTTTGAACATGGGCAGGTTACTTAACCTTTCTGGGACTTAGGTTCTTTGTCTCTGACAGCACCTACTTATGGTCTTAAGGGCTAAATGATCAAAATGTATGGAAAGTGATCAAACCAATGCCTGGTGTGTCACTGGCAAATGTTAGCCAGAAAGAAAGATTGTTCCATCCTGCCAGGTCCCTTATAAAGGGGGAGAAAATAAAATTTATCAATCAGACTTTTGATAGTGAGAATGGGTGCTACCTGGGCAGAATCCTGGGACACTGGCTTACCAGGGACTACCTGGGAAAACTGGGACATAGGATCCCCTTCTTTTATAGCCTTTCAAAAAGTTCCTATTTAACACTCCATCAAGGTAATCTCTTCTAAAATGGCCCTAAAGTTTACTCTATTGCATAAAGCCCATTAAAAGCCACAGTCTTTTATAGTATGCCATATCTATATATAAAATTCTTATTTAACATATAATCATATGTTATAATATAATATGGTAAATGATATTATGAATACAGGACTTAAAATTGAGAAAATTCTGTCATCTTAATTTTTTCTGTTAATTGGAAAAAAATAGCTGTTATTCCATTTTAATGGAAAAGCCCCTTCTTTCATCTCACAGAACATTAATATTCTACAAAAGCAAAATTAAAGAATCAAGAATAGTCCCTAGGGAAGTGAGAGATGGAGGACAACTCTCATGATCATGACATATTTTCTTTAAACAGTTTTAATTATTCACGTATGAAGATCAAGACATAAGATGCCCAACTGTCCAATGTGCCTAGCATTGAGGACATTGGACTTTCAGTTTTAAAACCAGAATGGTCCTGGGCACACCAAGGAACTGGTTGCCTCAATGAAAGAAGAAAACACCTGAAAAGTATACAAGGATTCCTTAGCACGAAACCAGCAAACAGCCTCAATCTATCAGCAATCATCTTTAGACCCATTACCAAAACCAGACAGCTCCCCAAAAGAAAGTAATCCTGGTCAGCCAGGTGATTTAAGAACTTTCAAATGCGGAAAATGCTTGAACAGCATTTTGTGTGTGACTGTTTTGAAATACACTCTTACTCTTAAGCCTCTGGTTCCTTCCACTCAACCTGGCCATCCCCTCTGTGGTCCCTGGATGCCTCTGGAATGTGCCTTCCTGGGTCTCTGGAAGACCCCTCCAACATAAGGTCTTGGTGACCTTTTTCTAATTTTATGTTTTTGTTTGTCTGTTTGCTTGCTGGCTGGCTTGTTTAAAAAGAATAGCACCTTCCTCTGGAGTGTTTTGCTAGCATTAAGTAAATTTAAAACACATGGGAAAGGCCGTATGGTTTACAATGTAATCTTGCTCTTCATTCTCACTACGTATAAGGTGGGCAGTGTCATTGTGCCCATTTTTTTTAATGAAGATACCAACTCTAAGAGAATATAGCCAGTAGGAATAAAAAAAAACAGAAAATTCAGATGCAGGTCTTCTGACTTTAAATCCTATACCATGCCTCAATATTAAAACCCGTTTATTTTATTTAACATGGAGTGATATTTAGATATGGTTAGTCCTTGCATTTCAGCTGAGTCATTTAAAACACACACAAACACACACATATACACACACTCACCAACACATATAGACCAATCTCAAAACTGCATCCAAATAAACTAACCCACCTCACTCCCCGACCCAAACAGTGAACAGATGCATTTTCCTGGATTTTACTTCAGACAAATAGTCACTTTGAAAAGTAAAACGCTGCATATACACCATGTAATACTATGCAGCCATAAAAAATGATGAGTTCGTGTCCTTTGTAGGGACATGGATGAAGCTGGAAACCATCATTCTCAGCAAACTATCACAAGGACAAAAAACCAAACATCGCATGTTCTCACTCATAGGTGGGAATTGAACAATGAGAACACTTGGACATAGGAAGGGGAACATCACACACTGGGGCCTGTTGTGGGGTGGTGGAGAAGGGAGGGATAGCATTAGGAGAGATACCTAATGTAAATGACGAGTTAATGGGTGCAGCACACCAATATAGCACATGTATACATATGTAACAAACCTGCGCGTTGTGCACATGTACCCTAGAACTTAAAGTATAATAATAATAATAATAATAGAAAAAGAAAATGCTGCATAACAAAATAAAATAATGACTTAGCAAATTAAAAGAGGAGGGAGAGGGCGGGCGCGGTAGCTTATGCCTGTAATCCCAGCACTTTGGGAGGCCAAGGCAGGCGGATCACGAGGTCAGGAGATCAAGACCATCCTGGCTAACATGGTGAAACTCTGTCTCTACTAAACATACAAAAAATTAGCCTTGCGTGTTGGTGGGCACCTGTAGTCCCAGCTACTTGGGAGGCTGAGGCAGGAGAATGGCGTGAACCCAGGAGGTGGAGCTTGCAGTGAGCCGAGATCCCACCACTGCACTCCAGCCTGGGTGACAGAATGAGACTCCATCTCAAAAAAAAACAAAAAAGAGAAGAGAGAGAAGACAGTACGTTGTTTATCACACCATTGACTAGCATAAAAGAATGTAAAACTTGCTACCAGGTAAAACCAATACATTAGGAAATGTATCCAATAGAGAGAAAATCAGTAGTAGATAAAGAAATTTGTACAACATGCTTATTGCAAAGTTGCTGGGCGTGACACAACTACCTGGAGACAACCTGAGTGCCCACAAATAGCGAAACAATTGGACAAATTCTGCTGCATCTTTAGTATTGTTATGAAGAACGGGTAAAAGCCATTTACATTGACATAGAAAGATCTCTATGATGGGTTGGAAGAAGGTAAGGAAGGAAAGTGGGAGAATAAAATGTATTTTTGTAATCCAGCCTGCTATAAGCATTGTTTTAAGTTCTATTATATGCATATGTATGTTTATATATATATATATATATATATGTGTGTGTGTGTGTGTGTGTGTATGTGTGTGTATATATATAAACATACACAGAAATAAATATGAAAAGAAATATAAGTTGTTAACTTCAGAGTTTGAGCTAGGAAAAGGAAGGGAGAAATTAGTAACATTTTTATATGATTCTGAATTATTTGACTTTTTATTTTTAAAAGCATATATTATTTCTGTAATTTAAAACAATAATAAAGTAAGTCAAAAAGAAAATAAACTAAGCCCAGAATTTTGCCATGTCTAATTTGAACAAAGAAAACTCAGATTCCTCCCTTACATCTTTGGGTTCATCCAAATGAACTCTCTTAATTGGCCCCAGACACTGACATCTGTGTGAGACTCATCCCCTCTTTACTCTCTATATTGGTTTCTAAAATGGCCACTTCTGCTGGATGTTAAGATTTTGGTTGTGAACTATCCTCCCACTCCCACTTTTCCCTCCACACACTCACCCCCAAAAAGACTTTGGTTCCTGCTAAAAAGGCCAAGAATAAATCCTCTCCACCCCAATTATTCTACCAATACATCATTTTCCCTACTCTTTTCTCCCTAACCTCCAGATGTTGGACTCTGGAAATGGATAACTGTGGGAGGCAGTGGAATCTCCCTCTCCAAAGGACTTTACTGAGGGAGCGAGTCACATCTGTTGAGGATGGCTTGGATTTAAGTGCAGTTAGAACAAGTTAGTTATGGGTGGTTTGTCATTTTTGGAGTGCTGATTGCATACAGAGCCCAGTGACAGAGAGGGGCAGGAAATCAGGAGCCCTGGTGGCAGAGCAGACCTGCACAGAAGAAATAAATTGGTTGCCTGATGAAGCAATATTTGATCAATGACTTGTATGGACAACTCCTAGATTACACTTTTAGACCATATAAATCTGAGAGATAGCTTATGCTAGATGATAGACTATTATTCAAAATGGTCTTGACCAGCAGATTTCATTTAATAGAGATTAAAGATAATTTCTGTATTTGGTTAATCTAAGAACAAGATGAGAGAATTTTAGCTGGGCAAAGGATTGGGGGGATAAAAAGAATTAATTCAGGTGTTTTAGTTAACAAGCTCGAATTAATCACAGTATAAAAAGCTGCTTTTTAAAAAAGTCCACTAGTGCAATCTCTAGATATTTTAACAGAAATAGATCCATTCATATAGTCATTCTTTTGTTCATTCTTTCAATAGCAAACATTAACTGAATACCTATTACATGCCTGGCACTGTGCTTAGAATGTGTTAATGAGCTCTAAGAGTTACATAGTACTCTTTATTCATAGTTTGAGTCTTATGTTCAATCCGGGATACCATGTTTTATCTTCATTGTCACACTATACAAGGATAATAGATATATACCAAGTCAGGCACAGAATAGTCAAAGAAATTGAAGCTGTCTAGCCAGAGGTGTTAAGGTATGATAACTGCAGTGAAATATCTGAAGGATTACTGTGACAATTGTTAAGTAGATTTACTTTATGTAGCATCATTTAGGAGAATTGACCGTGATAGTTTAAAAACATGTTTAGAAATTCTGTGATACCCTTCAAAAGATGGAGCCTAATTCCCCTTCCCTTGAATGCGGGTTAGACTTAGTGACACGCTTCTATTGACTAAAAATGTGGCAGAAATGATTATGTGTGACTTCCAAGACTAGGTCATAGAAGGCATCGTGGATTCCTCCATGCTCTTTCTCTGGGGGAAGCCAGCTGCCATGTCCTAGGGATACTCAAGCAGCCCTATGGAGAGGCTCACCTGGTAAGGAACTGAGGTCTCCTGCCAACAGCCATATGAGCAAACCATTTTGGAAGCAATTGTCCAGCTTCCAGTCAAGCCTTGTTTGACAACAGTCTTAACCAACAGGTTGACTTCAACATCATGAGCTATTCTTATCCAAAACCGACCAGCTAAGCTGCTCCTGAATTCCTGAACCACAGAAACTGTGTGAGATAATAAATGTTTGTTGTTTTTAAGCTGCTAAATTTGTAGGTTAATTTGTTATTCAGCGATAGATAAGCAATACAGTGACCAAAAGATTCATCTGAGAAGGAAACCAATTTAACCTTAACAGAAAAAATAATTGCAAATGAAAACTTTTGTCTAAGAGTGGAATGGTACCACTCACAGCTGAAGCAGTGAGATCCCTATGTTCAACCAGAAGCAGGACCACCAATTCTCAGGATACTGTGAAGGTGATATCTACACTGGGTGCATGAGCATGAGCTTAGAACCCAAATTCTTTATTTTTCATCTCATTCTTCATATTCCAACCAGCCACCATTGATTTCCTAACCTTCAATCTTCTCTCTGGTTAAGAAAGTAAGGTCACCTTCATAGCAATGCAAAGCAACCCTGGCATGATTTTCCTCTGGATCTTATTTGGGGCCTGACTGGCTTGCTCCCACCATGGAGGAGCCATTGCTTTGTTTTTGCAATGGCACCTCCACCATGATTTAGAGACCTACCAAGTTGAAATTGGATTTAAGACCTTATTGGCCCTGGATTGCACCAAGAGCACAGTAATCTCTTCAAAGCCCAAGCTGCAGCAGTCAGCATTCCCCCTGCTGCTATTGATAATTTGTACCATATTGACTGGGTTACTTATCATTTGCAAACAGGATCCCATGGTGACTGGATGTCAAATACATGGAAATAACTCTTCATCAACCTGGAGTCTGGGGCCCACCCTCCACCCACCCTTTGGCCACCAGAATGCCGGGCAGCCCAGGCTGTCCTTACCACCCACATACCCAGCTCATTGCCTTGCTAAAGGTAAAGACCTCAGCCTCATCATGCATGCAGCTCCTGGGGGGAGGGAGGGATGGAGGGAACTGATGGGGACTGGGGAATCCCAAAGAGTAAACCCAAGGCAGGTGAAACATGCCCAGGACCTGAAGGATGCAATTAAGCCCAATTCACCGGGATCCAGAGTTTTTCTACCAAATTCCTGAGGAAACCAAATTGCATAATGTGTGACTTATTCAGAAACACACATCCCCGTGTTGTTGGCCAAGGCAGAGGCAATGTGGTGGGGGTCTTAGGCAAGGGGTGCAGGTGCACAGAAATGAAAACAACAGACTAAAACAACAAGCTCCCTGGTCTATAAAGAACAGCCCCGTGTTTTGCCGGATTCCTCAGTCAGAGCGAGCATGCATATATATGTGGGTTCTTGTGTGCATGTGCAGCTGGGACTGGGGGTGGGGAGGGTGGGGCCTTCCAGGGAGGAAGCAAGAACATGTCTACACATTTTAAGTGGCAATTGCAAAGGAAACAATCAGAGGTGCTCTCACATACATTGGGCACTATTTACTTTTTGCCGGCTCCTATAACTTCTGAATCTCCCCCTTCTCGTTTCATAAACATTTTGTGTATAGTTTTAGGTGGCAATATTTTTGCTCATTTGGGAAGACTGTGCCTTTTTGGAGTTGAATCAGGCTAACTTGTGCCTTCCATGTTTCTTCAGGAGTGGGAAACAGGAGCAGTGACAAATGCTAAAATGTGGGATGGGGCAGAATGGTTTGAGATGAGAGAATTTGCAGAAAGCCAGGAGGAAGATGATTGTTTAAAAAATAAAATTTTGTCATTGTCCCGCCTTGGGTCTTTTCCACACCTTTCCAGTGGAAAGCCTGTTTAACCTGCTTTAAAAAAATTGCAGCAATTGGAAGTTATGAGTAAGGGTTGTGTTGCTTTTCTATTTGACCTCCACTCCTGCAGGACTGAACAATTCAATCTCTCTTTCCCAGCTTACCTGTGGCATGTGGGGCCTGCTTGACTTGAATAAATGGCTGTTTATGGATGATAGCATCTGGTATGCCCCTGATTAGGTCACTGTGTTATGTTAAGTATTTCTACCTCCTGGTGGAGAAACCAAAGCTGACAGTTCTCAAGACCACCACTGCCCAACACAGACAGCACAGCACCCGAGATTGGATCTACCCCTTAGAAAGGCCAGTTAAGCTTTCTGTCAACTTGCAGCACTCCTCTGGGACTGTAGGAGGAGAGCAAAAGATAACAGCTTCAACCTAATAATGACAATATTCATACTCCAATGGAGAACCTATCTGTACAGGACTCTGAACACCTCATCTGGTTTGATTCTCACCACCACCCTGGCAAAGTTGCTATTGTTGCTTTGATCCCCATTCTACAGATGCATGGATTGAGGCTTGAATAAATTAAGCAACTTGCCCAGGGCCTCACCTGAAGTAAATAGAAGGCACGGAATTTGAGCTCAGGTCTTTCTGGCTCCCAAGTTTAGAACTGTTCTACCATAGGTTCTGGGAAAAGCAGCCTGGAGCAGTGAAAAGAGTCATAAATACTGTGCAACCCAGTTATTCAACCTCACCTTGCCTCAGTTTCCTTGGCCATAATATGTTAGAATTACTACCATTACCCTTAATAGGACTGCTGTGGGCCAGCTGAAATCTTAGATATGACTTGAAAATTTACTGAGTACCTCGTGGACAGTTTGTTGACTGAAAGAATAGCAATAAATGAATCAATAAATAGGTAAACTAACATTTCTTCTGAGTGTAAGTTCCCAAAGGAACCCCTATGACTGTTAGGAGAGTAATCTAAAGACTCCCACTGCTAGCTCCTGAGTTCCTGAACAGCAATGGAAGATTTGGATCTTTAAGATCAGAGTTTCCTGCATGAAGCAAAGAACTATGTTTTCCTGAACTGTAGGCCAATGAAACTCCAAAAAGACATGTTTTTCCAATGTTCTCTCAGTAGCTATCCTAGGATGTAGAGGAACATGTGAAAAAAAAACCAAATGGATTCGTTTTTTAATAAGGTCTGAAAGGCATACCAAATTATTTCGGTTCTCCAAGGTGTCTGCTTCCCTCCAGCTGTCCAGGGTTTTCAGCTGGGTCTCAGAAACGAAGTTCAGGACACCCAGACAAGTAATTCTAACCAGCAGTGCCAGGAAAATATTAATGTTTAAAAAAATAAAGCAGAGATTTGTTTATTTTTTAAACATGTACATATCTTCCTATAACGTCCCTCACACCCAACAGCCCTGGACAATTCTGCTTTCACCTGAGCAGGATTAACAAGTTCAGAGCCAAATCTATTCGTGTCTCACTAACCCAACCTTGTAAGCATC
Organism: Homo sapiens; assembly: GCF_000001405.40. Classification (NCBI taxonomy): domain Eukaryota; kingdom Metazoa; phylum Chordata; class Mammalia; order Primates; family Hominidae; genus Homo; species Homo sapiens. The sequence continues at coordinate 56,530,228 of NC_000017.11, forward strand.
ACCCCCAACCTCTTTTTTCCTCTTGACGCTGATTTTCAAGCCTTCACTCCCCTGTGAGATAAATTGGTTCTATTCCGAAGATGGTGGGGGCGTTCGGCTGGGATGACGCCGTTGTGGTGAGCAAAGCCTCCGGAACTATTGGGCCTGAAACTCTCTCCAACCCTGGCCTTTAAACAGCCAGTTCCCCAGATACGGCAGCCAAGGCCTGCTGCCTCCTGCCTTGAGAAACAGCCCAGGGGTCGCAGAAGGAGACCCCAGAGAGCCATAGGGTTAACCAACCAACCATAAACATTACCTCCTCTGTTGATCTTCAAAAGTTTGGGGAAAGAAAACAAACCACATAAATCTTTATCAGGGCTCCTTACAACTGCCCTGGGAGGTGGCTCCAAGAAGAACTCGGTAGTGACTCTGTACGGAGGATAAAAAATGACTTCAATGAGCAAATCCAGTGCCAGAAACAGATTGCTTTTATTTCTATTTTATTTTTTTACTCTCCACCCACCCTCCACCCCCATAAAAATGACTTCTTTTTGTTATTTGCCACCCAGAAACTCCATGGCGAGAATCCCTAGTCTTCTATTGGCTTCATTGTTTCCACTGTAGATAATTCCTGGACAATGCAAAAGAAAGAGGAAACGTTAGCTCAAGGGCTATAGTGTTTAGAAGTCAAGGGAAGAGGTGCCATGTCCATGTTAGAGGCTAACCAGATAACTAACACATCTTCTATGAATGGGATCATGGAGTAGAGTAGATTAGATGTGGGACGGCCACTCCCTCCTGAAAATCTTTCAGTAATACACCTTTCCATCCAGGACAAACTCTCCAAACCCTTCCTAAACTTCCAAGCAGACATACAAGGCGGTGTGGCCTGCACCCAAGAGCACAGAATCTAAACCTGGCTTCTGACCCTCACTCTCTAGGGGAACTTGGGGAAGCCACTCACCTTCTGCAGGCCCCATGCCCTCATCATAATAACAGTAGGTAACATTTATGAGCCATCTAGTAACTCCAGCTTAACATGTTGTTAAATGCCTTGTGTACATTTTAAACCATAACTCTCTGAGGTTTTATGAAACCCATTTTACAGATGAGGAAACTAAGACTTACAGAGGTGAAGTAATTCATCCAAAGTGACATGAAAACAGGGATAATAGCACTTACCTCATAGAGTGGTGAGGAGTGAATGAGATAATGTCTGTAACGTGCTTAGCATGATTCCTGGCACCTCGTGAGCTCTCATTCAGAGAGTTCTCCCGCCTCTGGAAATCGTCCCTGAACCCTGACCCTCAACCTGCCCCACCCTCCCAACCTCTCTACTGGGTCCCTGCTCCCAGGCCCTTGTCAGTCACCCCACCTCAGGAGCCCTTCAGGGGCAGCGATGTGTCTCATTTCTGTAGTGTCAGCCAGTGTCTGGCACACAGTAGGGGCAGAGTAAGTGAGTGTTAAACAATGAATGAAACGTTATAAGCAAATGCCTAATTAGTAGACAGCTAATGCAAAAAAAAAAAAAAAGCAAAAATAAATACTAATAATGAAATGACTTGTTCTAAGGATGGCAAAAGATCCAAAATTTCCTGGAGGAGCCTGTATGCTAGTGGAAAAATGTACAAAAGGGAACGAGGAACTAAGTCATCCTCTTTTTTTAAATACCAGCTTTCACTGCAGTTTAAGGGCTTCACAGACTTCCCCAGAATGCCCATGAATCATAGGAAGAGAACCCAAGAGTCCTGGGTCCCAGCCATTCTGACTAACTTTAGCAAATGTCCTCCAAGCCCATGGAAGGCAGACTGGTATGGAAACCACACCCATATCCACCTGTGTGCACACTCACACACACCTGCACACACACACACCTGCACACATACACATGCACTTACACAACACCAACAAATCAATCTCTCAGCATTGACTGAGCACTTAGCTGGTGCAGTGCCCCTTACAAAATTCAGTAATAAGATATAAAAGATTCCAAAGACCCCAGGACACTGACCATACAGAATGAACAGTCTAGCTGTGGAGTAGGGGCTGGGAAAATGAGCAAGTGTATTGCTATACTAATAATACTAGCTATCATCTTCCGGATATGTGCCAGGGATACACAGAATCCCCAAGGATAATGTGTTGTTTGAAAACGGATGTTCATTCATTCAACAAGTGTTTATAGTGCTTCCACCCTGTGCCAAGTGTTGTTCTAAGTGAAGAGGATAAAACAGTCAACAAGCTGGACAAAGGCCCTGCCTTCATGGCGTTTACCTTCTAGTACTAGAAATTTTAAAACCCAATGTTACAAATTTGTTTGAAAACGGGAATGAAATGTAAAACAAACTACAGAAAGTTAAGCTTCACACAAAGCTTCTCATTTACTGGGGAAACACAGAAGATGGTGATTCTTTAGAAAGAAGAGGACAGGTGCCTTTGGCAGAATCTTTAGGAGGTAGGATGGTGGAGGCTGGTGTGTTTCTCAAAAGGCAGAAGGAATTAAAAGAGGCCTCCTTAAAGTTAGGGCACTTACCTGATGTCCTCCAACTAGTAGCCTAGGGATATTTCCACCAGTAAAATTCCCTCTCCCATCATATCCTGAACCACATTGGCAAGATATGGTGGGAGAAAGCCCATTGGCCTGGAAGCCAGACAGAGTGCATGTAAGCCCAAATAGTTCATTAACTCCTATAAAATTGTAGGGTAACCACTCACCTCCCCATTATGTAACAAGAAGCCTGGGTATAAAGCTGCTACTTAACGATTCTTCTCCTTCTCCTTCTCCTCCTCCTCCTTCTTCTTGTTCTTCTCCTCCTCCTCCTCCTCTTCCTTCTTCTTCTTCCTCTTCTTCTTGTAATTGCTGTTGGCTTCAGACTTACCCCCCACACAACACCATCCTCGACCTCACGGCTTTAGACAGATAAGGGCAGCACTGTTTACTATGGGACAGCGCTAGACACTGCCCACACATCATCTCATTTAATCCTCTCAACACCCTCAAAGGGATGTATGGCTTGTGATTCGCTCAAGATCCCACAACTGGAAAATGGCTGAGTTGAAGACACTCAGACAAGTAATTCTAACCAGCAGTGCCAGGAAAATATTAATGTTTAAAAAAATAAAGCAGAGATTGGTTTATTTTTTAAACATATACATATCTTCCTGTAACGTCCCTCACACCCAAGAGCCCTGGACAAGGGCTTCATGCACTTAACCACTGGGCCATACTGGCTCCCTGGGATCCTGAAAGCATTGCCTTCCCCAAGGCACTGTCCTAGCTCAAGAACCTCTCTGCCAGCCCAGGTGACCACCAGCTGCACCAGGTTCAAGTGCTCACTCTGGTTGACCAGATCTCCCTATTAGCTCCTGCCATGCCATTCTCTCTCCTGTATCTGTCCTTTTCCCATGTGCCTTCCCCACCCTGAACATCTTTTTTTCCCATGTGCCTTCCCCACCCTGAGCATCTTTTTTTGAGCCATCTATCTATCTAAATGTTAAAGGTCCATTTCTTCCCCATAACTTTCTTCAGCTTCTCTGTCCCGCACGGATCTAAATCTTCTCTGAAATGTCTAGTTCACACTTAGAGTCAGCATTGCCTTGTCTAACACTTACCTGTTCTCAACTCAACAAGCATTTATTTATTGAGCCCCTGCTCTATGCCAGGTGCAGTATTCAGACCTGTAGAGAACACTGAAATGGAAAGATCCTCAAGGTTTCTGCAATCTCTAAGGGGACGACAAGATGTGCATGCAAATGACTGTACTTTATCCAAGACAGCATAGTGTCAGGTCCATGAGAAAGATCCATGCAGTTTTAGAGATGTTTGTTCAGTGTCCTTGGCTAGGTGTGTGGAGGTATGCACATATAGTGTGTGCAAACTCACTTCCATCTCCCACCAAATGAGGCAGCATAAGAAGGGGGTGAAGGGAACGGGTTCTAGAACCAGAATGCTGGGGCTCAAATCATCAACTGTGTGACTTTGGATAAGTTACTGAACCTTGCCTCAGTTTCCTCATTTGCGAAAATGAGGATAAAAATAGCACATCTCTCACAAGGTGGCTGCGAAGAGTAAATGAGTTTATATATGTGAAGTCACCACCTAGTTTCATGCCTGGTACATGAAAAGTACTCAGTAAATGTCTGCTTTTATCAATATTAACATTATTATTATCCAGGCCAAAGGAAGTTCCTCTGCTCCGCCATTTTTTGTTTGTTTGATATTTTGTGCAAAGTCCTATCAACATGCCATTTTTAGACTGTATCATTGGACCTTTTCTGCAGTCCTAACAGAATTCTCCCGCTGCTAGTTGAAGGGGGAGGTGGGGGGCGGGTTTCACTGATTTTATTATATGGTAGTTGTTGCTTTCCTCCTTTCCAACATTTTAACAGATTGCTCTTGTTTTCCCTGTCTTTGGAGGGAAAATGGGGAACACAATTTTCCAAATGAAATCAATGCATAAAGCAAAGAGCTCGGCTCCTCCTTCCTGCAGACATAGCCCTGCCAGCTGCTAGGCATCCCTCCTTCATGCAGGCAGCCCCTCCAGTTTATACTTCCCAGTGGGACAGTAATTTTCAGTTCAGGCCAAAAGGCTTTGTTTAAATGTGACACTTATGTGGTAATAGAGCGTATTGCAGGGGTCTTTTTTTCTGAGGGTCAATGTTGAATTTACTCTCAAAATAAACAACTCTATCCTTTTCCATCATCTCAAAGTTGTGGGTGGGATTGAAAAAGGTGGAAGAGACTACAGCATGAAGAAAACGGAAGGAAAAGAAAAAGACAGGGAAGGCTCCAAGGAAGTTTAGAAAAGAAGGAGAAGAATAGGAACCAGTGTCCTCCACAAATGAAGCAAATCTACCTCCTATCTTCCTGAATGATTTCACAAATAACAACAGCAGATATTTACTGCAAATCTGCTGTGTGCCAAACAGTACACTAAATGTGTTACTGACATGGTCTCATTTAATTAATTAGATTTTTTAAGAGATGGAATCTCGCTATGTTGCCCAGGCTGGACTTGAACTCCTGGGCTCAAACCATTCTCCCACCTCAGCCTCCCAAGTAGCCAGGACTACAGGCTCACACCACCACACCCAGCTTTATTTATTTTCATCTGAATCCCCCTGCAGTATATGTGATTATGACCATTTTGCAGATGAGGACACTGAGAATCAGAGAGGTGATATAACCTGCCCTAAATTGCATAGCTAGCAAGTTTGTCCAGCTGAGGTGAGAACCCAAGTCTCTCTGGCTCTGCTGAATGTGTGCTGTCTACTGTTCCTTGGGGCAGCATTTGAGGACTGTTCAGTAATGGAGTTGATGAGGGGAAAATCATGGGATCGTATGTTCTAAACTAAGAATCGATATAGAGCTGGACACACGTTATAACAAAGCCGTGTAACATTTGATATTGAGTCTGCCTAGAATATATAAAATAAATGGTTGCCCTACAAGAGGGTAAGGCTGAGGTAGAAAGCAACAGGACAAGCAAGGGATGAATGGAACTTGGGAATGCATTTCCAAGTGGAGAGGGAGAGGAGAGATTGGGTGCTGGGGAGAGACAGGAGCTAATGGTTACCCTGTAACAGTGAGTCTAGAACTCATGAGATGCTACACCGAGAAGCCAAAGGAAGCCTTGAATCTTGCTGTATGCCAGGCAAAGGAAAGAGTGTGTCACAGAAGCCTTGTAGCTGTAGATTGTCACAGTCACCACCCAGGTGTCTCCAAGCAATACTGTGGGACTCTTAGCACAGAGCAGTCTGTGGATTTTCCAGCACTCCTCGAAGAAATTGTTTCAAGGGCTTAAGTTTTCTTTCCAGAAACCTAGCTTAAAACCAATTCTCTGCCAGACGTGCTCTCCAGGAATTCTTGACTGTGAATATCCTTCTCACCCAGTTAATTTATGGCATAAGCACCCCCATCTTGAAACAGATTGAATTAGGCAAAATTAGAAGTCTGGATCATCTCTTGAGCCTACCTCCAGGGACAAGAAGAATGATGAAGACATGGAGATTCCAGATAAAATTGGACAAAATGAACACAATTATTCCTCAACTGGAATTTTGGAAGGACTTAAAAACCAGTTCTAGGCCAGGGGCAGTGGCTCATGCCTGTAATCCCAGCATTTTGGGAGGCTGAAATGGGAGTATTCCTTGAGCCCAGGAGTTCAAGACCAGCCTGGGCAACATAGTGAGATTCATTCCTATAAAAAATTTAAAAAGCTTAGCCAGGTGTGTGATGCATACTTGTAGTCCCAACTACTCAAGAGGCTGAAGTGGGAGGATAACTTGAGCCCAGGAGGTCAAGACTGGAATCATCTGTGATCTCTCCTCTGCACTCCAGCCTGGGCAACACAGTGAGACCCTGTCTCTAAAGAAACAAACAAATGGAAAAACAACAACAACAACAACAACAACAAAAAAAAACAGTCCTTTGTCACTTCAACCCATTGACGTGCTTGGGGCTTGTTGATGTATTATTCATGTTCTTTCTCATCCCATGGACGTAATGAAATAAGAAATAGATATCAGTTCACAAGAATAATGACTGATGATTTGGTATATGGGATGCACAGACCAAAGACTCAAAAGTCAACTCTTATTAAAGCACTGTAATCCACATTAATATGACAGACCAGAATAACTCTGAGCAAGCCATTATGGTCCATTATGAAAATAACGTTCATTTGCAAAATGAGGAACATACCAAAATGAAAGTTGTTCCAGTTCTTTCAGCTAAATTACACATTAAGCATGCAGACTTCCTCTTCCAACATTTTGAAATGGTTTAATGTGCACTCAGGCTGGCCAAGCCATGGATTTTCTAAGACTGCCACAAAGGTGAAGCCTAGAAAAATGAGGGCTGATTGCCAGAGAGACATTCAGCCCTCCTGGGGTGTTGATCAGGTGGTCATGACTGTGCTTTGGAACTTCACCTTGGGGGATAAGATTGACACCAACAGGCAGCTGTGAATCCCAGCTGGCTTCATGCAAGAGCTTATTGGCTGCCCACCTCCAGTAGTTGGTTGTTAGAACTTGGGGATGAAGTGTAGTGGACATTTGTTGTTCTTGCCTTTCGAGCATTCATTCGTACCGTCTTCTGGTAACAGCCCCCTGAATTTCCTTTGGAAACCATCTCTTCACTATTCTCAGTCCATGCAGTAATAGCTAAGAATGGTAACTAACATACATTAAGCTCTAACCACATGGCAGGCACTGATCTGAGCATTTTGCATAATTAACTCATTTAATCCTCATACCAACTCTTTGGTACAGGTACTATTATTATTCCCATTTGAGAGATGTCTCAGATAACTTACAAATAAATATGTAATTTGCTCTTAAATGGCAGAACTGAGATTTACAAATCCAGGTAGACTGCATGCAGTGCCTGTGATCCTAACCACTAGTAGTTGCAGTAGGGCTGAACTCTAACACAACTTCAGGCTCATGAACTAGGTCTGGCCAATTCAAGCATCATATATTACCCAAAGTAAGCCAATCTTGTCCAATGCAAACCCAAGGTTTTATGCTGGAACAACCAAACGTAGTTTCTTGTTTGTTTGTGTCTTCTGAGCCTGGACCTGAGACAGGAAGTCTTGAATGTCTGGGAACCACCATTTAGAGAGAACCTAAGAATAATGCCAATGCAGATAAGATCAAAGCTGAGAAGATATTGGTAACAATACCCAAGCACCTGAAATTATTACACTTCCGGGACTTTTCTGATATATGAGCCAGTCAATTCTCTTTTTACTGAAGCTAGTTTGACTTGGGTTTTCTGATATTTGCAACATAAATAATACAGAATTCAACGTGTTAGTCTAAGAATAATACTTTCCATTTATGTACTACTGTACAATTGCCAAAGCTTTTCATTTAATTACTTCAATATTGCATTTATTTATTCATCAATTTATTCAACAAATAAATATTTACAGTTTATCTAATTACAGTCACTGACATAAGTCAAGGTGATCCCCTCCCCGTTCCTCTCTTAGCTATAGTTGGTTCCCATAATTATGTGCCCATCATTCTTGCAGCACTTACCTCTAATTACTCTACATGGATATCTATAACTTAGCAAAACATAGGCTTCTCTGGCTGGGTGGGCACAGTGGCTCACGCCTATAATCCCAGCACTTTGGGAGGCCAAGGATCACTTGAGGTCAGGAGTTCCAGACCAGCCTGGCCATAACATGGTGAAACCCCATCTCTGCTAAAACTACAAAACTTTGCCAGGCTTTGTGGCTTTTGCCTGTAATCCCAGTTACTCAGGAGGATGAGGCAGGAGAATTGCTTGAACCAGGAGGTGGAGGTTGCAGTGAGCCAATATCATACCACTGCACTCCAGCCTGGGCAACAGAGCAAGACTCCATCTAAAAAAAAAAGAAATAGGCATCTCTGAATTAGAAGTTTATTTATCCTGGAATCTCTGATATCCACCTTGGCCCCTGACACTCATTCATATTCATTTCTTTAGGAATACTTACATGCTGGGTACTATGTGACTAGTCAACATCACCAGTTAGACACAACAGAAAGCAACTCTGGCTAACTTAAACATAAATGAAATTCTGAAGGGATATCAAGTAGCCCAGAGGATCACCAGCAAGGTTGGAGAACCAACTTGTAAAATGGATAGGCAGGAACTAAAGGAATTTGGGCAGCCATAGCACAGCCAAGGTTATACCTCAGATGAGTCAGTTAGGGCATTGAGGCTGACACTACTGGACACCAGACGCTGCTACCAGGGCCACCGAAAAGAATCCTCAGCCCTCCCTGCTTCTCTGCATCACTGATTCCAGATTCTAAGACCCAGGCAGGAGCATCTGACTGGCTGAGCTCTGGGGACACGCTGTGCCCTATCTGTCAGATATTCTCTGACACATAAAGACTTTCCATCTTTCTTATTGGAAGGCAAATCCCTGCCTCTCCTGAAACTTACACCAAAAAAGGCTCCCCAAATATTTCTTATGTGGCCATGAAGTGACAATTGTCAATGATGAGCCAAAACAAAGCCCCAAAATAAAAGCAAAATACATGGTCAACATGGTCTTTGCCCTCATACAGCTTATAGATTAGTAAGAAAAGAATCCATAGAGAATCATTAATTAAATAATTAGGCAAGAAACAGTCACAGCTGTGATGAGTACAACGAAGGAGAGGAATGATGTACCCCAAGGAATATAATACTGCAAATGTGTTTCAGGTATCCGTTGCTGTGTAACAAACAATCCCGAAACTAGTAGTTTAAGACAAACATGTATTTTTGTCTCTCATGGCTCTATGGACTGACTGGGCTCAACTGGGTGGTTCTGACTTGGCCTCTGTCATGCAGTTGCAGTCAGATAGCAGCTGGAGGTGGAGGCACATGAAAGTTCAGCATCATGGTCAGTTGACATTGGCTGTCGGCTGGAACTCAAGCGGGGCCTTTTGACTACAGCACCTACCCATGGCCTCTCCATGTAACATGGGCTTCTCAGAACATGGTGGCTGGATTCCTAGAAGGGGAGGTGTCCCAAGAGCAAGCACTCTAAGAGAACCAAGTGGAAGATGCAAGACTTCTCATGACTGTCTCAGAAACTGCACAGTGTTACATCTGCCACATTCTATTGGCAAAAAAAAAAAAAAGAAGGTCAGAGTAGACTCAAGGAAGGGGAACCACAAAAGTACATGAATGCTGGAATGTATGGTTCATTGGGGATCATCTTTGGAAATTAACTCCCACAAAAATTTTGAAATAGAGGAAATGATCTAGTTTGGGGGGGTCAAGGAAAGTTTCCAAGAAAGTGCCATTGCTCTGAGATATAAGAGTTGAGTTGAAATTAATGAGATAAAAACAAGAAGTATGTTCCAGGCAGAGGGAACAGTATGTGCAAAGTCCCTGTGGCAGTGAGCAGCAGGACACATTCAAGAATATAAAGAGAGTAGAGCTGATGAACAGAGACTAAGGCAGGATGCGAGACAAGATAAAACAGGAGAGGCTGGGCATAGTGGCTCATGCCTGTAATCCCAGCACTTTGGGAGGCCAAAGTGGGCAGATCACCTGAGGTCAGGAGTTCAAGACCAGCCTGGCCAACATGGTGAAACCCCATCTCTACTAAAAATACAAAAATCAGCTGAGTGTGGTAGTGGGTGCCTGTAATCCCAGCTACTCGGGAGGCTGAGGCAGGAGACTAACTTGAACCCAGGAAGCAGAGGTTGCAGTGAGCCAAGATCACACCACTGCACTCCAGCCTGAATGACAAAGTGAGACTCTGTCTAAAAAAATAAAAAATAAAAATAAAACAGGAGAGTTTGAGTAGAAATTCATTCTGGAAACCCTTCTATAGGCTATGCTAAATATTTTGTTCTTTACCTGAAAAGCAATGAGAATATTTTTAAGTGGCCCTCAGAAAATATTCATAGATTAAATGAACGAGTGAATGGCTTCAATCATTCTATGGATACATACTGAACATTGACTATGGGTCAGGAAAAATAAGCGCTATGAATAAAATCAACCTGATAGAAGTGGCTGGAGGCAGAGGATGATACAAAAGCATGAGGCATGGCAAAATCTGAGGAATGAGCATTCCCAGTAGAACACAGCAAATGCAAAGGCCCTGTGGTGGAAGTCAGCTTGGTGTGCTCCAAGAGCAGAACAGAAGACCATCGTGGCTGGAGTACTACTGTCCTTGTAGGGAAGAATTCAAAGCCAGCTTTCTATAAATGGCAGGGGCACCAGCAATGCTTTCATATCAGGACAGCACACCACCAGGACTGCGGCTTCGGTGACTCTGGAATGTCTCTTCCTGCTAGAATGTTTGGAATGCTCTTTCTCTCTGGCCTGGCTCTGCCTGTCCTCGGCTATGAGACTTATCTTTCATCATGTACTTCCAAAGCTCAACAACCCCCAAGGAAGCAATTTGGCAGAACGTTCAAAGAACCTTAAAGATGTTCATGCCCTTTGATCCAGTGATTCCCCATCTAGGGATCTAGCCAAAAGAAATAATCATAAATATGGAAGAAGATTATCCCAGCATGATTTATAATAATGAAAAAGTGCTAGTAAATCAAATATTCAACCATAGGGGAAAGATTAAGTAAATTAATGTGCATCTTCTAGATGTGGGCATTAAAAACTATGTGGCTGAAAGACTAAAATAACAGGAAAGGCTTGTGTTATAATAGTAAGATTAAAAAGAGGATATAAAATAGTATATATACGATTTCTTCAACTATTTAAAAAATTATATGCAGGAAACAATGCTGACAGTAATCATTTATTTAAGGTGAAATTACAGGTTATTTATTTTTCCTTCTTTTCTATAATCCTTCTACTTCCCATAATGAGGATTATTACTTTTAGAATAAAAAATAAATTTTATTCTTTTTAAGGAAAAAGAAAAAAGAAACAGCAATGGCTTCCCACTGCCTTTAGGATCATATCTAAACATCTAAGCAGGCAGTCAAGGACTTCACAATCTGGCAATGAATTATATTTTCTACTTTAAAAAATTAGATTTGTTTCTTGTCTCCCAAGATTTTTTTCCTTTACCAGAATTTGATGTTTCAGCTAACACATGTTTCATCTGCTTCCCCAGAAGACAATTTTTTTGACAATAGACATTTAAGCATGCTATCTTCTTCCTACCTGGGGTTCAAGGAAGGGAGGGAGGGAGGGAGGAAGACCTATCAACCTCCACCTGCTCTCATCTAAATCCTACCCATGTCAACTGGTGCAGTGGTTCACGCCTATACTCCCAGCACTTTGGGAGGCCGAAGCAGGAGGATCACTTGAGCCCAGGAGTTCAAGACCAGCCTGGGCAACATAGCAAGACTTTCTATCTACAAAAAAAAAAATGTTAAAAATTAGCCAGACATGGTGGTGCAATCCTGTGGTTCCAGCTACTCAGGTGGGAGGATCACTTGAGCCCAGGAGGTAGAGGCTTCAGTGAGCCGTGACCATTCCACTGCACTCTAGCTGGGTGACAGAGTAAGATCCTGTCTCAAAAAAATAAGAAATAATAACAATAAATCAATCCTACCTATCTCTCCACCTCAAGTCATTCATTCCTCACAATGCCTTTCCTGGTCATGGTGGCCATCTCTGATCTCCCTTTTCTAACCATCGATATTCATTATCATCACATCTGGCTCTACACTCACATATGGGGCTAAACACGCCTGGCCTTACAGTGCTCCTCAGGCTCAAGGTCTTGTCTTATGCCCCATATAACTAATCATTCCTGATATGATTTTATTGCCTTCCAGGATCATCCCATCTTGACCCCTAACACAGTCCATCTTGTTAATCTCATAACGGTAAATGAATGTTTTATTAGTGAATAAAAGAGTAACTGTATCTGAACAAGTCTCTAAGACAAAACAGCATCTTTGGGAAATTTCATTCTACGTCTAGCTGAGGCCCAGCTCATGATGGGGCTGTCTTTTCTGTGCAGACAAATTTCCCTCCCTCCACTCCAACCTCTCACACCCTCTCATCCCCACCCACCCACCACCACTTACCATCTCCAGCTCACAAGGATTTCAAATCAGGGCTGGCAATGTCAGAGGGAGATTGACACATAAACTCCACACACAATCAGCCTACTCAAGAAAGGACGCTTTTGTTTTCTTCCCCATGGGCCCCCATAAATTATAAGTTACAGCCTTTCTTTATTAAGTGAGCCTAAGTTTAGGGTAGAGAAATCATCGCTCACCCCGCAGAAGTGCTTTCTTTCTTTCTTTTTTTTTTTTTTCTGAGACACAGTCTCTCTCTGTCGCCCAGGCTGGAGTGTAGTGGTGTGATCTCAGCTCACTGCAACTTCCACCTCCCGAGTTCAAGTGATTCTCCTGCCTCAGCCTCCTGAGTAGCTGGGATTACAGGTGCACCTCATCACATGCCCGGCTAATTTTATATTTTTAGTAGAGATGGGGTTTCACCATGTTGGCCAGGAGGGTCTTGAACTACTGACCTCAGATGATCCACCTGCCTCAACCTCCCAAAGTGCTGGGATTACAGGCGTGAGCCACTGTGCCTGACCCAGAAGTGCTTTCTGTGGAAGCAGATTTGCCCTAGTTTTGAGCACATCCATGCCATAAAGCATGTGTCTCTGTTTTAATAAGCTATTCATCATCTCCCTGCAAAAATACTGAGGTGTCCAGCCCCACTTTGTGCTCTCACAGCACACACCTCTAAGTGCCTTTCTCTGTTGGCTAAGTTACTGCTTTGCCTCACTCTGTGAGCTCATTAGAGGGCCAAGCTGTATCTTACTGTCTTTGTTTACTCAGCACCAAGAACAGTGCCCGGCACATAGTGGCCCTGAGTTTTGTGCTTCGAGAGGGAGTGAATGAATGAATTATAAAGGCCTGTGAAAGCTCAGAAAGAGCTGGCTTCCAACTATGGATTTCCATAATAAAATTACTTGCTAATGCCCTGTATTCGTTTACTAGAGCTAATGCAACAAATTGCCACAAACTTGGTGGCTTAAAACAACAGAAATTTATTTTCACACAGTACTGGAGGTCAGAAGTCTAAAATCAAGGGATTAGCAGGACCTGCCAAAAGCTCTAGAAGAGAATCCTTCCTTGCCTGTTCCAGCTTCTAGTGGCTTCAGGCATCCTTGGCATCTGGCTGCATAACTCCAATCACTGTCTTCATCTTCACATGGTCTTTTTCTTTTCTCTCTGTGTCTCTTCTCTGTGTGTCTTTTATGAGAACACTTGTCATTGGATTTAGGACCACCTAGATAATCCAGAATTATCTCATCTTGAGATCTTTAACTTAATTACATATGTAAAGGCCTTGTTTCCAAATGAGGACACATTCACAGATTCCAGGGATTAAGATGTATATACGTCTTTGCGGTAGGGGGGAGGTTTACCATACAATCCAATAAGTGCACTTATTATGGTAAAGATATATTTTATTCTCACTGTAACAGCTAGCATACAGTCAATTTTTTTTTTTTTTTTTGAGATGGAGTCTCGCTCTGTTGCCCAGGCTGGAGTGCAGCGGCGCCATCTCGGCTCACTGCAAGCTCCGCCTCCCAGGTTCACACCACTCTCCTGCCTCAGCCTCCCGAGTAGCTGGGACTACAGGTGTCCACCATCACGCCCGGCTAATTTTTTGTATTTTTAGTAGAGACGGGGTTTCACCATGTTAGCCAGGATGGTCTCGATCTCCTGACCTCGTGATCCATCCGCCTCGGCCTCCCAAAGTGCTGGGGAGTCAATTTTTTAAATGGGTTGGATGGATGGATGAATGGATGGACGGGTGTTCTGTCACTACCCATAACCCCTAACACACTTAGTTAGTGCCTGCTAACAAAATGTGGCTGAGAACAATTTTTCCCAAGTGCCAATGCTATCTTTTCTCCCACGACCACTTAAGATTGATACTCCTGGGATCACATCCACATTATCCCTCCATAATATCTCTACTAATGTAAAACACTGAAGCAGCCATTTGAAGAAAGGCTAGAGTGTTTTACACAAATGTCTTGGGGTAGTAACTACACCAAGCGTTTGTTGAATTGATTCAAATCAGCTTAACTCAATTCCAGAAACATTGACTATGCACCTGAATTTTGCCCACAGAACTTGCCTGAATAAATTGTTTCCTCTCCTGGGCAAACAACCTAGATCAGCAACCCTGAGCTGTCATCTCATAAATCCTAAATTTTACTTAAAGCCAGCCCTATAGCATGGTACAAAGTTCATGTCTTCCTTCACAATTTTGATTAGCCTCTCAGCTTAACAGGTGGACAAACAATAGCAAAGGCAAAATCAAACCTCATTTGAGTTGTTGACCCAGAGCAAGAGAGGTGATTTTCAGAGAGTGGAGAAGGGCAGAAGGAATGCTATGCCACTCTTGACAAATGGCACCAATTTGGAGCCGACTTTCCAACGGGGAACACTTGTGTAGAACCCAAGGACCCAGGTACCAACAGAGCTTGTGTGTCACTTGTAAATGTGCGAGGAATGGGCATTTCAAGCTCAGTCTGACACACCCTGTGAATGCAGCTATTTTGGCAGCATCAATCCCAGTGTCTATGGAGGACAGAACAAACTCAAATTAACCCTAGTTACTTCCTTGAGCTCTGCTCTCTGAGAAGGAGTCAGCCAGGCAGACAGCTGCCACTGCAAATTCCACTCCCTGGGAACAATGTACTTTATTTTTGGAAAGAGGGAAAAGCAAAGGAGAAGAGAGCAATGCCGACAAATATACATTTGCTTTTCTATTTATGCAAAGCCCCTATCCCTTCATCACCTCAGTTACCAGTTGTTTAGAGCAACCTTAGAATATAGACTTGTAAATTGTCACTGGCCTGCATCCCTGCAGAGAGTAACACAAGTCAGCTTCCAGGATGGCACATCCCATTGCTGTAAAGAGCTGTAAAGAGCTACAAATAAAAGGATTATTTCCATGACAGGCTGTTGGCCTGGATGGTTATAATTAATGCTCCTATACAATAAACACTCTCTCTGGATCCTTTCTATGTAAGAGTCACTCTCTATAGTAATAGTATCCTGATTATGGGCTCTTCATCATACAAGAAAAAAAGGTGAAGAAAGCAAAACTGCCCCTCCTCGCCATTATTTTCCTACCATTTTCTACATCTCTATAGTTACTACTTCCCATGTAATTTCAAACATCATTTTAATCATGCTTTCTAAAATATAACCCTACATGAAAAGCCCACTGGTGGACACAAGGAAAGAAGAAAGGAAGGGCGAGAGGAAGGGAAGGGAAGGAGGCAGGAGGGAGGAAGGGAAGGAAGAGAGGGAGGGAAAGAGGAAGGGGGGAAGGGGAGGAGGGTGGGGGGAGGGGAGGAGGGTGGGGGAGGGGAGCAGGGTGGGGAGGAGGGAGAGAGGAAGAAGTCAAAGACAAAGAAAAAATTTTAAAACAGCTCTACAGGGACAAGGACTGTGTCCTGCTTGCCACTACATTCCCATAACCTAGCAGGCCTAGTAGCCCTGGTACATAACAAGAATTAATTATTTAATGATAATGGGAATATATGCAAAAATGATCTAATAAATGGAGAAATAGGCTTAGTTCAAAATTGTCTATATGACAGTTTCCTTCTTCCACTGTTTGGTTCAGAAGCCATTTTGTCACTAATTTACTTTTAGGGAAAAGACTGAAAATGAACATTTAATGAACACCTACTATGTACCAAGTATTTTGACTTTTTATCTCATGTAAAACCACATGATAACCCAAACTATTTGATAAATGATACACACATGCTGAGAGAGGTTAAGTAACTTGCCCATAGTTACACTGCTAATAAGTGGAGAAATGGGAATTTAAACACAAACCTATCTGACTATATAACCAAGAAAATATGACTGTGTCCTGCTGCTTCTCAGGTGATCATGAGGGTGTGTCTGCTTCAATATAGCATCAGCTCCTAAGATGGGACTGTGATTCACTGGGTCTCCTTGTAAGTAAATTTTACTATGACAAAGCCATTGGGATATTTGGAGAAATTATTCATAATGAGATCTTATTTGTTATGCATAACACTAAGAGGCAGTTTAAAAAAAAAAAAAGATACTAGCGCCGTTTGATTTACTCCCTATGGGATTTCTAAAGAAGAGTCATCTGAGAAGTCAGAACCACATATGTATCGCTTATTTATTGACTATCTCTCTTCTGGAATCCAAAAATCCAAAAGAAAAGGTCATATTTGTTTTACTCACTATTCCAAGCCTAGTACCCAAGAACTATGCCATGGCACTCAATTTTTAATGAATGAAAGAGATGACAATGAACGCTCCATTGATTAGACTTCTGTATCTGCAGACTGGGACTCCAGACAGACTAGGATGATAACATGTGAAACTGTGGGGCTTTGCTGAATCAAAAGCATGGTCTTGGGAAACAGCTGAAGAAAATGAATTCATACTATGGAGAATTATTTTCTCCCACTCAGCTATATTTCACATTCCAACCACGTGAAAGGCCCTGAATCAGATGGAAAGTAGCATTTACTCAAAGTTCAAGCCATCTTTAGGGGCAACCCAGCCTCCTCCAATTTCCCAAACAACTACACATGGTGGCTGTGGTCAGCAGAAGGCTATGAAAGAACTTTGATCCACCTGGAAGGACCAGAGATTCAGGATCCTAAGCCAAAGCCAATGAGCTTTCACACATGGAGATAAGCTGAAAGAACCCATGCTTTATTTGGGGCATGGCCTATGGAGACTCCAAGAAACTTAAAATCTTTTCTCATTTGTCACCAGAAAAATGTGGCCCAAGGTCACCCAGCTCATTAGTAGCAGAGCCAAGACTTAAACTCAGGCCTTCTGACACCTTCTTATCCAAAATTATTTTTACTACCCCAGAAGAAGGTGTGTGGTAGAGGCCAACATAACATGAAGAAGGGAGTAGACAGCATACAGTCATCACTCTCATGGACTAGATGGTCACTGGGATTCTGAGATAAGTAAAGGACAAAGAGAGGCACATACATGCATTCCCTGGATTCTGGGGAAACCTGTGTGTCAGGCTAAAGGAGGCAGAGAAGTGAGTGTTTTGAGTTGTATGTAAGCCAGGCATAAGTGTCTCTCTTGAAGGGCAAGGGAAGTGGGGTGCTGAAGAAGAAACAGTACAGACCTGGGGTCAAGAATATAGGTGTGAACCCTGGGCCAGCTGTTTGCTAGTTCTATGACCTGTGGCAAGTTATTTAACTTCTCTGGGTCTCGGTTTTGTAATCTGTTCAGTCAGTCGATTGAACCACAATCAGACTTCTGAACAAGGTTCCTCAGTCCAGCACCAATTAGGTGGACTGTCATAAAAGAAGACCTGGGCCAATCAGATTTTTTCTGTCTAGTATTTGAACAATAGAAATACCAGGAGAGTAAAGCATTTAGCAACAGATAGCCAGAGATCATGAGACAGAAAGAAACCAGAGGGACCATGATGCATCACAAACAAAGTGAAATTATGAGAGTCAGAAATGATGGGCCAGGTGTGGTGGCTCACACTTGTAACCCAGCACTTTGGGAGGCTGAGGCAGGCGGATCACGAGGTCAGGAGAGAGAGACCATCCTGGCCAACATGGGGGAACCCCATCTCTACTAAAAATACAAAAAATTAGCAGGGCGCAATGACACGTGCCTGTAATCCCAACTACTCGGGAGGCTGAGGCAGGAGAATCACTGGAACCCGGGACGTGGAGGTTGCAGTGAGTGGAGATCACGCCATTGCACTCCAACCCAGGTGACAGAGCGAGACTCAGTCTAAAAAACAAAAGAAATGATGAAGTTGAGGCCAGGTGTGGTGGCTCAAGTCTATAATCCCAGCACTTTGGGATGCGGATGTGGGTAGATCACTTGAGTCCAGGAGTTAGAGATCAGCCTAGACAACATGGCAAAACCCCGTATCTACTAAAAAGACAAAAATTAGCTGGGTGTGGTAGCATGTGCCCATAGTCCCAGGTATTTGGGAGGCTGAGGCAGGATGATCACCTGAGCCTTGGGAGGTCGAGGCTGCAATGAGCCGTGATCACACCACTGCACTCCAGCCTGGGCAACAGAGTGAGACCCTGTCTCAAAAATACAAAATAAAAGATGAGGTCAAGAACATAAAGGACAGAGGCTGAGGAAATCAGTCAGTACGAAGAGAAGACCAAGCCATGGGGAAGAGATGAGTCATCAAAATGGTGGACAACCAGAGTCAAGATCCAAGACCAACTCCTGAGACCAACATTCCTGGAACCAGCCAGGATCCAAATGACGTTGAATTCCACTTCTGTCTCTGTATGGCTCAGATTCTGCTGGACTTCTTCATCTTACCAAGGCCAGCTAAATAGCTTTCCCTGAGTTCCCATGCACATGTAAACTTATGACAAACCTATGAGTAACTTAGATGAATCTCTGTTTGCATCCAAACAAGTCTGATTAAGTCAACCTCTTTGTTTTATTTAACATATAACCTGGATTTCCTAGGATCAGCTCAATTCCATGAATTTGTCCTAATTCTTGAAGGGCATGCATTAAAACTGTGAAAAAATGTGATTTAGTTTTCACACTTTTTTATGACTTTTGCTGTAAGTAAATTCACAAATAAGAATGGCCTGGGTTTGGGCTTAGGTAATATGGTTCTCTGAATGATGTACCAAGCAGTTGGCTAGGCTCTGTGGGGTGAAAGGATGGGGAGAAAGTGCATACAGCTAGACAAATTTCCCTCCTTCCACTCAAAAATGCTTTCAGTTGAGATCACTCAACAGAACCCTAGCAAAAAAAATCATAAAAAGAACCAACGTAAGCTCCATAAGGGCAGAGATCATGTTTGTCTTATTTGTTATTTATGACCAGTACCTGGCACCAAGCCTGAACTTAAACAGCACTCCAAAAATATTAACTGAAGGAAAAAAAGAAGGAAGAAAGAAAGGGAGAGAAGGAGGAAAGAAGAGTAGAAGCCATGAAAATTTGCCTCTCAGATCTACTACTACCAAGTGCATAATTGACTGATGGCTCCAGCTGCCGAGCTCCAAATGCAGCACTCTGTGTACAGACCACACATCTCACAGCTGCTCTCAGTCAAAGGGTAAGCATGGCAGTGATACTTGGGCATATAGTTCCTGCAAAACATGGGACTCTTTTAATATGGACTTTGGTTCAAGGACTTTCCTTTGGCCTAGCTGAAACTTTTTTAGAAGTGCATTGCTGTCTGAGACTCTATGTATCCAACCCTCTCTCCTCTCCCTTCAAAGGTGTCAGACCTGCATCATGGTCTAATGGCTCTTCCAGTCTCCTCTGGCTCCCTCTCCTTTTGTTACTTACAGTAATTTCTCCCAGTAGGTCTAAACCTGTCTTGGCATCTGCATCTCAGAGTACCTAGCCAATATAAGGACAGAGGGATTAAGAGAAAGATGGGGGTTGCTGAGTGTGGCTTTGTTTGAAACTAGCCCATCTCAAAGTTCCTGAGCTTGGAGTTGGGAGGAAGGTTTTTTGGTTCTGTCCCTGTGGTATGGCTAAAGAAAGAATGACCTGCTTGATACATACACCCAGATATACCCTCTGCCCTCATCTATATGCTCTGTGACCAGGGAGGCTGACCTTTCTGGCCTGTGTCTTCTGGGCTTTTCTACTGGCTGGCTTCAGGTTGGGTTTGGCTCATGGAAGGCACTAATAGGAGATTGTCCATTAGGGAGAGATTGTGAGCAGGACATTTCTTCGTCACCTTTCCCTGCTTCACCCCTGTGTATCTGCCAATATTCACATTTTCTCGTGACTACAGCTCCCACCAAATGATTGCCTTTGTATTGTTCCAGGTGAGATTTCAGCAACCGCTTGGTAGAAAAGAGAGTTGATCGTATTGTTAGGTTAATTACATTAATGGCCAATTAATGGCCTCCCTATGGCTATCTTTTGCCTGTGACTTCATAGTCCTCTCCTACTCTGTATGTTGCCTTGGCTATGTGGGAAAACAGCTCCACAAAACAAAAACAAAAACAAAAACACTTGCATGTTTCTACTTCTACCATGAGATGGTGATAGCCTCACAATATGACTGAAAGAGCCTGCAGGAGGATCATAAGGAGAGTCCGGTTTTCTCAACCAAGGCTTCATGTACCAGCCTATAGCTAGCCAAGTCCCAAGCATATGAGAATGCTCAACCAAGAACAGCAGAGCCACCTTCCAGACCCACAGCTGACTACAGAACAAAAGTGACCCCAACTGAGACCACAAGGACTATTTGGTAAACCCTCAATTCATGAGCGATAAGAAATATATATTGTTGGCTGGGTGCAGTGGCTCATGCCTGTAATTCCAACACTTTGGGAGGCCAAGGAGGGTGGATCCCTTGAGGCCAGGGGTTCAAGACCCGCCTGGCCAACATGATGAAACCCCGTCTCTACTAAAAATATGAAAATTAGCTGGTGTGTGGTGGAAACACGTGTAATCCCAACTAGTTGGGAGGCTGAGGCACAAGAATCACTTGAACCCAGGAGGCAGAAGTTGCAGTGAGCCGAAATCATACCACTGCACTCCAGCCTGAGCAACAGAGAGGGACTCTGCCTTAAAAAAAAAAAAAGTAAAGAACTATGTATTGTTTTAAGCACTGAGCTTTGGGGTGACTTTCTACCAACATCATTGTGGCAGCAGGTAACCGATACAACGTTTCAATTAGTTTTCATTTCAGGGAGAAAGTAAAGCCTGCCCAGCCAGGTTGGCTTTGTGGTAAGGAGGAAAGGGAACCTGGTTAGGGAGGAGTTGGCAAGAAGTCCCTGTTTTATGACGTTAAGGGACAAGTTTCCACTCCCTCAAAGAAAGACCAACAGCCCAAAGACCTGGTCCTGATAAACTTCCTCGGCCCAAACCAGATCTAAGTCAAGTATTAGGGGGCCTAAGAAAGTCACTCTCTAGGGAGGAGACAGGAGCACAACTTTGAGGCTCCTGGGCAGAGAAGCACTGAAGGTCAGGTTTCAAATGAGGTTGTTCTGAGAATTCTGTCAATGCAAGAGCAATACCCATGGGACTAGGCACTGGTAAGAAAAGCCAGAGTGGATACAGATTCTACCCCACTGGCTGAGGATCTCAGACAAACCTTTCCACGTGGTCAGTAGGCTGAGGAGGGGGAAAAGCCCTGTGTATTAGTGCATTCTCACACTGCTATAAAGACATACCTAAGACATAAATTAAGAGGTTTAATTGGCTCACAGGTCTACAGGCTGTACAGAAAGCATGGCTGGGAAGGCCTCAGTAAACTTACAATCATGGTGGAAGGTGAAGGGGAAGCAGGCACATCTTCACATGGCAGCAGGAAAGAGAGAGAATGAAGGAGGAAGTGTTACTCATTTTAAATAACCAGGTCCCATGAGAACTCTATCACGAGAACAGCAAAGGGGAAGTCCATTCCCATGATTTAATCGTCTTCCACCAGGTCCCTCCTCCAACACCAGCGATTACAATTTCACATGAGATTTGGGTGGAGACACAGAGCCAAATCATGTCACCCTGGGACTGAAAATCTCTGAGCAGAATTAGATCCAGAGAAGCGGCTACAGATCAAATCCAACCATAGGCATGGATAAGACAGGAATGATCACACCTCCCTGTGAGTTTTCCTGGTGATGCCCTCTCTCCCAGAGATGGTAATTTATAATCTATAAATACTACTGGGAAGTATATTCAGAGATTTAAAAAAATAAGGCTAGAAAAGAAGTTCTCACTAAAGTCAAGAGGGACTATATATGCATCTAGCTGGAAGGGTAAAGCCACAAGTTAAGGCTCTCTGTTGCTTCAAATAGCCTTTAAATGTGGTGTCTTAAACAACACCATTTTATTATATCTCATGTGTTTGTGGGTCAGGAATTTGGGCAGGGCACAGCTGGCTGGTTATTCTGTTCCACATGGTGTCAACAAAGAATTCACCTGGGTGGATGGACAGAAGACAGCTTCACTCTCACTTCTAACATCTGCACTGGGATTGCCAGAAGGCTAGGCTCAGCCTGCAGTATCAGGCAGGGTAACCAAACTTCTTATGCAGCCGCTTAGGGATCTCACGGAGAGTGTCTCAAGAGGTTCAGTCCAAAGCTTCAAGGCTTCATATGATCATGCTTTTGAAATTCCAGAATGTCACTTCCACACCTGTTCTTTCTGCCAAGCAAGTCGCTTAGACCAGCTCAGATTCAGGAAATAGGAAATAAGATTCCACTGCTCAATGGGAGGAGGAACGAAGAATTTGCAGCCACCTTTTGTCTACCTCACCATATCAGTCAACAGTCAACACAATTAGTTTTAACATTCCAGAGGATGCACACAACAATCCCGAAAACTGAGAGAAAATATTAACATTGCAATACATATTTATTTTCTCTTAAAAATGAATTAATTGAGCTTTATGTTATTTAATGTCTAAGTTGTCACTTGTGGTCTTCCTTGGTCCATATGACAGAGGAAACGTAGCACAAACAGCATGCAAGGTGTATTGAGGGTTCAGTGGGGCTCTCAAAATACAGATGACTGACAGCCATGCCTTTCCTGGTTTGCCTGATTTCAGTGCATTTCTATGTGTATTGCAGTTTACATGTACCCAGTTAAGTAGATTAATGTTTTATATTACCTAATTTTAACCAAACTCATCACAAAATCAACAAACGGTTTTTAAAAGAATTTTTGCAAAGAAAGTATGGACGAAGGATAATACTGATAACACAAGCACAAGTGACAACAAAAAAAGGGAAAATGACAATCCTGCTTTTCCTACTTCCAGTGAGCTCTCCATCAACTAAATTATCAAATATGATAAGAAAATTGTCCAACAAATCAAATTATTGAGACTATTTGAGGCTGGGCATGGTGGCTTACTCCTGTAATATCAGCACTTTGGGAGGCCATAGCGGGCAGATCACTTAAGACCAGGAGTTCGAGACCAGCTTGGCCAACATGGCAAAACTTGTCTCCGCTAAAAATACAAAAATTAGTGGGTGTGGTGATACACACCTGTAGTCGCAGCTACTCCAGAGGCTGAAGCAAGATAATTGCTTGAACCTGGGAAGCAGAGCTTCCAGTGAGCCACGATCACACTACTGCACTCCAGCCTGTATGAAAAAGAGAGACTCTATCACAAATAAAATAAAATAAAATCTACTTGAAAAATGGGTGGCTACAAATCCACTTGCATTTACAATTAACCTTACTCTAAAGGTTGATTGTGTAGCTGCTGATGTGTATTTGGCTAGTACAGTTAGGGAGACTTTTAAAACACTATTTCATTTTTATCTGATGCTTTAAAATTTCTTGCTTCTGAATATATTTTATAATTGCATAATTTATTGACACAACAGCTTTTATTTATATATATTATTCACCAGTACATCAATAAATAAACAAATATTGTGGGTACCTCATCAAAATTACTTTACCAGTGAAAGGTATGATCAAAAATATTTGAAAATCACTGTTGGAAATAGCAGACAGATAGCAAAGGCAGTGGCCAAAAGGGCAGGTGAGGAAGGCATAGAGCACATGAATTGTGACCTGGAAATATCATTTCCTGATGGGAACATCTGAACGTCTGTGAGTGTCCATAGCTCCTGATTGGTAATGAGTCATGGCCCCCAGTGCCTCCCCAGCCAGTCATGTGTTACCATAATTTCTGCTGTAGTCTCCTTCTCAACTCTTTTCAGCCCCAACCCCAGAATAAGCTCCAAGCCAAGGATTAGGGACGGCTAATCTCTACATCATAAGCATCTATTGCAGAGCCCTTCCCACAAAGATATTCTGTCATTTACCTAGCCCTTGGATGCAAATGTCCATTGGGGCCACCCAATTCAAGTCATCCTCATTAGCACTGCCTAAAGGGGTTGCTTTTAAATGAAGCTTTCCACAAGGAAGAAACGTTGAAAAACCCCCCAAACGAAGCATGAACAGAAAAACTATTTCCCCATGGTTAAAAGGGATCACTAAATTGATACAATATCTCTGGAGGGATGTTGGACAGTATGTATCAACATGTAAACTGTGCAGACTTTTGGCCTGTAATCTCACTTCTAGGAATTTACACCAAAGAGATAATTGGACAAGTGCAAAATGATGTGCAGCAGATAAGGAAGATTACATTACATGAACATTTAACAAATATGAACTCAAAAATATATGACGGCAACATAGAGAGGAAAAGAAATCATTTAAGTAGGCTGGGCACAGTGGCATGTGCCGGTAATCCCAGTTACTCAAGAGGCTGAGGCAGGAGGATTGCTTGAGCCCAGGGGTTTTAGACGAGATTGGGCAACATAGTGAGACCCAGGCTTAAAGTTTTGAAAATAGTAATAATAAAAATAAATAAAAGGGACAAAGAGAAATCATTTAAGTAGTGTGTGTGTCATTCTGAAATACTTCCACCCAATAAGCCTAAGTCCAAGGCAAGCTTGATGTGGGGGACAAAGAATCTCTTGATCTCTCAAACTGGCCTCAGTTCCCAACTGCCTCTCATAGAATAAGTATCTCTTCCTGCTGCGTGTGAGGCTAGTGTTTAAAGATACATGACCTATAACATAATCCCTACATGCAAGCCAAGCAGAAAATCAATATGTTCCAACGCTCGAGGAGACACAGGATAAAGTGACCTTCTGAAAAATGCTGTGCTGGTCCCCAGTGTGGCATAACCTAAGGAACTCCACTGTGTTTACAGAGAGGCTTATCACAGCACTGCTATCAAAACCGAGTGAAAATTTGGGAACCCTCTAAGTGTCCATCAGTAGTTCAGTAGGGTTTATTGATGTGCAATACTTCCATTTAATGGAATATTATGCAGCCATTAAAAATGATAGTGTAGTTCTGTATTTGTTAGAATGTAAAGATTAACACAGCATGTCATCAAGTAATAAAAAGATTATGTAAATGGACACACAGTACGATCCCATTTTTATTAAATTATAGCCATATATCTCTATGTATGAATAATCTATGTAAATATATCCTTAGAAAAATGCCTAGGTGAAGCTCAGCAAAATCTTAGTAGTAGAAATCTCTGGGTAATCGTATTTTGAGTGATTTGAGGGTTTTTTTCTGATTTAAAAAAAATCAATAAACTTTAAAAATAAACAATAAAGCTACCTTTAAAACTCATTCTATGGTTAGTTCCACTCTCATATAAGCAAATGGTTCCCAACCTTCTCCCCCACTGACCCTTGGTTATTGCTGCCTGGGGTTTGGCCATTCAATCATTTCAGAACTCACCAGAGAGGATACAAAAACTATGATACACATTTGCCAAATTTGATTCTATAGCTGTATGTTCCTTTGTCTTTTCTCTCTTTTGTCTTCACCAAATTAGTCTGTTGGATATTTTTCACTTCAAGAGGGACCAAATCTGTTGTAACTTACTTAGTGCAACTCAGGATAGCACCATATCTGCTCCTCTCTAGCACTCCCACATTATTCTCAGAAATAATAACCCATCAGAAGGTGCTTGGAGTGGTGAGCTACTGGTGAACATCCAGCTACATCTGCACCTCCATCTCCAGGAGACTTTGTCCCTTAGGGCTCAGCTTAGGTGCTGCCTCCTTCTGGAAGTCTCTGATCTCCCTTCACTGCTGAGTTAGCTGCCTTTTCCCATGTTCCCCGGGTGCCAATGTTCCTTCCTAGCATTGTAGTCTAATCCTAGTACTGTATCATATCACCGTGTGTTATTGTTGCCTGTTTATTTGTTTGTTCTTCCAATTGGACTGTGAAATCCTTGAGGGCAAGAGATTTCACCTTCTTCATTTTAATATCCCCAGCCCTGGCACAAGCTTAGCACACAGTGGGCATTTAATGTATGTATGTATGCTGAACAAATTAATGAGAAGGAATAGAGGTGGGACCACAGACCATTATCATGCATGGGTTTCATAAAATGACTGTTCATAATTTCTTTCCCAGTTTCTGTCTTCTCCCCCTCAGAAACACAGTTTTGATTTGCCTGAGGATGGGCCACAAGCCATGACCCTTATTTGAGATAGAACTCTCAGACTAATTTAGGATTAAAGAAGAAGGATGAGGAGACTATATTGGTCCGTCAAAGCGGGAAATCACGGATGAACCTGGCTCCAGGCATGCCTAGGTCCAGGAATTCAAGCACAATCCTCAAGACCCTCTCTCACCTTTTTCCCCGTTGCTTGGTACTGATGCTTTTTCCGCATATTGCCTTATTCTCTCCTATTCTGCAAATAGGTCATCACCAAATTGTAAAAAAGATGGCCACCTGCCATCCCCAATTCATATCCTCCTAGCTCTCTGTCATAAAAGGCACCACTTTCTCCTTCAAATCCAAAGTCCCTAAGAAAAAGAGGAAAAAAGGCTTGGTGTGGTAGCTCACGGCTGTAATCATAGCATTTTGGGAGACCAAGGTGGGAAGATTACTTGAGGCCAGGAGTTCAAGACCAGCCTGGGCAACATAGCAAGATCCTCTCTCTACAAAAAATTTAAAAATTAGCCAGGTGTGGTGGCATACCTGTAGTCTCAGCTACTCAGGAGGCTAAGGTAGGAGCACGGCTTGAGCCCAAGAGTTTGAGGCTGCAGTGAGCTATCATTGTACCACTACACTCCAGACTGGACGACAGAGAGACTATCTCAAAAAAAGAAAAAAAGTTCCAGGGAAAGATTCTGATGGGTCTGACTGCAGTTAAATGTCCATTCCTGACAGTGAAATGCAGTCCTGTGATTGGCAGGTCATGACCATGTCCCACCCTTACACTCAGGAGCATGAGAAACTGATTGGCTGTACCACCGAGTCCCATGATTGGGAAGTGGGAACAATGTCTTAAAGCAGGGTATGGGGGTTGCTGGACAGAAAAAAATAATAGATGTCTCTCCGAAACACTCTGGGAAAGTAACCCATACAAGAATTCCCATTGTTGCCTGGAAAATTCAGTCTCAATCTTTGGGGTAGGGGGAAAAAAAAAAATCATGTGACCGATCAGTTTCTCCTTCTGCCTGCTCATAACCCTCTTCAAAGAAGATTTTGTTTCTCTCTTATTCCTGTCCCTACCAAAATGACGCTGGGTGGTCAAACTTTCAAGACCCCTCAGAACCTGCAGCCAGACTCTGACAAGCAAACCCAGGCCCCACCCTTGGCTCATGAAGCCTCTTACCACAGGGCCTCAGTTAGCTACTGGCTGTGCTGTGCCAGTCCCAATCAAATGCAAGCCCGAGGGCCATTCCCAAGGCCAGCACCACGCTGCTCCAGGGGGTACCTCCTGCCAAGGTGTTATCGGCAGGCCTCTGTTCCCAAACGCCACATTGGGAAGACTGGTGCGTCTTGTCTCAGCCTGGCTTTGACAGGCTGGGCCCCTGGCCTAGCTGGTGGCTGCAGATCAACGGCACTTTGTCAGCCCAACACACCTCTAAGAAGCTGAAGTGCATACTGAATGGAGGCGTCTGCAGACCTTCTGGGCTCGGCAGCCCCTCTGCGTGTTTGGGTAAAGAAATATGCAGCTTGAGCTGTGGTCATTGCTGCCTGAGCCGCTGAGCTGCAATCAACATCAACACCACAAGGACACAATATTTTCTCCCGATTTACAACACGTTCATTTATTTTGGAATTTCTGTGCCAGCTGAGGCTACAGGGCGGTGACAGTGGAAAAATTGTCCTAGGGCCAAGCAAAAGAGAGTGTTGCAACCAAGCTCCTGTTCTGAAAAAGGGTGCTCGAAAGCAGCAAAAAGCAAGCAGAGCTAAGAGAATGACCTTCCACAAATAGCAGCCCACAGGACATGGGTGGCCAGTCTGGGAAACAACTAATTTGGAGGTCCACTATTGATCCTACACCAGGGTCTGAAGATGGGCCACTGGAATCCAGGGTTCCTAAGAAACTGCTGAACCCCTTGGAGTTTCCATTATACAAGATGATCTGCTTTCTTTCTCAAAGTTCCCCAGGGAGTCAGAGATCCTGTGACTTCGAAGCTCCCCCTCAAACTCCCCCAAAGTAGCCTTTATTGGAAAACACCACAAACAAGTGAAAATGATAGGATTTGGAGTGAGAAAAACTTGCATTTGAATTGTTCACACTGCTACTTACTTACTGAGTGTTCTTAACTCTCTCAGCTTCAGTTTCCACATCTGTTTTTAAAATGGACATAATAATATCTAACTATCAAAGTTGTTGTGGGAAATAGAGTAATTTATCGAAGTACACAGTACAATGCCCAACTCTTTGTGGGCACTCTGTACATGAAACTTCTGACTCCTTTTGTTTTCTTGTTTTTTACTGGGTCATTTAGATGTTCTCTACTAGGCTTTATTGTGTACCTATAAAATAGATCAGGATGCTGCCAGTATGGAAGGTCTATTTGTTGGGCTCCCTGGGACTGAAAACTTCTCTCGATTTAAGGATACTCCATGAAAGGAGGAAGTGATAGAGAAGGGAGGCAATGAAAGGGAGGGGATGGATGTGCAATTACCAGTATTCCCAACGAGAGGCCCTAGGAAGGGCCCACTCCAGTCATAATTACAAGAGGACTCAACAGACAGGCTAGTCTGTTCCAGATACAAGAAGGAACCTTCAACTGTCATCTGGAACAGGCTTCCAAGAGATAATCTACTTCTCCAAGACAATAACAAGCTGTACAACTTAAGGCAAAAAGAAAGGGAACCCCAAGTGCATTCTTCTTATCCTACTGAGAAGAAATCTGATGTCTGCCCATGGGAAGTGACCACTCAAGGTGTCACAACTAGCATGAAGCAGAGCAGTGTTCTGGAACCAAGTCTGACTGATTGCAAACTGGTTGTCTCATAAAAAAAAAAAAAAGAATTTTAACAAGGGTAACAAAACACACTCAATTCACATTTTATGTTCTATAAAGTCACCTGAATTAGCAAGTACTGAATCATTGCACCTAAACAAAATACAAGATTAGGTTCCTGCAAGCCTCTGGTCACAAGATCTCCATCATCCCATCAATTTATAATGTTGTTTTATGAGTGTTTCTGTTTAAAGACACCATGACGGTTAATTTTATGTGTCAACTTGACTGGGCTAAGAAATGCCCATATAGCTGGTAAAATATTAAATCTGGGTGTGTCTGCATGGATATTTCTGGAAGAGATTAGCATTTGAATTGGTAGACTGAGTAAAGATTATTGTTCTCACCAATGTGGGTGGACATTACCAATCTGTTGAGGGCTCAAATAGAACAAAAAGGCAGAGGAAGGGCAAATTTACTCTCTCTGCTTGAGCTGAGACAGCCATCTTTTCCTATTGTCAGCCATCAATCCTCCTGATTTTCAGACTTTTAGACTCAGATCAAGACTAACACCATCATCCCGACTCCACCCCCAACCCCCAATTCTCAGGCCTTCTGCCTCCTGAATCAGACTCACCACTGGGTTTCCTGGTTGTTCAGTTTGCAGATGGCAGATCATGGGACTTCTCAGTCTCCATAACTGCATGATCCAATTCCTATAATAAATCTT
Organism: Homo sapiens; assembly: GCF_000001405.40. Classification (NCBI taxonomy): domain Eukaryota; kingdom Metazoa; phylum Chordata; class Mammalia; order Primates; family Hominidae; genus Homo; species Homo sapiens. The sequence continues at coordinate 56,560,106 of NC_000017.11, forward strand.
TATAGGATTATAAATATATATATATATATATATATATATACACACACACACACACACATGAACACACACATACATATGTGAAGAATAGGATTTATCTGAAGGACAGGAGATATATATATTATATATATATGTATCCAACATATGTATATTATCCAATATATAATATTTGTTCTATTTCTCTGGAGAACCCTGACGAATACAGATTTTGTTCGGTACTGAGAATGGTTCTAGAGGAACAAAATTTTAAGGATAAGTTTTCTGAATTGGTTCTGGGGTTTCTGAAACGGACTCTCCAATCTGATTAGATTTAAAGACACTGATGACTATGTTTCCAATGTAAAATGAGCACTGATAATCCATGGAGTGAATTATTTAGAAACACAAAAAAGTCTGCATGGGATACTTCTAATCACCTATTTACAAGAAGCGAGGTGCAGAGCTTCCAGATAGCTGAACACATGGAGGTTCCTGGAGGGTGGCATGCCCAGGGAGGGCATGGAAGCTCCATGCCTTTTCCCCTATACCTTGCCCTCCACATCTCTTCATCTGTATCCTTTGCAATGTTCTTTATAATGAACCAGTAAACTCTTTAGGAACAAAGCCATCAAGAAAAAAGACAGAAATTGAAAGCAGCCCTACTATATAGTTAGACCATCAAGACAGAATTGAATTCATTGCCATCAGCGTCTGACTATCTGAATCTAAGTGAGACTTTATCCCAAGGGGAGTCTGACAAACTTTCAGGTTTCTGATCATAAGACTGCTATCTCCAAGGGAGTAATAAAGTTTACGAAACAGAATAAGATCTCAGAGACTTTTAATCTCCTCAAGATTAGGAATGCAAGGGAAGCTTCATTTAGAAAGGCCTGAAGCTTTGAAGCAATTGTGATTCCTCATATATTATTCAAATAAAATAAGTACCAAGTTTAAAAAAATACAAAAGAAGAAGTAAGGTGCTAGTAACTCTATATGTGATACTTTCAAACATTTTTTGAAAGCCAAGGAATATAATGATGTTGGTGGGTTGCTCCTAATGTCACTGGGCAAAGTGGTGAAAGAAAAGTATGAGCTTAAGGATGTGAATTCAAAGCTCAAGCATTGCATAAATGACCTAAGAGCTTCTGGGTATGCCCTGAAAGAAAGTCTTATCTCCTGTAGCCATAGGGCTGAAATTTCTGAAAATCAAATGCAGAACCTCATCTTGCAATTTGCTGAATTACAATGCAAGTTGAACTCCCAGCATCACAGGGTGTCCACTGTTAAAGTGATGGCATTCATTGGGGGAAAAAATGGAATCCTTTAAGTTGAAATGGGGATATGTGGGAAGACCTTGATGAACATGGGGACATTAAGTCCCTAAATGAGTCTTCTTTGCCAGTAGAAAGGTTCTCCTCACCCGCAGTGGAAGTGATCTGTCCACTCCCAATAGCTACAGCCTTTCCATCTCTATCTGAGGGGTTAATCCTGCATTACCTTAGGAAGTGATAATAACCTCTCCTGAGGCAGCTACCATGCAATATGATGCTAGCTCTCCTCAGAACCTTTCCCCATCACTCTTCTTTTCTTCTAGACCTATAACCAGACTCATGTCCCAGGAGGGGACATACTTTGCCCCTAAAGACAAAGTATGAAGCTGTGAGGAGGTGTGCTACACTCCAAAGGAACTACAGTCATGCCCCACATAACATTTTGGTCAACCATGGACCACATATACAATGGTGGTCCCATAAGATTATAATAAAGCTGAAGAATTTCTATCGCCTAGTGACACCTTAATGTTGCCATCTTAATGTCTTGACATCATAGAGCAATGCATTGCTCACATGTCTGTGGTGATGCTGGGGTAAACAAGCCTACTGTGCTGCCAGTTGTATAAAAGTATAGCATATAACAATCATGTACAGTACATCATAGTTGATAATGATAGTAAACAATTATGTTACTGGTTTATGTATTTATTATACTAAACTTTTTATCATTATTTTAGAGTGTGCCCCTTCTACTTATAAAAAAGATAGTTAACTGTAAAACAACCTCAGGTAGATCTTTCAGAGGTATTCCAGAAAAAGGCATTGTTATCATAGATGACAGCTCCATGTGTGTTATTGCCCCTGAAGGCCTTCCAATCGGACAAGATGCAGAGATGGAAGACAGCAATATTGATGATCCTGACCCTGAGTAGGCCTAGGCTAATATGTGTATATGTGTCTTAGTTTTTAATTAAAAAGCTTAAAAAGTAAAAAAATTAAAAATATTTAAAAATAGAAAAGACCTTATATAATAAGGATATAAAGAAAGAACTGTTTTTGTACGGTTGTAAAATGTTTGTGCTTTAAGTTAAGAGTTATTAAAGACTGGGCGCAGTGGCTTACGCCTGTAATCCCAGCACTTTGGGAAGCAGAGGCAGGTAGATCACCTAAGGTCAGGAGTTCAAGACCAGCCTGGCAAAACCTCATCTCTACTAAAAACACAAAAATTAGCTGGGCATGGTGGCAGGTGCCTGTAATCCCAGCTACTCAGGAGGCTCAGGCAGGAGGTACTTGATCCCAGGAGGCGGAGGTTTCAATGAGCTGGGATCATGCCACTGCACTCCAGCCTGAGCGACAGGGCAAGACTCTGTCTCAAAAAAAAAAAAAAAAGAAAGAAAAAGAAAAGTTATTAGAAATGTGTCAAAAAGTTGAAAGAAAACTAAAAGTTTACAAAGTAAAAAAGTTATAATAAGCTAAATTAATTTATTATTGAAGAAAAAAGTATAAATTTAGTGTAACCTAAGTTTACAGTGTTTATAAAGTCCATAGTAGTGTATAGTAAATGTCCTTGGCCTTCACATTCATTTACTACTCACTCACAGACTCATCCAGAGCCATTTCTAGTCCTGCAAGCTCTACTTATGTACTTATGGTAAGGGCCCTATACAGGTGTACCTTTTTTTTGTCTTTTCTACCATATTTTACTGTACTTTTTGTTTAGATATGTTTAGACACATGAGTACTTAACATCGTGTTATAATTGCCTACAGTTTTCAGGACAGTAACATGCTGTACAGGTGTGTAGTCTAGGAGCAATAGGCTGTACCATATAGAATTTTGTGTAAATACACTCTACGATGTTCACACAATGACAAAATCTCCTAAAATGCATTTCTCAGAACGTGTCCCCATCCTTAAGCAACACATAACTGTACTTGAGTTTTCCAATTTATGCAATCAGAAATCTGGGGAACATGTGTAAGAATGGTTATTAAGGGTGTGGGATAATGATGGAAGAAACAAAGTCAGATGAAGCTGAATTGATTGATATGAACTCACCAAGCAGTGATTCTGCATTTAATGTTGCAGCTCAAGAAGTTAGAAAGAGCTCTAATAATTTGGTTGGTTGGCTGAAACCTGGATCAAAAGATGGGCTACCATGAGCAAATTGGAAATTTCCAGCCTCCTGTGGTTTAATGTAGAGGAAGGGATTCAAAGAATTAGGGAGACTGGAATGTTAGAGTGGATTTGTCATTTAAGACCTGCTTACCCACACCAGGAGAGTCCAGAAGACATAAATTTCACCAATACTTTGAGAAGTAAATTTCTGAGGGGAGCCCCAGCATCCTTGAAGAGCTTCATGATCACTATTCTCTGAGACCAGACCTTACAGTAGGAACTGTAGCCATTCAGTTGGAAAATCTAAATGCAATTTGTGTAATTGGATCCAAGTGTGGCACTCAACTGTCAAAGGCAGATGGACATAGTTACCAACATGGATAGCAGAGTAGATGCAACAATCAGGATAGTCTGACTCATGCAGATCCATGGTATTCGCTGGTTCATCATGGTGTTCCTAGAAGTGAAATAAATAAGAAGCCTACAATGCTCTTACTTGATCCATATAAGCAGAAAGGCTCTAGGTCAAGTGAACAAAAGTGTAACTCAGTGTAACTCAAATCATAAAAACAGAGTCACAGCCCCTCAATCAATTCCCAGACTTGAGCTAGTTTACAAACACAAAACTTCTTGAGTGAAGAGGAGGTAGAGTCCCGTCAAAGAAAAGCCTAGTTCACCACTGAACACACACACTATTAATCTTACTCCCAGCCTTCCCACAATGGGCTCACAGCCTTTTATCAGGGTAACTGTGCACTGGGGGAAAGGAAATGATCAGTTCTTTTGGGAGCGATTAGACACTGGCTCTGAACGGACACTGATTCCAGGAAACCCAAAACATCACTGTGATTCTCCAGTTAGAGTAGGAGCTTATGGAGGTCAGGCGATTAATGGAGTTTTAGCTCAGGTTCATCTTACAGTGGGTCCAGTGAGTCCATTGGGCCCCAGAATCCATCCTGTTGTTATATCCACAGTTTCAGATGCATAATGGGAATAGACACACTTAGCACCTGGCAGAATCCCTACATTGGTTCCCTGACCTCTGCAGTGAGGGCTAGTATCATGGGAATGACCAAATGGAAGCCACTAAAACTGCTTCTACCTAGGAAAATAGTAAATCAAATGCAATACTACATCCTTGGAAGTATTGTAGAGATTAGTACTAACATCACGGAAAATAGTAAATCAAAAGCAATACTACATCCTTGGAAGTACTGTAGAGATTAGTACTAACATCAAGGACTTGACAGATGCAGGAATAGTGATTCCCACCACATCTCCATTTCACCCTCCCTACTCAGCCTGTGCAGAAGACAGACGATCTTGGAGAAAGATAGTGGATTACTTTAAGCTTAACCAAGTGGTGACTTCAGTTGCAGGTGCTGTGCCAGATGTGGTTTTATTCCTTGAGCAAATTAACACATCCCCTATTACCTGGCAGTTATTGATCTGGCAAATGCCTCTCTCTCTATCCCTGTCTATAAGGACCACCAAAAGTAGTTTCCTTTCAGCTGGCAAGGCCAGCAGTACACCTTCACTGTTCTATCTCAGGTGTATCAACTCTGCAGCCCTATGACATAACTTAGTTCTCAGGGATCTTGATCACCTTTCCCTTCCACAAGATATCACACTGACCCATTATATTGATGACATTATGTTGATTGGCTCTAGTGAGCAAGAAATTAGCAACTACTCTAGTTTATTGGTAAGAAATTTTTGCAGCAGAGTTTGGGAAATAAATTCAAAAAACTTCAGGGCCTTCCACCCCAGTGAAATTTCTTGGGGTCCAGTTGTGTGGGGCATGTCAAGATACCCCTTCTAAAGTGAAGGATAAGGTGTTGTATCTGGCCCCTCCTACAGACAAGAAAGAGCATGCCTAGTGGGCCTCTTTGAATGTTGGAGGCAACATATTCCTCATTTGGATGTGTTACTCTGGCCCATTTACATGTGACCTGAAAAATTTCTAGTTTTGAGTGGAACTCAGAGCAAGAGAAGGCTCTGCAACAGGTCCAGATTGCTGGGCAAACTGCTCTGACACTTGAGGGTATATGATCCAGCAGATCCAATGGTGCTTAAAAGTATCAGTGGCAGATAGGAATGCTGTTTGGAGCCTTTAGCAAGCCCTCATTGGTGAACTGAAGTGCAGGCTTCTAGGATTTTGGAGCAAAGCTCAGCCATTATCCACAGATAACTACTCACCTTTTAAGAGATAGTTCTTGACCTACTACTGAGCCTTAGTAGAAACTGAGTGCTTAACCATGGGCCACCAAGTTACCATATAACCTGAGTTGCCCATCATGAACTGCGTGTTAGCTGATCCACAAAACCATAAAGTTGGGCATGCACTGCAATACTTCACCATCAAATGGAGGTAATACATACATGATCAGGCCTGAGAAGGCCTTGAAGGAACGGGTAGTTTACATGAAGGAATTGCCCAAATGCTCATGATCCCCACTCCTGCTACACTCCTGTCTCTCTACCAGGCTGCCCCTACAGCCTCATGAGGAGTTCCCTATAATCTGTTGACTGGGGAAGAAAAAACTTGGGCCTGCTTTACAGCTGGTTCTGCACAATATGCAAACACCACTCAAAAGCTGTCAACTTTGGGTGGTGCTTGCATGTTGTGCAGACCATACAGCAGCACTACAGTCCATCTTTGGGACACCCCTGAAGGACTGTGATGAAGGGAAATTCTGCCAGTGCACCTAGTTGTGCAGTTTACTTGGAAGGAGAAATGGCCTTCACGCAGTAATATACTAATTCATGGACTATAGCCAATGGTTTGGCTGTATAGTCAGGGACTTGGAAGAAACATGATTGAAAAATTGGTGACGAAAAAATTGGGGGAAGAGGTATGTAGATAGACCTCTCTGAAAGAGCAAAACATGAGGATATTTGTATCCCACATGAATGTACACCAAAGGGTGGGCTTAGCAAAGGAGGATTTAAATAATCAGGTAGATAGGATGACCCATTCTGTGATACCAGCCACCTCTGTCATTGCCCAATAGGCTTATGACCAAAATAGCCATGGTGGTAGAGATGGAGCTTATGCATGGGCTCAGCAACATAGACTTCCACTCACCAAGGCTGACCTGCCTGTGGCCACCACTGTTGTTCAATCTGGCAGAAATAGAGGCTAACACGGAACCCCAAGATATGGCACTATTTCCTGGAGTGATCAGCGAGCTATCCAGCATCAGGTTGATTACACTGGACTGCTTCCATCATGGAAGAGGCAGTTTTTTGTCCTTACTGGAATAAACACTTACTCTGGTTACGACTTTGTCTTCTCTGCATGAAATGCTTCTGCCAAAACTACCATCCGTGGGCTTACAGAATGCCTTACACACTGTCATAGTATTCCACACAGCATTGCTTCTTATCAAGGATTCCACACAGCATTGCTTCTGATCAAAGAATTTACTTCACAGCAAAAGAAGTTTGGCAATGGGCCTAGGCTCATGCAATTCACTGGTCTTACCATCTTTCCCACCATCTTAAGCAGTTTGCTTGATTGAACAAGGGAATGACATTTTGAAGACTCAGTTACAGTGCCAACCAGGTAGTAGTACTTTGCAGGGATAGAACAACGTTCTTCAGAAAGCTGTCTATGCTTTGAATCAATGTCTGATATATGGTGCTGTTAGTTGATAGCCAGGATTCATGAGTCCAAGAATCAAGGGGTGAAAATGGGAGTAGCACCACTCACTATTACCCAGAGTGACTACCTAACAAAATTTTTGCTTTTTGCACACCGTTCCCACACCTTTTATGCCTTGCTGGCCTAGAGGTCTTAGTTCCAGAGACAGGAATACTTTCACCAGGAGACACAACAGTGATTCCATTGAACTTGAAGTTGAAACTGCCTGCCACCTGGCCACTTTGGGCTCCTCATGCCTCTGAGTCAACAGGCAAAGAAAGTAGTTATGGTGTTGGCTGAATGGTGAATTTGCTCTCTCTGCTTGTACTGAGACATCCATCTTCTCTTGCCCTTGGTCATCATCACTCCTGGTTCTCCAGCTTTCAGGCAGACTCAGACTTACACCATTGGCCCCTGGAATTCTCGGGCCTTCAGTCTCAGACTGAATTACAGCAGATCATGGGACTTCTTGGCTTTCATAACTACATGAGACAATTCCTATACTAAATCTCCTCTATCTATCTATCTATCTATCTAAGCTAGCTAGCTTGCTATCCTATTGGTTCCATTTCTCTGGAGAACATTGACCAATACAGACACCTCGTTTAATATATTGTTGACTCATTAACATTGAGCTCATGGCCAAAAACACTATAATTCATGCCTGAATGAAGTTTATCTAACAGATTTGTTTTCTTTGCAAGGTACATCACACTTTCCTGTACCTTCAGCATTATGCCTGAAGGCCATTTCAAACAGCAAAATCACCAACAACGGCTAATGCAAAAAAACGTGGTAATAGATAGACCATGAAAGAAACACTTGTTTACAATATGAGCACTGAAACAAGAACATAAAGTATCACCCAGTTCGACCTCAGTTGAAACATGCATGTCAGACAACTCAATTTTTTGCCATTCTGCATAGGTCAGTGAGTGGCCACAAAAGCACTGTGGGTGTTGTCTTTGGAACTGCAAATAAATTTTAGCAATGGGAAATTCACAAATAGGAAATCTGCAAATAATGAGGATAGACTGTAACTTATCATCCATACCAAGACACTTTTATGACTGAAGAGTTGTTATTAACAATTACACCAGGACAACTGGCATAAACTGGACTTTCTCAAGCAAATGGGGATGTATGACACCCTAATTTTAGCTTTTGAGATTCCTTTAAGAATCTGATGAAAGCCATGAGCACACACATTTTTTATAGACAATTCCAAGGGATTCATAGACCCCAAGTTTCCTTAGGCTACACATGTCAGCCTTAAGGAACAGTTTTAAAAAATAATATACAAACTGAAATATGGTAAAAGTATGCCTAAAACTTGAGGCCAACATAATGATGGAGCAAGTTTATGCAGAGAACTCAAGGCATTCATGGACAAGGCCACTATCAACATAAAGTTGTCTATCAGGGCCATTGCCTGCTCATCTTGGATACAAATGCGTACTAAATTTGAATTCATACACAAAGAATCTCATCAGAGAAGGGAATGAAAACAGACTAGGAAGAATCCTGAAAGCCTGGCATGGACGTGTTCAGAGCCTACACCATTATCCTATTGCCAAATGCCCCCATCTTAGCACTCATGCCCACTATCCGCATCAGACATGGGGAATGTCTACAGCAAAAGAGGGGCCATCTAGGAAACAGTTTGGACTCCCCTAGTAGGGAGCTCAAGGAGAATGCCCTCCATTGCCTGGGATCAAGAACTAAAGACCACCAAAAAGTTAACTGACACTCCCACCACCCCATACCTCACCTCCATGAGGGAAAAGAAGGCATCTATGGCCACTCATAGGAGCCACAGATAGCACTGAAAACTTACAATTCCAGTGTGATTAAACACTGTAGGTTGATGGGGCCTGAGTGCCATTATCTTTAATCCTTCACCACACTCCTGCCCCCAGTGCTCACCTCCTCACTTGGGAGAGCACAGCTGCCCAGATGTGTGTTTCCCATTAACTCTGCTGCCTCTAGTCTGGAATAAAGAAGACATTTTCATGCCAAATTAAAAATGACTTGGAAATGGGCATTGTGTTGGGAGAATTGGCCTTTTGAAAGGGATATAAAAATGAGGGAAGCTGATTTCATCACCCGCCTACAGACAGGCCATCAAAGCATCCTGCCCCTGTGAAGCAGGCAGGCCACCTCTGCTCTTTCCCCTTTACAGACTGTGTTAGCATCTCCATTATTTACCCCCAGGGTGGGATAAAGGCACAGCGCAAAGGCTAAGATCTTTAAACTGCCTTGAGTGCCCATTAAGCACATTAATAACATCCACTGTAGTAAGACTTACCAATATAATTTCCGACTTCAAGCCAGGAGTGAAAAAAAACGGAAGTCAGCTGAGTTTATCAACCGAGGAGACCACCTTAAATTAGAAGAGATTACTTAGTGATGGGGAAAGGAAAGAGTTAGCATGGAAGACCTCAGAACACCCTTGGCCATTATTTGGTTAGTATTTCCCCTCCCCCACACCCATGTCATTCAAGGGAGTGGGCTGCGCCAATTTGACACTAAGAGCATTTAATCAGTGATGCTGGTGTTGCAGTTTGGCCTGGGAGGGCAGGGTCCCAACACTACAAGAAGTCATATTAGGATCAATTTTAAAAGAAAGGCAATGATTTGAAAAATGGATCTTGGGATTTGTGTCAGTGCTGTAGTTGCCTGCTCTAAATGTGTGTGTTGGGGGATAGAGGTGGTGTCAGGGGAAGGAGGTTGTTTAAATTAATAAAAGACACCACTTCCTGAAGGATTGGGTTCCAGGCAATTCACATGTCTGAACTAACCTTTACTTCACAGCTCTCCAAAACAGGTAATACTGGGTCCATTCCACAGATGAGAAGACTGAAGCTTAGAGACGTCGAGTGGCTTATGCTGGGACCCGCAAGCTGGAATAGACACTAAGACCTTCTGGGCTCTGAATGAAAGATGTGCTTTTAACTTCTCCTCTATACCACCAGAGCCACTTGATCTCATGTGGGTAAGTGTGACTATGAGAAGAGGGAGGAAGGTTGGAGACAGATCTGTTTATTTACTGGTTTGGAACAGAAGATATTTCAGAGAAGTCTGATCCACATGCCCAGGGTATGGGGCCTCAGGCCTCAGGCCTCGGGGCTGTGTGGGGTCAGAGGAGGGCCTAGCTGGCTGCCCCCATCTCCCCTCCTCTCACAGCCCAAAGCCACAGGACCCAGCCTGCCTGTCTCCTCTCTTGCCTTCCTCATTAGCTGGGATTGGGACCAATTTGTGGATGCCTTTGGTGCCCTTAGGCAGTGTTTGAGTCATCCTCCCTGATGCTAAAGAGAAAAGAAAGGAGGAGACAGCCATCCCCCAGGAGATTGGAGACACCGGGAGAGGGAAGCAGTGATGGATGGAGGTCAAGAGGGAGAGGCCAGTGTTCGGAGGTCATTCCCAGTCTGGCTTTCTTTAACCTCACTCTTCCCTGGGGACCTGCTCCCCCATGAGATCACGTCCCACTACAGACTTCAAAAAAAATGGGCTTGCTCGAGGATCAGCCCTCACTATTTTGAGAACTGTGAACTGAGGGGACCCATACCCTTCCAGCTCCCTGGGGCTTCCTAGAGCTCCAAGGACAGAATCCAGGTAGAATTCAGCAGGATTAAGGCCAGCAAGAAGTATAGGTCTTCCTATACTAGCTCAGATGATGCAGTGTATTTGCTTCAGAACTTGACAAATACCCATGGGTCTCTGAAACTGGAGTAGGAGCCAAGTCAGGAATGCACCATTGAATTAGCCTTAGGGATTCAGCCTGGTGCAGAAATATAGCTCCACCATTTCTAGTGGTGGGACATTGGAGAAGCTGCCTCACCTCTCTGAGACATAATTCCATGACTTCTTATAAGAATGGAATTAAAGTGGTTACAGGGGCTTGTAAGCAATTACACACCAAAATGTTAGTTGTTGTTGTCATCAAAACTAAAATCATGTGAAGGATAACCATCTCAAATGTCTCACTATACTGGGTTGTAAACCTGGGAGTAGCGCCCTGCACCATCATTTTATGTAAACCTCACAAGAATCCTGAACCATTTATTATCTATTCTACAGATGGGGAAATTGAGGCAGAGCTACATTAAGTACTTTACTCACTGTCATTAAACAAGGCACATGGCAAAGTTGAAACTGAAACACATTGTATCTGGCTGCAATAAAGATACATAATTATCCCATATGCCAAAAAAAAAAAGGGGGAAGGGAATGGGGAATCTATGCGAACTGTGCAATGAAGACAGCAGGACCACGAAGACAGAGGGAGCCAAACGAAAACATTAAATGGGCCCCTCCAATAAGTCAAGCACAATGCCAGGTATTAACATAGCTATTAATAACATAGCTATGCTATAACATAGCATCATGTCATTAAAGCAGTGAGCAAAATGTCAGGGACTGGCATGTGATCTCCAACTCAAGGTCAAAGAGAATACTCACACTATTGGGTTGTAAGTATGAGCACTATTCATGCATTCACTCCATTATGTCTTAAGCTCCTACCATGTGCCAAGCCCAACAGCTAAAAGTTAACCTTATCGTCTTGGGCAATTACACACCATTCTGTCATCCTCTTTCCAAATGTCTCACAGTATTACAAAAGCATCCCCAGGAGCTCCTTGCTACTCCTCAAATTTCTCAAAAGCTTATCTGAAGCCCAAAGAAACATGGTTTAGAAACTCAATCCAAGACCCTTTCTCCCAAAGCACTCACATATCAGGGTCCGTTAATATCTATGCATAGACTTAAATACTATCCAAGCTGCTCTGTGTATTTGTATCAAAGCAGTAGTCCTCCTACCAAAGATCCATCAAATCTGCAGTTGTCAAAATGACATACCTTTTTATAAAACTTTTCCATACCACACTGGGACACTGAGGCATGCTCTCTTCATAGCAACCCCGTGAAGTGTGAAGACTATATGACAAAATCCTGTTCAGTGGGTTAGGGACCTGAGGTTCTTGGAATTCTAGGTAGTGAATACAGGTGCCACAGCTCCAGATGCTACAGCTAGTAAATGGCAAACACCAGCAGGAAGCCAGTCTTCTAATACTTCCTTCTAATTCTAGTGCCTTTCTCCTGAAGTAGGCTACCTGTCAAAGGCCAAGGGCACCTTTTATGAACTATCTTCTTATAGGTGAAAAATCATCATGTGCTATGTTCAAAAAGATAGGCTTGCTTAGGGATCAGCCCTCACTATTTGGGGAACTGTGAACCAAAGGTACCCTTCCAGCCCTCAGAGGCTTCCTAGAGCTCCAAGGACAGAATCCAGATAGAATTCAGCAGGATTAAGGCCAGCAAGGAGGATAGGTCTTCTTGTACCAGCTCAGATGATGTAATCCATTTGCTTCAGAACTTGACAAATACCCATGAGTCTCTGAAGTCTAATTTGTTTATTTTGTTTATTACTATTTCAGCTCCACTTCTGCTGGGAAGGGTTGTTTAAGGGAAACTTAACAAAGGTAAACTCTCAGGACAGTCTTGGTTTGTCACTCTTACTCACTTGAGGACCTATCACTGATCATATCCCACTGAATATGGTCGACTGGAGTTAGCATAATGAATAGCAAAAAATGCCCAGTGTAGTATGAGTAGGTAAAGGGCACTCTTCTGGTTGGTGTGCAAATTGGAACTTTTTAAAGGGAAATTGGCAGTACCAAAATTACAAATGCACAAGCCCTCAGATCCAACAATTCACTTCTAAGACTCTATTCTAAAGAAATATTCACGAGTGAGCAGAAGACATGTGTCAAAGCTGTTCTACTGCAGCTCTATCTATTACAACAATAAAAAGAAAAAAACGTAGAGAGCCAAATGCTTCTTATCAGGAAAACTGTTTTTTAAAAAATCATGCTCCTTTCTCCACCATCGTGGTATATGCTTGACTCCGCTTCTCATCAAGTCTTCTCACAAGACTTTCAGGACTAAATGTTTCCTGGCCAAGAAACAAAAGCAGAATCGTCTCATTCTCCAGTGGATTTGGATGAAAACTGGTAATAAAATCAGATACAACTCCAAAAGGAGACATTGGAGAAGAAGGAAGCTGGGTCTATAAGGAATTGCACATGAGATGCCACACATATTTATGCTGTGTCAAAGTCACTACCATCTTATCATATCAAGCTGAAAATGTCACTATCTGGACAGTTGGACATGTTTTATCAGGAATACATTTTTTTCTCTTGTGAATCTGTTATGAATGCATTGGTTGGCTGGGTTCAGTAATAAATATGTGAGACCTTTCGTTTCAATAAATAAATAAATAATCATGATGCCTCCATGCTACGGAAAAGCATGCAACCATTACAAAGAGTGTGCTACTCTGCTTGTAATCCTATGGACAAACACTCATGTGGTTAAATGTGTTAAAAATAAAGCAAGTTGAAAAAAATAACATCGATAATAGGATCAAACATTTTTGTTTAAAAAAAGAAGATGAAAAAGAAACAAAGGAAAACTCAAATTGGGACCTACCCCTTGGGCCTCAAATAGAGTGCAGGCTGTTCTGGGCCTAGGCTTTTGGGGAAGGTGGGGCAAGGAGAGGGAGCTGTAAGGTGCTACATTTGACTACTCTTTTCTGAATATCATTAAAATTTAATTTTGAAATTTCTGTTCTTAATGATGTCCTAAGAGGCTTGTAAAAAATGCCTACAAGTGCAGAACCATATCAAGCATAATTATCCTGGCCAGCCCCACTGACTGAATTGCCCCAACCCTGTACCCTCTAGGGATGGTTGTCCACTTTATATATGAGTAGATATTGTGTATTGTATGACTGTTGTATATACGTACCATGAGGGAAGAACATATACCACCACATCATTAACACTGGTTACTCAAGGGAGAGATGAGGGAGACGTTCATATTTTTACTTTTATATTCCTGCATTTACTTTTTTAGTGTATTACTTTGTGATTTTTAAATTTTTTAAATGAAAGAAACATTCATTTAGGCATAATAGAAGAAAATATGAAAAAACAAGCCAACAAAATACATCAGATGAGTCATTGTCTCCACGTTGGAAAAATCAAACTGGACTTCTCTCTATCAAACTCTAACCAAACCAAATCCCATTTAATAGCAATATGGCATATCAGCCAGGCTCGGTGGTGCACACCTGTAATCCCAGCTATTTGGTATTTGGGAGGCTGAGGCAGAATGATAGTTTTGAGCCCAGGAGTTCAAGACCAACCTATGCAACATAGCAAGACCCCATCTCATTAAAAGTACATGTGTATATGGCTGTCAATATCTTACGAAGAAAGTTAATAGGGAAGGGAAGTGAGGAATTAGTCTATTTTGTTTATAACCTGGAACAGTGCCTGGCCTATATTAGGTATTCCATAAAATATTATTGAATGTGGAATGAATCGAGAGGAACTCAGGGTATACAAAGACAGGTGATTTTACTTGATTTAAGCAATTGACATTAGGAAACTGATCTGTGGCCAAATATCAATACCCCTGAGTGCAAGTAACACTGGTCTGTAATTAGCATATCAAATGTTTACGTACCTATAACTACTCCTAAATTGCTTTTACGCATTCACTCTCCAAATATCTATTAAAGCTCCAAGAATCAGTCCCTGCCCTTAAGGGGTTTCCATCAAGCTGTGTGAGTAAACCTATAAATCCAGTGTCAGAAAAATACTAGTTAGCAGAAATAGTCCTGGACAAAGATAGAGTCCTGGCTAAGACTTCATCTGCCATAACTAACTGTGTGACCTTTGGCCTCTCACCTTCCTGAGCTGTCAAAATGGCAGGGCTTGAGCCAGATAGATATGTCTCAAATATCTAATCTCATTATACTCCTGAGAACAGGTTCTCCAAAATCCGGGAACCCTAGACCCCAGTTGGAGAGACCTTCCACTAAACATCACTCTCAAGTCCTTTCAGCTCACAAGTGCTGATTCCAGGCATGTTGACTTTTGTCTTTAAAGTGTCCTAAGACCAGCAAGTCCCACTCTACTAAGAGCTTCAAAACTTCCAAAGTGAGCACTGATTCTAGATTAAAAAGGTTTTCTTACCAAGCTAGCATTCTCTCTGTTTGTCATTGAACTAATGTCATGAATTTAGGTTGGTATTGAGATAATCAAGATATACATTATCCTATATTGCTCCATTTCCTTTTATTGTCTGTGGGTAAGAGTGCAGCCTCAGAGGTGAGATAGCCCTCCATGATACTAGGTAAGTTACTAAAACTCTGTAATTCTGTTTCCTTGTCAGTAAAATGGGAATAATAACAGTTCCTACTACATAGAATTGTTATGCAGATTAAATAAGAATTTAATTAATCTTGAATTAATTAACATGGGTTGAATATTTATTAGATAGTAAATGTTCAGTAAGTTCTAGCTTTAATTATGGTGATTACTTCTGCTAGGTTATAAGCTTCTTGAAATCATGAACCACGCATATCTCAAACTTTATTAAGCAATTAGTACTTACCACAAGTTTATTATTATTCATTTATATAATAGTTATGTTTAGTAATAAGAATGACAAAAAAGAAACATACTGAAAGTAAGATTATTGCGTTTGATTCTGGTTTCTTTATGTTACACTTCTTTATTTCCTTCAAGTTGATTAGTTGTACTTAATGCAGTTTTCTTTCTTTCTCCTAATCTGACATTAAATTTTTTCTTGAAAAATAAAGATAAATAAATAACAGGCTGGGCACAGTGGCTCATGCTTGTAATTCCAGCACTTTGGGAGGCTGAGGTGGGCGGATCGCCTGAGGTCAGAAGTTCAAGACCAGCTTGGCCAGAATGGCAAAACCCCATCTCCACTAAAAAAAAACAAAAAAATTAGCTGGGCATGGTGACGGGCACCTGTAATACCCACCTACTAGGGAGGCTGAGGCAGGATAATCGCTTGAACTCGGGAGGCCGAGGTTGCAGTGGGCCAAGATTGCACCATTGCACTCCAGCCTGGGTGACAGAGCAAGACTCTGTCTCATAAATAAATAAATAATAAAAAGGTTTTTCTGAAGATTCATGTGAAGATTAGGATCACAGCCTATTTTATTTTTTATTTTTGAGATGGGGTCTCCCTCTGTTGTGTAGGCTGGAGTGCAGTGGCACCGTGATGGCTCACTGCAGCCTTGACCTCCCGGGCTCAAGGGATCCTCCCACTTCAGCTTCCCCAGTAGCTAGGACTACTACATACTTGTGCCACGACACCCAACTAATTTTTTTTTTTTTTGGTAGGGACAGGATCTCTCCATGTTGCTCAGCTGGTCTCAAACTCCTGGGCTCAAGCAATCCTCCCACTTCAGCCTCCTGAATTGCTGGGATTACAAATCCCACTGTGCCCAGCCCAAGGAGCACAGCCTTGAGATTTAGACTTAGTTCCAATCCCAGCACCATCTCTTATGAACTAGGCGACACTGAGCAAGTTACTGAATCTTTGTTAGCCTCAGTTTCCTCTTACATCAAATAGGTATAATAATGGGATCCAGCTTGCATTCAATGCATGGACAGAAATGGTAGTTTCCCTAAACAGTGAAGGAGGGTCATGAAAAAAGGACTATAGATGTAGGATGGGAGACTGAAATTTGAGGTCCGACAAAGCAAGGGTGACTTTGAGAACACCCTCTCAGGAACTGTAGTTCCTGTTTCCTCCAGGGGTTGGGGGCTGGGAGTGGTGGTGGGGTAGGAGGCTGTGGAAGTGGGCAAAGCTCTAGCTTCCCCAGGCTGACCCCTGCTCTGATTATGTTACATTTCTCTCTTGGGTCCAGCCCTGTGCACAGCTCCAATGGGCTTCATTGCCCTGAGCTGGCATGTTGCAAGATTGAATCACAAATCAATACTGCTCTTGTTATGAATTCCAATCTGCATTCAAAAAGTTGCAGGCCCTCCCAGGTCCCAAACCAAAGCCCTCCCAGGTCCTACCCCCAACCCCTGGCTCTCGCAGCTCGCTTAATACCACAAAAAGCTGCTGCTTTTGCGTAAATATGAGGAAATTAAGTTCCTGAAAGATCTACCAAGAGGCAGCTAATGGAATAATGGCTTGGGTAAGCTTAGGTTAAAAAGAAGGAGCATTCAAGAATTAAACAGCCATCGTCATCAGTGAAGGAAAGTCACCTAGAAGTAGACCAAAAAAGGTTTTATTTCCCAAGAGTTTTATAATCTGACTTGGTGTCCTGGACTAGGAAACTGAGCTGAAAGCCCAGGGGTGTGCAGAAGCATTATGACCAAGTCACCAGCTCTAAGCTCTGAGAGCCCCAAAACCCGAATTAGGGCTGACTATCCCAACCGCCCTCACCCACCCACACATCTACCCTCACAATTCCATGTTGCATCTAACTCACCCTGCAAAGCAACGGGTGTGTTGGGACCCAGCCAGTTGGGAGCCTTTGTAAAGACAAGATCCTTTTGCTTTGTGTTTGTTTTAATTTTCCCAAGCAGCTCAGATCTAACATGAAAAGTGCAATAAACTGGGAGTATCAGTGTCCACTGAAAATATCACTTCACAAGTGAAAATATATCCAAACAGCCAGTTGTAGTTTGAGAGGCTCTCCCTCCTCAAAAATGCAGCTGTCACCAAAAATACATTTGAAATCTCTCTCTTCCTCACTCTCTCTCTCTCCTTTCCCTTCCTTCCTTCTTCTTCCAGCTCTCCCTCTGTCTTGCAATTTAACTTTAATTGCCCTGTCAGCTCTAAAGGCTGCTAATTGACGCCTTTTATTCTGGGTTAAAACTCCTCAGGAAGAAAAGAGCTCGCCGGGCCCCCAGATTCGACCGATTTGGCACGCTTGTCTCCCTGCGAATTGAAGCTGGGTGCTGCTAGTGCTGGGGGCAGGCGTGGGGGAGTCGCGGAGGCGGGGAGGGGGGCTGGGCAGAGGTTGGAACGTCTATTTTTAGTGAGGGTTTTATAGAGTGGATCCCTGTGGCTTGGCTCCACACTGAAATATTGTCCTCGTCTCAATGACATAAACACAGGGCAACTTGGAGATCTTGGCGCCAGCTCTGGCCGGAGCCTGTGAATGGGCAGAATGGTGGGATGGGAGCAAGAACCCTACTGTAATTACAAATAAATCCGCCACCCACCCCCACCCCCTGGCTCTCCCAGCTCGCTTAATACCACAAAAAGCCGCTGCTTTTGCGTAAATACGAGGAACTTAAGTTACTGAAAGATCTACCAAGAGGCAGCTAATAGAATAATGACTTGGGTAAGCTTAGGTTAAAAAGAAGGGACATTCAGGAATTAATTAAACAGCCATCGTCATCAGTGAAAACCACAGACGGAGGCAAAGCATGGACTCCGTCTTGAGCTCCTGGAGTAAATCCAGTGTGTTGCTTCCCTCTGAAATTATCAAGCATTCAGGCTGGCCCTGGTATGGGAGAAATTGGAACTGATAAATTGGAACCAATTAGCAACAAGGTCTCAATATGATTCTTTGGAATGTCCCCGGCCAGGCTGGATGAAGCTGTCACCCAGGGCAGCCTCAGACATGGAGCCACACTTTCCAAAGCATATTTAAATATAGCCTCGCTTCCCTCGAAATGTAATCCCAACCCTCATTTCATCCTTGGAAGCTTGGGGGGTGGAGTGCAGGGTGAGGTGGGATTTTCATAACCCCCATCCCCCACTCCCACAACCCTGTAAATAAATAAAAGATTACACCAAATTCCATTTGAAGTTGTCAGTCCCGGAATGGAACTTTTATCCCATTATGAATTTCATGGGTGAGACCGGTCAGACTTTGAATGTGGCTAACACCTCCATTGAAAGGCCCTAATTGCAGTTGTAGGCACTGACTGTTTGCAGACACCGCACTGTACACACCTTCACATTCCTCTGAAGAAAGAGCATCCTATGAGAGCCGGCCAGGGCCTCCCCTCAAGTCAGTAGGACTGTCAAGGTTTCACTTAAACTTTAAACCAAAGTTGCCCTATTGAAGGGCCAGGTGCTAATTTGGGATTCTGAGGTTCGGCAGCTTTGCCTTGGCTGACAGGGCTGTTACTATACCCAGGGGGCTGGCTGGAGTCGTGCTTCAGCCTCAGAGGCTACCAGGAAGGGAGTCTTTCAGTCCAAATGGACCCTTGAAGGACCGCTTTTATTTTCAGATGAACTTCCTCTGAGCCTGAAAGCATCCAGGGCTTGGCTGAGCGACAAAAGAATGGAGAAATGCGTTTTGCACACAGCTACTGGCCTACCAGAGGCAAGAAAGCTGCCTGTTAAGAGTCCCAAGGGAAGGGAGCCTCTCCCTTCACTTCGGGACTCCTGGTGGGGAACAAGCCATGGAAAGGTGGCCTATGAGGGAGAACTCTTTACAAAGTTCTGCTCCTCCCTCAATGGACACCACTAAAAGTTTTAATTTTTGTGTTGTGGTAAAATATACATAAAGTAAAATTCACCATTTTAACCATTTGTAAGTGTACAGTTGAGTGGCATTAAGTACATTCTCATTGTTATGCAGTCATCACCAGCATCCATCACCAGAACTTTTTCATTATCCCAACTGATACGCTGTGACTGTGTCCCCACCCAAATCTCATCCTGAGTTGTGACTTCCATATTTCCCATGTGTCATGGTAGGGACCTGGTGGGAGGTAATTGAATCATGGGAGCAGGTCTTTCCTGTGCTGTTCTTGTGATAGTGAATAAGTCTCTCAAGATCTGATGACTTTATAAATGGAAGCTCCCCTACACAAGCTCTGTTGCCTGCCGCCATGTAAGACATGACTTTGCTCCTTGTTCGCCTTCAGCCATGATTGTAAGGCCTCCCCAGCCATGTGGAACTGTGCGTCAATTAAACCTCTTTCGTTCATAAATTACCCAGTCTCAAATATGTCTTTATTAGCAATGTGAGAACACACTAATACACCAACTAAAACTCCATATCCATTACACAGTAACTTCCCATTTCCCCTCCTCCCAGCCCTTGGCAACCATCATTCTACTTTCCATCTCTATGAATGTGACCACTCTAGGTACCTCATATAAGTGAAATTATACGGTATTTGTCCTTTTGTGACTTATGCTTGTTTCACTTAGCATAATGTCTTCAAGATTTACCCATGTTGAGGCCATCAGAATTTCTTTCCTTGTTAAAGCTGAATAATACCCCATTGTATGGATATACCACATTTTATTTATCCATTCATCAATGAACACATGGGCTACTTCCACCTTTTAGCTATTGTGAATAATGCTGCTATGAAAAAAAAGATGTATAAATATCTGAGTCCCTGTTTTAGTTATGTGAAGGATATACCCAGCAGTGGAATTGATGGTTTATATGCTATTTCCATTTTTAATTTTGTGTGGGAGTGCCATACTGTTTTCCACTGAGGCTGCATTATTTTACATTCCCACCAGCAGCACACAGGGTTTGCGTCTCTCCACATCCTCATCACATTTGTTATTTTCCTTCCCTTTTTTTGATATCAACTATTCTAATGGGTATGAGTGCTATCACATTGTGGTTTTTGAACACCAAAGATTTGTATTTATTTTATGTTTTCTTTGATCTCTTTCCTTTTTCAAAGAAATAATATGGTATAGATATACGTAAGTATCCACCAAGTACTTTACATTCTGTCCCTCTCCCCAGAGGCAAGCACTGTCCCCAAGTTGGTGTGTATGATTGCAATTCATGTATAAATTTACCAGGCCTATTTGCATTCATTAATAATTTATACTACTATTTTGTGGGTCACATTGGATTCCACTTTTGTGTCCTTCTCCACCCCCATCACTACCTTCCACATCTATAAGTTGTACAAAGAATACCAAAAGCAGAATTCCATATGAAACCAAAAAAGGCCACATGGAATAAATCAGGAGCTTTGGAGTTAGTCAGAGAGCTAAACCTCAGCTGTGTTACTTCCTACTTGTGTGACCTTGGTCAGGTCACTTGACCTCTCTGAGCTTTAGTGTCCTTGATTATAAACTGAGATGTCTGCAGGACTGAATAAGACAACAAATATAATGCACTATATCAGCACATAGTAAGAGTTCAGTAATTGGGAAGGTGGAGGGGGAAGAGAAGAAAGAGGTTAACATTAATTTTCTTGGGCCAGGTGCAATGGTTCACACCTGTATTCCCAGCATTTTGGGAGGCCAAAGCAGGCAGATCACTTGAGTCCAGGAGTTCGAGACCAACCTGGGAAACATAGCAAAACCCCTTCTCTACAAAAAAATTCAAAAATTAGCCTGGCATGGTGGTGCCACCTATAATCCCAGCTACTCGGGAAACTGAAATGGGAGGATCACTTGAGCCTGGGAAGTTGAGGCTGCAGTGAGCCATGATCATGATACTGCACTCCAGCCTGGCCAACACAGCAAGACCCTGTCTCAAAATAAATAAATAAATAAATTAAATGTTCTTGTTGAGTTGTTGCCTCTCCACAGCCATTTCTCATCCATGATCCACTGACTATTTTTGCCTGCATCTTCATGCTGCCCCGAGGTAGGACAGAACATGTGCAAAAGTATAAGACAAAAAAAATGCAGCCCTGTTTGACTTTTACAAAAATGTTGATGTAAGTAATGGAGAGTGAGTGTCCCCCTCTCCCCTTCCACCTCCCACCCAGAAGGCACTGGAGAGTGGAGGAAAGTAAGGAAGGCAGGAGGCCTGACCCACTCTGCCAAGTCACTCTACTTGGGAGAGAACATTCAGCACAGGCCCTGAGCCTGGCTAGAGAAACTGTAATCTAATATCTTAATCCATTTCTTCTTCAAAGCATTGCCCTTTGTGCCAGGTGGACAGAGCCCGAATAACATGGAGCTGTTCCTGAGAAGCTCTTGCATTGGGCTGCGTCATTCAGGCTGGGAAAAGAATACTCAAAGGTGCACCTTTGACCTGGTTATCTGGACAATTGTGACTGGGGAATGACAGTTTAGAGGACCTAAAAGATGTTTAGGGAATTGCACCCAGTCGGTGTTGACAGTGAACCCAGCCATTGATCCAGCCACCCCCAGTGAGTGCTGACCATGCCAGATGGTGAGCAAGGCTCTTTGGCTACACAAAGAGGAATTGGACACCAAGGAGAGCTGTCTTCAGAGAGATTAGTGCTATTCTGCCCTTTTGGAAAATGGCTTCTGAGTCCACCTCTCCAAGAACATGGCAGGGACTGGGAGCGGTGGGGTGGAAGGGAAGAAAAATAGTTCCAGCAAAAACTAGATCCTGGGGTCCCAAGGATGGGAGTGGCAGCCTGCACCATCTTCCTTTCGGAGGACATGGGCTGAGGTTAGCCTGACATCTCACAGCAGCTGCTGCCTCTCCAGAATGAGCTGGGATCATTCAACTACTCCCCACCCCACCCCAACAACAGCCCAAGCTGCAGCTTCCTGGGATATAGCCAACCATCCCTCACCCTCTCCCCTGCCCTGAATTGCTTCTGCTGCCAAAATCAGCTGACTTCAAGATACAGAGCTGCTAATTTGTGAGGATTCAGGCTGCTGAGGGTGTTGGTACAACAACCAGGCCATCTCTAGTTCAACATGGATAAGACATTGGTGTGTACCAGTTAAATTGTAAAGCATCTATTTGGGTCAAACTGGTCTTTTTATTTTCCAGACACCTATGAGGAATCTGATTAAACTTTTTTCTGTAAATAGACAGACTCAGCCAAGAAGAAGGATGTGATTTATAAGAGAAGATCAAACATCATAAGCTGTTAATTAAGAAATGGGCATTGTTTTGACCACCATCG
The DNA here is from genome assembly GCF_000001405.40 of Homo sapiens. NCBI lineage: Eukaryota > Metazoa > Chordata > Mammalia > Primates > Hominidae > Homo > Homo sapiens. Next base: position 56,582,806 of record NC_000017.11, read on the forward strand.
CTTCCATCTACCCACTACCAGCATCCAATATGGTAACCAGAAGTAATTAAACAAGTTCAGATGTTCGCTCATTTACTAGGCACCTACTGTATAATAAACACAAGGCCAGGCACTGGGAATAAGGAGTTGAACTCCCATAAAGAGCTCGTTGTCCAGCAGGCAGGACAGCCATCAGCCTGAATGCAGTCACTAATGGATGAGCTAGAGGAAGGAATGAGAAGGGGTAGGACTGAGAGGAGGGAGCAATTTATCTTCCCAGACAGAATCAAGAATGGAGGAAGCAATGTTTAAGCAGGATCCGGAGGGTGGCAAGTGATTTTGCAAAAGGGAGAAAGTGAGTAAACAGCACACGTAACAGTGAGGAGGTGCAGGCTATGTGTAGAGACCTCCAAGCTAAATATACAGCAAGCAGCAAAGAGTAGAACAAGGTAATAGGAGAAAGGTAGATTGTGGTCAGGTTGGAAATGGCACCAAATGTCATAACTTTATCTTGAGAGTAACCAGAAGAATCCTTAGAGGTTTTTGAATAATTACAATTCCCATCCTATACAGCAGTTTATTTTAGCCTGTTTCTTCTTCAGGAATACTAAGACTTTGGGAGAAATGAGGGCACCTCACTAAACTTCAGCAGGAAGCTATCTGTCTTGGGTGGGCCAGTACCATCTGCAAGCCTTACTTCTCAGTGGTGACCTTAGGGTAAATTTGGTGAGAGATAAAGACCCCATCTAGGATCTCATACCTGTGAGATGAAGAATAGCTGCTACAAATGACAAGTCAGAGATCTCATCAAACCCCTACCCTGCAACCAATGACGGCCCTGAAGTCCCTAGAAAATGTACAAGTGCCCCCAAGACTTGCTTTGCTGTCAAAATATTTAGAAGAAGCATATTTAAATCACAGACGGAACAATAGGACTAGCTCAGCAGTAAACGTTCACACTGTTGAAGAAGCTTAAACCATAAACATTTAGTCTAAAATGTAGCTGCCTCTCCTTCTGGGCTAGGGTTTGAAAGAAAAGCAGAGTTCTATAAAATGTGATCTGCCAGGATTTTCTTACCCCCGTGGCATGATCATTACGATGTCTCTTATTATATTTAAAGCCTTATCCGAGGTGACTCAAATCCTTGAGGAGGTGCGGGAAGCAGCTTTGCATTTTTCTCAACGTATTCTGCTGAACCACTGCAGTAATTCACTTTTGAAACAATGCAAAGGGAAAATGAGATTGGAATCACCACCTTGCCTCATTACTGGCCCGCCTCCTCCCTGCCACCTCCAGGCACTTTAAGGGCCCTTCTCCCAGCATTTTAGGGATTATCTTTGCGAGTTTAATCAAGCTTTACATTAACCAGTTAACATGGTTAAGCTTTTGTGTGAGAAAAGAGACATTTGTCTGAAATTGTAGTGTACTGAATTCATTTTGTAGGGAAGGGACAAAGAGGCCCAAGCCTGGCTACCAGCTCTAACCTTATCCATTCTCTCTATCATGAGTGAAAAAAAATTTTTTTCTTTAAATTTATAAGCATACCAACAATTTATAAAACTAATTTTTTTCCAAAACTCCAATGAATAATGAATCATATCTCAAAAAAAGTCCTGTGTTGAAACACAAGCCATGCTGGTAAAGGACTGGCCACTGCTTTATTTATTTTTATTCATATTTTAATTAATAAATTTACTTATGATCTTAACCTATTATGCCAAAGAACAGATTGTAAAACATTTGTGGTTGCCCAGTGGGTTACAGGAAAAGTAAGAACCCCTTTTAGAATTTTAAGGTGGTTTTTTGTGTAACTTTGAAGCCTTCCTTTCATATGTTGTAGGTATGTTTTGTGAATTAAAATAAAAAAGCAATTTTTTTTTCCTTAATTGAGGGCATTTTTAAATGAAGCTGAGTAAAGACACTAAGATGAAACCTTAGCTATAAGAAAAATAAAAAAACAGTTGGGGGTTTCAGAGACATTGTTTGTCTTAAGAGTGAGGTGGAGAAGCTTGATCAAAAGCCTTGTTTTACTACAGTCATGCTCCATTATGGGAGGTGGGGATGAGGATGGGGTCGGGGGAGTGGAAGGAAGATGAAACGAGCCCTCTCTTCTACTCAACCAGGTTGCCAAAAGTCACTGCCCACAAGTAAACCTCCCTTGCCTGCTGGTACTGATGATCTCCGGAGTCAAACGTGGATTCAAAGCAAGACATCAGATGCATTAAGAAGCCCGCTTTGGGCTCACGGCTCTGAGCTAACAAGCCTCTCTCTGCCTCCATAGATGAACCTTGAGTCAAGAGCAGAGCATTGAGACACCCCCTCATTTCTCTGGCCCTCAATCTCTCTATCTATAAAATGGGCAGGTAGTTGTCCCTACCTCCCCATTTTACCAAAGGATAAGTTCCTTTGGTACTTATTTAGGGACCTCATCCTCCAAACCCTCAACTTAGGTAACTTATTTCCAATCATTTGCTTCCACACCAAACTCATTCCAGACTGCATAGATGTTTTTCAATCAAGCATGAGAGTGGTTTTTGGTTCATTTTAGTTTTATTTCCCAGCCCAGCAGTGGGTTTTCACTTTATTTGGAAAGCAATCTGATTTCTCTGTAGATGCCTGAGACAGGAAATCAAAGTGTCATGAAACAGTGTCTGTCACTTACTTATATGTGTGCGCACACGCACACACACATGCACACGCACATATGCATACGAAAGTTCCACAAATGTGCTTCTTCACTTTACCATCATAGGTGAGCACTGCACCATTTAACTCAACAAAAAATGAAGATCACCTAAGAATAAGAATCGTGCCTACCCTGCAGCCTGCTGCTGGCTTCAAAAATCTTTTTAACATTTAGAACTTTAAGCACCATTTTCAGTTTTACTAGTGCCTAATAGTAACTTTGGGGCAAATTGTTTCTTCTAAATTCACTGACTTTAATCTTTTACTGATTTTTTCCTTAAATACAAAAATACTGATTGCCATCTTTTTTTAAATCAGATTTACATAAAGTAAAAAGTGAGCTTCTCTCTCTTCGTCACCTCACACTTTAAGGGTAATAACCCCATTCTTTAAGGATAATCATTACAATTAATGACTTACAAACATTTTTTGACATATTTCCTCGTACGTAAAATAATCCCTGCATAGAGACTAAAATCAAGGGCTCTAGAGTTGAAATCCTAGATTTCAAACTTGATGTAACACATAATGAATTTTTGTTTTCACTTCTTTTTTTTTCTTTTTTTTCTTTTTTTCTTTTTTTTTTTTTTTTTTTTTTGACAGAGTCTCGCTCTGTCACCCAGGCTAGAGTTCAGTGGTGTGATCTCGGCTCACTGCAAGCTCCACCTCCCAGGTTCACGCCATTCTCCTGCCTCAGCCTCCCGAGTAGCTGGGACCACAGGTGCCCACCACCACACCCGGCTAATTTTTTGTATTTTTAGTAGAGACAGGGTTTCACGATGTTGGCCAGGATGGTCTCGATCTCCTGACCTCGTGATCCGCCCACCTCGGCCTCCCAAAGTGCTGGGATTACAGGCGTGAGCCACCGCGCCCAGCCACTTCTTAATAGGGACTGTCTTGAAATATTTAAGACCTATAATCGCCATATTTAGATGGTTTCTAAGGTTTGTTTCAAATATTTCTAAGGTCAAGTCTAAATTCAAATCCTATTTAAAACAGCTTAAGACCCTTCAGTGGTCCACCATGCAAGGCCTCTGGTCTTCCAGTCTATTCCTCAAGCCCTAACTCTGGGCACTGCCAACCCACCCCCAGAATTTGGATTATGTCACACCTCCTCCCCACTACCCCAAATGTCATCCAGTCAGTGGCCTCTCCTCACCCATTTGTTCTGTAACCACCTCTTGATTTTTCAGGTCTTTCAACCTGGACATCAAGCCAGGCATGGTGGCTCAAGCCTGTAATCCCAGCACTTTAGGAGGCTGAGGCAGGAGGATCTCTTGAGGTTAGGAGTTCGAGACCAACCTGGCCAACATGGTGAAACCCTGTCTCTACCAAAAATACAAAAATTAGCCAGACGTGGTGGCGCATGCCTGTAATCCCAGCTACTTGGGAGGCTGAGGCAGGAGAATCACCTGAACCTGGACAGCAGAGGCTGCAGTGAGCCGAGAATGATGCCACTGCACTCCAGCCTGGATGACAGAATGAGACTCTTTCTGGAAAAAAAAAAAAAAAAGAAATTAAAAAATCAACTTGGACATCAAATCTTTTAGGGAGCCGTTTCGGATCCCCCAGCCCAACATTTCTATGCCTCTTCATGGCAGCTGACATCCTGAATTGTAATCTTTATTTTTTTCCCCAATCATCTGTGACCTCCTCAAGAGATGAGACTCCATCTTCTCTCTTGTTGAGCAATGTGTCTATAATTGGGGTACATGCCTGGTGATGAGATAAATGAAAAAGACTGATGGATGACAGTAGGTGGTCACAGCAAGTCATATCCAAGGCTGCACCATGACTTGAATGGTGAGGAGACGGAGTAGGGGCTAGGAAAAAAGTCAGAGACGTGAAGGTTTTGTGTTAGGTGGATTCGGTAGCTGGAACCCGTGATTCATCCCACCCACCTGAAATGGGGTCATTTTTCACCTTATTTTTCACTCCATTGAGCTTCTGTCTGCTTGTTATCTTGAGCCTTTGACGGGATAAGGGAGACTAGACCTTATTATCTCAATACACATCTATCTGAGGCAGTGGGATGAGAGGATGTGGGGGAAATGCAAGTGTACACTGAGATGGGTGTTTGTGTGTTTTTGGCAGGAGGAGGCAGTGTATCAATTTCCCATGGCAGGTCGCTAAAGGGAACTGCCTTCAGAAACCTTTAAGCCTAGATAGGAACAGAAGAGGCAGAAGTATGGGTATGTGTGTGGTTTGTGTGTGTGTGTGTGTGCACGTGTGGTGTGTGTGGTGTGGTGTGTGTGTGCGTGTGGTGTGTGTGGTGTGTGGTGTGTGTGTGGTGTGGTGTGTATGTCTGTGTGTGTGGTATGTGTGGTGTGTTGTTGGGGAGCAGTGCATAGCGAGTGTGTGTGATATGTGTGTATATGCATGTGTGTGCACGTGCACTCATGTGTTTGTATTGAATAACTACATATGTATTGGGGTCGGGAAGGTAGGCTCTTCAGTACAGGTAGGCTTTCAATATCTGAAAATTGTGTGCCTGTGCAAACCTATGACAGTGTATGGTGGGGAGCGGGAAGCAAGTCCTAGAGCATTTAGAGTTTGTGTTTCTATTCGATGACAGTTATCCGTTCACATCATAGCCCCCCCATCATTTTGGAGATTCTTGTCCCACACTAGCAATACTGTATCTGTAGTATTCCATTCATTCCCCTTTTGAAATACTGGGTCACATATGGTAAAAGTCCGTTAACTCAGAACCAAGTGTTGTTGGTCTTTAAATTTTATTTAGAATGTGTGTGTGTGTGTGTGTGTGTGTGTGTGTGTGTGAAGCAGTGGCTAGAGAGAGAAGGATTGTACAAGGATTTCCTTTCCATAGGAAAACGTTGGGTCCATCCTAGACCCAGACTTCAGCCAAGGAAATGCAATGTGAAGCCCAGGAGAGCTGAGGGCAGGAAAGCGGAGAAGATATGCCTGCTGGCGTCGCCCCCACCCACCCCCAGGCCCCCCACATCAGGGCAGGCTAAACATGCCGAGGCTTCTGTCTCCAGGGCTGGAGAGAGGCGCCCTCGTTAAAACTCAGATAAACAGTTTATCAGGAGATGAATGAGCCACCGGGCTCCAGAGACGTCTCCCCTTCCCCAGTGCGGAGCCAGATGGGGAGGGGGCTACAGGCGGAGCAGGAGCCAGACTGAGGAAGGGAAGGGGCTGTCGGGGCTGGAATAAGCTCGCTGAAGCTCCTTTCCTCCTTTGGTCTTAAACTTCGTCTCTATTTTGGGAAATGTATTTCACATGTATTTGCCCACGTTCCCACCCCAGACCACGTTTTAGAGTGATTTCCCACTCTCTCCCTCCTCTTTCTCTCCTAGTTTCCCTCTTTTGCCCAGCATGCCCATTTTAGTTACTTCTCACCAGAATCTAACCACCAATGGGACACACACACACACACAATTATAATGCCCTGTGAAGCTGAACTGGGTTCTTTCTACCCTCACTGTGAGTTCTGAACTGGCCAGGGCTCCCCAGCACCCAGGAGGCTACATGGAGTTCACCACCCTCTGACCTCAGTGCCACCTCTACTGTCACCTTCTGGCAGTCAAGAGAGATATGTGACAAGCCTCATGGCTGACTTGGTCTCCCTTTGCTAACTTAAGTCAAGCCCAAGAATGCCATTTTGGGGTCTCATTAAGAGAAAGCCCATCAGATTCTATATTTATGGGTCCCAAGAGATTGTCAGAAACAGAGGGTAGAGAATTTCAATGCCTGGGATGACACCAGCTGTAAAAGATGGCAGTTCTCATGCATTCTCCAAGGACGTCTCATGGTCCTTGAAAGGTAGAGTGTCTCACCCAAGGTCGCACAGCTGGTAGATTGCAAGTTTTCTGACCTCAAGCCCCATGCCCTTTAGGCGTCACCCACAGTTGCCTTAGGTCTATGTTTCCAGGGCCAAAGAAGCAAGAAGATTGTCAAGTTGTTCTTCGAATCATGATAGAAATAAGAGAAGATACATAAAAGCACCCTCAGGCTCCTCTTGCCTTTGACCTGGAGTTGCCCCAGCGACTGTTTAAAGGAGTGCTTCCATTTACCTTGCCCAGAGAATTTTGCAGGGACAGAAACCTGGGATGGGGCTACCCAGGGACAGGCCTCCATTTATGTTGTTCATTAACTCTTCCTATGTAGCCTCCTGAGGCCTAAGTCCCCAACCAAGCCCCACTACAGTCCAAGCACCGCCCACAGCGAGAGTCAAGCTGATAGCCGTACTTCCATTGGCCCATCTTCCGCCCACAGCTTCCTTTGCAAGAAATACAACCCTCTTTGTCCAGTTTTGTCAAGCTCCCTCTTCAACAGAACCACAGAAGCATCAAAATGGGTTGACTACAGAATCTCCTAAGAAACTACAGTCCTCCCTCCCTCAAACTCCTGAAGCCTGGCAGCCCTCAAGTTGCACAGATGGAGTGGACAGAAAGCAAGTCCAAAGGTGTTGGAGTTGATTTCAGCAGCATCCTCACCCCTTCAACCCTCTTCTGCTCAAACCTGAGATGGTTGGCCAGTTGAGGGCAGTGGGGTTCTCTGAAGAAGTAACGTGTTGTAAAACCATTGCCCGATATAGGCTCTGCCCCAGGCACCTTACTAGGCTAGGCATTCCTTACCTCTTTTACGTGGCATGATTCTGAGAGGTGTGTATCATCCCCATCTTACAGATGAGAGAATGGAAACGGGGTGGTTAAGATGACTGTTTTAAAAAGGTAACACAGCCGGTGAGGGGCACAGCCAGAATTCCAACTTAAATCCACCTGGTCCAAAAGTCGTGGTGCTTCCCTGTCTGGGACATTTCCTCTTCCACCTCTCATATCCCCAGATTTTCTGGCTGTCCCTCATACAAGTGTGGTTCCCTTCTTCATGTAGATGTATATCCTATCTCTCAAATCTCTTCCTCTCCATACTCAGATAAATACATCCTTCTTCATGAAGCTCAGCTAAAATTCAGCTCTACCATTAAGGTCTTAGTACTTCCTAGTCTCTGATACCAACATCCCCAGGTTCACTCAGTACCTAAGCGCATGGGCTACTCCAGTGTGGCACAGAGTTAGGAGTTGCAAGCTTCCCAAATGTGGCATTTCAGAACTTCACATTGAAGAGGGGTAGATATGGTTTGAAAACAGTATAGCTAACATAATTGCTTGGGCTTCTTTTTGGTTATAATAATGTATTTTAAAAACTTTAAACAACATTCAAAGAAGAGCATGATATTGTTATATCTATCAAAAGGGGACATGGATTTTAAAAAGAAAAGGTTATAAAAAACTAGTCCACACTGTTATGGGAATTTATAAATTTTTCTGATGTCCTTTTACTATTTCTTCTTGTGGTTGTCATATCTCCCCTAACTGTACTACAAAAGTCTTGCAGGATGGAGACTGACTATGAATTTTTTCTTCTTTGTATTTTTCCTGATGGTCTTCACCCAGTAGATACTCCATAAACAGGTCACCCAATCTGTTCTCAAGCATGATTTGTTTCTGGTTCCTGAGGGACCTTTTTTGCTGTTCAGTCAAATCTGCTCAGCCCAACTAAATAAAGGATCTGGGTTGGTTTTCAAGCAAAAATAGGTGATTTGAAGGAGAGAAGAGGGGGATTAAAAGAACAGAAACCAGCATGATATAATGTCATTAATTGGAACCTACCATCTCAGGAGGGCTGAGCTAGAGTTTAGCCCTTGAACTCCACTAAATAATTTTCTTAGTTAATTCACATCAGTGACAAAATTGCTCTGGAACATGTAATCTTCATAAGGAAACAAACTAGTGCTGAATCCCCATAAAGCACATAAAAAAGAAAGAGGTATGCTTAGGAGCCTACTATGTGCTAGGTTCTTTTTTTGGAGGGGGAGGAGTTGGGGAGGTGGGAACAGAGTCTCACTCTGTTATTCAGGCTGGAGTACAGTGGTGCAATCTCAACTCACTGCAACCTTTGCCTCCCAGGTTCAAGTGATTCTCGTGCCTCGGCCTCCCAAGTACTTGGGATTACAGGAGCCTGCCACCACGCCCAGCTAATTTTTTTTTTTTTTTTTTTTTTTTGTATTTTTAGTAGAGACAGGGTTTCAGCATGTTGGGCAGGCTGGTTTCCAACTCCTGACCTCAAGTGATCCGCCTGCCTCAGCCTCCCAAAGTGCTGGTATTACAGGCATGAGCCACCGTGCCCGGCCTGTACCAGGTTCTAATCACACATTATTTCAAAGTCAGCCCAATTCAAACAACCAATGGGTTGTTGTTAACTCCAGTATCCATCAAAGCAAGATCTCCTTTTGAGCAGTCCCTTGATAGTCTAATTCTAGTTGTCTAGACTTTAAAATTGAGGGAAACGCTTTCAGCGGAAACTGCCCACCCCTTTTAATAGAGGTTTTGCAGAAAGACTGTAGTATGCAACAAAGTGTTTTCTTCCTTAGACAGATGATAAACTTTGGGAGTTGGGGTGGGGCAGGTTGAAAGGAAAAACCAGATCTTTGGGGAAAGAAAGTTAAGCGATTTAGGTTGTCACAATGGGACCTCTTAACTCCCACTCCATGGAAGACTGGCAAATACTTGAGTCATCCACTCCAAGTCTCTCTTCTCCAGCTTTTTCCAGATTCCAATCACATTCACCACAAAGAAAACTGAGTTTGCATTTTAAAGCTGAGATTGAGTTCCTCGTCCAAGGGGAAATTAACCGGAGGTGTCCCTTCAGTACCCATCTCCCATCAAAGAGAAACTGCTTCTGAACAAGAGAAAGCATCGTGGAGGTTTATTTAAAATCACAGAAAGGTAGGGCTGGAAGAGAAATCTATTAATAGTTACGTCACTAATGCGAAAAGTGAGAAAAATGACTTGTCCGAGTTATATCAGGGTGGACCCCGGGCAAGACTCAGGTGCCTCTGCTGTCAGCTCACCTTTCAAGTTTCTGGTCCCCACTCGCACCCACTGAGACCAGAGACCGATTTACCTGAGGCAGAAGGTGCTGCACGCATTCTTGTGAAATTTGAGGGGACCGAGAAGGAATCTCAGGAAGTTTGTTTACACTGGGGGCCTGGAGACCTTCGGGAAAATAGCCAGAACCAAAACGGACCAGTCAGCAGACGCAGACACACACAAAGTGACAGGGACACAGAAGCAGAAGCTGAACTGGGCAGAGCGGGCAGCGGCCGACCCACCTCGCACGGCCGCCCCCGCCAGCGCCAGGTGCAGGGCTCATAGCGGGCCAGCAGAGGGCGCGCCGCCCCCAGGGAGCCGAGCGGCGGCCGCGCGGAGCCGGGCGGGCTAGGGGAGCCGCAGGCGAGCCAGTCGCGCCCCTGAGGCTAGGCCACTCAGGGTGCAGGACCCGGCCAAGGAGGAGGAGGATGGTGAGGAGCGGAACCCCCTCGTGGGCCCGAGGGGCAGACAGACAGGAGTGCTTCCTAAGAATTACATCACGCTGCGCAACGCTGCGGCTCTCGGACTCCCTGGTGCAAAGGGGGGTGGGGTAGGGGCTGTGTGTGTGTGTGTGTGTGTGTGTGTATATATGTGTGTTGGGGGGAGGGGACTTAGAGCAAGAGCCCGGGAGAGAAGAAGACGCGCTCGGGGAAAACGCTCCATGCACATGGAGAAATTTCTTGCTCCGAACTGCATGCACCGAGAAACGAGCCCCCAGCACTTCCCCGCTGCTCCCCTCCCAGTGCAAAGCACCCAGCTAGTGAGAAACCCTCCAGCCCCACCTCAAGCACCGCCCCCCCTCCCCAAACACCGGCTCTGCACCCTCCAGCCCGGCTCCAGCGCCGCCGCGAGCTTTCCCCAGGACTGGCCCTGGCGGGGCGCCTAGAGCCCCAGTTGCATTGCTCCAGGAGAAAGGAGGGGGGCGGTGCATTTTGCAGGAGGAGGAGAAGGGGGGTGGGTGGTGGGGGAGAGAGAAAATTGCGCGGAGACCTGCCAAGCGCCACCGCCGCCGCCACCGCCGCTGCCGCCGCCGCCGCCGCCGCCTGTGAGCTCCGGCGGGCAGCCGGACTGTCGGCTTCCCGGGGCATCTGGGTCCGGCGGGGCACAGCCCTGGGCGCTGCCGAAGCCGCCGCCGCCGCCTCCGCGGCGAGTACAGGCGGCTTCCCCCGGAGCCTGTGCAGCTCCAGCTCCTCGGGGGTGGAGAAGTGGGGGGTGGGGTTGTTGTTTGGGGGGAAGAAGGGGGAGGGGGCAACGCCGAGAGAGTCAGTGGTTTCCATGGTGATGGAGCTGAAAGTGCAGGAAATTTAAAGGCTTGGACCCTGCGAGACAGACAAACCGGTGCCAACGTGCGCGGACGCCGCCGCCGCCGCCGCCGCTGGAGTCCGCCGGGCAGAGCCGGCCGCGGAGCCCGGAGCAGGCGGAGGGAAGTGCCCCTAGAACCAGCTCAGCCAGCGGCGCTTGCACAGAGCGGCCGGACGAAGAGCAGCGAGAGGAGGAGGGGAGAGCGGCTCGTCCACGCGCCCTGCGCCGCCGCCGGCCCGGGAAGGCAGCGAGGAGCCGGCGCCTCCCGCGCCCCGCGGTCGCCCTGGAGTAATTTCGGATGCCCAGCCGCGGCCGCCTTCCCCAGTAGACCCGGGAGAGGAGTTGCGGCCAACTTGTGTGCCTTTCTTCCGCCCCGGTGGGAGCCGGCGCTGCGCGAAGGGCTCTCCCGGCGGCTCATGCTGCCGGCCCTGCGCCTGCCCAGCCTCGGGTGAGCCGCCTCCGGAGAGACGGGGGAGCGCGGCGGCGCCGCGGGCTCGGCGTGCTCTCCTCCGGGGACGCGGGACGAAGCAGCAGCCCCGGGCGCGCGCCAGAGGCATGGAGCGCTGCCCCAGCCTAGGGGTCACCCTCTACGCCCTGGTGGTGGTCCTGGGGCTGCGGGCGACACCGGCCGGCGGCCAGCACTATCTCCACATCCGCCCGGCACCCAGCGACAACCTGCCCCTGGTGGACCTCATCGAACACCCAGACCCTATCTTTGACCCCAAGGAAAAGGATCTGAACGAGACGCTGCTGCGCTCGCTGCTCGGGGGCCACTACGACCCAGGCTTCATGGCCACCTCGCCCCCCGAGGACCGGCCCGGCGGGGGCGGGGGTGCAGCTGGGGGCGCGGAGGACCTGGCGGAGCTGGACCAGCTGCTGCGGCAGCGGCCGTCGGGGGCCATGCCGAGCGAGATCAAAGGGCTAGAGTTCTCCGAGGGCTTGGCCCAGGGCAAGAAGCAGCGCCTAAGCAAGAAGCTGCGGAGGAAGTTACAGATGTGGCTGTGGTCGCAGACATTCTGCCCCGTGCTGTACGCGTGGAACGACCTGGGCAGCCGCTTTTGGCCGCGCTACGTGAAGGTGGGCAGCTGCTTCAGTAAGCGCTCGTGCTCCGTGCCCGAGGGCATGGTGTGCAAGCCGTCCAAGTCCGTGCACCTCACGGTGCTGCGGTGGCGCTGTCAGCGGCGCGGGGGCCAGCGCTGCGGCTGGATTCCCATCCAGTACCCCATCATTTCCGAGTGCAAGTGCTCGTGCTAGAACTCGGGGGCCCCCTGCCCGCACCCGGACACTTGATCGATCCCCACCGACGCCCCCTGCACCGCCTCCAACCAGTTCCACCACCCTCTAGCGAGGGTTTTCAATGAACTTTTTTTTTTTTTTTTTTTTTTTTTTCTGGGCTACAGAGACCTAGCTTTCTGGTTCCTGTAATGCACTGTTTAACTGTGTAGGAATGTATATGTGTGTGTATATACGGTCCCAGTTTTAATTTACTTATTAAAAGGTCAGTATTATACGTTAAAAGTTACCGGCTTCTACTGTATTTTTAAAAAAAAGTAAGCAAAAGAAAAAAAAAAGAACAGAGAAAAGAGAGACTTATTCTGGTTGTTGCTAATAATGTTAACCTGCTATTTATATTCCAGTGCCCTTCGCATGGCGAAGCAGGGGGGAAAAGTTATTTTTTTCTTGAAGTACAAAGAGACGGGGGAACTTTTGTAGAGGACTTTTTAAAAGCTATTTTCCATTCTTCGGAAAGTGTTTTGGTTTTCCTTGGACCTCGAAGAAGCTATAGAGTTCAATGTTATTTTACAGTTATTGTAAATATAGAGAACAAATGGAATGACTAATCATTGTAAATTAAGAGTATCTGCTATTTATTCTTTATAATATCCCGTGTAGTAAATGAGAAAGAAGTGCAGAGCAGGATTAAAGAAAACCACTAAAACCGACTGCGCTCCACACTGATTTTCTGTGTTGGTGATTGATGGGGGTGGGAGGGCGTGGGAGGGGGCGGGTAGGGGATGCTGCTGTGCCTCCTACCCCGTTGGGGAAGGGGCTCATCCCCTCGGACTCCCCTCCTGTGGTATGATGGAGGTGACTTAGTTTTTTGAGGGCGTTGGGGGGGGGGGCGATATTCTCTAACCCCTCACTAAAACATCACGTGGCCTCCGCCTAGTCTCCTAGCTTTTCCCCCTATGTCACCAAAGCTCGGGCCTGTAGTGACCTCGACACCCAGCCGGCCCCCTGGAGCTGACCCCAGGCTGGGCCGAGGGGCGGGGGGAGGGTGGGCGGCCGCTTTGTCCTGCCTGACAGGCCCTTCACAATGGGGACACGTGTCTTTCACACCTACCCTGGGGGCGGAGTGCCGCTGAAACTTGACCCCCGAGGAATGGGGAGGGGGGGAGATCAGAGCGCGCCCACCCAGATCCCGCCACCCCTCCCGCCTCGTACCCCCCACCTCAATATCCAGCCCATGTTAACCCTTTGCATGCCCGGAAGCTACGGTGGTACGAACTGAGGCAATCCCTTGGAATCAACAAGGCTCACAGCCTCCGGGATCTTGCAGGTCCGAGCCCCGAAATCCCAGGCCCTCGGCCGGAGGTGCTGGGGATATCAGGGAGATTTGACACTGGCCTCCCCTCTCCCCGGGGACCTAAGGAAGACTAAGGGCCATGGTTTCGGAGGGGTCCGAATCTGGGTGAAAATCACCACCTCTGGCATCTGCTTTTGGGAAGAGAGTATGCCTGTGCTCGGGCACTTTCTCCCCTTGAGGGGTGGGGAGGAGGGAGAAATCGGAACCGGAATCTTTGCGCTTTAAGATTAGATAGGGGCAGAAGGCACGTAACCCATTAAAGGGACGTGCAAAACATCACTCCCACCCCACCCCTTAAAAAGCCAACTCCTTGGGACCGACGCCTGACTCTCGCATGCGTCCCTCCGCCTCAGTCCCCAGTGGCGCCCGTCCTCACAGCTCCACGTGGGCCAGCCTCCTGACACTGCTCAGCGCTCTCTTTATTTATCTTGGACTCCAAAGTCGCTCTCCTTTGCTCCCTCCCCACCTCCCTGCCACCTCTCCGCGCCTCCCTCCCGGCGTTCCTTCCACCCCACCCCCCACCCCCCCCAACCCCCCAAGTCCGGAGTCCCGGCGAATCTATGCTAATTATTTCAAACCTGCGCCTGGTCCCCAGCGCAGTCTCAATGCCCCCGGCCCCGCCCGCCCTGTCCCTCCAGCCCGGCGCTTTCTTCCCTCCCGACGCAGCCTCGATGGCTCCTCATTTCAATAGCCTGGCCCCGGAGCCGAGCCCCCTCCCCGGCGCTGCCTCCGTCAGCCGTGGGACAGACGTTAGGGTATTCATTAACTGAGAGCCGAGGAATAACGGCATTATTCCCCCCAGAGAGGGCACCCTGCCCCCGCGACTATCTGAGGCTTCATTGTAAAAGGATTAAAAGTTAAAGACCTCCATCTTATGATTCTTTCATTTAATCTTCCTGGCGCCTGGGAGACATGCTCGATGGATGATGGCTTTTAAAATATTCCTAATGTCGGCTACCTTAAGACTCCAAGCTGGGCAAACAAACGTAATTTATTTCCAGAAGAAAGGGGATATTGAGATGTTTAAGTTTATGAACTGCCGTCCCCATGTATATTTGTTAAGTTCTGACAAATACCCAAATAACGTTAAAATCAGCCATTCATCACTTATGAATTTATGCAAAACTTTCTGTGCCCCGGGCCAATATTTTTTTAGACAGAGTTTCACTTGCGAGGGGCGGAGGTGGTGGGGAGTGGGGAAGAGGAGGGGTCTTATGCGAGGGGGGCGAAAGCAAGAATTTTCATGCCTGGTAAACACGCGAATTATGCGAAGAGAGTTATTCCCAGCTGGGCGGGCAGCCAAAACTCGGAGAGCGCGCCGAGGCCAGCGCCCCCACCCCCACGTTGGCAATGTCATTGGATTACAATGCGAGGTCTTCCCCTCCGCGACGCCCCCTCCTCCCTCCGCGGGCCCGCCCGCCCGCGCCCCTCCTCCCCACCCCTGCCCACTTGGAAAACCCGCCCGCAGCCGGCGAGCTTCTCGGCTTTCAGAGCAGGAGCCGGTGTGAGCTGGGAGGACGCGGGTTGCAGACGTGACCGGCGACAGACAGACCACCGGATGCACAGAACCAGAGAGCAGGCCCGAAGCCGCTGCGGCCGCGGGAGAGGACCCAGCGGGACCCAGGCAGTCCCAGAAGCTAACGAAGGAAGTGCTGGTCCTGGAACATTGTGCCTAATGCGCAGCTGGTTACCTCTCCATTATTATTAATGCCGATAATACTAATAATAGCATCAATGCGGAAAGGAGGAGAGAGCTCTGGGTAAAGAGGCAAGAAAACTGTCCTCTTCGGTCATCCAGTGCCTATCTCCTGTAAGGAGGACAATTGATCTAGTGACTTCTGCGGTTCTGACACCTGTGTCTATGAATTTATGCGGCTGCTGGGGGGCTGTGTCTCCCCAGAGTGGAGATTTATAACTATTACAGATACATACGTGTCAACTTTTTCAAATACTGGAAGAGAATGGCAAGGTTTCCACCAACCCATTCCTCCCACTAGAATTTCGAGAATTCACTCATCAACCTCCTATTTGCAAGCCTCCCCTTTATTCTTTCCTTCCACTTTCAATGTCCCCCCCCACCACACACACACACACACCGCACACAATCTCTCTCTCTCTCTCTGCACACAAGAGCAAACTGAGGCCCAATGACCAAACTGAGAGGGAAAGCCAGCCCTCTCAATGGAGGGTCCTCTGGCCCCCAGAGTCTGGGAACGGGATTTAGTTCTCTGTTGAGATGGAGAAGGCCAGGGGTCCATTATCAGTCTTGCTTCTGAGACTCCCTGGGAAAGGGGGTTGAAGTTTGGTGGCAGCTGCAAGAAGAAGCTGGCTGCGTATTAAGAGCTCTTAGCTGTGCTCGATGGGGACTACAGGGGGAGGGCCCAGCCCATATTGGTATTTTGAAGGGGGTGATTCATCCTTTTTCTTTAATGCTCTTGGAATGTCAGAGCTAGAGGGGAGCTTGGATTCCAATGTCCACCGCTCAATTTACCGATGAGAAGACTAAGACCTCAGCAGCCACTTGCTGAAGATCACACAGATTAATACAGTTGAGATTGGCTAGGTGGTGCCTCTCTAGTGAGCCTCATCATGATTCTCTTTTTCTTGTTCTCTTTTTTCTTTGCTTTTTTTTTTAATTGATGGGAGCGAGTTCTCCCTAAAGTTGACATTATAACAACTGATCATCAGCAAGCGGATCAATCCTTCTGTTGTACCTGTTTAGCAGGTGTTTATTAATGGTTTGTGATGTGCCAAGCGGTGTGTTAGGCCTTTACACTCATTTTCAACTAAGGCCTCTAGTGTCCAAATAAGGAAACTGAAGCTCAGAGAGTTTAAGCATCTTCCCCAAAGCCTCATAGTAAGTGACACGGTTACAGTTCAAAATCCAAGCTGACACCACCAAAGCCTATGCTTCTTCCAAATAATCTTCCTTCCTTTAAGGACTTGAACACCGATCTTGGGAGACAAAATGCATGCCACGCTGTGAGCTGGTAAGTCTCAAGTCAAGTTCTGTAGGGGTTCATGCCTGGTAAGCCACACAAAAAAATATTTGCACACCCTGTTATGTGCCAGCACCCCCCACTTCCTCCCCCACACCCCCACAAGGAAGTTGCAATGCAATAGAGGAGATAAGAAATGAAGAACTGGTGGCTGGGTGCAGTGGCACACACCTGCAATCTCAGCAATTTGGGAGGCCGAGGCAGGAGGATTGCTTGAGGCCAGAGTTCAAAATCAGCCTGGGCAACTTCATGTCTACAAAAAATTTAAAAACTAGCCAGGGATGGTGGCACATTCCTGTAGTCCTAGCTACTCAGGAGACTGAAGCAGGAGGATCTCTTGAGTCCAGGAATTCAAGGCTGCAGTGAGCTGTGACCTGACTGTGCTCCAGCCTGGGCAACAGAGTGAGGCCCTGTCTCTTAAAAAAATAAATAAATAAATAAATAAGAACTGGGTAAGAGATAAAAGAGGAGGTAAAGCATCAAATAAACCTGGGCCGGAAAAAGGAGGGCTCACAGCCAGAGAAGGCATTTGACAGAAGCCTCAAAGAACAGACTGAATGTCAACCCACTGAAGTGAGGATGGAGGAGGAGATGTGAGGATGGAGAAAGCAGTATATATTAATATCAGTGAAGACATGGTGCTGGAAAAGTATGTGTGTGTTTGGGAAATAGCTCAAACAAACTTTAGCATAGGATGGATCCATGCTGAGAAGAGCAAGCAATAAGATTTGAAAAGCAGGTTGAAGCCAGATTATGGAGGATGTTGAATGCCAACTAAGGGAATAGTGACAGGAAGCCATTGAGAGTTCTTAAATAGGGCAGGGACCCCCATTAGGGCACTGCTGCAAAATGAATTATTTATTCACTCAATAAATATTTTTGAGCACTGTTCTGGTTATCCATTGGTGTATAACGTGCTACCCCAAAATGAATAATCTTTAAAAACCATTTTATTTTATTCATGATTCTGTGAGTGAGCAATTTGGGAAGGGATCTGCTGGGCAGTTCATCTCTTATACTCATTATGTCAGCTGAGAGCTGGAGGATCCACTTCCAAAATGGCTTCTAGCACCCAGCTGCCAACTAGGAGCTCAGAAGGAATATTGGCCAGAGCCTCTACAAGGGACTTCTCCATGCGGCTTGGATTTTCCCACAGTCTGGTGGCTCAGGCTAATTGGACCTACATGGTAGCTCATGGCCCTGAGAGAAAGTGTTCCAAGAGGCCTGAAGGGAAGCTGCAGGGCTTCTTGTGACATAGACTCCAAAAGTCCCAAAATATTGTTTCCACTTCAGCCTACTGGTTAAGCAAGTCTCTAAGACCAGCCCAGATTCAAGAGGAAGGAAATTAGACATCACCTCTCAATGGGAGGAGTAGCAAATAATTGGCACCCATCTTTAATCTATCTTATGGTGGGCACTTCTGAAGTCCAGGTTCTATACTGTATGTCTAGGACACACAAATGAAACGATGCAGTGATTTTCCATTTAAATTTGGTGCCGGTGTCCTGAATAGATTGGAGATGGGAATAGTGGCTGCCAGGAGATTAGTTAAGGAGAGCCTTGCTATGGTCAAGAAAGAGTCAAGGCCAGACGTGGTGGCTCATGCCTGCAATCCCAGCACTTTGGGAGGCCGAGGCGGGTGGATCACTTGAGGTCAGGAGTTCCAGACCAGCCTGGCCAACATGATGAAACCCCGTCTCTACTAAAAATACAAAAAAAAAAAAAAATTACCTGGGAGTGGTAGTGCACACCTGTAATCCCAGCTACTCGGGGGGCTGAGATGGGAGAATCACTTGAACCCAGGAGGCAAAGGTTGCAGTGAGCCGAGATCGCGCCACTGCACTCCAGCCTAGGTGACAGAGTGAGATCCTGTCTCAAAAAAAAAAAGAGTCAAATAAGAGTCTATACCTGAGGAGCATCAATACCAACAAATACAGAGATCATTTCTCAGAAGACTAGAGAGGACCTGGTCACTGACTGGGTGCGAGGCTGAGGAACAGATTTTAAAGGACCCCTGATGCTTCAGGCCTGCAATGGACCACGCACAGAAGAGGAATTTCAGATGTAGGAGTTCTGTCCCTCCTTTACCCCCAACCCACACATACACAGGACATTGAGACTAAGAGATAGCTAGACCCTCGTGTGGCCATTCATATAAGTCCCTGACATAGTGCTTGACATAGTAAGTCTTCACTAAATACTAGGTAAAGAAATATGGACTGATTTGGGGGTCCACAGGGTGTCATGCTAGGTCATTGAGCAAAGGATGAGGTGGGAAGACTTTCTGGATTAAAACTATATAAAAACGAACAAACAAACAAACAAAACTATTAGAAAGGTAAAACTCCAGACTGGAAGTCCACGTAAGAGATTGCATCTAATCCTGAAGGACAGATAATCAGGAAGAAGAGATAAAAGGACAAAACTGACAGATGATTTAAAGGAAAACAGAAGTTGGATCCAGCTTGCATTTTTGTATGAAGCAATAATTTGCTGCAGCTGAAAAGAAATGGCCCCCTTTGAATAGGGTGTGCCCTCTTTGTTTTGCCACAGCCTCCACCTCTCTCTATTGCATACTTCAGTCATTATATCACCTACCATGACCTTTGTAGACATTTGCAATTGGGACTTCTGGATTAGATATAGTGAGGAGACTGCAAATTTTTATTCTTTTGAAATAAGAGAAAAGGGGGCCCCAAAAGAAACCATATACAGAATTTTAAAAATAGATTCAAATTTTGAGGGAAAGAGGATAGAATCACAATATTTAAGCTGGGGTGTCCTTAAAGTTCTTTACCCATTAATTTGACTGCAGAAACTAAGGCTTATCAAGGCCAATTGACTTGTCTCAGTTTTATTTACTTTGGAACAGAAATGGCACCAGAAGCAATGTTTCCAGATTTTCAGTTCAACCCTCCCTTTATAGTTGTTATAGGTTTAAACAGCATTAGAATTTAAAAAGCACTTTCACATGCATAATTTTATGTAAAATGAGGCATGAGAACTCCCAAGGATAGGAAATAGGCTTGTCTAATATCCCCAGAGCCTAGCACAGGGCCTGGCCCATAGCAGCACTTAACAAACATTAACTGCAGGAATAAATGCACATAGGTTCATTTTACAGATAAGAAAACTGAAGCTCAGAGAAGTTCAGTTAAGGACAGATGGTCACAGAGTTCATTCCTGTTGCTGGAGGCAGGAGGAGCTGGTGCCATCAGCACTGGGAGATCCAGCAGCTGCTATTTCTCTATGGTCAGGGTTGAGCTCCAGAAACCAACCACACATCTGCAGATTGCCCAGTAAGTCTATGCAACAAAAGGAAGATGGTGGGAGTCTACACCTGCCAAACAAAACAGGCCTTATAGTCGCTGTTTTTGTCAGCGTCTTCCCACCCAGTGTTGTAAAGGACTCCTGACTGGTGTTCAACTTATTCAATTGAGGGGAAAAAAATTGTTAAGCAAGGAGACCTCCCCTCATTTTGCAGACGCAGAGACTTGCAAAACAGGAAGCCTAAGGGACTCGCCCAAGATCAAACAGCTCGTCGGTGGTGGAGCCAAGATTCAGACAGCTCTAGCTCTAGCACTAGCACTCTGCTGGGCTGTTGGGAGAGGCAGAGGGTTTAGTGCTCCCTGAGTTCATAATCCCAGCCACTCTCCCTGATTCCCTGCTCACCCCAGCTCCAATCCATTCTCCACGCTGTAGCCCGAGTGACCTTAAGACACACATGTGGTCTTGTCACTCCCCTGCTTAAAACCTCTCAATGGCTTCCCATTGCTTTGAGAATAAAAGCCAGGATCCTTACCAAGTTGAGGCCCTCTCTCCCCTGGCTCTGGGCTCAGCCTTCTTTTCAGGTCCCCTCACATGCCAAGTTCCCCACTGCTTCAGGGCCTTTGCACATGCCCCACCTTCAGTCTGGGGTAATTCCTCTGCCACCAGCTCCCCTAAATGTCACCCTGTCCTTCAGATCAGTCTTAGGGGAAGCATATCGGGTCCCCTCTGATGCATGATCTCTCAGCTCTCTGTGCTTTTTCTTCATAGGCCGTATTATGGTTTGTAGTTGGAATGCACAATTTACAATTATTTGTGTGCCTTCTCTCTCCGAATACATGGATCACCTGTCTCCATTGTACTCATTATGATATCCCTGATCACTGGTGCTGTTTGGGGCACATGTAGACAATATATAGAGAGAGATAAATGAATACACTGTATAAAAGAAAAAATATTAATTAATTACCTTCCTGGTATAAGCCAGGTTCTATCTGGGGCTCCAAGCATACCAAGAGTTCAGAGTCCAGCTGCTGTTAAATAGTGATCCAGAGGGAATTTAAGAATGTGCCCACATGTGAAATGCAGGGCAGGGAGCAGAAGACCCTAAAGTGACTATCAGTTCTGGGGATTACAGGAACTCCCAGGTTACTGAACCCGAAACCCCCCGTCTCCTTCAATAGGCGGAGAGGGAGAGCTGAGTTGCCAGATAAACCCTTTTAGCCAATCAAGAACCCTCCCAGTCAGAGAGAGTCCAAGCTTCCCCATCAGAAGCTAGATAGCACTGAATGATTTCATAGAGAAAATTCTAAGAAGACTCCAGGGAATGGGCAGAAGAATCACCTGCCCCCACATCTGAAATCCTTTAAAAATGGGAGAAATTGCCTTATCTGCTATACAGTTAAAACTTGATCTTTCCTGCCCAGGGAATAATAAAATTAAGCAATGACTAACTCACGTCTAATGCTTTACAGTTGACAAACCACTTTCACATCTGTTATCTCTTTCAAACCCACACAACAGCTCATGGCTAGAATTTGGATTATCATTTGAAAGATAAGGAAACTGAGACATGAAGAGTAACTTGCCCGTGAGGCAAAAACCTTTCTGCGGAGAGGGAGCTTGATAATATGGAGGAAAACAAAACAGAACACCTTGGACTTTGGAGTGAGAACCGCCTGGGTTTGAATCCTGGCTCTATTAACTGTGGACCTTGGTTAAGGCACCTGATCTCCTGAGACTGTTTCTCCATACCTAAAATGGGCATAATGACACCTATCTTACCAGGCTATTGGGATGTTCTAGTATCTTCCAAACGTGTAGCCCCTGCCCAGCCAATGATGGTTTCCTCCTCTCTCCCAATTCCAAGGCCTGTGCTGCGCTCTTCTCCATCGGAATGTATTGCTACCTTTTTTTCAGGTGACAAAGGCTTTTAATTTAGCTCCAGTTATTTTTTTGGTGGCGGTTGTTGTTGTTGTTGTTCTTTTAAATTATAAGACAAAGAATGGGTGAGGATGGGAAAACCAATGACCAAAGGCAAAGCTGAGAGAAAAGACAAAAAGTTAAATCAGGATGGGAGGAAACTGGGAAAACAGAGAGTTGGTTTTACTTGAGCAAAGGCAGGAATCCAGCCTAGGGAAACTAGCCCTAATTTGCTCTAAATCTAAAAATTCTTCATTTCTAGTGATTGGCTCTTTACTGGAAATATGCAGAAGTGACTCCCTCCCAGAAACAGCCTTGACTGGTGTCATTCCAGCCTCACTTCAAGGGCAGAGACCTGGTTGTCAGTGAGATCATCACAGCCACAGAGGACCAAGGGCCCCAAGAGAGTCAACATGCAATGACAGCAATGCAGTGCCTTAAAGGACATCTGTCTACCCATGACTACCACAGTGGAGAATGAGGAAATTGAGACCCATAGAGGAAAAGTGACCTAGTCAATATCAAACCTCAAGTTAGAGACCAAGGGTAATGGAGAAACTTTGATGAGAGTATGGGCTGCTGGTAACTAACTTGTGGACTCAAGGGCCTCACACCCTCAAGGTCGGACAACTTCCCCAAAATGTCACATTCTGAGACAGGTTAACCAAGGGCTTGGGCCTCTGCTGCTGTTTCCTCTTCCTTTCAAAGGCAAGCACCATGGATAGGCCTGCTCTGCAGCTCCAACCCCTGGGGTCCCCAGGGTCATGCTCAGTGCAATTCTTCTTTCTGGCTGGACACTTGGAGCTTGATGTTCCCCAGAGTTCTGGTCAGGCTCTTCCCATCTCTTTGCCTGAAAAGAAACTCAGGGCCTTCCACAGTGGGAGCCATCACCACTGGATGGCCAGCACCCAAATCTCACCCCCGAGGCAGATGTCTCTCCTGAGTTCCACACTTGCAGAGCCAACTGCCTCCTGGACTTCACCACATCAAATACGTTTTCAAAGTTGAATCCTAACCCTATCCCCAAACCTTCTGATCTGTTTTCAGTTTTCTTATTCTTGAGTAATGGCCCCACTGTTCACCCAGGTATACAGACCGAAAAAAATAAAAAATCTCTGGTCTTTCATCCTTGTCAGCATCCTTTTATCACAAACAAAGTATCCGCCAATAGCTCCTAAATTGTCTGTCAGTCCATCTTCCATCCTCGCCCTCAGGCCTCTGTCCTCTTTTGCCTTGGCCTTTGAGCCTGATAGTCCATGTCTTCACCTCCAGCCTTGCCCCAGCTTCAACATTGCCACTTGAGTGGCCATTTCCCTAACACACACTCCAAACTTTCAGTGTCTCCCCTTTTCTATAAAACCCTGGCTAAGTTCCTTAGCATGGCACCAAAACCCTTTACAATCTATGACCCCAATTTACCTACCACTATAATCTGCCACTATTTTCTGCTCCACCCACCCCCACCAACAAGCCACACCAACTTACTCATGGCTGCCCAAACTTGCCAACCCTTTGATGCTTCTGAGCTTTTATTCACACTATTTGCTCTCCCTGAAAGACCTCCTGCCCCACCCTTGCTTGCCCCATCACCCCAAACCAGGGGAGACCTACTCATACTTCAGGGCCCAGCTTCATGGCACCTCCTCAACCCTTGGCCAGGGTGGAATTAATCAAGCAATGCTTTCCTCCCACAGTACTGGTCACTAATAATAATACGAATAGATATGAACTGCCCACATGTGATGAGCACTGTCCTCGGTACTTTATGTACATTGTATCACTTAAACTTCAACAGTAATCCTATGTGGTATTACTCTTACTATGTAATAGATTCACAGAGATTGTGTGACTTACCCAAAGACTCCTAATTAGTTAATGGCAAAGCCAGGACTCAAAACCAGGATTCAAAAGCCATGCTCTTTCCAACCTTGAATACTTTTTCCCATTACAGTGTGTCCAGCACTTATAACTTTGCACTACCTGTGTATGGAACCATATCTGGCTACCTCTGGGTTTCAAAGCCCTTTGAGGCAGCTACTGTTTTTGATTATAATTTGTAACCATATTATCCAAAATAGTGCCTGTAGATAGTAGGCGTTTAATAAATGTGTGGTAAATCAGGAACTCAGTGACTAGATATGAGAAGGGGCTCCAGTTTTTTCTTTTAAAATTAAATCCAAATACAATGGTTTGTTTGTTTCATGAACATCAGTTAATTTCAACTTTAACTTAAGGAGACCTTTTGAAGACATAGGTAACGTGGGGTTGTTAAAAGCAGGGACTTTGAAGTTGGACCTAAGCTCTAGGCTCTATCCCATCCCAGCTGTGTGACTGATAATATTAATTCCATTGTAAGCTCTAAAACCCTGAACAAACACAAGCCATTGTTATTAATAATACGTGCTTCTCCAAAGAGGACTCAAGCTGTTTCCTCTGAGACAGAGAGGGAAAGTGGAGGCAGATAACCCTGGAGATCATTGGACTCTTGTTTGGAAAAGCCTGTGAATACCAGGGAGGGATGCCTTTCCATAGTCACTACTGTCCCAGAAGGAGCAGGTTCAGCAAAAGCTGGAATAATGAGGAATTGTGACCTATTTGTACCCAGAGAAGCTGGGGGTGAAGTCATAGAAGAATAGAGCCAAGGGGACATGAGAGCAAAGTGGTTGCCATTTGTCCCAGTCATTGCTTCATTACAGGTAAGGAAATCAAGACCCAGAGAGGTGCACAGACTTGTCTAAAGTAACAAAGCTGGTTGGCACTGGAGCTGGGACCAGATTCAAGTAACACCCATGGAATGCCTGATAATCATCCTCCCAATATTAAAGTCAATTTCTTATCTTTTTTCTTTCTTTTTTTTTTTTTTTTTTTTTAGACAGAGTCTCAGTCTGTCACCCAGGCTGGAGTGCAGTGGTGCAATCTCAGCTCACTGCAACCTCCACCTCCTAGGTTCAAGTAATTCACATGCCTCAGCCACCCAAGTAGCTGGGATTACACGCATGCACCACCACACTCAGCTAATTTTTTGTGTTTTTAGTAGAGGTTTTCATCACGTTGGCCAGGCTGGTCTCGAACTCCTGCCTCAGGTGATCCACCCACCTCAACCTCCCAAAGTGCTGGGATTACAGGTGTGAGCAACCGCGCCTGGCCTTAAAATCACTCTTTTAAAATGCTCTATATGATTCTCTTCTTTCTTGGTTCCCAAATGAAGCATTTCTTTAAAGAATGTGCCGATTAGACCTCCACTGTACCACAAATGTCAGAGAGACATCTGTCATCTCCAAAGCCCTGAAAGCTGTGAGAGGAGCCCAGAAGGCATTGAAAGAACCAGTACTCTGCAGGTTCCTAGGACCAACACCTTCTCCTTGCAGGCCAGACGGCAGTTTGGCTGTCAAAGACAGGATGTTGTCACTCCTACCCTTAAACATTTCCAAGGATACAACCTTCCTGAGGCTGGGAAATCAGTCTAGTTTCTGAATCAGGCCAACATGATGAGTAGAAAGAGCCCATGGTGTGTGGGTGTGTGTGCACGCGCGTGCGTGTGTGTGTGTGTTTTGGGACAGCGTCTCACCCTGTCACCCAGGCTGGAGTACAGTGGGGCGATCTCGGCTCACTGCAATCTCTGCCTCCCAGGTTCAAGTGATTCTCCTGCCTCAGCTTCCCAAGTAGCTGGGATTACAGGTGCACACAACCACTCCCATCTAACTTTTGTATTTTCAGTAGAGACGAGGTTTCACCATGTTGGCCAGGCTGGTCTCAAACTCCTGACCTCAGG
Source organism: Homo sapiens (assembly GCF_000001405.40). Classification (NCBI taxonomy): domain Eukaryota; kingdom Metazoa; phylum Chordata; class Mammalia; order Primates; family Hominidae; genus Homo; species Homo sapiens. Next base: position 56,608,217 of record NC_000017.11, read on the forward strand.
TGGTCCTCCCTCCTTGGCCTCCCAAAGTGCTGGAATTACAGGTGTGAGCCACCATGCCTGGGATTGAAATAAGAGACATCTAGATTGACAGCCCACTCATAACCTAGCCATGATCTCATCAGTCCTTCTCCTCCCTGACAGTGGCAAAACCAAGGTACTGTGATACTTTCATCCATCTGTTAAGCACTTACCCCATGGCAGGTATTGTATAGTGTCAACAAATGAGAAACCCCCTCCTTTCCAGCTGTTTGTCCATGGGCACAATCGATAATAGCAACTATCATTTATTGGGCACTTATGATGTGTCGGGCACTTATGATGTGTCAGGCACTGAGCTAAGCATGTCTCAACTCACCCTTCACCATGCTGGTGGTGGTGCTACCAATTACAGATGAGGAAACTGAGACACAGCAGAGATCAAAGGTTACACAGCTAGTGATTGGTAGATTTGGGATGTACTCAAGCATTCTGACTTCACAGCCTATACCCTTAGCCTCCTTAACCTCCTCATCTATGCAATAGCAGTAACATTATTTATCTTACAAGGTTACTGCAAGGATAAAGGCAGGTAAGAAATGTAAGTGCCTGGCACAATGTCTGCCACATGTGGGCACTTAAGAAATATATTCTCTGTCCCCTGTTGGGGCTGGGACCACGAATAAGAAACAAGAAGGGGAGAGACAGAGGCCAAGTTTCTGGGGCCTGTTCTGACTATGGAGTATCGTATAGGGGCGGATCACTAATATAGTATCTGGAAATGCTAATCCACCTTTGGTAATGCCAATCTAATTGCTAAAATATCAGGCCTCCTCCTCAATGAACACCTTTCCTTTTTCTCTGGTTCTCATACACAAGTGTGCAAGCATGCAGGAGCACACACGTGGCCACATCAATATACACACTATAGCTTTTTTTTTCTTCTGCTGCTGTCTTTGCTTCCCTGAATTTGGTATCCATAGCAACGCATCCCAGCAGCAATGAAGAGGTGACACAGTTGCTGTTTCCCTCACACCCCTATTTTGCTGATCAAGGCTGCCCATCTAACTTAAAAGTGTTGCTCAGAGGGCCGGGCTGGCCTTGCCCAAAGGCAAGAGGACATTTTCCCAAAAGAGAGGGGCAAAGGTAAAGAGGATGTAGAATCTCCACTTAAACAAACAAACAAACGCAACAAAACTCTTTCTAGGATGGAGACAGAGCAAAAGAATCAAAGCCCTTGAAGGTGCTACCTGAGTAGCTGGGATTACAGGAGTTGGCCACCACGCCTGGCTAATTTTTGTCTTTTTAGTAGTGATGGGGTTTCACCACGTTGGTCAGGCTCGTCTCAAACTCCTGGCCTCAAGTGATCCACCCACCTTGGCCTTTTCCATGCATGGGTGCCACTGAGGAGCTCTTGCCCCAGTAGTATGCTATGACTAAGGGAAACCAGCTATTTCTAGCATTTTTGGCTGGTGGGCTTCCCTGGATAAAAAATCTGAGCCCAGTCCCTGTAAATCTGGAATCGTAGAATCCGCTCCATGCACCAGCTATCAGATATTGACCCTCCCAGCTCATGTGGTTCCTTCTTATGTAAGACAGGTCAGTAATAGTCATTCTTTTTATTTTGGTTTCGTTTCGTTTGGTTTCAATTCGTTTGGTTTTGGTGTGTTTGGGTTTCTCATTCTGTTGCCCATGCTGGAGTCCAGTGGCTTGACCTAGGCTCATTGTAACCTCCACCCCCAGGTTCAAGTGATTTTCATGCCTCAGCCACCCAAGTAGCTGGGATTACAGGCCTGCACCACCACGCCTGGCTAAATTTTGTATTTTTAGTACAGATGGGTTTTTGCCATGTTGGCCAGGTTGGTCTCAAACTCCTGGCCTCAAGTAATCCACCTGCCTCAGCCTCCCAAATTGCTGGGATTACAGGAGGGAGCCACTGCACCCAGCCAATAATAGCCATTCCTTACAGTTATTCTGAGCATGTGGGTGCACAAAGCACATTATACATAGCATCTCAATTGATCTCATCAACCAAAAGAGAGCCTTATTATCACTGCCATTTTTTTGAGATGAGGAAACTGAGTATCCAAGTGGTCCAAGATTATTCTTCCCAGAAAATACCAATCAGCTGTTCACAACCTCTTCATCTGATTTCAAATCTGGTTTCTTGACCACTGTGCTACAGTCAATCCTGTTCCAAAGCCATCACTTACATTTAACACCATATTACAATGGGGTAATATTATGCCAGTGAAATTGATGCAGGAACTATATCGTTTAGAATTTGAGGGGACCTTAAAGATTATGTAATGCAGTTATCCTTCCTTCTCCATTTCACACTGGAGGAAGTCAAGACTTACATCATGCACACAACATAGTAGCTACACAATACCTATCCATTGAAGTCCAAAGAGGGCAAGCGATATGCTCAAGACCACACAGCTAGTAAGACGGTGAGATTAAAACTCCAGTTTAAGTGCTGGAGCCACAGAGATACATCAGAAATGGTCCTTGATCTTAAGGTGGACAAGTATTGCTATGTCAACTGTTGGTCCAGCCCAGGAGCTTCAACAAGTTGAAGGATGAGTAAGAGTGAGCTGGGCAAAATGGGGAGGCAGAGAAGAAAAGAGGCACTCCTGAAAGGGAGACTGGCATGACCATAGGCATGGAGATCTAAAATAGATTGGTGTGTACTGGGAATGCTGCACAATTCAAGGCCCCTGCAGCATAGAACAGGAGCCTGAGAATGGTGGACAAATAAAAACTAGAGTAGAAGTCAAGGGCCATGCAATGGAGGGCCTTGTAATCCATGTTCAGGATTTTGACTTTACTTGCAAGGCCACTGGAAGTTATTAAAGTGCTCTAGTTCATGGGAGAGGACTTTCATGTAGATCATTGAAGCGTTCATGTGAAGTCATGAAAAAGCTCTGTATGTCATTGTAGAGGGTAAATCAGCAGCAGGGAAGAGACAAATAAGCAAAACTCTTCAATGCCTGGGTTCAAGATTGGGTGGTTCTTTATCATGGAAGGATTTAGATGGAGAGGTAGTAATTGATGAAAGAACTTAGGAGCTAAAATTGGCAGGACTTGGTTAGACTGACAGGACTTGATTAGATACAGAAGATAAACAGAAGGGAGGAGTCAAGGATAGCTCCAATGTTCTTTCCATTGCATAATGACTACTGTCTGGAGCGTTCCCAGTCCAATACAAAGGTATCTAAATCTGTATAATTATCTTGAGGCTGCTTGGAGACCACAGACTTGGGACAAAAAGAACAGCCTGGTACCAGTCAAACGGCTCTGCTACCAATAGGAAAAGTGCTGTCAGGACTGTTATTTAATTTGGGGCCTTGATTCCCTCATCTGAAATAGAGAGTTGGCCTGGACCATCTCTCCAGTGTCTTCTAGCCCTATTACCTTCCTAATGCAATTGTTATGAAAATCAAATTCATTTGTTCATACAGCATTATCCATTAGGCACCTTCCATGTGCCTAGCTTTGTGCTAGACTCTGGGAGTTCAAAGGCAAATAGACCCAACCCCAGCTCTCATGGAGAGAAGAAGTGAAGATACAGACAAATATGCAATTGCAACATGAGCTGCAGGATTAGAAGGTGTTCAGAAGGGCTCTTCGCTCAGGTTGGTGGTAGAGTGGATCGGGAACTGAGAATAAAAGATCTAAATTGATATTGAAGGATAAACAGTTGGTCTGGCAAAGAGAGAGGAGAGATGTTCCAGCAGTAACAACATTGTACAAAGGTCAAAAAGTAAGAGAGTACAGGATCAACTCAGGAAATTGAAAATAAGAACCGTATGTGCAGGCACGCAGTAAACAGCAAAGTACTTTTTTATTATTATTGTCATCATGTTCATAAGGTAGAACCTAGTGAAATACACCAAAGACAGGACACACTTCATTTTTCTGATGACCAAGTTGTCCAAAACCATTGGATTCTGAACTTCTTTTCTCTGGATTGTGACGAAGATACAGAGAAATCTTTTCACTCACTGATTTTTTTTCCATTCTCCATGATTTTTCCTTAAAAGATTAGCAGAGATGTGTACAGTATGGTTTAATCATCCTAATGTCTCTAGATTCTCAAGCAAACAAACAAAACAATGCTCTCTCCATTTTACAGATGAAGATGGTTAAACACAAATAAGTCCAAAGTGGGAGAGAAACTAGGATTTGAACCCCATCTCTCTGGCTCCAAGGTCACCTGCACTTTTTCAGAACTCATATGGACTTTCTGATTGCACTTATCACAGAACCACACCCATCATCCTCACAGACTTTTGTGGTAGACGCACTTTCCGAAGACAGAGGTCCCTTTTCATAGATTACCTTCAAGGTAGTCAGCTACTTAAATCTCCTTAGTTAAGCCATCTTCAAATCACTTTGGCTGGAAGATAGGATCAGTTTATGTCTAAGACGGTTTCCTGTAGACAGCAAATCTTATCCATAATGGGTACATTTCCCAGGTTTAATCAAGGAAGGTGACATTTCCTGCCTCTAGGGTTCTGGCCTTTTAACCATTTTTGCATTAGTCAATGCTTGCTTAGAATTTGGAATTCAACTTATTTGTAGGGCTACACCACATGGTGGGATGAAAGTGGACTAGATCTGGACCCAGAAGATTAGGGTTAGAGCCTTCCTTGACTTTGCCCCTTACATCTGAGACCTGGGGGAAATTCACTCCACTGTGAGCATGTCTGGGTCCACACATACCTTAGTTTAAATTGCAGTGTTGCTCATGATTAGTTCTGTGACTATGTGCAAGTTATGCTTTATCTGAGCCTCAGTTCCTCATCCAGAAAAAAATAGGGTCAATCCTTGTACCCCTCATGATGTGATACTGCTCAACTGACATTTATTAAATAAATGATATCAGTCAACATAAATTGAATAGCTGCTTAACTGATATTGATTGAATAAATGAAAGCATTTAAAAGAGTTCCCTTCCCCCTTTCTCTTCCTCTCTGGCTTACTTTCCTTATCTGCAAACAGGGATAAAAAATCTCTCTCCTATATTCCTCCTCATGTGACTGCACTAATTCCATACAGTCATGTTTGCAAAAGTTCTTGTGATGTTTAAGAGTCTGTGGTGACCTGGCCGGGCATGGGAGCTCATGCCTGTAATCCCAGCACTGTGGGAGGCCTAGACAGGAGGATCACTTGAGCCCAGGAGTTCAAGGTTGCCGTGAGCTATGATTGCACCACTGCACTCCAGCCTGGGAGACAGAGTGAGACCCTGTCTTTAAGCAAAAATGTCTATGATGGTCTAAGATAGAATTTACACTACCTAAGGAATGACATATGTTACTTCTCTTTCTTACAAGATTCCTACAGAGTAGGTATTATCATTATTTCCAGTTCCCAGATAAGGAAACCAGAGCTCAGACAGTTAAGTGGCTTTCCCAGGTTCAAGATAGTCTGTGCTGGAGCAGAGATTAGAAGCCAGATTGCTCTAACTCCAAATCCAATATTCTTCTCACTATAGCCTCTAATCCCATTGAGTCTAGAGGCTACAATCCTAGTCTCTGGAGCCAGGCTACCTGCAGTCCTATTTGGGATCTACTGCTGATTAGTGATATGTCCCTAGGGGAGAGTTAAATATCATCTCTATGCCTCAGTTTTCTCATTTGTGAAAGGAAAGAAATAATAATGTCCAGTTCATGGGTATAAGACTCTTTACCTCACTTTCAGTTTCTTCAACTAAAAAAATGAGAAAATAACAGTAATTCTACTATGCCAGACTAGAGGCAAGGGGTAGACCCTACTTAATCTTTTTTTTTTTTTTTTTTTTTTTTTTGAGACGGAGTCTCGCTCTGTCGCCCAGGCTGGAGTGCAGTGGTGCGATCTCGGCTCACTACAAGCTCTGCTTCCTGGGTTCACGACATTCTCCTGCTTCAGCCTCCCGAGGAGCTGGGACTACAGGCGCCCGCCACCATGCCTGGCTAATTTTTTGTATTTTTAGTAGAGATGGGGTTTCACCGTGTTAGCCAGGATGGTCTTGATCTCCTGACCTCAGGTGATCCTCCCACATCTGCCTCCCAAAGTGCTGGGATTTCAGATGTGAGCCACAGCGTCCAGCCTTTAAATGTCTTTTATGCTTTGACTACTACTAAGACTTCTGTGAAGAATCTAATAATAATAATAATCTAATAATAATCATTTCTTGAGTACCAGCCATATGCCTAAAACTTAACCCTATGAAGCAAGGTTTATTATTCCTGTTATGTAGAAGAGAAGATTGAGAGTCACAGAAGTTAATTTGCTCTAATAAATAATTTGCAGAATGAATGAATGAATGAATGAACAAGGTACGTCCTCAAAACCAGTGACGATCTGGAGAACAAAGCTTTTGTCTTTTAAGATCTTACCCGGCAGAATCTAGTATAGAATTGATTGCATAATGACATCAGACACAGACTTGGACAAAGTTACAGCCAAGATGTCAAATGAGTTTTCTGAGGCCTCCATCCAGCAGACACACATCATGAGCAGCCTAAGGGAGAACACATCAGGCCAGATTTGAATCTTGCCATTTCCAAATGCAGAGGCTGAGTGCTAACAGTTCTGTGAGTTCCAGATCTGCCAAGTAACAGCTTGATTTTTCATCTCTTTGGGGACACTTGATTCCTTGGATGATCTGATGAGCCAGAGCTGAAGTTTATTTTCAAGTTGAAATCTCACCACTGGTTTCTATTTCTTATGAAAATTGGATTCTCAAAGATCAGTTCCCCTTAACACCTGTGATTCTCAGTTTTCCATAAGCCAGATTTCAAAAAATAAAATACGGTCCTCAGAGTTCAATGACTCTTCTCATACTCTTTACAAATCTTTTGCCTTCTCTGCCACTTGGCACAATATCAAACAAGCCAAGGGAAAGAATGAAGGGGTGGGCACAGAAGCTTGGGGCACTGGGGAAAGCCAGCGTTCTTATTTCACCCCAGTGCTCCACAGACATTTAATGGAGGTCTATCTGGTAAGGTTGCAGCCATTGTCTCATTTTCTGGAAGAGGAAACTGCAGCTTGAAGAGGCCTGTCAACATGATTAAGATACGGCCCCTACCCTGAAAGGGCCCCCAATTCAATAGAAGTGACAGACATAGAAGCCACAACCTATGACCCAATAAGAGTGGGTACAAAGTACTCAAGGTGTGTGGAGGACAGCACAATTATCTTAAAAAGGAAGGCCTCCCTTTGGGAAGCATTTTCAAGTGCAGTGAAGTCATGCCTGACAATGTCATTTGGCTTTGCCTCAAATCAGTTTTTTCATGATAATATGATTATATGCGTCCTGATTTCTTCAACAAATATGTAAAAAGACCCTGTGCTTGAAGATTTTGCTGTGTGATTTTAGACTAATGATTTCATACTTTTTTGCTTTTTGTTTTTTTGGGACAGAGTCTTGCTCTGTTTGCCCAGGCTGAGTACAACGGTGTGATCTCAGCCCACTGCAACCTCCACCTCTCAGGTTCAAGCAATTACCTTGCCTTAGCCTCTCGAGTAGCTGGGATTACAAGTGCCCACCACCACATCTGGCTATTTTTTGTATTTTCAGTAGAGACGGGATTTCACCATGTTGGCCAGGCTGGTGTCGAACTCCTGACCTCAGGTGATCTGCCCGCCTTGCCTCCCAAAGTGCTGAGATTACAGGCGTGAGCCACTTCGCCCCACCGATTTCATATGTTTAAGTTTCAGTCTCTTTATCAGCAGAATAGGAATAATATCATAATCCTTATTAGGATTATTCAAATAATTATTATTTCTCTAGCTACCGCCATACAGTTACTGTGGAACTCTAATGGTGAAATTTGCATCTAAAAGCACTGAATCAGCAGCAATGTCCTATTTATTTGTGAAGGATTGTATTGTTGCCACTGTTGAAGACATCCCTTTATTTCTGAGTGACTAGACATTCTATATTGATTCTTCAGTAAATTAAATCTTGTCCCAAATACTGATCACACCAAGAAGGTCTCCTTTTCCTTCACATGCTTTGGATAAACAGAATTTCTCAACCTTGACACTCTTGACATTTTGGGCCAGACAATTGTTTGTTGGAAGGCAAGGAGCAGGGGCTGTCCTGTATCTTGCAGGGTGTTTAGCAGAATTCCTGGCCTCTAACTCCTAGATGCCCATACCCACCCCTTAGTTGTAACAGCTACAATGTTTCTGGACATTGCTACATGTCCATGGGATTGGAATGCAAAATTGCAAAATTACCTTGTTGAGGATCACATCAGGATCACAACCTACCCGTAGGAGGTATGCCGGGCTGGGGTTTCTGCTCACATTTCACAGATGAAAAAACCTGAGACCTAGAACAGGAAGGAATCCATCCAAGTTCACAAAAGGGCTTGAGAAACAAGAGTCCCAACTTGGCTTTCCAGAACACCTATGTATAGAACTGCAGTGCCCTCTGCTAAGGACCTGAAGGGAAGGAGTAAGTCAGAGGGACCAAAGACTGGCCCTGCTCTTTCCCAGTCCTGCCTGAAACCCTCCCAGCCCCCTCTCCACCATTGAGTGGCAGCCCCCCAGGAATGCCTGCTCCTCTTCCTCTCCCTCCCTCTGTCCTAACCTTGCTCCTTCCCTGTGCTTTGGGAGGGGGCTGCCCACTGAATGCTGGAATGGGCGTGGAACCACCATGCAGGAAGGACAACAAATGACAGTGAGGATAAAGCCCAGACTTAGCCCTCTCCAACTTTCCAACTTCAGGGGGATATGCTGTCACCAAGAAGCAAACATTTGGGGGAAAAAAAATCCTCAAAGGAGATTCCTGTGTTGCCATGTAAGGAAAGGTCTTGGCCAGCTCTGGTCAACCTGGGAGAGTTGGGGTGGGGGTGAGCACAGAGAAGAGTATTGCGGTTCACTCCTAATCTCTGCCCCCAGATCTCCCCACTCCCCCTTTGCATCTTTCTTGGAAGGGCCCCTCAGAATCCACCAAAATAACCCCTCCCTCCTCCTTCACCTCCCTGTCCCATTCGCCTTGGCTGTCCCCCCTGCAGAAGGCCGGCATGCAGCCTGGTGCACGGGTTAGGGGTGTGTAACATTTTGTCTGAATAGGCCCCTATGTTCCCATAATTTATAGTGGTAAGTAATCTTATTTGCAAAGCAAGCCCTTACAGTTATAAAAAACAAGTTAATTGACTTGCATAAAAATCAAACATGTAAAAGTTTTCCATCTTAACACAAACAGCACACTGAGCCCATTTGTACAATAGCTATGATGCAGTGCGGCCCGCGTCTGGACTACCTAGGACCCGGCCTCTTTCATAACCCAAAATGGAATCTTAAACCCTGACAAGGCCACATACCAATGGGAGTTACTGAATTTAGAGTCAGTCACTCAACTAATTATACGACGTTTTATTTTTTTTCTTGTGTCAATAAACAAACTTGGGTCTGACTTCTGACACTCAGACCTAGAAGCCAATTAAGAGGCGTTCCCAATATATTACAGGGTCTACAAACAAGGATGGCTTTTCTTGGAAAAGTGAACATCATGTTTCTTTTAATGTGTGTGAAAATATATGAGTTTCTTAATCACTGGCAACTTAGATGGAGTCCAAGACAGGGAAATCACTGACTCCTGACTCTGGAATGAACAGGGGCTAGATTCTTGATGGGGTTTTTGCGATGGGATTCTCTGGTGAGTGACTGCAGGGAAGACAGCATTCAGGTGTGGCATGACAGAGTTGGTGGCCAGAGGCTGCTTCAGAACCCCAAGAAAGGCAGGGAAGAAGCTTAGTGGTGGCAGGGTCTTCTGCAGAAAACAATGAGACAATACCCTAGTGACGTGGAGGGAAAATGGTAAACCTGCAGAGGCATCTGTTGCAAAGGGTGTCTTACAGTGCCACTCAATTATCCCCAAACCAAGAGCCCATTTCACGGTAAGGGGAAGGGGGAGGAAAATTAATATTTATCAAGTTCCAATGATGTGCTGGGTGCCTTTGTTTTCTGTATCCTATTCAAGCCTCAGGTGATCTGCCAAAAAGATATAATTGTTCCTGTTATACAGATGAGAAAATGGAAGCCTAGAGAAGTGGAATGACTTGGTCAAGGCCACTCAGCAAGTTCATGGCAGAGCCAAGGTCAGGGCTCATTCTATTCAGTCCTGTTCCTTGCACATTGCTCTGGGGGGAGCAGGCATAGTCATGGCTGGAGCTCTTAGCAACTCAGGATCAGGTGTGATCTGATGTGTCCACTCTTTCTGGAAAATGGCTCCACCTACCTATCAATATCTATTGAATCCCTACTATGTGCCAGGCACCATGTGAGGAGCTATACATCCCAGGACATGCAACACTGTTTCAGGGGAGACAGACTAGAAAATCAACAATAATAAGAATTTGATATATGTTCTGATGGACGCATTCAGCTGGACGGTGGGGGTTAAAGTGGAGGTGAGGTCAGGAAATACTTCTAAGAGTGAGTGAGCTTTCATCTATGACTTAAAATCCCAAGGTGGACAAGCAGGGAAAGAGCATCCAGGGGCAAGGACCAGCATGGGCAAAGGCACGAAGTGGGAGAGCAGAGTGAGCATGGCCCTTCGGGATCCCTTCATGGCTGGGAGAGCCAGCTCTTGGGGACAGGAGGAAGACTCGGGCCAAGGCTAGGCCTAAGACCAGGAGGGCTCACTGAGACAGGCAGGGGGACTTAGGGGAGTATTGTTTTCTGAGAAAGACATTGCTGCCCATACTTGGGGAGGGACAGACTGTTGACAATAATCAAACCTGAACTGAAAAGATAGGATGGCACCCGGTACCAGGGCTCAGGACCAATGCAGCACAGAAATGGTTAGGAGTAGGGTTTCTGGAGCAAGTCTGCCTGCACCTGAATGTTGGCTTAGTGTGACCCTGGGAAAGAGACATGACTTCTCCATGCCTCAGTTTCTCCCCTTCAAAATAGGATAAGAAGAGTACCTAGTACACAGGTTTGTTGGGAGATCTAAGTAAGCTTATGCAAGTAAAACTCTTGGAACACTTTGTGGCGTATAATAAGAGCCTAATACATGTAAGCTGCTGAAGAGTTCTCATTTATCTTTCCCTCCACCTTATAGGCTTTTCCACCTTGGACAAGTCTCTAATCCTCCCAGTAATAGGGGATCTGCGGGCTCTTGGTTCACCATAGGTGCTCAATGAATAACAGCTGTCATCATTGCTTCCACCATCATTATCACTATCTCTGAAATAACAATGTTTTGCCTTCCCAGGGGAACAAGTGTCACAGCCACCATCTCCTCACCACGAACTGTCCGGACAGGCTGACATGCCACCCAGGCAGGCAAGACAAATGGACTTGCCACCTACACGGAGCACACGTGCACACCAGGGGCACGTAGCCCAACTCGTTAGCACAACAGGGCTCCCTTCTTTTTGGCACTGCTTCTCTGCTCTGTATGTGCTTTGCTCAGAGTGGAGGTCCCCGTTATTTATGTTTGGAAAATGCATTCAGGGCAGTTCCCAGAAGCACTTACAGAGCTCTTATTTAATTGCTACTTTATAAACTCACTGCTCCGAAGAGTGAGGGATTGATGGCCCGGCCTGGCACCTGGAGTAGCCTTGCTGCAAATGCTTTTCCGAGAATGGTCTGGGAGCCGTCCTCCAAGGAGGCCAAGGCCCAATGCAGCCCTGGCCTACGTCCAACTCTGGAGGGCACTGTAGGACTCGTCACCCTAATCCCCAGCTTTGGGATGGCAGCGGTTGCCAGTGTGGTCACACATACACACACATACACACACACAGACACACACAAGAAGACCCCTCATCAGTTCAAGACCAAGAATGTGCAGGGGTAGGAGAGGCCTGTCACTCACCGTTCACCCTCCCTTGCCAGAGACCTGCAAAACCCCAGCCATGAGGACATCCCAGGCCCCAGATCTGGGCAGGGTGGGGACACTTTTTTCAGGTCCCACCAAGCCCATCTCCCATTTGCCTCATGCTTATGCGTTGGGGTCCAGCAGGACTGGGCTGGTGTCCCCAGCTCTCCCATGTTCAGAGCAAGTTATTTAATCTCACTGAGCCTTGGTTTTCTCACTTATAAAATGTGGTTTATAGATTCCATTTCTCAGCATCATTGAGGGAATGAAATGAAATTATTATGGTGCCATTCCTGGCATGTAGAAGTAGAAGATCAATAAATGTTATTTATTGGATTTCTACAGCCACAGAAATAAAGGATCAAGTATCTTTCTTGAAGGTCTGAGATTCATCAAGGCTAAACCTCCCATCCAGATAAAATATGGGACTTCATAATGATCCCTTTTATTTATGCAGTCACTGTATGTCATACTATCATGCTTTATGGTTCCCAAAAAGCATTTTACAAGCCTTGTCTCAAATGACCTTCACTAGCCATCAGGGTTTTGATTATGCACCTCATTTTACAGATGAGGATCTAAGGCATGGATCCTACTGGTCAATCAACCAATTTCTGCCTCCAAATCTTGCTTGCATTCCTTTGCACCACATTACCTAGCCCACTCTCAGGTAGACCAAGGCCCATTTGTGCCTCCAAGATGGCTCTCAGTGATCCCCCCTTCTGGGTTCATATGCTAGTACAGTCTTCTCCCATAGCGAAGAGGACAGACCTGAATAGCCAAAAGGATATTGTGGAAGTGACAGCATGTGACCTCCAAGGCGAGATCATAACAGACATCGCTACTTCTACCTTGCTCTCTCGATCACTCCCCATGGGGGAAGCCTGTTGGTACGACACTCAAGTAGCCCTATGGAGAGGTTCTTGTGGTGAGACACTGAGGCTTTCTGCCTAACACCAAAATAAATTTGCCAGCCACAGGACCGAGCCATCTTGGAAGCAGACTCTCCAGCCAAAAACCAAAACTTCCACCTAATCCTGACTACAACCTCACAAGAGATCCCCAAGCTAAAACCATCCAACTCTTACATACCTACCTACTTGCATCCTACACAATACATGCATTTATTTCAGACTACACCAGTGCTATAATTTGTTTTGTTTTGTTTTTTGAGACAGATTCTCGCTCTGTCACCCAGGCTGGAGTGCAGTGTCATGATCTCAGCTCACTGCAACCTCCACCTCCCAGGTTCAAGTGATTCTCATGGCTCAGCCTCCCAAGTAGCTGGGATTACAGGCATGTGCCACCACACCCAGTTAATTTTTGTATTTTTAGTAGAGATGGTGTTTCATCATGGTGGCCAGGCTGGTCTCAAACTCCTGGCCTCAAGTGATCCACCCGCCTCGGCCTCCCAAAGTGCTGGGATTACAGGCATGAGCCACTGTGCCCGGCCCAATACTGTAATTATTATACATATTTACTCTTTTGTTGGATACTTTTATTCTACCATTTTTCTGTAGGGTGTGTTTGTTCACTTTCCAGATAAAGGCAACACTATCACTTCTGTGTGTGTGTAGCCCCCTCAAAGGAGGATTCTAATAACCAGCCTTTTCAAAAAGCAAGTGGTTAGTGTATATTTTAACATTTCAAGACCAACACTTCTTGATCTTTGGCTTGCTTTTCACCTCCCCTGTCCATGTCTTCAGCTCAGACCCGAATTTTTCCCCACTGGACTATAGCAACAGCTTCCTAGCTGGTTTCCTGACTTCCAGTTGCACCTTTCTGTTTCTTCCACGTTAGTGTCATGCAAATACCATCTCATTTTTTTAAAACATCTGCTTTAAAAACCCAGTCACTCCACAGAAGGAAGCCAAGCTCTACAGCATGCCTTACAAGACTTCCTGATGGGCCTCCACTCTTTGTTTCTCCCCACTGAATTGCTCCTAGATCCCCAAGTGCATCCTGGCATTCTTGCCTTTGTGCTTTGGCACTAACTGTGCTTTCTCTCAAGGAGCCCATCTCTGCCTTGTCCACCTGGCAAAATTCTATTCATCCTTCAAAACCCACCTCAGTCATGACTGTCTTGAAATCTTCCCCATATCTCCAGGCAGAGTTAGGTCCCCTCTGTTCTCTTGGTTGTATCTCTCTGATAACGCCCAGCACTTTGTTAGAATTATACACTCTCCCCTGCTAGACTGGGAGCTCCTAGAGTTCTGTTTATTTTTGTTCTCTCGGCATCTAGTTCAATGGCTTGGCACATAATAGCTGATCAATGAAAATGTATTGAATAAGAAAGGTTTTGTGGTGGGGCTTGGGGAGGTAATTTTCATTCATTGAGCCAGCATATGTACAGCTCACTGGCGTGGTGTTACGCGTACAGGAGGCTTGCCATAAATGTTAAGGCTGGTGCTTTTTTACCTTCACCGAATGCACCAAGGGGCAGGCTTTGTTTGTTTAGTTTAATTGTGGCCCTATGGCTTTTTTTTTTTTTTGTGACAGAGTCTTGCTCTGTCACCCAGGCTGGAGTGCAGTGGTGCAATCTCATCTCACTGCAACATCTGCCTCCCAAGTTCAAGCAATTCTCCCACCTCAGCCTCCTGAGTAGCTGGAATTACAGGCATGCACCACCACACCCAGCTAATTTTTTGTATTTTAATAGAGATGGGGTTTCATGATGTAGCCCAGGCTGGTCTTGAACTCCTGAGCTCAGGCAATCCACCCTCCTCGGCCTCCCAAAGTGCTGGGATTACAGGCATGAGCCACCATGCCCAGCCCTATGGCTTCTTCTTTGAGCACTCCCAGCAGTTCACAAGAGGGTCTGATTTTCCACTTGCTTTAAACTCTGCCTGAACTCTGTGGGCTGTTGATCCTCCATAGCTTCCATCCCTGCCAGGTCTCCTGGAATCTTTGTGTTTTTCTTTTATAAACGCTACCAATGGGTTTTATAAGGTCACGTAGCATTTCCCTTTCCTATCTTCAGTTCATGGAATCTCACTGCATTCATTCATTCATTCATTCATTCATTCATTCATTTGCTCATTATTACTATGGGAGTTAGAGTTTGATATATACCATAAAGCCTAACTGCCAGGGTTCAAATCCTGTCAAGTTCTGTACCTTGGGCAAGTGACTTAACTTCTCTGTGCCCTCAGCTGCCACATCTATAAAGTGGGGATATAACAGTGTCTATGCCACAAGGCTGTTGTGAGGATTCTAAGAGATAGTATTGAGAAAAAGCAAGAAGAGCTCAAGAAATATTAGTGTTTATTCATTCAGCAAACATTTCTTTAGTACTTATTTGGGCCAGACCTTGTTAGATGTGAAAGAGAATAAGACAAGTTTCCTGCACGCTGGAGTCCACAGATCAGTGAGAAAGACAGGGAAAGACACATAATTACAAATGCCGTTGAAATACCAAAGGAAGGCATGTTCTCAGTGGTTACTGGCAGCAAAGAGGAAGGAGTAAATACCTTTGTTGATGAGGGAGTCAGAAATGCATTATTGAAAAAGTGACAGCTCCAGGTGCACACACCAGTGAGAGTGGAAACATAGCTGCAGACTCAGATGGCCTTCAATGGTATGCCACTCAGGGAACAGGCACTTGGAGAAACTGAAGCACTTGAGGCTCTGCCATCCTTACACTTGCATTTAAGAAAGCTCACTCTGTGACCAGCTTAGTGGCCACTGCAGTCATCCAGGCAAGATGTGATGAACTAAGATAAGGAAAAAGAAGGAACAAACTTGAAAGACATTTAGAGCAGAAGGTTGGCATACTTTACCTGTAAAAGGCCAGATAATAAGTATTTCAGATTTTGCAGACCAAACAACCTGCCGCAACTCCTCAACTCCTCTGTTGCAAAAGCAGCCATAGACAATTTGCAAACAAATGAGCGTGGCTGTGTTCCAATAAAACTTTATATTACAAAAGGAGGCTGCAGGCCAGATTGGACCCACAAGCCAGAGTTTGCCAGCTCCTGATTTGAAGGCAAATGGACAGGAATCCACATCCATCCTGGAATGTAGGGAAAGTGTAGGAGGAGGGCCAGGGTGGAGGATTTCAAGAACCTCAAGTGGTCACCAGGTCCAGCACTCTGTTGCTATGGCTAATGGCTAAACTATGTTCATTCATAATACAGAATCCTATACAACTATCTCGAATGGTCACCAGGTCCAGCACTTCTTCCTTGCCAGAAGGCCTAGCAGTATTCCACATCAAGTTATGTTCCTCAAAAATGTAGAGATTCAGATTCAACAAACTCCTCTGTGTTGGAAAGTTTTTTTTCTACAGCTGTTGATGCCCCACAGGACTCACGATCCTGCTCCCATCTTTGGAGAGATTGGAGAGCAGTTGTGAGACATTGACCCAGGGTGTAACCTTACAGATTGCCCAGCACCCCATTTCCAACACAGACCAGCTCCAGGCCTATAGGAGAAGTCAGAGCAACCACTTCCCAGCTGAGCTACACAGCAGGGAAAAAGCTGGCTCTTAAGGCAGCACACACACTTCAGCAGCCTGTCTGGATTTATGCAATAACAGACTGCTGGAAAACTGCATGTGACTTTAATTTGGGGAAGTCGTAAGTACCAAGAAAGCTGGCTATTTAAAGAAATCATGCAGATAATTCTAATGTAAAGTGTTTCCCATTATATCCTTCTGCACTGTTTGTAGGAACATCAATTGGTTTGAAACTTTTGAAAGGTGCTTTGGTTGTAGCTTTCATAGTTTTAAAACATCCCTTTACCCAGCATTGCCACCTCTAGAAATGTATCCCCTGGAAATACTGGAAAGCACATATGAGCTAGGTTATGTTTTTGGTAGCATTCACTGCAAGAGCAAGATTAAAATTTAAATGCTCATCAGTAGGGAAATGGCTAAACTACGGTTCACTCATAGTACAGAATACTACACAACAATTAAAAGTTTGTGATAGACTCGTAGGAATTGACACAAATTGTTCTGATTCATTGTGTAAAAAACAAAAAAGCAAGTCACAGTTCATTAAAAGTGATTTTAGTTTTGAAAAATAACTACGTAAGTACCTGCGTGAATGTATGCAATGCTTAGCAAGGCCAGGACTGGGGTGAGGCAATAAGGACACCCAGGGAGCAAAATTTAAGGAGGCCCTCATTCTCAGGCTTATGGAAGTATCAACTCTGCCCTGCACAGGCGAGAGAGTGAGGGCCTCCTTAAATTTTGTGCCCAAGGTGCCTCACTTGCCTCACCTTAATCTGGCCCTTACACAGAAAAATGTTTTGATAACACAGGTTATCAATGGAGAGAAGTGTTGAAAGAATGGCAGGTAGAAATCTTCACTTTACGGCGTTTTGTAATGTTCAATTTTTAAATAAAAATAAGTGAATTCATTAGGTTATTAACAAAGCCGAATTTCATTTTAAAAATCCACCATCAATTTATCTCATAAATGTAGACTGCATAAGTTGAGTATTTTCTAAAATACATGTCTGTATATTACCCTAATAATAGCTAACATTAATTTATTAAGTGCGAATGTGCCTGGTACTTTCATGATACTGGATATCATGACCACAGTCACCAAAAATGGTGGCTTAGCCAAGTAGGAGTTGTTTTTTCTCATGTAGTAAGAAGTCTGGAGGTAAAACCAGTGACAGCTAGTGTGGCAGCCCCAGTATGCCATCAGCGATGCTATTAATTAGTCAGCTTTCCCAGCTGTGCTGCCATAAGGAATAACCCCAAATCTCAAAGGTCTCTTTGCTCCCATTAAATGCCCTTCACAAGTCAGCTGCAGTTCTGCCCCTATTATCTTCTTTCTGAGGTCCAAGCAGAAGGAGCAGCCCCTCTCTGGGACTTGCGGCCTCATGTCAAAGGAAAGGTAAAATCATGGGATGGCACTGAACTTCTTCTCAAGCAGGGCATAGTCACTTCTGCTCACAACCCACTGGCTAATGCAAGACACACGGCCATGCCGGATTGAATGGCATGGGAGTGCTCTCCTCTCCCGTGAAGTGGCAGGAGCCGGGGTCCTACAGAAAGGCACCATGAATATGTTTTGAACAAATCATTCAATCTACCAATAGGGACCAAGGCACCATTGTCTTCTATTTCTAGCATGTGCCCCTTGTCCTCCTGGGCACCAGACTGAAGCTCAACCTTCTGGCATTTCACTTGAACAGTAAGAAAAATGAAAGATAAACAGAGACATGTATACATCAGCTGACACTACCCTCTTTCACAATTGTTTTCAAACCTTCACCCGTGACTTAAGGGATAACAGGTAGGTAACAGTACATGCCACATACACATGATCATGGTTAATCTTCACAACCACCAAGGATGTGATGTTTGCTCCATTTCACAGATGAACGAACTGAGGCAAGAGAGTAAATGGCACATCCAAGATCACACAGCTGTTAAGTGGGTGGAGCTGGAGTTTCTCATCCAGATGTGTCTGTCTCCACGCCCTCTCTGCTGCCTTTCCAGTGACTGGAAGAGATCAACCGTTTGATTGGCTTATCAGCCCTCAATTGTTTCTACTTAAATGCACATGGGTGTACATGTGTGCATGTGTTCGAGACAGATCTCAGCCACAGTTAATGCTGGATCTCAGTCTCAATACTGGATTCCCAAAACATGACCACATCCTCTAAGCTACCTCTGTCCACATCAGGTGGCATGTCCGTTAGTTTCAGCATAAGCCAGAACTAAAAACTAGCCCAAAAGAAAACCAGTGATATTAATGATAGAGCAGGCAAAGAGGTGCAGAGGTGGAGCAGAAAGTGCTCTGGGCCAGATGCGGTGGCTCACGCCTGTAATCCCAGCACTTTGGGAGGCCGAGGCAGGAAGATCACCTGAGGTCAGGAGTTTGAGACCAGCCTGGCCAGCATGGTGAAACCCTGTCTTTACTAAAAATACACACACCAAAAAAATTAGCCAGGCATGGTGGCACGCACCTGTAATCCCAGCTACATGGGAGGCTGAGGCAGAATTGCTTGAACCTGGGAGGCAGAGGTTGCAGTGAGCCGAGATCGCGCCACTGCACTCTAGCCTGTGCAATAGTGTGAGACTCCGTCTCAAAAAAAAAAAAAAAAAAGAAAGAAAAAGAAAAGAAAGAAAGTGCTCTGGGTCAGAGGGAGAACACCTGAGTTTGACTCCCAGCTCTGCCTCACACCAGTTATTTAAAAATAAATTTAGGCATATGTCTACATCTCTCCTTGGTATTTCTATCTGTGCAAAGGGAGCTATAATGCCTACCTCAAAGCTTTGCCAAAAAGATTCAGTGAAATAATGCAAGTACAATTATCTAGCACAGGTAAGCTCTCTCCAGAAGTTAGTTTTCTTCCCTACTGAGACTTCATCAAAATGTCTTGTAAATGAAATTCCACTCCTCCTTCAATGTGCATAGTCATCCCAGAGCAGCTCTGTCTTGATTTCCCATAGATTATCAGTTGGTAGAAGCACTCAACATTACAGTTTTGCCAGTCCAAGAATATAGCCGACTGGATCAAGTTTTCCTAAGAGATTCCAGAAAAAAAAAAAAAAAAAAAAAAAGACAAGACTATCATGAACATCTTTGTATGATCTGATGCTTTGGTCTCATTACTATTCGGGGGGAATCCACTCTACCACTCTCTCCATTCATTCCATAAATGTACATCAAAAGTCCCTTTCAAGAGACATCGTGAATACTGAAGAAAGCCCTCCAAGGAGACCTGTAAACAGCAGAGCATGTTGGGAGCTATGTAAGCATTTGATGTATCTGGAGTATAAATTTTGTCTAAGCTTGGGGTCTGTTTTGAAGGCTGACTTGTGTACAGAGCACTTGTCTAGGTGCCAGTGAAATACCAAGGAGCCTGGGCCCTCAAGTGCCCACAGTCTTTTGAAGGAGAGATTGTGATGTGCGAGCAGAGATATAAATGCATTTGTTAGGCCTGGCGCGGTGGCTCACGCTTGTAATCCCAGCACTCTGGGAGGCCGAAGTGGGCAGATCACGAGGTCAGGAGTTCAAGAATAGCCTAGCCAACATGGTAAAACCCCATCTCTACCATGAATACAAAAATTAGCCAGGCATGGTGGCGTGCACCTGTAGTCTCAGCTACTTGGGAGGCTGAGGCAGAAGAAACGCTTGAACCCTGGAGGTGGAGGCTGCAGTGAGCCAAGATCGTGCCACTGCACTCCAGCCTGGGTGACAGAGTAAGACTCTGTCTCAAAAAAAAAAGTGTATGTGTTTGCTATCCCTGTACTGAGAAACGAATTAGGTGGGAAAATTCAATATACTGTGGCTGGAATGAGATGGGGAGGAGTGGGAGGCAGAGGTAGAGGCAGAAGAGAACCTCCCATTGCTTTATTGATGATGCTGGAGGCTTTAGTGCATGTTAGGGAGGGGAGTGAGTCTTCAGGAACCATTCCATTTGCCATCTTTGGTGGCATCTTGATAATATTTTGGTGATTACCTCCCCTTCTTGGAAACAGTTGAATCTCCCAGTGATTTCCATAAAAGGTTCAGGTGAGTGAGACACTGATCCCCTCTGTCCTGGTTGGGGAGGCAGTGTTTAGCAGTCACTTATGACCAGAAGTAGCCTTACGATAAGGAAGAACAACTTATCCTTTCACTCCATCATGTCTTATAAGCGTAGTATCCTTTGCATGTCAGAATACAAAAACAGTTGAGAAAAAAGGCAACCAATCCCTGAAGGACTATTTATCAAGGCATCCTGACCTCAATGGTCGACAGGGAGGGAACCCGATCAAGGATAGAACCCGATCAAGGTCAACAGAAAATTCCCTTACTAGAACTTGATTCATGAGCAGTGTCCGGGACTAAGAACATTTTCTCCAGTGGCAGCACCTGGATGAGGCTGCTGAGGAGTTCCTGCTGCTGACACCCTCTGAAGCTCCTGTCTGGCCTTGTCTTTTCCAAACCTAAGTTTGTCACCTCTTCTCTTATAAGCTCCCTTTAATGTCTCCAATAAATTCTCTTTTTCATTTAAGTTAACCCATCAGTATCTGCTGCTTACAACCAAGGAACGCTAGCCAATTCTGTGGTTGCTGTGTGGCATGATGCATGGTAGTGTGTGTGTGTGTGTGTGTGTGTGTGTGTGTGTGTGTGTGTTTGTGTTTTGTGTAACTTAAGGTCCCAAACACCCTTGTACCTGTGAAAGCTGAAGCCCTTCTTTGCCTTCTCACTCTCATCTCCATTCTGCCTTCCCAGTTTCTAAACCTTCCCCTAAAGTCCTCGGGGGCCAGAAGATGGGGTGGGAAGCAGCTATAAAACCTGACCCACCTCTCAGAGGTGTGCTGGCAATTATAGGGCTGGTGACTGAGCACTGGGGAAGGTAGGAGCACGACCCACGAGAGGAGGGGAAAGCAGAAATACGTTTCTGGGGCCCGGGGGCTGTGGGGTCTGTGCTACATGTAAGTACAAATCTCACGGAACGATCCTAAGTTGGTCTGCCCTTTAGGGTGGGAGGGAACTTTTTCTTTTCCACCAGGGTCTGAGTCCACCCCTCTTGGCTGCCATGGTGGGAAGTTTGGAAGGAGTTTCCACCTGTCTTTAAAGAAGCCACTTAGCTCCAGACAACCAGGGGTGGGCCACCAGGGTGATATACAGAGATGAGCAATATAGCTGGCATTTACTATTGAAAACACATAGGAGCAAATATTTGGCTAAGTGTTTATTTGCTAGTGGAACTTTTTAATGGTTGAATGGAGTCCAAGTGTCAGCGTGGGGATTTTGATTTAAAACAGACTGAAGAAGTGTTTCTCCACAGTTGTAAGCTTGGAGAGTTTCGTTTCTTTGGCTCTTGGAATCCGCAGTGGGCTGTGTTCCTCAATTCCAGACAGCCTCATGGGGAGCCCCACCCCGGTGGGCTCTTCCTGCCTCTGCAGCCAGCAAGGCAAGGGCCTCGTGTCCCTTCATCAAAACTGGATCCCAGCCCCCTTCAGGCCCAGTGCAGAGCTTGGAGCGATAAGAAACATCCTCTATGCCTCTGGGTGTGTTCTGTTGCAGAGCAGCCACTGGGGGCAGCTAGCTCTGAGCATCACTCTGGTGATGACCAAAGCTCTGCAGATCCGGACTCATCCATCTGTCTTGCCTTCTCCCTTTCTTACTTGTTTTTTTTCTCTCCATGTGATGTTTAGTGCTTGTGAGGTGCATGTCTCTTGCTTTTAACTCTGAGCAGCTGGGGGCAGGGAAGGGTGAGACTGTCCTTTGATAAGGTGTCTCCTGACCGCACATTTCTCTCCCAGGAATAAAACAGTCCAGCATCTCCTGGGTCTGAGCAGCTGGGGTCAGGGAAGACTGAGACTGTCCTTTGCCAAGGGTTTCCCGACTACACATCTTCTCTACCGGGAAGAAAACAATCCAGCATCTCCTGGATCCCTACCATGTGCCAGGCTGCATGCAGGGCACTTCCTCATTCCTCATCTTGGTTCACTCCTACAGTAAATGAGATTCATCTCCATTTTACAGAGGAGAAAACTGAGGCTTAAAGATGAGCCAGGGTTGGTCTGAAGCCATATAGTTGGAAGGTGGCAGAATAAGACTTGAGCATGGATTGGTTGGACTCTAAAGTCTACACTCTTGACCGGGTGCAGTGGCTCACACCTGTAATTCCAGCACTTTGGGAGGCCGAGGCAGGCAGATCACCTGAGGTCAGGAGTTCCAGACCAGCCTGGCCAACACGGTGAAAACCTGTCTGTACTAAAAATACAAAAAATAGCTGGGTGTGGTGGTGGGCGCCTGTAATCCCAGCTACTGGGGAGGCTGAGGCAGGAGAATTGCTTGAACCAAGGAGGCAGAGGTTGCAGTGAGCCGAGATCACGCCACTGAACTCCAGCCTGGGCAGCAAGAGCGAGACCCTGTCTCAAAAAAATAATAATAATAAAGTCTATACTCTTTTTTGCTCCCTTCTCTTGCATTTTCTGGCTTTATGGGCCATTATGCTGACAAGGACTCAAGGCCTGTGAACATCAAAGAAGACAAGCAGGGGCTCATCTATTAAAACCTGTGGTTCTTAGGAAGGATGGCCGTCCACAGCTCGGGCAGAGCAGAGCCCATTCTGAACTGCTGGCTTCCTCTATAGCAGGATCCAAAATTCCAAGACACTTGTTGGGCACAATCAGAGATCAGCTGCTATTGTCATCCCCTCCTCAAATTCATTCTGCTCAAGAAAATGGGCAGAGGAAATAGCAGAGAGGAAATAGCTTAGGCCCTTGCCCTGTTGTCCTCTGGAAACATTCCTCCCTCCCTCCTATATTCCCACCTGGGCTTCTGAGGCTACAGACCTAGGTACATGACTGGGAACAATTACATACCATCTCTGAGCCTCTGGGGCCTCCTCTGTAAAATGGGGATAATCAGGCCTCCAGGAGACAATCTTTTTTTTTTTTTTTTTAGATGGAGTCTCTCTCTGTCGCCCAGGCTGGAGTGCAGTGGCATGATCTCGGCTCACTGCAACCTCTGCCTCTTGGGTTCAAGCAATTCTCCTTGAATCGCCTCAGCCTCCCGAGTAGCTGGGATTACAGGTGCCCACCACCACACCCGGGTAATTTTTGTATTTTTAGTAGAGATGATGTTTCACCGTGTTGGCCAGGCTGGTCTCAAACTCCTGACCTCATGTGATCTGCCTGCCTTGGCCTCCCAAAGTGCTGGGATTACAGGTGTGAGCCGCTTGCGCCTGGCCAGAAGCAGCATGATTAAATAAGAGATATTAAATAAGAGGACACCTTGCAAGACAGTGTAGGCACTAAGCAGTCACTCAAAAAATTGTTACACTCCCCCCTGCCCCACTGCCATCACCACACACACACATGCACACACGCTTCCACTGAATCACATACGGGAATGCCTTCTTCCTAAAAGGGAAGGAAAAGTCCACACCTCCGGTCTAAGGCAGCTCCCCACACTCACCTGAAAGACTGAATAGTCAAAGCCAGTCCTTTACCCCTTGCAACTCTGCAAATTGCCAGCAAACAAGGCTGCTCATGATAGGTGGCCCTGGAGTTTGGCCAGATTCCTGAGAGGGAGAAAAAACATCACATTGAATGTCCAGGAGACAGTCCCCAAAGAGAAACTGTTGTTACTGAGGGACCCCTGCCTTGCCTCTGCTGGTCTGACCTGAGTATTGTGGCAGGAAACGCCTCTGCAATGAAGCATCATTAACTGCAGGGACTTCAATTCCTCACAACAGGCCTGCTAGGTGCTGAGGAATCATCTCATCCCCCATCTCACAGAAGGGGAAACTGAGGCTCAGAAAAGGTGAGTAACCAAGCCAAGTTCACAAAACGATTCGAGATCAATACTCTATTCCCCCAAGACTGGGGCAGATCCACAGTTCCAGAAAGGAAAGTTTGATAAAGTACACTGGGTGTAGGCTGGGCACAGTGGCTCATGCCTATAATCCCAGCACTTTGGGAGGCTGAGGCGGGCAGATCACCTGAGGTCAGGAGTTCAAGACCAGCCTGGCCAACATGGTGAAACCCCATCTACAAAATACAAAAATTACTTGGGCGTACTGGTGCATGTCGGTAATCCCAGCTGCTCGGGGGGCTGAGGCAGAATAATCACTTGAACCAGGGAGGAGGAGATTGCAGTGAGCCAAATCACGCCACTGCACTCCAGCCTGGGTGAAAGAGTGAAACTCTGTCTCAAAAAACAAACAAACAAACAGAAAAGCATACTGGGTGTTGCAAAATAAGGTTATACCTAGCAAAAAGAAAAATAGGTTTCATTTCAATTATACAAATTACTAAAAGTTAGACAAATGTGGTATTGAACATCAGTGAAAAGAAAATTAAGAAATCTTTCTTTAGACAGTGGGGATAAGTAATCCAATAGGAATTATGTAAAAACTACTCTACTTTTTTGTGAAAATAAGTCTTTCCTCCCTTTTCTTTCCTCTTTCCTCCCTGCCCCCTCCCCACATACACACAATTGTTCTGCAGTTGTTTCAAATGAGGGAGAGAATGAAACAACACATAATTAAAAGGATGACACATTCATAGTTTTTGTAATACTATTCTCTAATTGGAGCATCACTCCAACTTTATGTCGTATGTAGCTTTTGTTTTCCATGTGAAGAGAAAACAGAGATACGGTCATTTTCCCAGCATCATGTAGCAACTTAGTATCGGAAACTTCTAGCCCAAGTGGCCTCTAACACTAAAAGTCCTTGCTTTCTCCACCATTCTTCTGCCTCCCCTTGAGACTCCTAATGGGGCTCTGGTCAGACTGGCTTCTGGATTTTCGATATTCTTAGCAGAAAAACATGTCTGGATGTATAATTACACTGATTATATGTATATGTACATATATATGCATATATGTGTGTATGCACACATATACACATCTGTAATATATATTTGTATATTTAAATATGTATATAATACATATACACATATGTAATATCTGTTTCAAAAATCTTACATCTTATACGTATGCCTACAAATGTGAGTGTATAAAAGACAACTGTTTGGAAATGAGAAGGAGGAAAAAGGAAAAGAGAATGCAGAAGAGGAAGTGTGTGAGGGAGGAAGAGAAGAAAAAGGGGGTAGAAAAGTAAGAGGAGGAGTCAAAAGAAAAAGAGAGGGGTGGGTGAGTGAAAGAATTGCCAGAAGAGGAAATAGAGAAAGTGAAGATGAAGACATCTCTTCTCAGCAAAATAAATAGCCGTACCCACTCTGAGGCCATTAACTTGCCAGAAATTCTCAGGAGGCTCCTTGGGCCCAAGAAAGCAGGTTCAGCCAGTGAGGACTCCTCGAAGCCAGTTTTGTCTCAAGAGCCACAGACTCCGAGACCCTTGTTCCATGTATGCCAGAAGGTGGAGATGACTTGGGTGTGGCTGATGGAGAAGGTGTGTACTCAGCCCAGTTCAGGAATGCTGGACAGCTGCCTGCTCCGACCCTCCCTTCCTGAAGCTGTTCAGGGCACCCTCCAACCCAGGCACCTCATGTCCAGGTGTCCAAATGTCATCAGTTTCTCCCTGGGCCTGGCCTAAGGGGCTTCTTCCCCACCCTCTCTGTATACCCGGAGATGTAGCCTGGCAACCTCATCATGTCTGTTTCCCCATCTGTAGCTTGGGCTTTGGGATTACTATCTTGGATTGTGCAGACTGTTATAAGAGAATACCATCAACTGGGTGGCTTAAACACAGTAGACATTTACAGATCCAGGATCTAATTTGGGCCCACTTCCTGGTTTCTACACAACCACCTTCTTGCTGTGTCTACACATGGTGGAAGGGACAAGGGAACTCTCTGGGGTCTCTTTTACAAGGGCACTAATACCATTCACGAGGGCTCCAATATCACGGCCTAATCACCTGCCCAAGGCCCCATCTTCTCATACCATAACATTGGGGATTCATTTTCTACATGAATTTTTGGAGGAGACATAAAGATTCCATCCATAGCAAGTATCCTCCACATCAGAAGTCATGAAGAGTAAATGAACGTGCAGACACAACTTGGCTCTGAGTCAGTCTCAATAGCTACCAGCCCTTGTTGTTCTTATTATTACCTGGGCTGAATCCACTTCGTCTGGTTTGCATAGCTATGGCTTTCTTTCATTATGCAGCAAGGTTCCTGGGTTGTCAGTCTCAAGCTGACTGTGCACTGAAGACTCCAGGTCTTAAGTCTAAGGAAACCAGATATGGGATTTCTGGCATTTGGGGGCTGATGATGGGGGAGAAAGACTGTATTCACTTAGAGGACATTTATTGCAGACCTACTCTGTGCACACTCCTATCCACATGCTCAGCAGTGCCAGTACAAACACGGGACGCAGTGAAGCACCCAACACTCCTTCCAAAACTTTTCTTCCTCCTTTCTCTTTTTAAAAAATTACTTATGTGTCTCTCTGTCTCTCTAAATAAACTGTTAGTTCCTTGAGGCCAGGGACTATGTCTTGCTCCTTTTTACTTCCCACAACATGTGGCACAGAATAGACACTTAATAAATATCTGGGGATGGGCAAGGTGGTTCAAGCCTGTATTCCCAGTACAGTGCGAGGCCAAGGTGGGAGGATCGCTTGAGGCCAGGAGTTCAACACCAGCCTGGGCAACATAGCAAGCCCTTGTCTCTAAAAAAAAAAAAAACAAACAAACAAACAAACAAACAAAAAAAAAAACTGAGTGTGATGGCCCTATGGCCCCAACTACTCAGGAAGCTGAGGTAGGAGGATCTCTCTCCCTTTTCTTTTCTTTTTTCTTTTCTTTTTTTTTTTTTTTAAGACGGAGTTTTTGCTCTGTTGCCCAGGCTGGAGTGCAATGGCATGATCTCGGCTCACTGCAACCTCTGCCTCTTGGATTCAAGCGATTCTCTTGCCTCAGCCTCCCGAGTAGCTGGGATTATAGGGGTCATCTGCCACCACGCCTGGCTAACTTTTGTATTTCTTGGGAGAGACGAGGTTTCACCATGTTGGCCAGGCTGGTCTCGAACTCTTGATCTCAGGTGACCCACCCGCCTTGGCCTCCCAAAGTACTGGAATTACAGGTGTGAGCCACCGCGCCCAGCCAGTAGAAGGATCTCTTGAGCCCAGAAAGTTGAGGCTGCAGTGAGCCTTGATGGGGCCACTGCACTCTAGCCTGGGCCACAGAACAAGAACCTATCTTGATAGACAGATGATAGATAGATAGATAGATAGATAGATAGATAGATAGATAGATAGATACATAGATAGATCAATAGATAGATATCTGGAAAATAAGCCAACAACAAAACAATGAGAGTCCCAGGTGCAGGTCTCTAGTGGAGACGGGGAAGACCCCCCTTATCTCCCATCACCATCAGAAACTGTGAGCAGCATCTTAGTCAAGCCAAAAGAACTTGAACTGTGGAGGCAATCACACTGTGATCTCTGAGTCACTGTGTGACTGGGACAAGTGACTCCAGATATATGAGTTTGTTTCCTCATCTTTCAAATAAAAATATACTCCACAGTTGTTGGAAGGGGGAAACAAGAGAATTAGATGGTGGCACTTGAAGCATAGAAGGGCTCTATCTAGCACCCTTCTTTTCTGTGCCTTTCTCTAGATAACAACAGCACAGAGCCCAACTCCTTCAACAAACTCAGGAAACTAAAAGAACACCAGGTCACCCAAGAAGTAACTAGCTTCATCCTATAAGAAATATACCCTTTCAGAATTTTGCAGGAACACTTTGGGGATATATGGTTTTAAGTCAATGGCATTTTCATAAAATAATAACAGTATTCTGGTGGTTGCTTTAAATATACATTATATCTCATTGAATATTTGTATCAGTTCTATGGAGTAGGTGTCCATAGAAGAGGGGACAGAGTTCTTAAACACTCACCCAAATTTGCACAGCTCATGGTGAAAGAGCCAGGATTTGAACATTCCCTTGTGGATCTGTCTGATTCTAAAGTATATTCTCTTTCTCCTCCACCCCATGGCCTCTGTCCTTGTATGTTGAAATAACTTTTCATTCTCATCAGGAGCTGCAGTCAGAAGATGAAGGAATGAAAATGGGGCGGGGTAGGGTGTGTGGGAAACGGGGCCAAGAATCCCTGTCCTTTCTGAAATGAGTAGAAACATTCCAATTCCATTTTTACTGTCTATTGCATTGTAAAAGCATAA
This sequence comes from Homo sapiens, assembly GCF_000001405.40. Lineage (NCBI taxonomy): Eukaryota > Metazoa > Chordata > Mammalia > Primates > Hominidae > Homo > Homo sapiens. The sequence continues at coordinate 56,636,595 of NC_000017.11, forward strand.
AGGCTTCAGCCAAACCCCTAAATATTTAAAGAGTAACAGAACTCCAGATTAAATTAATATCCACGTTCAAACAGTAGCTGCAATGGGGCAATTGCCAAGTTATTTCTACCCTCATGAGAAAGGAAAGAAAGAAAATATTAGCCGGGACCTTCGATCTGGAGCGCTGAAATCAGATCCCAACAGGGCAATTCTGTGCTGGGGAGCTTTAGTACAATCAAATCTTTTCATGTTTCAACTCAGCCTACTCCTTTCTCACTGGGCTCCTGGCTAACAGCTTCCCTCCAGCGACGCTGAATTGGTACCAAAGTGATCTGGACTGTTTTGACACTAAGCATCAATTCCACAGACTTGGTTTTCATCGACAAATCAATTATTCTAGCTCATTACAAGGCCAGAGTGAGTTTTCCCATCAGAATAGAAACTTTCATTCATTCTGCCTTTCATTTGCCCAGGAAGGAAAAACAAAGGAAGGCAGGAGGGAGCTATGCTCAAGTTATTAGAGAATGCCCACATGTTTTCTCCCTGGGACAGAACCCAGAGAGATGAAATGTCACTGAGCCAACTATGCAGAGTTCCAGGAGGAGGATTTGGGCTTCCTGAGAACAGCCCAATCTGTCTGCATCATCTCCATCTCAGAGCCACCAAGAGGCACCCCTGATAGAAGCTTCAGAAAAGCAGAGAGAGAGGAGCGGGTTGGCTTGGCAGAAGGTGAAATCAAGCCACAGAGGAAAGCTGTGGGATAAAAGCTGTATTAGATTCCAGCCCTTCTCCTGCAAGGAGACAATCGCCCCAACACCATAAGCAGCCCATTAGAGAGAGCACCCGCTATGTACCGGGTCCCAAGACAGGCACATGCATTGCAATCCTCCCAATGCCTTCCACTGGGAGTCAGTATAAGAAGCACAGTCCAGCGCAACAAGGAACTGCTCTCCACTTATTCCCAGTCTATGACCCGGAAGAGAGGACCCCTGGGAAAAAAGACTGCGAGCGACTTCAATGTCAAGGAAAGTTGCTCTCCAGAGAAACCATTTACTTTATTTTATTTTATTTTATTTTATTTTATTTTATTTTATTATTTTATTTTATATTTTTTGAGACAGAGTATCTCTCTTTCACCCAGGCTAGAGCATAGTGGCATGATCTCGGCTCACTGCAACCTCCACCTCCCAGATGCAAGCGATTCTCCTTGCCTCAGCCTCCCAAGTAGCTGAAACTGCAGGCGTGCACCACCATGCCCAGCTAATTTTTGTATATTTAGTAGAGATGGGGTTTCACCATGTTGGCCAGGCTGGTCTTGAGCTCCTGACCTCAGATGATCCACCCACCTCAGCCTCCCAAAGTGCTGGGATTACAGGCATGAGCCACTGCACCCAGCCAAAGCCATTTTTTTAATAGACAACATGAATCTTCTCAATGATGTCTTCTGCTTTATTCTGGCCAACTAAAAGCTCAGAAACAAATTTACTAAACAACTTTAATAATTGTGCAAGATTCCAAGTTGTGCATGCCTGTGTACTAACCCTGCCTTCGCTTCATATTTCTGTTCAGCCCTTCTTTTCTTTTTGCCATGGTTTCTTTAATACACTACATTTTTTAAAAGAGCTGTCTTGTCTCCTGTCTGGAAAGAAAAGAAGTATAAGGGATCAAATCAATCTTCCATTAAATAAATAAACAAAATGCAAACTTTGGTTTTATTCTCACAAAGCCTGTTGGGACAGTGATCATTGTCCTCAAGTTTTGGCTGAGAAGATTCTGGCACAGAGAGCTTAAGTAACTTACCCAAAGTCACACAGCTAATAAGGGACATGGCCAAGATGCTAACTCATGTTTTTCTGACTTAAAAGCCCATGCTCTTTCCACTGCCCTGTGCTGCCAGATATTACCCCCAAAGCTTTCCCTGGCCTCTTGATCTAGGAGGTCTCAAGGCCTCAGGACCTTTCAGAGTCCAAGAGTCGAGCATAGAACCAGCCACTGCTCCCATCTTCTCCCCTTTCACCAGGACAGGACAAGAGGACACAGGTGCAGGCTCCAACTCCACATCCCAATCCAGCCCAAGCCTGGCCAGTCTTGAGCCAGCATGTCAAGGGCTTGGCGCCTTCATTCCGGAGCCCGCATGTGCTGGGAGGAAAGCCTCATGCATGTGTTTCTGATTTGCATGCATCCCGCCTGGTCTCCACAGAGCCATTCCAAGTCCGAGAAGCTGTGGGAGCCTTTTTTATTTTTTTACACACACCCCCCTTCTCTTCCTATCCCTCTCTCTGACAGCTTTTCTCTTTGAATCAGAGAACTAGACTCTGCCAAGTGAAAATGTAACTCAAACCTCAAAGGGCTCAACAGCCTCTAGAAACTCGCAAGGCACGATCACCCTAGAGATGCAGCGCTCTGCTGTCGGGACTCCCGCTGGGCGCAGCTCTCTGCCTGCCAGAGGGTGGGGTGGGGGCAGGGGGAGACTGCACTAGGATCTGGGTATTTTTAGTTGATAATGATTTTAAATGGCCTTGAGCCTTCGGCCTAGAGGTAGGAGTGATTTCTCCACTTTATAGGCAAGTAAGTGAGACTCTGAGAGTTTAAGACCCCTTTATTTATTTAGCGCCTACTATGTGCTGAGTGCTATACATACACATCTCTCCATCCTCACAGTAATCCAGGAGGGCAGGTGGCAGCTTCCAAGGGGGTGCCATCTTCCCTTCATCACACAGCTTGTAAAAAGTGAAGTCTGAACTCAAACCCAGGACTATGTGATTCCAAAGAATTTTTTTCTACCGTGCAGCAGGGCATCCAGAGAAGGTGGGGAGCACCCCAAGAGCCGCTAGCAGGGAAATGGGGGCACGCACTTAAAACCACCCAATATTTCCCCTGAGCATCACAAACAAGCAAAAGATTCACCAAGCCAAGCCTGTTATCTATCTACTTGCCAGGGAGGAATTGAGCATTCCCGGCAGGTGAGTTTATCTGGAAATGGCTTTCCCAAGGAGGTGAGTCCTAGGCTGGACTGTGGAGGATGGGGAGCAGCAGCCACTGAGGGCAAGCGGCTAAAGTGAGCAGTATTTGTCTTTGAGACCCCTTTCCCGAGTCACCACCACCACCGCTGCCACCAAGACTGGCTACATCATTTCCTGGCATAATGCCAAATGAAAATGTGGGGCCTCATGTTCAAAAACTATTCTATTCAGGATGGTGACAGGAGAACATTAACCAAGCACAGAGCCCTGTGTAGCTGCTCAGGAGGATGCCCGTGAAGCAGGCCCTCGGTGACTCCCTCCATATCCACTTCAGAGCCTAGGAGCCACCTTGCAGATCATCCAGTCCCAGAAGCCCAGAGGGACTGCACAAGGCTTAGGAGCTCATAGGTGGTCTGGCAGGGACCATCCCCAACATACCTGTGTCCCCATCTAGGGCTCTCTCCAAATATGCCATTGCCTACCTAATCTGATCTCAAGCAGGCTTGTAAATACCTGTTGATTTAATTCCATTGGGGAACAAAAAGTGATATTCATTCACAACCAAGTGTGAATAATCAGTACCAGTTTAAACTGTGACCCTCCCACAGGGATTTTCATTTTCACAGAGATCAAAGCTTTAAGCTCAAGAAATACACTTCACTTGTTGGCCCTTTAGGCATCAAAGAGTAGATGAGGAGGGGTGCTGGGGACAGAAGAGATAAGGCATTTACCTGCCCCACCCATGGGTCAGGCCAATCCCAGAGAGGCAATACATAGAGAGGCCTGGAGCTAGATCTTAGGGACCCCTGCTGGCTTCTCGCAGTGGTTCAAACAAGGACTTAATTTTCATCACGAGGTCTTACTCCGGCTACTGGCCACTGCACTCTCCACCACAGCAAATCTCTCTCTATGCGAAGCTAGGCCTCCCACAACTTTGGCTTTTCCCCCAACCTTGGTGTGGGATCAATTCTTTCCCAAAACCAGAGGTGAAAAAGGAAAGGAGAGAGGGGGAGGAAACAGGATGGAGGGCAGATGGGAGGAAGGAAAGGGGGGACAGAAGAAAGGAAAAACATTCATTTTGCTTTTAATTGATTGTAAGCTTCATGAGGACAGAGACCATAGCTGACTTATTCCCCCGGAGTCTAAGGCAACCAAGGCAGCCCGTGCAATGCCTGATATACTATAGGTGCTCAATAAATATTATGGATGGGGGAACAGATGGACTGATAGCTGGTGGATGCATAGGTGTACATGTAGATGGATGGACATGTGGATGGATGAGTAGATGGATGGATGGATGGATGGATGGATGAATTGATGGAGAGTCAGTAGGTGAACGGATGAAAGGATGATGAACAGTCGTGTACATCAATGGGTTAATGGATGGATGGGTCGATAGATGGGTCAGGGGATGGATGAAATGCTAGGCCCTTTTTTTTGTTCATTTATGTCTTTTTATGCTTCAAACACTGCCTTGAATTCCCTTTGAACAAAGTAGTGGTTTAAACAAGAAAACTATCCCTCATTAGCTCTGTGAGTTAAGTATTATGATTATCCTGTAATTCAGATGGGGAACCCATGACTCTGAGAGGCAAAACATCTTGTGCAAGGTCACCTCTTTTCTAGCTAGGAAGGGGCCCAGCCAGGTTCCAAATCTTGATCTGTATAAGTTGACCCAAAACTCTCTCCACTGTACTAGCATGCTAAAGAGGCTGAGCATTTACCTGGGGGCATTCCACAGCATTTTCTACTTAAACTTAACCCTGAACATCTGAGCCCCAATATCTGCTCCACCCTCAAGGACACAGGCACAGTCAGTATCTTTTCTAATAACATTCATTTACACTCCTTGATACATCACATTTCTTTTCTGGAATATTCCAACTAACACCTCTTGTCCCTCAGAGATGAATGGACCAGGCTGGGTAAGGCAGGGCATGAAGTCTTTCTAACACAAAACCAAATCATATAAGTAAGGGCAGTGTCCCAGTGGTCTGTCAGCTCAGCTTTCTGCTACTCTGATCCTGATTCTGATCTCCATACCCCAAATGCACATAAATGCAAAATTATGTACACACACAGACTCCATGTGTGTACATAATTTTGCTTTTATTGATTGTAAGCTTCATGAGAACAGATACCATAGCTGATTTATTCCCCCAGAGAACAAGTGGTCTAATTCATTGTGTTGTGATATTCACTGTTTTGCATGTGTCAACTCTTCATAGTCCAATGCCTGGGCTCCACAAAGTCATACAAACTCTGACTCTATCTTTGTGAGCATGGTATGCAGCTTCTAAGAAGTCTCCCAAAGGTCTTGCCTCCTGAAATTTATGACCTTTTAAAATTCCCTCCCCTTGAGCATGAGTTGGATCTAGTGACTTTCTTCTAGTGAATAGAGTGTGGATGTCTCTTCCAAGATTAGGTTACCAAAAGATTCTGGCTTCTGCTTTGTTCACCTCCTTTGCCTTCTTGCTTGCTCGCTCTCATTGCAGGCCAGCTGCCATGTTTATGAAGCAGGGCAGCCTCAGCCACCAGACAGTGAGGAACTGAGACTCTCAGTCCAACAGCCTGAAAGGAACTGAACCCTGCCAACAACCTCCCGAGTGAGATTGGAAGCAGATTCTTCCCCCTGAGGCTTGAGATGATGATAGCCCCAGCACCCAAGACCCTGGGCCAGAGGACTCTGCTAAGCCACACCCAGAATCCTGCCCCACAGAAACTGTGAAATAATAAGTGTTTGTTCCTTTAACCACTGAATTTAAAGGAGGGGGGTAATTTATTATACCAGCGTAAATAACCACACCAGCATAGATATCTAATACTAACAACTAATCTGATACCTACTGAACATTTGCTCTTTGCCAATAACTCTAAGAGAAAAGAGAGATGATCCACTCCGTCTCCTCTAAATATTTTCAATCTGTGAGTCAGCTAGTAAGAATAGATCATTATAATTCACCTAAAAATTATGGTAAAGTTGTTATTCATTGGCAGAGTAAACAAACAAGGCAAGTCACATGGCCAAACCCAAAGTTAAGGGGAAGGGAAATATATTCCCACCTCTTTGGTGGGAGGAACTGCAAAGTCACGTGACAAAGAATATAGCTACAGGAAGGAATGAGGAATTAGAACCTGAAATGCAATCTACTCTAAAGGCCTATGGCAGTTTAGAAGAACAAACATACATACATTTAATTTGGCATAAAAGGGAGCCTGGGAGGAAATGTATCAAACGTAGACACTGGGTGATGGGGGATTACACATGATCCCTATTCCTTCTTTATGTTTTTTCTATCTCCAAATATTCTACAATGATTGTGTTTTCATTTAAAGTAAGAAAAAAATGTTACTAAAAATATGAGAAGGGCCTTGGGGCATGAAAAAGGGGGAAATTATTTCTGGCTGAGAGAGCCAGAGCACCTAAAGGCAGGTAACATGGAGCTGGCATTGAAAAATAAGTTCTTCAGCATAGGAGTGTGATAAGGCTGTTTTAGATCCAGAAAACAGAATAAGCCCCTAATCCAGGAGTGGGACTTGCCTGAAAGCTGTTATGACAGTGAGTACACCTTAGCCAGGGGCATCGATAGGTAAGTGACTAGCAGTGGTGAACTCACCTTGTCGAAAGCAGAGTAGGGAAGAATCGAGTATTATGCCAAGAGTCTCAAACATCAGACACAGAAGGGATTTTAGACAGCAAAACAGCCCCTTCATTTTGTTCAGTTGGACCATATGAAATTACTGATATTTGGTCGTTTTTAACCTCAGAATATAGCAATTTCATATGGTCCAACCTAATATCAAGGAGGAAATCGAACTTAAAGAGGGTGCGTGATTTTTGCACAGCCACAGAGAAAGTATCAAAGCCAGAATATGTTCAATGCCATTTAAAGAGTAAGGAAATGAGGATGAGTCCAATATGTTTAAGCCTCCCCTATGAGTAGGTCAGATGAGGGCAGGTTTGGTGAGGGATATCTTAGAACCTCAGAAATGCCAACCGTGGAGGGTTTTACTGTGTACACATTGTCAGGCTCCTAGTAAAGGAAGCACTTAATATTCACTGTCATCCTAAATAAAGCAGGTGCCTCTGGCTTTGTCTTTAAAGACCTTCTGCAGAAAAGCATGAGGTGAGCAGGGTTGTAGAAGTTCCTTGTAGGCAGAGAGGATATCACATTCTTCTCTGTGGTGTCTACAGGTCATAGCACAATTCTAGGTAGGAGGCCACTGTTCAATCATGTCTGCCAAATCCAATGCCAGCTATCTCTTCACTTCCATCCTCCTAGGTGCTGGGGCTCAGCCAGCTGTCACTGCTTTATCTCCCACTGTCCCAGGTCAGAAGAAGTCTTTCTGATCTTGTTCTGTAACTTTTATTTTTAGTTAAGAAGCTTTGGTGGCAGGGGGTGGGGCCAAGAGAAGCAAGGATAGGGACAGTGCAGTCATCAAGGGGTCTGAAGCTCAGGGGTGGCTCCTCTGAGCCACTTTTTGTATTGCATTTAGAAAACATAGGTTTTTATAAGAAAACAAGGGGCAAATCCATCCCTATCCCGGGGGGATTTGGGAGCAAGCATTAGCCTCCTAAGAGGGTTCACAAGTTTATACTTAGTCTCTCTCTCTCTCTTTTTCTCTCTCTCTCTGACACACACACATACACGCACACACACACACAAGCACACACCCCTTTCGTATCAAGCACCAGGTTGAGTAGGTCAGAAAGGAATGGTACCATTGTTCCCTGTTTATGCCTGCTTTTCAAGAGACTGCCCCAGAAAGTCACTTCTCTACCCTTCCCCTACCTGAAAATGAGATTAGAACTTGCCCTTGATTTTGCCCCAGGACCGGTCCAGCTCAGAATGCTCACAGCAGGGCCATTCAACACCCACTAATCATTTCTTCCTATCTTCCCATGAGATTATAATACCCTGGGCTCTGGCTCCTGGTACAGCCTGACTGTGTTAGGCCCCGACACTCTCCAGCCACTGCGAAATACCCTGGAAAAAACAGGTCCTGGAAAAAAAAAAAGATCTCCTTAAGGAGCTGCAGCCTCAAACTCCTATTTCACCAATGATATTGGTGGGGTTGGGGGGAGGGAATATAGGGATTGAGTTGACCTGGAAGAAGGGGGATCTGGAAGTAGCCCTTCCTAGGTCCTCTGCACATTGCAGACCTCTGCCCTAATGTAAGCTGCACATGGGGGGACTCCGGCCCTTGAAAATTCCTCCTCCCATTTGACAGGGCCAAGCCAGGCACCCAGCAACAACCCAGTCCCTCAGGAACCCCAACTGCAAACTTCCAAGCCTCTCCTGAATCAGAGTGTCTCAGCTTCACCTTCTGATTGCCCACGAAAAGGAGACTGGCCCACCTCTGAGTTACATCCAGCCAAGCTTCAGGCTTGGGACCCACTTGCCTCTCTTTCTCTTCCCAGCTCTTGTTTCCACCAAACAGAGCTTCTCCTGAATGTGGGCTGTAGCACTAAAGCCTCAGAGAAGAGGTTGATTCTCTGATTCTTTCCAGCTGTCAGAGAGGCCAGCTAAGAATAACTGCACCCAAAATAGTACTTGGGATGATTTAGGTGTGGCTCAGCCCAGAGGCAGGTGGATGGACTAGATGACCTGTGGGAGTCTTGTACCCTCCTTGGACACCTCATTCATTCAAAAAAAATATGCTGAACACCTACTATGTGCCAGGCACTAGGCTATGTGCTGGGGATGCAATGTGAAGAAAATACATGGAGCTCTCAGTTCAATAAGTAAACCACAGCCCCACCTCTGCCCTCATCCCCTCCCCTGCTGTAGTCTGCTTCTGTAGGTACTGCCTCTGTGCTATAGCACTATGTTCAAACCTCTGGCCTAGCTTGTAACACCATTTTATACTTAACCATCTCTTCAGTGGCTCCCCTACTAGATTCTGAATTCTGGAGACAAGAATCATTTCTGTATCCCCAGAGCTTGGTACATTGACTGGCCCATTGTAGATGTAGAATAAAGATAAATGGGTGAATGGATAGATGGATCGATGGATAATGGGTGGATAAATAGATGGATGGATCAAGTACTTTATGGAGATCTTGACTAGTATGAGTTTTCTTCTATCTGCTTCTTTTGTGGACTCCATTTGGTTTGGCTCTACTATACAGATTTAGGCCATATGAATTTTAAATATAAGACGTCTAAACTGAACATCTGAGGGAGCATAACGATGGAAAAAGCAGTGTATGGCATACAGGCTGAGGCTTCTTACTCCCACACCAGTGGCCTGCTAAGTCCGGACATGCCCTCAGAGTCCTTCTTAACACAGTTCATAGGACATTTGCAGCCTACCACTAAAAGTGTTAGGTATGTTAAAGCTTGTTTGCCATCCATGAACTAGGAGATCAGATTTGGCAAGGGGAGGCAGAGGTTAGGCTCTGATAGATCACTGAAATCAAATGACAGGTTTGATGCTCCTAAAATGAAGTCTTCAATGAACAGTCCTGTGCTATTGGAGCTGACACTAAGAAGTACTTACAAAATACATTGGCATTTGCATCCAGATGCTAGTTAATGATTTTTGTCCTATTTATTGATTAATGGATTGCTTACTTATTTCCACAAGAAACTCTGGAATTCCCAAAGTTCCCCATGGAATCTCAGAACTTCCAAAGCCATCCCTAGAGAGGATGAAATTCTAATTATGTCACCATCTCGCTCAGAGCCCCTATGGCTCTCCATCACCTACATGAAAAAATTGCAGCTCCGTAGCAGGCTATTCCCAACCCTCCATAAAATCCAAGGTACAGCCACAGTGGACTGCCTGCCAATCAGCCACTTTCTACAATGAGAACTTTGCCTTCACTTTCTCCTTCCCTAGGAATCCTGATTCCCCATCTCTTCCTCGTTTAAATATGCACGTTCTTGTGACAACATGGAAATGCTTCTGGCCAGGAGCGATGGCTCATGCCTGTAACCCCTTTGGGAGGCCGAGGTGGGTGGATCACTTGAGGACAGGAGTTCGAGACCAGCGTGGCCAACATGGTGAAACCCCATCTCTACTAAAAATACAAAAATTAGTCGGGCTTGATGCTGGCATGTAGTCCCAGCTACTCAGGAGGCTGAGGCAGGAGAATCACTTGAACCTCAGAGGTTGAGGTTGCAGTGAGCAGAGATTGTGCCACTGCACTCCAGCCTGGGTGACAGAGCGAGACTCAGTAAGAAAAGAAAAATGCTTCCAATTAATGATTCACTTAAAAAAAAACACAAGAATGTCTGCTTAATATGATAGCACATGATGTGACAAACAATAGTTATGAAGAAGCAATAGCAGAGAAAAAGCTGACAAGAAAAGCGGCCAAATGCCAACCAAACTAAAGTTGGTGGTATGAAAATGTGAGTAATATTTCTTCTTTATTCTATTTTCTAAATGGCTTCTAAGGTAGTTCTGTTGCTTTTCTATTGAGATCATTAGATTCAGCCAACGTCTACTACAGGACGGGAATTAAGATATTTCTAAACCTTACATCTCTACCACAGCCCAGTCCAAATATTACTACCTTGAAGATGCTTTCCACGACTAGCCTCTGACTGTCCCAAACCCGTAAGACACAGAATCTTACCCCTCTGTGTCTCATAGACCTTCATTAATATCTATTAAAGGAGTTACCAGGCTCAGTCTTAAATCATAGATGATTTTATGCATTCCTGTCTCCAGCTTTGTGATGGTATGACTTTTTTTAATTAATAAATGAAAGAATGGTCATGTTTTTAGCCTGCACTTGTGTTAGAAAATATGATATAATATAATATAATATAATATAATATAATACAAATTATTACATTCTCATAACTACTTTTTTACCCCTTCTCAATATCTTCCCCAACCTCCAAAAATTATTCCAAATCCCAGGCATTATTTGTCAAGACCAAAAGGTAGGGATATTCAGGGTAGAGACTGCCCAGATCTAGCACATATTGGCCTTTAAAACAAGTAAAAATAACTACTTAGGTAATTAATTTGTGGGAAATATTAAAACCTACTCTTGGTTGGAAGCTGTACACTTATCTGTGGAATTTAAGCATTCAGCCCGTTGGATGAAGAATTAGGTGTGCCAATGATACTGACAATAATAAGAGAATGTGCCTTCACTCCCAACTGAGACTGTGCAGAATTACCCATCGGACTCACACAGGTATGGCATAATTGGTGGAGGATTATTTGTTTGAACTTGCAAAATGGATTTCTGAAATGTTTGAGCTGGTGCTAGAAGTGTTTTCAAAGTGCCTGTATACTCACCTTAAACACACACATTATTAAGGGATTTCATTTGACATTTAACAATTTTGTATATTAATATTGCCCTCCTTCCCCTAAATGGCCTAATCTGTCTAAATCCACAGCATCAAAAGTCATTACACAGAAAGAACAAGATGTTGCCAGAGCCACTATGGCCCAGCATTGAATTTGCGTGAGCTGAGATGATTCAGGGAGATTTATATCCTGTTATTTCCTGAACTCAGAGCAAAACCTCACAGGTTCAAGATTTTGAAAAGCATTTGTCTGAGCAATCTCACTTCATCACTTTGAAAGGGATGGTGTCTCTGCCATCTGCTTAAGCAGCAATGCCTTCATGAAAAGGAAAAAAATCTCCCTCTCCTCTCTCTCTCTCTCTCTCTCTCTCTCCAGCTAAGTATGTGAACACTAGGGTGAATTCCAAGGCCTATGGCCACTGGGAAAACAGGATCTTTACTCAATCTTCCTTCCCCTGGAAAATTTTCTTTTACTTCTTCCCTGGGTTCCTATGACATGGAAAGAAAATTGCAGAGAGTTTAGGCGGCACTTTGGATTCTGAAATCATTGCTTTGTTCTCACTAGCAAATGACATAAAGGTTCAGACTAGAGTAGTGGTTTTAATCATTTTTGAGCCACACACACTTTTGAGAATCCGACGAGAACTATGTGTTCTCTCACTAAAGAAAACTAGATATGTGAATATGCGCGAAGTTTTGCTTGCAAATATAGGTGGTTCTTGGTGGTGAATTACTCATCCATGACTTTCTCAAGGATCTATGAACCCCAGCTTAAATATCTCTGATCTAAATAACCAACACTTGCATGGCTCTTTGGTTTACAAAGTATTTTCAAATCTGTCTCTCATTTGACAACTTAGTAAACTTGTCACCCACTTCACTTTCATACAAAAAAAAATATGTTGTCAACCTGGCTCACAAGAAATGTATTTTGACTTGCTGCTCTCAAATCTTAATTTTCATCCACCCTGCATATTAAATTGCACTTTGAAAATTTAGATTCTATTTGTTATATTTGTAAAACTAACTTGTTGCTGTTAATTTCTTTGTATTGTTTGTTTGTTTTACTATTAATGTGGAAAGATCACAGGCTGCATTCAAAGGGCTGGGCTGGCATCTGGATGCTACCATCGCCAAACACCTACAGGGAAGGTCCAGAGGATTTCATGAGTCACACTAGGATTCTCCTCCTAGTCCCCAGCGGGCATGTCAGTATCTTGGAACACATTTCAGTATACCTATTGTTTCCATAAAACAAACTACAAAGAGGAGTCAAGCTACAAAATATTCCAGACTAGTGGCACTGAGCAGAAGATAGAATAAGAAAGAGTTTCAGGTAGCAGGAGTTGTTTTGTTTTGTTTTTTTGAGACAGAGTCTCACTCTGTCATCCAGGTTGGAGTGCAGTGGCACAATCCCAGCTCACTGCAACCTCCGCCTCCCAGGTTCAAGCAATTCTCCTGCCTCAGCCTCCCAAGTAGCTGGGATTACAGACACATGCCACCAAGCCTGGCTAATTTTTTGTATTTTTAGTAGAGACAGGGTTTCACCATGTTAGCCAGGCTGGTCTCGAAGTCCCGACTTCATGTGATCCGCCTGCCTCGGCCTCCCAAAGTGCTGAGATTACAGGCATGAGCCACTGTACCTGGCCATGAAGTTTTATTTTAATGATTTCTTAACTGCTGAGATAATGATTTGAAGTGTCTATCCCAATGTTAGTTTCCTAGTCCTCTATCTTTGAGTGGGAGGCTATGAAATTAAAGAACCCAATTGTTTTACCAAATATTCTGAATTATTAATAGATTATCAGAACGAAGGCATGGATGCTGTCACAGGCTAAATATGAACCTGGCCAGAATCCAAGCCTCTTACCACCTGGAAGAACCTACTGGACCACCACTTACACATTGCCTAATATCTCTGCTCCAAAGCGCTACCCCATCTTTGCTCACTGCATCCCAGCCTTCTGCCCAGCTGGGCTGTTGGCTGAATGTGGTCAGGGCCAGAATGAAAAGTAGGCAAAGTGGACAGCTTAAGGACCTCCTGTATCTTTGTCTCCAGCCTCAGATGGAGAGTCCAGGGCCAGAGCTCACCTATACAGTACCTTATTATTATTATTATTATTATTATTATTATTATACTTTAAGTTCTAGGGTACATGTGCACAACGTGCAGGTTTGTTATATAAGTATACGTGTGCCATGTTGGTTTGCTGCACCCATCAACTCGTCATTTACATTAGGTAATTCTCCTAATGCTATCCCTCCAACCCCCCGACAGGCCCCAGTGTGTAATGTTCCCCACCCTCTGTCCATGTGTTCTCGTTGTTCAACTCCCACCTATGAGTAAGAACATGTGGTGTTTGGTTCTCTGTCCTTGTGATAGTTTGCTTAGAATGATGGTTTCCAGCTTCATCCATGTCCCTGCAAAGGACATGAACTCATCCTTTTTTAAGGCTGCATAGTATTCCACGGTGTATATATGCCACATTTTCTTAATCTAGTCTATCACTGATGGATATTTGGGTTGGTTCCAAGTCTTTGCTATTGTGAATAGTACCACAATAAACATACGAGTACATGTGTCTTTATAGTAGCATGATTTATAATCCTTTGGGTATATACCCAGTAATGGGATCACTGTGACTTAGAATAAGATGCCTCCTCTGGGAGAACTGATTAGAAAAGGTAGTCCAACTAGCCTGCCCCAACCCGGAAGGCACACGACTTGACAATCAGAAGGACTGAATTTCAGCCTTTGTGCTCCCCAAGACCTGGTGCTTTTGATCAGTTAATAGACTGAATAACCTGGGAGCAAGCCTCCCCTTCAGGTCACAGTTATTCTTCTTGCAGAGGACTTAGGCCTATGAGCATAGGAGTCAACAACCCCAAACAGGGAGGAGGCCAAATGGCTCCAGTCTGGGATTAGATGCTACAAACCCTGCTCTTTAGTGCTGCTGTTATTGACCATCATCATGCATTTAATTAACAAATAATTAATGAGCCCATTCCATATACCAGCTACATGAAGTAAATTGAGTAGGTTTTCATTTGCTTCTTACAAAATCTCAGCAAGATAATAATTATTATTCCCATTTTGTAAGGAAGTAAACTGAGGCTCAGAGAGACTAGGTCATTTGCTCAAGGTCATACAGCTAATAAATGGCAGGACTGGGATGCAAACCCACTTGTGTCTGACTTCACAGTCTCCTGTGGACCCACCCTATGCCTTAAGCCAGTGATTGTCAAACCTGGTTGTATGCTGGACTAACCTGCAGAGGTTTTAAATCATATCCATACCTGTGCCTCTCACAGAGATATTTATTTAACTTGTTTGGGGTAGCATTGGGCATCAGGGTTTTCGTTATTGTTTGAAATCTTCCCTGGTAGTTCCAATGTGCATCCAGGGTTAAGAACCACAGACCTGGGTGAATTGCCATCCTAGTCACACTCAACCCATTTCCTTCCAAATATCCAAAGAGACAGGTGTTCAGCCAGAGTGAAATTTGATATGGCCTCAGACAAGATTCCCATTTCCAAAGTGTAACTCCACTCCCTGCCTTTCCTTTAGACCTTGAATGTTTCCAGTGTCCCCATTTTTTAATATTAAATGATACCTAATTATTCTGATGCATCTTAGTGGGTACTAGCTGCCAACCAATAACAAGAATAGAGTTTGTTGTTGTTATTGTTGTTGTTGTTGTTGTTGTTGTTGTTGTTAAGATGGAATCTCACTCTGTCACCCAGGCTGGACTGCAGTGTAGTGATCTCAGCTCACTACAACCTCCATCTCCTGGGTTCAAGCAATTCTCATGCCTCAGCCTCTCAGTAGCTGGGATCACAGGTACCTGCCACCACACCCAGATAACTTTTGTATTTTTAGTAGAGACAGGGTTTCACCATGCTGACCAGGCTGGTCTTGAACTTCTGACCTCAAGTGATCTGCCTGCATCGGCCTCCGAAAGTGTTGGGATTACAGGTGTGAGCCACCACACCTGGCCAAGAATAGAGTATTAAAAAGGAGGTTGGTGGGGTGGGAACAACCGGGAAACAGGGAAAACAACAGTAGAGGAGATAACTGAGTTTGGGGCTTCTTTGTTACTCAGCATTATTGCAGCAATAGCTGACTGACATATCACCAAACCATGTTTTAGTTAACATCTATTTAATAGCCAATTGAACAAACATTTCAAGGAATACATTTTAGAAAGTGCTTCTCTAGGAATATCTGAGGCAAGTCCAGCATTCCCAGCTTTATGTGCCTCCTTAGCCTCACCGTTCAGAGGGCACGGCCTTTGTTTAGTGTTTAATATGGGTGGCTCATCTCCCTGCACAATAGTAATACAATAATAATAATAGCAGACCTATGGTCCTGTTCTAAGCACTATACAAGTTATAACTCAACTGCTCTTCAGGGTAGGTATATCTACTTCCCCTATTTTACAGATTAGGAAACGGAAGCACAGAGAGGTGAAATAACTTGCCCAGGGTTACCCAGACAGACAACCTGACACCAGAGTATATGTCCTTCATTTTGGCCTCATGACAGTTTTCCTCAAGACTCTGTCTGCCTATTTTCTCTGCCCCACTCAGGGTCATATTTCTGAGGGTCACTCGAGCACTGCTTCATCCCTCTCTGCCTAGCCTAGTGTAGTCAAGGCACCTTAGCAAGTGTCGGGAGAGAGAAAGAGCCCTTGTCTGATAATTACAAGGTCTAGGGTCTCACTGCAGGACTGCTACTAAGTGGCTACAAATCCTGAGCAAGTTATTTTCCTCTCTGGGTTTAAGTTTCCTTCTTTTCAAATGAGGGCTCTACATTGAATCATCTATAAAGATTCTGAAAAGTCCTGCAATAAATCGAACTAACTCACCAGGATTCCCTAAACTAAAAATGACCACGGTGGTAGATTGCATTATTGCTCCCAATTTTTCACCCCTCCCTGTATCCACAATCTCTGCCATGACTTTGCAGTTCCTGCCACTAGAGGTGGAGTATATTTCCCTGCTTTGTTAATACTGGGCTTGGCCATGTGACTTAGTCTGGGCAATGGGATGTTAATGGGCATGACCTGAGAAAAGGCTTGAAATATATTTATGCAGGTTAGTTTGCCCACTTATTCTTCCATAACCATGAGAAAACCATGCCCTGGGAAGCCTACTGATCCCAGAAGAATGAGAGACTTGTGGAGCAGAGGCATTCCATCCAGCTGCCCCACAGGTCTGTAGGCATACTTTAAAAATAGTCATAAATATTATTGTCAGCAACTCAGTTTGGGGCTGCTTTGTTACTCAGCATTATTGCAGCAATAGCTAACTGATATACCACCAAACCATATTTTAGTTAACATCTATTAAATGGCCAATTGAACAAATGTTCCAAGGAGCACATTTTAAGAAGTGCTCCTCTAGGAATATCTGAGGCAAGTCCAGCATTCCCAGCTTTATGTGCCTTCCTTAGCCTCACCATTCAAAGGGCACAGCCTTTGCTTAGTGTTTAATATGGGCAGCTGATCTCCCTGCACAAACTAAAGCTCCCTGAAGGCAAGAACTTTTCAAGATCATCTTTCTATGCCCAATGCCTGGCACAGAGCCTAGCATACAATAGGTGCCCAATAAATGTTGGTTAAATGAAAAAAAAAGTGGAAATGATGGCCCTGTCATCG
Organism: Homo sapiens; assembly: GCF_000001405.40. NCBI lineage: Eukaryota > Metazoa > Chordata > Mammalia > Primates > Hominidae > Homo > Homo sapiens. Next base: position 56,653,476 of record NC_000017.11, read on the forward strand.
TTGTAACTGTATGGGCCTCTGTTTTGTCCCAGGAATGTGAACAAGATGATCTCTAAGTATCTTCCCATTTTCAATGCCTTGGAGTTAAGCAATCAACATCCCTTCTTTAATAAACCATCTGTGACGACTGGAAGCCCAGACTGGAAGCCTCCATGCCAACCTTGCCATGTCCACTCTTGATTTCCGGTTTCATTTTATCTATTAATTCAGCCACCATTTACTCTGCTCTTATTAAGTGCTTCTGTTGTGGACATAACAAACATGCAAGACACACTCTCTGCACTGGAGAAGCTTAGAGTTTCTGCCAGTCTAATTGGCACTGAGATTTGAGGCTCAAAGTCCTTAGACAGAGACATGCAGAGGAAGGTCAGTCACCCAAAGTTACAGAGCAGGAGGTGGCATGGCCAAACTCGAACCCTAGGCCTCAGAGGCCCTATTTACTGCCCTCTCCTCCTGAGTCCAGACAGTAAACCATCCTGCCTTTGGTGGAAATCCAAGAAAGTCAGCTTGTCCTGGCATGGAGCGTCTAACTAATTAAGCATCTTTCTCTCCCTCTCAGGCAACTCTGAAGGCTCCTCAAGCAAATTTGGGGATTTCCCAGAGGGGGCCAGGCTCTTGTCACTTCAGCAATAATATCCTTTCACACCCTCTAGTGGTTAGAGGGCAACCCGACATCCTGGAGGAATGAGGTGACTCCCCTGGGCCTATAAAGTGAGCCTGTTTTACTAAACACAGTCCTCTGGGAAAGCAATTTGGCAATAAGTATCAAAAGCCATAAACACAGTCCTACCCTTTAACCCAGTAATTCCACTTCTGGGACTCTATTCCAAGGTGATAATCCAAAAATAAAGGCAAAGTCTGTTAGCACAATGATGTTCATTGCCTCATTGTTTATAATATCTAAAATTAGTAAATATCCTAAGTGACCAAAAATAGGGAAATGGTTAAGCAAATTATGGCACCTCTACACAAAAGAGTAAGTATTATGAAGCCACTTAAAATGATGGGAAGTGGCATGGTAAAATAGCAGGGATATGAATATGGAAATTAAGAGGGACCAATTTGGTTTCTATCAGTTGGTTACTGCTGACAAGCTACTTAAGCCCTCTGAGCCTCAGTTTCTCATCTATAAAATAGAGCTAATGACACCCACCTTGAAAATGGAAAAGATTAGGTAAGAAACTGTGTGCAGAGTCCCTAGCACCATACTGGGCACACAGCAGATATATAATAAATGGAATTGTTACTACTGTTATTCCTAAGCTTTAAAATTATGTTACAACAGGAAAAATACATCTGAAACCACAGTAAGCAAAGAGAAAACAGCAAAATAGTATGTTCACTATGCAAAACAAAGAAAGAAACATAGGAAGAAAACTTCTGAAAGATATACATCAAATGCTGACAACGAGTTGTTTTTTCCCCCAGCAAAAATTTCTTGAGTAGAATGTGCTCAGAACTGAGTGTGCATTCAAGATACGAAGATTAAAGACAGCATGCTAAGGAACTCACAGTCCACTAGGTGATTCAGTTAAGTCAACGGGCAGCACAGATGAAAGCAGGTAAAGGGGAGGTCTCAAGAAAGGTTAGCTTGAAGTAGTAGCTGAGCTGGCTCTTGAAGTCTGATACACTTTTCCGAATCTTCCAAGAGGGTGTCATCTTATTTTGCAGAGTTTAGTTTCCTGACACTCACCCAGCTTCCACCTACGTAACGCATTTGGGAATGGCTGAGGAGAAGAGTTGAGAGGAGGTTAGTAGAGACAAAGCGTATTAGTTTTTACTGCACCCCATACCCAACATAATCCTGCAAAATCTTCAGTCCTTCCTATATAGGGAAGTTCCCTAAAAGAGGCACAGATAGTGATATGCCAAACCAGCAAGCAAAACACAGGAAGGAGTTGAGGTCATTTCTTCTCTCTCACTGTATTAGCTACTTTGAATTTTCCAGAGAGACTCATGAGTATCAACCAAAGTTTTACATTATTTTGCAAGGTTTTCTCCCCTGGCTGTTGTAGCAATAAGGAACAAGCCCTGCAAGCCTCTTTGACTCTACACTAAATGTAACAGATGTTACCAGTGTTTCTAAGGTCTCCAGCCTGGAAAACACTAGGATCATGAAGGCAGGAAGGAAGCAGTTCTTCCTTGGCCCCCTCTCAAGAGAAAGATCATTGAAATTGCAGCCCCAATCCAAATCTCCTCTCTAGATCAAGAGGTTAAAGTCATGGGGGTCTCACAAATTGCCCTCGTTTTCTTCTATTCCCATTTGATCTCTAGGTTTCTGGGTCTTAAGGGTAGGACCTGGATAATTTGAGGTGCTCAGAGAATTCAGATATCATTGTAACTGCCAGCCTCATTCCCTGGATAATTCATCCATTACCTTCCAAATCCCTTCTGTCCATCTCAGAGAAGTAGTTCTCTGTCCCACTTACTGTTGCTGCATAACACATCTCCCCAAGCTCAGTGGTATATATAGCTTTTTAAAAATACCAATGGTTTTGTTATGTCCAGGGATTCTCTCTAAGTCAGAAGTTTTTAAAGGACACATAGAGTAAATGACTCTTTTTCATGTCTCTAGGGTCTCAGCCGAAAAGATTCATGTTGGAGCTGACTTGAAGGCTGGCAGGTGGAATCATCTTAAAGCGTATCTGGTAGGTAATGCTGGCTGTAGACTGGGACTTCAGCAGTGGATGTCAGCAGGAACACCTACACATGGCCTTTCCATGTGGCTGCTTGGGCTTCCTCACATCATGGTGCCTGGATCCCAGGAGTTAGCCTTCCAAAAGAGCCAAGCCTTGAGTCACATGCCATCATTTCTGCTATAGTCACAACCCATCCATTTTATGCTGGGTCACAAGTGGTCTTTGGGCCACTGATACCACGAAGAGTGTTCTTCTCTCTTTTCACAGCTCCCACCCCCAGAGGACTGTGGAACTTATTTCATGGGAACCAGGCCAGAGTATCACTAGCACTCCCCAAACTTGTTCCTAAGTCATTTACACATCAAGTTATGACATCTTCTCCCACCAAACTGTTCCCATTCCCCACATCCAGTACAAAGTCTTAGGAGGACAAGGTAACCCTTTTTTATCACTATCTAAGAAGTCTTAGTCCAAAAGCTCATTATCAGCCCCAAAATGTTAAGGCACATAAGCCTTTCCCATTAAGACAAAACAAAACAAAGCAAAACCCTAGTAGACTCACCTGGCCACCCCTCTGGTGTATACCAGATATATATGAATTGGCTGAAGCCCAGGCCTGCACAAGTGAAGTCAAGTGAGGAGGAAAGTCTTTGAGGATGTGGCTACATAAAACCCTAAAGATGGCTTTAGTGCATAGCACCCTGGGAATCTCAAATTGGAAAGAAGTTGTTTGACATATAGAAGTAGGCCCCATTTGAAGAAAATCCAGTTGGCAATAATCCAAGCTTTTAACCACAAATTTTTTAAATGCAGGGGTGACTTCCTCACTTTCTATCAAAAATGATGCTTTTATTAAAGGAACTTCCTTGAAGGATTTAAGTGTTGGTTTATAAATTGGCAGCAACTAAGAGGCAGAAAAATATAAAACTAAGAATTGGGCTCACAGCCAATCAAGGACGAATCACAAATCAAGACTAACTTCTGAAGCTAAACACCCAGCATTGTGGAAGTGGGATTAGCTTTACACACATGCGCGTACGCTTTAAATGACAAACCGGGAACCCATTCATTATGTAAAGTCAAGCATTCCTATGATGTGGACCTGGCACTGCATCCCAGGCCTGCTGAGTAACATGAACAAATGCAAAGAAGCAGTAGGACAAGGACAGCATGTTTATGGAAAGTGGAGGGAATGAACATGCCTAGGGAAGAGACTCTTGTGTCAGGAAGCAGGTGAACATAAAGTTGGCCAGGTAGGGTGGGGCCACTTTTGCAGGCCAAGATGTTTTTCCTCCAAGAGGAGCATGATCAAAGAGGAGTTTTTGGAAGATTAATCTGGTAGAAGCACCTGAGGACAGTATTGAGACAGGGACAGCAGCTATGGAGTTTTCACAGCCATGAAGCTGTGAGGGGAAGAAGGAGGAGCTGGTGGTCTCTCTCCATGAGAAAGGCATAAAGGAAAATGGCACATGTATTCAGCCAGGCTCAGATTTTACTGCAAGCCTTTTCATCTTTGGAACAATGATATTTCTAAACTATTTCCTAAGAACCATCTTTTCTGGGACTCTAAGTCCCTCTTGAACTGTCTTTCCAGCTTCTAAAACTCCACATTCTTAGGAGAGGGAGTAAGGTGGGTTAAATCCAAGGTTGTTCAAGACATAGATGAAGATTAATGGGGACTAGTAATTATTTAAACAAACCTATGGGTCCTTAAGCCTCCAAGAACAGAGTCATCTTTCAAACCTGGACTCTAAGGAGGCCATGTTCCAATGACAAATAATCAAACAATCAAGTCTTCATATTTCTTTGGGGACTACCTTCAGAGTCTTCAATATATCCATTTTAAACATAGCCATATCATATTTTAACAATATTGCTGTTGTTGTTGTTTTAAGAAATAACCACAAGCCAAATCTGGTAGAGAAAGAGATAATCACTCAAGCTAGGTAATGGCCCTTTGGGTTAAAACAAACAAATAAACAAAACAGGTGGGACTTGGAAGAAATACATTGAGACAAAGTGAGTGAGAGTGTTTTCTTATCTTTATCATCTCTGCTATATGTGTAATGATATCTCATTCTTCATTCATATTATTTATCTGCACCTTTGCTCACTTCATCTTGACCAATATTGCTAGTTTGTCTTACTTTAAAGTCTTTTCAAAGATCTAACTTGGAGGTACAGGAAATTAAAAAGTAAAGAACAACAAAAAATGCAATTGATTTCCTTGTGCAATTGTAAACTGGCTGAGAAGAAAATTTCCCCAAAAAGAAGTTGTAAAAAAGATTTTGAGTAAGAGTAGTAGTTCAATTTGGCTAACACTAAATGAAGACTCTCTGCAAAGATGTCATTGTTTTCATCAACAGGACTCGGATGCAGGTAAAAAGTAACAAGAGTCACTGCCCTCAAGGAACCTATGAACTACTGAATGGCCTCCCATGTTGGCTACATTAACAGAAATGGCATTTATGAAGTGTCTAATTAATATTTTTCATTTCCTCTTATTGTGACAGAGACATTAAATTCTCACTAAATGGCCATGGGCTCTCCTACCTTTCCCAGGTTCCCTTGCAGTTGGATTAGAACCATGTGACCATTTCTGACCAATGGAACATGGGAGAAAGTGATGTATGCAACTTCCAAACCTAGTGCTATCAGCCCCTATGTAGTCCTCCAGCTTTCTCTTTCCATGCTGCAGTGATCACGTTATACGATGACCTGGTATAGCTGTAAGACAGGAACAGCCAAGACCCTGAGTCACCACCCGGAAGAGAGGTGCTCTAGAGATTCACTTGACTCACATGGGGATGTTGTACGATAGATATAAATCTTGATATGGTTAAACCACTGAGTTTTGGGCCTTTCTTTGTTACCACAACTGAGCTGATCTTATTCTGACATTCTTGCTAAAATTCCGAAATAACCATCATAATGATTGTCAACATAGTGTGGTGGAGAAATAAAAACCTTTAGAGCAGCAACAACCTGGGTGAAGGTAATGATGCTTAAAGGTGGCTCAGCTCATCAGTCATTTGCAGTTAACAAATCTTGGAAGAGACTAATCCTCTTCCTCCTGAGAGAACAGACTTATTGCTCCTGGAGACAGGGAAAGAGAAAAGATGGCCTATCTCAGTCTTCCGGTGGACAATCTGGGAGAGTCAGATCACAGACTGCCTGAATTTTTATGCAACAGGAGTGTACCCCTTCCACCCATATGCTCTAACATATCCAGAAAGGACTTCCAAGACAATTAACTTTCTTCCTTTAAAATTATTTCTTCCTTTAAAAAACAGATATATGAATATTATTTTCTCGTTACAATATATTTATATATTTTTTAGATCAAACCAAAGAGTTGAAGGGAAGTTCCTTCCACTTTCCTAGAATAACCACACTGGGCCACCTTTCTTTATTGTTCCAGGCTGTTCTTTGCATTTATATCCATATAAAGGTACATAGTTTTGCTTTGAGTCTTCAGTGTACTTTTGGTCCTGAGGCACAAATGGGCCAAACAGCAGGTACCATTCTGCCCTGTTGTTCTTTGACTTTATGACTTGTTTCTTTTCTGACTTTTGATGTATTTCAACATGTTTGGTCAACTTAATGCCTTTTTATTGCTGCACAGCTCTCCACAGTATGGAGGTACCATAATTTATGTAATGACTTCCCCATTGGTAGACATATATAGTGTTTTGAAACTGTAATGAACATGCTTGGAATGCCCCTTTGTGTACACAAGCCAGTATTTCTCTAGGATGGATACCTGAAAAGGAACTATCTGCTTCAAAGGATTTGCATATTTTTAGTTTCAATAGAAACTGCCAAATTGCTAAAGAAAGAAGCCATACCAACTTATACTTGCATCAACAATATATAGGTTCTGATCTTTTTTTTGTTAAGAAATGTTGATGACTTATAGATTGAAGAATTTTATATTAACAGACGTGCAATATTGGCTTATTATGAGGTTGCCTCGGCACTTGCCTGATTGCAGAGAAGGATGATCCTTTATTGCCTGCCAGTAGGTTTCACCATGGTGTTCATTAGCCACAGGCCCTGGCCCCTCCCAGGAAGACCTCTTTCAATATTGACAGGGGGGGATTTTTTGTTCCTTTAGTGAGCAGTGACCTCTAGCTGTTGTGCACTGCCTTTTTGAGAGTCACAATCCCCCGGCCAGACCACCCAGAATTGTAGGCGTAATAGCAGTGGTACGTTAGGACCAGGGGAAGACGAGGGAAGAGCTCACCTTGGGGATGCCAAAAATTCAATTATCAAGATAGATATGTAGGATCAAATGCAGTATTTTTGAAAATCAAAATTAATGCAAAAAGTCCACAATTTTAATACAAAATTTCAAATAGACAGGATTGGTATTAGTGATTTTTTCAGTGGCCTCAGGCTCCAGTAGGATTCTGCAATAGTCCAGAACAACAGTCATCTGTCATTTTAAGCAGATCTGGGAGACTCGTAGACAGACAGACAGACACACACACACACACACACACACACACACACACACTTCTTAAAATCCCTGCTTGCCTGTGTGGCCTTGGGGAAATTGCTGAACCTCTCTGAGACTCAGTTTCATTATTTGTGAGTTGTCAAGGAGTTTTCAATAAGCATCCCCCACCACCTGTACTAGTGCTTGTGCTATTGTTAGGCACCAATGCAACCCTACTGGCTGCTGGTTCTTCTATGATCCTTGAGCCTGGTTTGGCCTCTTACCTATTTCCTGGTGACCAAGTGACCCCTTTATAGACTGGAGATTGTTAATAGGAGGGAATGAATATTTACTGGGACTTTTTTTAAACTACACTGTGGGATGGGTACTTCCATGCATTATCTCAGTTAATCTGCATAGCAACCCTTCAGATATATAGATGAGAAAACTCAAGTTCAGAGAAGTTAAATGACTTGCCCTCAGTCACAGAGCAAGCCAGTGGCTGAGCGGGGCTCTGGAACCAGATCTTGTATATGTAAGTATATAGTCTAACGTTTACTTCTCTCTGGGCTGTGTCAGTAGAAGCAAGAGAAAAGAGCCTGCTACATCTGAATACAGACCTCAAGGGCAAATGCTCCCTCCCAACTGTGTATCCGAATTAAAAACAGCAAGTTTTGTTCCTGACTCAGCCCAAACCTACTACCTTCAGAGGTGCTTGTTTCTCTTGTCCAAACCCCAGGATGCCTGTGATTTCCTCTCCTAAAGCAGATGACCGTTGGCCCAGCCTCTCCTCACTGCCTCCCACCTCCCCAACCCCACACCACTCACTCCACCCAGATGACACCCCCTTATCCCTCCTGACATCAAGGTGGACAGTAAAACAACACAGTTCCATTTACCTTCACCCTAGCCCGCCCCCGGCTCAGTCACCCCACTCTCTGGGCCTTTCTGCCAAGCTCTCCAGGCAGCCACATGCACAAGAGAAGGCTGAGGGTGGGCCAGGCTGTGCAGAATGAGGGTTTTCAGAAGCGCTCTTGGCTCCTGCACTTAGAACCTTTGGAGACCTCTGGAGGTTCAGCAGCTACGTGCTCCTCTCTGCTTGGCCCAAAGGGGTGAAGGCCACCTGGCCATGCCAGGCCGGGCCACCATGGCGACATGGCCCCTGGGGAAGTGAGAGAGGGGGCTGGAAGGAGGAATTCCCTTCCCAGAGTCACACCATGGTTAGATTCTATTCCAAGAACCTGCCTCTGCCATCCCTGTCTTCTTCCCAGCTTAACTTCCCTAATGGTGTATGTCACTGAGGGGAGAATCACGGCTGGCTTTCTCTATGAATTCGCAAATCATCTTGTTGTCATCACTGGGTAGGGGAAGGCTGTGGTGGGGAGGGGCCAAAATCAATAACCCCATTTTCTGTCACCTGCCCCTTCTTCACTCCCCTCACCACCCAGGGCCAGGAGCCTCAGTTCACACAAATGTCATTTGTCCAACCTGCCAGATCTTAGCATTGACATGCCCTCTAGTGGATTTAGAAAAACAACAAAGAACACACACACACACACACACACACACACACGCAGAGGCACACCCACACCAAACAATGGTCAATTAATTCCGGCTGTGTCCACAAGGCCCTGATGCCAAAGCAATGCCATTCAAGGAAGCCCCTCAGCCCAGCCCAAGCTGCCACACGACAGCAGAGTCCACGGAGCACAGCTTCCGGGTCCTGACCAGCAGCCTGGGGTGTTTGGGGCCAACCTTTGCCATTAACAGGAATGGTACCCAGGGCCTGGTTATTGTGGCCCATGCTGGACGTGGGGACCCTCCCCACTTTTCTCTCCCAAGCTTTCTGTGCCTGGAGCGCCTAGAACACTCAAGACTCAACTCCAGCATCTTCCTTCCAACAGCACTCCTTCCAGGCACCCCCCGCCCTTTTCCTAATAGACACAAATCTTTATGCCCAGTCCTGTTTCCTCCAACCATGTGTCCCTGCGTACTGGCTTCTGGTGGTGCTCCTGTGTCTGTGGATAGCTCCCTGTTACGGTCTATCTCAGGGTTTCTCACCCTCTGCATCATGGACATTTTGGTCCGAATCATTCTTTATTGCAGGGGGGCCATCCTGTGTATTGTGTGATGTTTAGCTGCATCCCTGGCCTCTACTCACTAGATGCAAGTAGCACTCCTCCATTTGTGACAACCAAAAATATTTCCAAATGTCTCCAGGTGGGTGGGAGGGAGCAAAATCCTCCCACAGTTGACATATACCGGCCTATCTGTGGAAGTCATTGTGAACCAGAGGTAGGATCTGAGGGTGCAGGAAGCCCTCCTCCTCATCTATGTGATTAGTGTCTTTAGGGCTGAGAAGGCCTCTTAGGCTTCAGAGGGTCCTATTGAAGGGCATTTCCCCAGGCAGGGTCAATCGCAGGGGCTGCTGCATTCCACCTGTCTGGCAGGATAAGGCATGGCATGTGGGGTGTGTGAAGCTGAGGATACGGAAGAGGCAGGGGCAGAGAGGGATGTTGGAAACAGGGAGATGCTGAGGTTGGTGGTTACTGAGTTCCACACACTACAACATGACTTAGCTTATCCCCTATTTCATTTCATCCTTAGAGGGTCCCAATAATCAACAACAACAACCTGGAGGCCTCACCATGTGCCAGACATGATGTTAACGCTACTTTCCCTGAGGAAGAAATGTATGTGAACCTCATTTTACAGATGAGGAAAGTAAGACTTGGGGAAGGTGGGTCACTTGCCCAAAGAGCCAACGCTGAGGCCCCCACCTGTCCTACGACTCTCCAAAATGTGTCACCAGAATGCTAAATGCACTGAGGGTAGGTGTCTCCCCAGGTGTGAAATCAGGTAAGTCCTTGACCTAATTTCAGATTCTGCTTCAGTGCTGACCCAGCTGGGGCACTAAACTCAGGGTAACCTAGATTAATTATGTGTCTGTTATCCAGTTACTTAGTAAATGCTTTTTGGCTGTTTCTTTCACACAGACTCCATGAGCCCAGGACACTGCCCCCCACCCACTACCCCAGCAAGGACTCTCTCATTTCTCTGGCTTGTCCCCAGGGTGTCCAGCTCCCCGCTGCTCCATGGACCTGATGGACCAGACTGGATGCCCAGGAGAATGACGGGGGGGCCAAATCCTGTCCTCCGCACAGCCTGCTGCCTCCTCAGGTGGGATCCACAGGCAGCACTGCCAGAAGGGCAGGACACTGAGCCAGGTGCCAAGGGGCCTGGGGCCACATTTGGCTGAGTGACCTTAGCCAAGTCATTCTCCTCCTGGACCTCAGCCAGCCAGCCAAAACCCAGCCCCCACCCTCTAACTCTCCCAGAGATGTGCAAAGTAAATGGTTACCCAGCACTGCTCATAACGTCATACGGTGGGGAGAGGATGGGAGACAACTCATACAAGTTCCCTTCCCCCCATCTTCCCAGTCCACCCCAACTCACCCATTTCAACAAAAATCAGCCACATCAGAGCTTCCGAGACACCCTGCCCAGAGAAGGAGGCCAGGATTGCCAACCCAAGCAGCTGCTCCTCTGCAGGTTGGCTTTGAATGTGAACTTTCTTCCTTTTGGAAACTTGGCCAAAAACAGGTGGGGACAGGCGGCTCTGAGAAGACCCTAGAGGGAGGGCACTCACTCCCTTCAGCATACCTATTCCGCATTTGAGAAACCACACATAGGACGTGATTTATCATCCAGTATAACTCCAATAAAAATACACCAACTTCCAAAGAGGAGGGAGATGCAATTGTGAGGTTTCTCACCCTGCAAATCTTTTTCTTGGCTTTTCACCCACCTGCCTCTACTTGTCCCAAGAAGATGAGCACCAGGAGGTGGGGATGGGTGGGGCTTAGGCCAGACCCAGTGGGAAGGCTACAGAAGAATCCAAGGGCACTGTCTTAGTCCATTCAGGCTGCTATAACAAAATGTCATACACGAACGTTGCTTACAAGCAACAGAAATTTATTTCTCAACAGTTCTGGAGGCTGCGAAGTCCAAGATCAAAATACTGGCAGATTCAGTACCTGGTGAGGGCTCATTCATTATTGAGGTCCATATTCTCACTGCGCCCTTTAGAGTGGAAAAGGTGAGGGCTCTTTTTAGGGCCCATTTTATAAATGCACTAATCCCATTACAAGGTCACTAATCCCATGAGGGTGGAGCCCTTGTGACCTAATCATCTCCCAAAGACCCCACCTACTAATACCATCTTCCTGGGGTTTAGGATTTCAACACACGAATTTGGTGGGGCCACAAACATTCAGACCAGAGTAGACACTGCCATTGCTTTGCAGAGAGATGTGAATATGGTGTTCAGGTTCTTCCAATCAGAGACAAAGCCCGGGGGCACTGTGGCTTCTGCATCCCTCCCACAACACCACCCACCCAGGAGGGATCCAGCTGCAGCACCTCCATGCCCACCCCCAACCGGTGCCCAGGCAGGCTGTGGAGTTGATGGGCACAGAACATGAGCTCTAAAGTCAGAACCACCTCAGCTTGAATCTAGGCTCCTCCACGAAACTCCCTGCATGATCTCAGGCTTGTCGTTTCATCTCCTCCCATATCCTATGTAAGAATCCTGTCACGAAAGATGCTTGGAGAATGAGATGAGATGCTTCAAGTAAAATGTAGGGTAGCCAGCACAAGGCTAAGACAGGTCGTCTTCTCTTGCCAAATAGACATCCCTTGAGTAAAGAGATGAGGTAGGGGGCTGAGGGGCCAGTGAGCCCCCCAACATCATACTGTAATATCCCAGAGGGAGAAAAACAATAATGGTAAGAAATGAAGTAGGACTATCAAAAGCAGGTGAAATTTATTACTCTTTTGATGCTGTACTGTTAAAAGTCACAAATCTCCACTCAAGAGAGACTGTGAAAACAATGAAAAATGATGAGATAATAAATGTCAGCCCAAGACAAGAACTATCATTTACAAGACCAGACCATCCTGAGCCCATTCCACACTCTGGGAGTTCTTTCTTTAACAAAATTATACAAGGGGGATATATAACATTGTAATTCTTTATATCCTTAACCCTATAAACCACTCCCCTTCCCAGCTAACACCCCCAGCCCTGACCTTACCCCAATCTAGTATCTTCAGACCCATTTATTTATTTATCTATGTATTTATGTATGTGTTTATTTGTTATGTTTTATTTATTTCCAGGGCTGCTTCTTTCTTTGTGTACATCCTGGCAAGACACCGCTTAGTTTGAATAAACTCTGAGCTCTGAGAAATGTGGAGGTGATTCCCGAACCCAATGTCCTAAGCCTGCCAAGGATGCGAACACGGAGCCTACTTCCTCCCCTCAGCTCCCATCTCCAACACACAGAGATCCAGCCTGGGCTGGGGGCACAGAGAGACATGCCAATAAAGGAATCAGGCTGTGGCAAAGAAAGAATTAAGCCAACACTGAAATACACACACACACACGTGCACACGCACATACACACACACACACACACACATGTGTTTGGGCCACCTGGCTTCCTGCTCCCAGTGCTGCAGCCATCTGGACAGTGGAGAGAGAGAAATCCAGGAAAGGCTATTCCTGGCTGGGAGATTCTGAGAATCACACTGTAAGGCGATCCCGGGGCTCAAGCTTCGGTGGCAGGAGGGGAGCCACTTCAAGATAAGGCAACACGGGGAGTGGGGAGAATGATCTGTTCCATGCAGACAGCACAGTCCCATCCCTATGAGGCACGCGGGCTGTGGGGGCTGCCCATGGGAGCCAGATTTCACTCTGCCCTCCATGAATTCCCACCCCAATGAGAAACACATGGAGTTAAACTTTAGTGTCCTCTGCTGCAAAGTGGGGAGGGTCAATAATTTTCAAGGGACAAGAGACTCAGTAGTTTCTCCCAGCTTTATGTCTTGCTCCACATAATCAAGGTGTACACAACGATAGATCTTGTCTTAATTTCAATTTATTTTACTTTATTTAGTTTTTTTTCCAATTAAGAGCTCAAGTACCCAATGCCTCAACAACAGAGGTTCAGTATCTCATTCTTGAGAACCACCCCCAACTCCAATTTGCTCTAAAATACTGAGAACTTACTCAAACCAGAGTGCCTAGTCTCCATCTAAACTTGCAAGCCAAAGACTCCTAGGATTTGGTCAGTTCATCATTACTTTTAGTTCCCACAGCCCAGTGGTGTGGTTACTGGGGATGGATCCACAGTTAGCAAATGTCCTTGTTGGTTCAGACCCCTGCTCACATTACTATGATGCACCAAGATAATTCTTTGTAGTTCACATTCCCTCCCCAGTATTGTCTAGAGCCAACCACTGAGTTGGGAAACTTGGAACACACATGTTTCTAGCAGTGCCAGCAACAAGCCTTGCTAGACCAGCCCTCCCTGGGAAACTTGAAGCCATGTGGTGACCCCAGGCCCCAGGAAAAACGCTCTGCTTTCTTAAAATAATTTTATTTTAAGGAGTTTGCCCCCTATCTATCTGGCCACTGGAACTTGGTTGGAACAACTTCACTTTGAACTAAGGGGAACAGAGGATGGCATGTCTGTTCTTTTCCTTCTCTGAAGGCCATGGACCCTTAGGAAATTGATGCCTTTCCTCCCAGCAATCAGATCTGCATACAGAGGAACCCCAGGTCTTATTATCGCCTTGTCCAGAATAATGAGTGCCTACTTGCTTATATTTGTATAGATAGAAGGAGGAAATTTTCAAGTGCCTGTCCCCTAAATAGTGATGGGCTGAGCCAAGATAATTTGTAGGTAGTTTCTAGGAATAAATTTAGACAGTCTGGCATAATTTATTTGCTTTTATTTATTTATTTATTTTTTGAGATGGGGTCTCACTCTATCATCCAGGCTGGAGTGCGGTGGCACAATATCAGCTCACTGCAACTTCTGCTTTGAGGTCTCAAGAGATCCTCCATCCCCAGCCTCTCAAGTAGCTGGGACCACCATGCTTAGCTATTTTTTTTGTATTTTTGGTAGAGAGAGGGTTTCACCATGTTGCCTAGGCTGGTCTCAAACTCCTGACCTCAAATGATCCATCCACCTCAGCCTCCCAAAGTGCTGGGATTACAGGCATGAGCCACCATACCTGGCCTAGTCTGGCATAATTCCTAATGCCCCTTCCTCTCCTTTAACAAAATTATACAATCGGGCTATATAATATTGCAATTCTCTGTGTCCCTAATCTAGTAAATCATCCCCTTCCCAGCTAACTCCCCCAGCCCTGCTCTTATCCTAACCTAGTATCTTTGGAGCTATCCACTTATTTATTCATGTATTGATGTGTTTTCCAAGGAGGTAAGGCCAGTGTTCCCAAGTCATAGTGACTCTCAGATCCATCCTTTTAAAACTAATTCAAATGCTACCTCCACCATTGTCCTGGAAGAAGTAATCGTGACCCACCACAAACTCCCTCAGCAACAATATTAATCTGCCATAACAGAATTCTACAGACCGGATGGCTTAAACCAGGGGTCCCCAACCCCTGGGTCATGAACCAGTACCAGTCTGTGGCCTGTTAGGAACCAGGCCACACAGCTGGAGGTGAGTGGTAGGCAAGCTTCATCTGTATTTACAGCCACTCCCCATTGCTCACATTACCACCTGAGCTCCACCTCCTATCAGATCAGTGGTGGCACTAGCTTCTCATAGGAAACACAAACCCTATTGTGAATTGTGCATGCAAGGAATCTAGGTTGCACACTCCTTATAAGAATCTAATGCCTGATTATCTGAGGTGGAGCTGAAGCAGTAATGCTTATGCCGGGGAGTGGCTGCAAATACAGATTAACATTAGCAGAGAGGTTTGACTGGACAGAGATCATAATAAATCAGTTGCTTGCAGACTCATATCAAAACTCTATCCGTGAGTGGCATGTGACAATTAAGCTGCAGCATCTCGTGGCAGGCTTTATAGTGGCAAGTGAGTTGATGTACTTCAACTGTACAGCTGCAGCTGGTGCCCTTAAAGGTATGTTTAAGACAACTTCAAATCTCTATACATTCTGGATTAAAGTCAAGGCAGAGTATCCTGAGATTGCCACAAAAGTGCTGAAAAGCCTGCTTTCATTTCCTACATCCTATCTTTGTAAAGCAGGGTTTTCTGCAGTGATAGCAAACAAAATGAGATTATAAGCAACACACTTCAGGTGATACTATCTCCCATCACCCCCAGAGGGGAACATCTAGTTGCAGGAAAACAAACTCAGGGCTCCCACTGATTCTACATTATGGTGAGTTGTATAATTATTTCATTATATATTACAACGTAATAATAATAGAAGTAAAGTGCACCATAAATGTCATGTACTTGAATCATCTCAAAACCATCTCCCCAATCCCCACCCCTGGTCTTGGAAGAATTGTCTTCCAAGAAACCGGTCCCCTGTGTCAAAAAGGCTGGGGACTCTTAGCTTAAACACCAGAAATTTATTTTCTCACAGTTCTGGAGGCTGGAAGTCAGAGATCAAGGTGACAGCAGGGTTGGTTTCTTCTGAGGTGTCTCTCCTTGACTTGAAGACGGCCGTCTTCTCCCTGTATCTTCACTCTGTGCCTGTCTGTGTCCCAATTTCCTCTTCTGTCTCACAGGCTGGAGTGCAGTGGAATAATCTTGGCTCACTGCAACCTCCACCTCCTGAGTTCAAACAATTCTCCCTACCTCAGCCTCCCAAGTAGCCGGGATTACAGGCACTCACCACCACGCCCGGCTAATTTTTGTGTTTTCAGTAGAGATGGGGTTTCACCATGTTGGCCAGGCTGGTCTAAAACTCCTGACCTCAGCTGATCCACCCACCTTGCCCTCCCAAAGTGCTGGGATTGCAGGAATGAGCCACCAGGCCCGGCCCCTAATTTCTTCTTATAAGGACCCCATTCAGATTGCACTGGGGCCCATGCATATGATCTCACTTTACCTTAATTACCATTTTAAATGCCTCTAAATACAGTCACATTCTAAGTTCCTGCGAGTAGGACTTCCTCATATGAATTTGGTGAGATACGCAATTCTACATGTAACTGCAATCTATCCATTGCTCACTAGAATGAAAATCCAGGAGGACAGGGGTTTGTGCCCAGCACATGGTAGGGGCTCAGTAACTATTTTTTTTAAATGAATGCATCTCTGGGGGGTTCTTATTACTTTGTACCTTGTAATGTAGGTGTAACCTCCACTATCTGCAGGATGCTTTCATGCAGGGCTTTTGTGAGGTAGCTATCACAGACCCTAGTACTGGGCTTTGGTCAGATGAACTAGGAGAAGATGCCTTTGTAAAAAGAAAACCTGGACTCAACTTCCCTCCTTTGCTAGTTCCTGGCTATATGCCTCTGAGCCATTCACTCCATCCCTCCAAGCCTCAGCTTCCCTTCTGTGAACCTGACATAACAATGCCTGCCTCACAGGCTTCTTCAGAGATCTGGCTGAGATCACTGTGTGAAGGCCTTCTGTAAACTCTAAAGTGTTCTTACGAATGCTACCCATCATTCTCAGGCATTTTGCAGCAGATACTTTTTCAGTTGCTGTGGCTACATAATAAATTACCCCCAAAACTTAGTGTCTTAAAACAATAATAACATTTATTTTACTCAGAAATTGTAACTGGTCAGGACTCAGTGAGGTAGATCATCTCTGTTCCACTCAGGCACCCACCGAGGCAGCTCCAAGGCTGGGGACTGGAAGTGTAGGAAAATATACTCACAGGTCAGGCAGTTGATGCTGCAGGTCAGCTAAGATCTTAGTGGACCCATTGGCCACAACACCCACATGTGGCCTCTCCATATGGCCTGGGCTTCCTCACACCATGGAGATTGGATTCCAAGATGGAGGCCACCGAGAACAAACCAGGGAAAGTCATACTGCGTTTTATGACCTGGCCTTGCAGCATCACTTCCACAGCATGCTATTAATTAAGCATCAC
The DNA here is from genome assembly GCF_000001405.40 of Homo sapiens. Classification (NCBI taxonomy): domain Eukaryota; kingdom Metazoa; phylum Chordata; class Mammalia; order Primates; family Hominidae; genus Homo; species Homo sapiens. The sequence goes on from NC_000017.11 coordinate 56,670,463, forward strand.
AAAGGTTCAAGGATGGGGAAAATAGGCTCAGCCTTTGGAGGGGAAATGGCAAGGTTCTGGAAGAATATGTGGGCCTGAAAATATTGCTGTGGCCATTTTTGGAGAAGACCATTTCCCATAGTACTTGATACATTTTCTGAACAAATGAACCTTTCCTCACTGCCTTTCAGCATTGTTCAAGCCTCTCTCTACAAGTCTTTCATTGCACAGCCTCATGCTGTAGATCTTCTCTAGCTTCCTCATTCAAAATGTACCAGTCTCCATCCCAATCTATCATAGCCCTGCCTTTTGCAAGAGAAGAGTTGATGTAATAGATTAATAGATAAACCAATTTCTAACACAGTACTAGCTTAGCTAGAGGGCTCTTCTTAGGCTGTAGAAAAGTGGCTAGGCACAGGTGGCTTAGGCCAAGCATGGTGACTCATACCTGTAATCTCTGCACTTTGGGAGGCTGAAGTGGGAGGATCACTTGAGGCCAAGAGTTTGAGATCAGACTGGGTAACATAGCAAGACCCTGTATCGACAAAAATGAAAAAAAAATAGCTGGGCATGGTGGCATGCATGTATAATCCCAACTACTCAAAAAGAAGAAAGAAAGAAAGAAAGAAAGAAAGAAAGAAAGAAAGAAAGAAAGAAAGAAAGAAAGAAAGAAAGAAAGAGAAGAAAGAAAGAAAGAGAAGAAAAGAAAAGAAAGGGAAAGGAAAGGAAGAAAGAAAGAAAAGAAAGAGAGAGAAAGGCTGCCCCTCTTACACCACTAATGGATCCAGGAGGTCAACCCTTGGGAACTTCAGAGAGAGGAATGAACCAAATTGGGAGGGAGGAGGGAGGCAGAGTGGGTGACTGGTGAGTTTCTCACACCCTTCAGCCTTGAATCCCAGGCAGCCACCTGGCCCATGCGTAGGTGAACCTCTTGCTCCCTACCCATCCACTCCTCCCTGCACTCTGCCCCCTGCCACTTTCCTCTGCTTAATCTTTGGTGATGGGTAAACCCTCCAGGCTTAGAAAGATAGTCTTCCAGCCTGAGTTAGTTGATTATGAACCTGGTGTCCTCAACCCATACTTCTTCACCCCACTGTGGTTCCAGAGACTGGTAGGAGGACCTAGTCAATCTTCCCAGCTGACAAAGGCCACTTAATGGTCAAATACTCAACAAGTCATCTAGTTCACTGCAGGAACCATCTGAAGAACATTAACCCTCTTTCCCCAAACCATGTTGTTTTTCACACATCCCTCCTTTTTTTTTTTTTTTTTTTTTTTTTTTTTTTTTTTGAGACGGAGTCTCGCTCTGTCGCCCAGGCTGGAGTGCAGTGGCGGGATCTCGGCTCACTGCAAGCTCCGCCTCCCGGGTTCACGCCATTCTCCTGCCTCAGCCTCCCAAGTAGCTGGGACTGCAGGCGCCCGCCACTACGCCCGGCTAATTTTTTTTTTTTTTTGTATTTTTAGTAGAGACGGGGTTTCACCGTTTTAGCCGGGATGGTCTCGATCTCCTGACCTCGTGATCCGCCCGCCTCGGCCTCCCAAAGTGCTGGGATTACAGGCGTGAGCCACCGCGCCCGGCCATCCCTTCTGATTCATCTGAATTTGTTCTCTGACTCATTAGGTCTGTGTTGTCCTTAATTACATTCTGCAACAATAATGAAATATCAGCGTCTTCATTTTTTATTATGTTCCTGCTGGTCATGAGGTTCCAGCTTATATCATGGAGCTCAAGGGGCAGCCACTGGAAAAGTCCACCCCCTGTTCTCTCTCTTTCTGTCGTACACACACGCACTTGTGCATACACTCACACGCTCCCTCGCACACACGCAAGTGCATACACTCACACTCCATCGTATGCACACACTCCCTCATATGCACACACAAGTGCACACACTCACACACTCCCTCACACACACAGAAGGGCATACACTTACACACTCCCTCGCATGCACACACTCCCTCACATGCACACACAAGTGCATACACTCACACATTCCCTCACACACACACACAAGTGCACACACTCACATGCTCCCTTAGTTGACTTCTCACTGCCTCAAGGTAAAGCCCAAACTCCTTAACCTGACTTATGAACAGCTCTGAGGTCTTGTCCTGCGGGTGTCTCCAGCTTCATCTCTTGTCACTCTTCTTTCACGTTAAGACAGGCTGAGCTTCTTTTGGCTCCTTAAATGGTCTGTGTTCTCTCTTACCTTATTCATACAATTCCCTCCAACCAGAGCATTCTTTCCCTTTCCCCTCAATATTCAGCTCTCAGCTTGGAAGGCACTTTCCAGGAAAGCCTTTCTTGACCCTTCAGTAACATTAGTTATCTTGGCTTTATGTTCTCTTTATGCCCTGCATTTTCCTCTTGTAACTCTCAGCACAAACTACTGTAATTACTTGATATAAGTTGTTTGTCTTCTTCCACCGCCCCCACCTTAAGTTTGGCAAGGGCAGAACTGTGTCTATGTCTGTCCTGTTTGTCACAGTATCCCCTAAGAACAGCATCAAGCGTGGCACACAGACAATGCTTGGATGAATGAAACTGGAGGAGATATATCACTCCTAACCAGAATCACTGGCTGTCTTAGTCTGTTTGTGCTGCTCTAACAAAATATCTAAGACTGGGTAATTTATAAAGAACAGAAATGTATTTCTCACAGTTCTGGGGGCTGGGAAGTCCAAGACCAAGATACCAGTGGGTTTGGTGTCTAGTAGGGGTCATGGGTCATGGTCTACACTTCCAAAATGGCGCCTTGAATGTTTTAGCCCTCTGAGGCAAGGCAGAAGAGTGGAAGAGCAAAGAGAGGGTGAGAGAGAGCAAGTGGGCTAAACTCATCCTTTTATAAGGAGCCCACTCCCATGATAATGGAACCCATTCCTGCAATAATGGCATTAATCAATTCATGAGGGGAGAGCCCTCATGGCCGAAGCATCTCTCCTTAGGCTCCAACCCTCAGCATTGTTGCATTGGGGATTAAGTTTCCAAAGCATGCTTTATGGGGGACATATTATAGCTGTGGCTTATCTCCTCAGTTCTGAACATCATCAGCACAGTTAAGTAAAGTTCAAAAACATCCTAGGTGCTATCGACCAAAGTGAAGGAATGGACAGGGGGAAAAGAAAGAGCAATCTGGGGAGAAGAAGGAGGGTGGTGAAGAAAGCAAGTGAAACAGGGTAAAGGCTGTGCACAGGGCACCCTTCTTCTCACACTGGAGTCCATGTGGCCCCAGGGTACATGCCAATATGCTTGGGAGTAACTAAAGCCACAGAATAAACAGGGCACATCTCAGAGGGTCTGTTTGGACAATATGTCATTTAAAAATTATTTTTAGATTTAAAAAAGATTTATTATAAAGTCAGATTTTAAAACCCACATTAATTTTTAAGGAAATAAATAAGACTTCAAAGACACTTCCTGTGTTTGTGGTAAGGTCTTTTCTCTACCCCTCTCCCTCACTCCCTTCCAGGGATAATCCATGTACCAAAATCTTGCCTTCTGGTTTTGGGGGTTTAAGAAGCCCTGCAATGAGGCCTGGGCCTCCTCACCACATGGTGACTGGATGGTAAGAAAGATGGAGCACGGAAAGAGAGAGCCAGGGAAAGCCATATTGCCTTTTCTGACCTGGCCTCACAGCATCACTTTCACTGTGTTCTATTAATCTCTAGGCCCTTTTCATCCCTTGAAGGTCAGATGTTTGCAAAAGATAGAATAAGGAGAGACCATTTTACTTTCAGATGTTCTGTCACATTCCTTGACAATTCTAAGGCCTCAGTGTACCCATCTGAAGGCTGGATGTAATGACAATCCTTTTGTGAAGAGCTCATGCTGAGCCTCAACCTTGCCAGGATGCTAGTTGCTAACATTTATATATCCTAGATGCCAGGTATATGATATGGATTATCTCCTTTAATACTCAACAGTAAGCCCCTGATTCTTACAGATAAGAACAAACTGAGGTTTAGAGAAGTTAAGTAACTTGCTGAAGGTCACGCAGTGACTAAGTGTTAACACAGGGATTCAGTCCCAGAAAATGGCCTGAGGACCTGTACTTCTTACCCACAAAATCTACTGACAGGGAATTTTGGGGACACTTGTTGGGGGCATTTCTTTATGTGTAATTGCCTGGGGTTTTCACCACCACACCCATAGTAACCCATCCATCCTGGAGCAACCCAGAGAAATTGCCAGTAAATCTGATCTTTTCCTCCAAGCTCTGAAAGGAAGAAAATGAGACAGTCTCACAGACCTTTGGCTCAGTGGGTAAACTGATATATGCACCCTTCATTTTTCTTATGAGTCATTGAAGATCACAAGTACATTCAGGAACCACATGTCTCAGGTGACAAAGAAAAAGTGGAAGATCTTTCTCCATACCTGCAGTAATATCATGGGGTACAACAGGCTGCATCAAGAGCAAAAACTGTACTCTTCCTCTGCCCAGAGACAGGCAATTCTAACTTTCTCCTCTTCTTGTTGTTCCTGTTCTTGTTCTTGTTCTCGTTCTTGTTCTTCTTGTTCTTGTTCTTGTTCTCATTCTTGTTCTCCTCCTCCTCCTCTTCTTCTTCTTCTTCCTCCTCCTCCTCCTCTTCTTCTTCTCTTCTTCTTCTTCCTCTTCTTCCTTCTCTCTCTCTCTCTCTCTCCACCATGGGATTAAGTTCTAGCCACCCCTAATGGTAACAAGCTCTTTTGATTCCTTGGTACTTAATCATATCTCACATACAGTAGGTACTTAACAATATTTAATATCCAATATTTCTTGGATATAAAATGAAAGAATTCAATCTGAGAGGCTCCTGCCAACTGGATCAACAAGCTACCTCCAGTCCAGAGAGGATAAATAATTTGCTCAAAGCTATGGAGCAAGTCACTCTAAGAGCTCAAGGTTGAATCCAGCTCTCCTGGGTCTTTGCACTACCATGCACTGCCTCATGCCAGGTATAGCTAGGAGACTGACATGAGACATCGCAGCTTCCAAGTCTATTGATGAGTCAGGGCATAAAACAACCCAAACCCCTCTTCAGTCTTCAGGATGCAGCTCAGCAGCTCCTGCACTAGGAATCCCCCTCTGGCCACCCCAGCAGGTCGGTCACTCCTTCTTGATGTCCCCATCATTACGACATGGATCTCCATCACAGCGGGTACTACAGGACATTACATCTTCTTGCTCATCTGCCTCACCTTCTGAACTTTGAGTTCCTTAATGGCAAGGAACCACATGTTTTGAGGTTTTCCCTTCTTATTTATCTTCATCATTTAGCACAGGGCCTGGCACTGAGTAGGTGCAGAGTGTTTGTAGAATGAATTACTATGTAATTATGGAGCTAGATTGTGCAGTATAATTTATACATGCTATAAGAATTACAGGAATCTTGGTGCCCTTATGAACTAATCTTTACTTCTGAAACCATCAAGAAATCATCCCTTTAACATTTAATTGCAGAGAATCTTTAAAGTTGCTGCAAAAAAGGCATCAAGGAAACCAAAAAATAATATTTGCTAACATTTATTGAGTGTCTACTGCATACTAGGTATCTTTCATGCATTATCTCATTTAATGTTTACATCAGTCCTTTGAGGAAAACATTATTATCAGCCTCAACTTATGACTAAAGGAATCAGGACTTCCAGAGATAAAAGTGTATTGCCCAAGCTCATTCAGCAACAAAAGATGATGTTGGGGTATGAATCCAGATAACCTGACCTTGGAGTTGGTGCTCTCAACACTCCTAATCCCTATCTATCCTTGAGAAATTTATAATTAGATGCAGCAAATAAAATGCAAATGTGTGAAAGTTCTTGCTTATCTGTTATCTGTCACATTCTCTGGTCTGTGGGTTTGTACAGGTGAGAGACCACATCTTTCTCAACTTTGTTTCCTTCACACTCAGCATTGTGGCTAGTATACCGTAGATGTTGAATAAATATTAGAAGACTATGTGGTTGAATCCCTGTCCCCTAAGGAGAGACAAATTAAGTCAGACAAAGTGAGGGCTGCTCATGATGACTTGCAGCCAGCATGTCAATCAGTAAAGGCTCTGATGAGATGTGTATATGCTGGGGGGATGGTTTGGGTTACCAGAACCTCCACAATATGCTGCCCTCACTAACCACAGCCAGAAGGTTTCCAAGCAAAACACAGATAGTGCCCACCTCATCTGTGTCAACTTCCCTGTTTAATTCATGCTTATCTCTTTAAACCCCTTCCCTTTGCAGAAGAGAAACAGATTCAAAGGCATGAGATGACTTGATCAAAGTCAGGGAGACAGAGGCAGAACTTGAGCACAGAACTCTTCACCCCCAGTCCTCTGCTCCTCATCTCCTCTGTAGTTATGCATGCAATTTTTACAGATGCATGCACTGTTTATTCATTCCTTTCTTCCCATGTTCACTCATTCATCAGAAGCCCAAGACTGGACCAATTGTAGACCTTAGAGGTGGAAGTCAGGGCAGTTCAGGTCTTTATGTTGACAATCTCAACTGGGGTAATAGAGAAACACTTATGCTGTTCTTGTCCAAAGATAGCTATGAATCAGCCTTTCTAGCTAGTCTGGCACCCAGTGGTTTATGTCCTGGTGCTGCCACAGGGTGGCTTTCTGGATTTGGTTAGCAGAGAAGAACCTCTCTTCTAAGAGTCTTCAGAGAAAGCGACCAAGTTTGTCCTATCCAAGTATTTGGGATAGTATAGTATAGGTCTGGTTGCTGCATGCAATTTTCCAAGCAGGACACCTCTCCATGCTTGAACTCTGGATAAGACAATTCCAGAGCCCCTTCAGGGCTACCGCTAGGGCTGTCTCAAACTGGATCACTCCCTTGTTTAGGACCCCACTGTAGCTAGTGCATAAGCATTCTTAGGCTTACACATTGCAACTTAGCAGGGTACTTGTCAGTTCTCCCCAGATAGCTCTCTCCTTACTTTACCGTTGAGTATAAATTCTTTAGGGTCAGGTACCAATTTTAATCATCTTTATGTTCCTAGCACATAGCACAGTGCCAGCATCACAGGTGCTCAATAAATGATCAATAAATTAAATTACAATTACTCAGCTAAATAAGAGCCAAGAGAGTAGAAAGTACTTTCTTCGCATATGAAGAGGCAAGGACTTATTGAATCTGGCACCTCAAAGGGTATCGGGACCTAAAAGTGAACAGGGACTACACAGTTAAGTCTAAGAGGGGGAAGTCAAACAAGTGAATGGACAAATACACATCACAGAACAAGGGTATCTAGCCCAACTGGGGAGGTGGAAACATGGATTGAAGCATTTATTCTACCTTTAGAAGTTATTGCACCTCTGCTTTTCACTAGTCACAGAACAGGTCACTCTGACTCATCTATTCTCTCCCTCCTCCTCAACCTGATCAATAGCATCCAGTTGCAGGTAGACCACCTAGGTGTGGAGGTGAAGCCAGGAAATGCAGCTCCTCCTCATCCAATGAAACAGGCCCAGTCAATAACCAGCATAAGATCTAACAGCCGGGAATATTTGTTTGTACAATCAGTCTGGGGCTCAAACCCACAAGTGTAACTGGGAAAATGCCCTAGCCTAGTAGTCTGCCCATCCCCAGGACAGATGCCTAAGGATGGGTAGTCTGTGTTTTGCACAAAGATACCTAGTGGCAAGGTTAAGCAGGGGTAGAAATCCAACCTGCGTTTTAATTGACAAGCCATGTGCCTGACTCAAGGCTGTGTCAGCTCAAGAAAGGCACTATCAGCCTGGCCAAGCTCTGCCCTTATTTCCAGAGGGGGCACGTTGTACTTAAGGATACCCCGTAGGCTGGCAGAGGCCCTGTCTGTGTCACAGCAAAGCAGCTGGTTGGCTGGGGGTGGGATAGAAGGCAACAGCATAAACCAGACAACGGCACCTTCCCAAGCTGGAGAGCTTGGTAGGAGGCCTGGGTGAAGCACCCATGCCAAAGGAACTGAGCTGCAGTGTTCAAAACCCGACTGAGCTGCACTGTGTGCGCACTGAGGGCAGCGCAGGGGGGAATTCAACTCCACCTCAGATATTTCTTATCACGCACACCTCACGGTTAGCTCTGAGCTAAAAACACCGCCTCTAGCCTGGGACAAACCTGAACCTGACCCACACCACCACACCCCCCACCCCCCAAGCCTCTGGCTACCTTCTCCTTTCTAAAAAAATAACCCCCCAGGAAGCGCTCCACGTGCTGCTGGTGCGAGCGCCGGCGCGGCGCACTAAATCATCGCTGGCGTCCACATTTCAAAGCGGAGCCGGAGGAGTGCCGGTGATTTCTGGGTGCCACACCGATCACTCCCAAGCTCTGATCTATGGATTGTTTTGATTTCCTCCTTTGAACTCTTCCTATCCCGCTCCAGCGGCAGACAGAGATACTGAATTAAGCGACAGACAAGTTGGAGACAATGAGCGCCGGGGGCCCCCTCCCTCCCCCGGCTCCCCTCCCCCCTCCTCCCCGAAATTTGCAGACATCTGCTAGCTGGAGCCCAGCGTTGGAGTCATAAAGAAGAGCTGGCAGGAGAGTGATGTACAGCCCTGGGCCCTCCCGAGTGACTGGCGTTAACCTCCAACGGAGAGACGCTCACCCCGTTTACGACGGAGCCCTTTGTTTTACACCACTCAGCAGAGGTGCCTTGGCCATACTGAAGATTTAACCAAATTATAATGAATGATCCTCAGCAGCGCTGTGCCCCTAATTAGAACAAGTCGCACAGACATATTGTCTCCCTGATTTCCTCTGTTCCATTTCTCGCACTCTCTTTCTCTGCTCAGGACACATGGGCCCCATTAAACATTCTAGTATTTAATGTGGTTCCTTTAAATTACTTCTCAAGTTTTCGAGTTCCATTTAGAATTGGATTTTACTCTTTGGACTGTGTTTTTGATTTGGGGCTTTGTACGTTTCGTAACCGCTCTTTTTCTCCACCTAGTGGAGATTTTGGACACCACTTAGTAATACACGCGGCTGCAGGACAGGCAGCCAAGCCTCTGCGGATTGGAAGGTGGTCCACTGGGACCCTCCATTCACTGGAGACTTCTTTTGCACTTCTCCTGGAGGAGAAAGAAGAACTTGATGCAAACATAGGCTGACATTGTCGATTTTATGACCCTCGGTCTGATCACCTCATCCCCATCACAATTAAAGGGGTGAGGACTTTCTAGGTGTATCATAATTTATACTTTTGCTATAAGAGGGAAAAACACTTTCCTTGGCCCATCCTGGAGGTCAGTGTAAAAAGAATATATATTTGAATTCACTTAAGATGATCATGGCCTCAACTCTGTAGAATCCATGTTCTGGAGAAAAGGAGTTTTCGCCTTTAACAAAGCAGATATGAAGACTTACACTTTTTACAGAGGTTGGCAACAAAGACAAATCAAAAGCATGCATCAGGCAGCCCAGTAAGCTGAAATTCTGTCTTTCTTGGTAACTTGTATGTATAAATTTTACCCTATGTGTCTGGATTTAGAAGCACTACATACACACACCCACACCCAGATAGGGATCTAGAGGGAGAGCACTGAAGAGATTCCAGGGGAAGATAGCATCAACCACAGCCGCTGGCTGGGTCTGTGTGAAGACGGATTCCACACCCTTCCTGGGTTCATAAGCAGCAACTAAGAGTTCCTTAGATTAGGAATATTCTGGGGGAAGCCTCTGAGTTGGAAGGGTTTTTTAGATACTCTGGTTCCCCCTACCCCCGCCACCCTATGCCAGGAAGCTCTCTAATACATGCCGGCAGATGTCCACGTGGTCTCTGAAGACAAGACACCTCAACCCCCCAAGACAGCCTGGGGCATCTGAGAGTTGCTCCAAGGCATGCAGTGGAGCCAGAAAGGCAGAAACCCTGAGAATCCATTTGTGCAATCTTGGGGAAGGCATTCAATGTCTGTGATATCTCACTCATTCAACAAGTATTTACCAGGTCATGGTCTAGGTGCTGAAGATACAGCAGGATGCAATTTCTTGATCGTTCCAATTACCTGGATCCATAGCATGGAAATAATAGCTCACCTTACAAATGGGCTCCTGCTTTTGACACTTGTAAGTGGTATACAACTGACACTATTTCTCTTGATTATAATGATCAGAAAGGTTGTCTTTATTTACAGGAAGGTGTATTCCCTATATCTTGCACCCTTTGGTTTTAGTTCTACCTCAGCTTCTTCCTCAATGGCATGCATCTCTCTCACAAATCCTGTTTGCATTTCCAGGCAGAATGTTCTCTGATCCTTCAGCCTCTCCTCACACCACATAATTTCTTGAACTTTCTTCATCTTAAGCAGTCTATCTCTGAGCACACTCTGATTCATCAATGCCATTCCCAAAATCTGATGCCCCAAATTGAATATGATACTCCAGATATCATCTGACTAAAAATATAATGAGAACACTCCTTCCCATGAGTACAGAAGATTTCTCTGAATACTTCTGTCTCTTGTTGCATTGGATTGTTAGCAATCATATCACACTCTTGGCTTATTCTGAGCTGGTGGTCATGGAAAAGCCTCAGATATTTTTCACGTGATTTCCTGCCAAGGCGATGAGCCCTCCTCTGGTTTTTTTGTCGCTTGTTTTTTGCATGTAAATGCCAGACTTTCCATTCAGGCCTGTTCAGTTGTGTCTTATTGTTTTTGACCCAACATTCCAACCTGTCAGGACCACTCTGGGCCCTCATTCTGTCACCTCTGGTATTAACTCTCCCTCTCAGATGTGTGACATCTACACCTTTGATCAGTTTGCCTCCTGAATTTTCATCTAATGATAAATCAGACAGGATCAAGGTTAGAGCTGCTGGCACTTTGTAAGAAACCTCCTTGAAGGTTGATATCCATTGTCATGAGTTGGACCCATGCACCTTCAAGAAGCAAGGAGCAGGAACCTGGAGCAGGACTCTATGCACACCCACTCCTATGACTTCCTTTGACTTCCCTCTGATCCCGCCTTCCTCTTCCTCCCTCCTGAAATCCATGTCTTTGTCTGCATCCTCCTCTCTAGGTCTTCTCCATGATCTTTCTCACTTCTACCCCCATCCTGTGTCCACCTGATCCACGCTGCTTAACCCTTGGTCCCTGGGTGACAGGTCTGGGGTTTGCTGGCACTAGTCCTGCCCATTTCTAGACTATTTCACCCAGAGTGTCAGACTTTCGCTCCCAGCCAAGCCCTTGGCCCAGGCCAATGTGTGACTTCTCTCCCTACCACCCTGATGGGGCTCAGCACCTGGTCTGTGACATCCATTCAATACTCAACACTCTTTGGATTCAGCTGTTGAGACAGCTGCAAATACACAAAACCACTGCTCTCATCCAACCCACATTTCACCATCTTAACCACAAGGAAACCATGAGAGAAACTGTTAACCCTAAGCTGAAATCAAGACCTGCAATGTTTATGGCAGACACCTGATTCACAAACATAGTAACTTTATCAAAAAAGGAAATGAGGTTACTTTGGAATAACTTGTGCTCAATGAAGTCATGTTGCTTTCAACTGACCACTGCATTCCTTCCTAAATGCTCACTCACCATCTGCTTTTTAATGCATCCTGCTTCTCTGTTGTCACCTACCTCAAATCTACTTGTCTAAAGTTTCCAGAAACAATTTCTTTTCTTTTTATGAAAATCAGGATAATCTCTGACCAGTTCCTGATTCTGGCACCACCTTCTATTCTCCACAATTACTTAAAAGTTACTGACTGTGGCTCCCCAGCCCCACCGGAAAGTTCTTTCCACACCTCGAGATGTGAGTCATCAGGCCAGTTCCTGAGACCCAATTAAATCAGCTTCTTGCCCTCTTCCTATCTGATCTCCTCAGCTTTCTTGAGCTCTGAGCCAGCCAAGACACCTTGGGCTGCAAAGAGCAGAAACCCTAGGCTCAACTGGCTTAAAGTATAAGGAAAATTGGTTGTCTCATGAAATGAGAGGGGCTAGGAAGAGGGGCTTCAAGATTGATTACTTCAGTAGGTGGATTGCATCTCCAAGTATACTTCTCTACCCTTTTGTTCCACCATCCTCAGGTGGTCAATTGTCAGTTGAATTCCCTCATATTCTCAAAACAGTTTTTACAGCTCCACCTACGCCATGCAAATACAACAACGTCCAGCAATAAAAGGACTTCTGGTTTCATGTGTCTTCTACTTAGAAGAAAGGACACATTTTCAGAAACCCAGGCAGGCGGACAATTCCCCTATCTCTTTGGTCAGAAGTAAGTCTCATGCCCATCCTTAAGCCAATCCATGATGAGGAGAATGGAACCACAGTGATCTTCTGGGATCACTGCATCTCAGACATGGGGGAGGAATGTTGACACATTAAAAAATCAGGCCCGACTGGATGCAGTGGCTCATGCCTGTAATCCCAGCACTTTGGGAGGCAGAGGCAGGTGGATCATCTGTGGTTAGGATCTTGAGACCTGCCTGGCCAATATGGTGAAACCCTGTCTCTACTAAAAATACAAAAATTAGACGCATGTGGTGGTGTGTGCCTGTAATCCCAGCTACTGAGTTATTAGAGTTTATTAGAACTCTCTTTTATTTTATTTTATATATATTTTTTGAGACAGAGTCTTGCTCTGCCGCCCAGGCCAGAGTGCAGTGGCACAAACATGGCTCACTACAGCCTTGACCTCCTGGGCTCAAGTGATGCTCCTGCTTCAGCTTCTTGTGTAGCTAGGACCAAAGGTGCATCACCATGCCAGGCTATTTGTTTTATTTTTTGTAGAAACAGGGTCTCGCTTTGTTGCCCAGACTGGTTGCCTTTTAAACCGTCCACTCCTTCCTTCCATTGCCAGATGAGCATGATCCCAGCACATGTCCAATTCTCTGAAATCATACTTGCTTCTTCATGTTACATGTCAAGTTTGCCTTGTGCAGACTCCCGAACACCTCTGTTTCACTGTTACCTTTGCTGGAGAGCCTGGCTCAGAGGTTTTGCTATGCCTCATGCATTCAGCTTATGGATCATCTCTCTATCTTGTTTACACTTTCTCTTACTTCATCACATTGACCCACGTTTAAAGCCAAGTTCTTATACTTATTTTCTACACGAAAATACTCACGCGAGGTATTTCTAAGCACAACAGAAAAACAACTACATATGAACGTGAAGCATCTTCATTTCAAAAGTCCTTCATCTACCCTGCCATAATGTTGTACTGTCCTCTGTCTACCTTCTGCTCTCATCCCCACTCTCTTCCACTTGCTGCAAATTCCTGTTTTTTATTAACATACAGAGGTTTTAGCTGATTCTTTTTTTCCCTTGAAGCATGCTAGATTATTTCTACTGCACCCTACCTTCAATTGCAAACTGCTTATCGAGGGATTTTCCTGATCAAAACAGTTCCTTTCTTAAGAGGACTTCTGGTTCAAGACGTCAGAAAGTTTTCATTCATTCATATCATTCATACCTTTTATCTTAGCTTTTTTTTCTTAGTTTAAAGAGTTTTGATCAGATAGGCAAGTTTCCTCTCATATATGTTGTTGTTTTTATAACAGGCACTCTTGTTACCATAAGCATGGTCCCAGATACCAAACGCTATTTTATTTCATTTTTTTGTAAAGGTCTCTGTTTCTTTGCAATTGAAAGCACCAATTTCAGGAGAGAAAAGAAGAGAGAAATAGAGATGAATATGCCTTCAAGTTGTCCTGTTTTTTAATCTACAGTATTAAAACATCCAAATAGTCATGGTCGTGTAGACCTCTGCTCACTGCACCAGTGACTTCAGGGAACTCACCAAAAGCAGGTAGCGACTGGTAGGTCTTCAAGATGACTCTTGGCAGGTTATTCAACATGCCTGGTGCACACATTAAAGACAGAATACTTTCCAGTGAAGTTGCTGCAGCTCTACCCACAGAAAATTCCACATTGCCTCTCAGGAGGAGAGTGCTCATTCCCGTAATACATCTGTCCCTCCCTGGAGCGAGGGGGCTCCTTCCACTAGCTTATGCCTGTTAGCATGATGGTGGGTGAGTCTTGAGTTGAGATTTCTTCAAAACATCTAGAACTACCCTCTTTAATACTATACCCTGGTGTAACAGGCCCGGGTAGAGAGGCAGTCTGAGGCCAGACTGAGGGTGTAATCAGATTTCACCATGGTACAGGGAAAAATTATGTCAAGATCCAAAAAATGGCACCAGAAGTGGGCCACTAGGTCAATAATGATTGTATTCATTCACAGAGGGTACCCAGGGTCATTCCAGAAGGGGGTCATTGGACTAGGAAATAAATCAGGAATCTTGGCCAGGTGCAATGACTCACACCTGTAATCCCAACACTTCGGGAGTCCAAGGCAGAAGGATGGCTTGAGCCCAGGAGTTCAAGACCAGCCTGAGCAACATAATGAGACCCTGTCTCTACAACAAATTTTTAAAAATTAGCCAGGTGTTGTGGCACACACCTGTGGCCCAAGCTACTTGGACCTGAGGCTGAGATGGAGCATTGCTTGAGCCCAGGAGGTCGAGGCTGCAATGAGCTATGATCACACCACTGCACTCCAGCCCAGGCAACAGAGCAAGACCCTGTCTCAAAAAAAAAAAAAAAGAAAAAAAGAAGAAGAAGAAAAGAAAAGAAAAAATCAGAAATCTTAAGTTCGAAGCAGAAGGCCACAAAAGGAATGAGGACCCAAGGATTGATACAAATGCAGGAAGTCACTATACCTATTGAGAAGTCCAGATTATTTTATCACACCTTTTGTTTGCTGCCAGAGTGGATTCTAGTTGACCACCTGGAGACATCATGGCTTCTCTACCCAAGAAATGTACCCCAAAGCCCCCTTTCAACTGAGGGACTGTGTGCCTACACAGTGCATGTTTAGGGTGGATTCTGCTTCTTTTTCTCCCCTAGGTCACATTCTTATACTATCCTGATTCTTGACCTTTTTAACAAAGTCCCAGCTGGTGCCTAAGTTGTGTCTGTAGCTAGGACTCAAACATGCATCCAGGATGCTCTAGAGTCCTACCTGGAGTTTACTTATTCACATCCAAAGCTGAGGGGGACTCCTAAGAAATAACTCACCCAACAAGAACAGGAAGTTGGACAGAGGAGCAGGACCTAAACAAATCCTTATGCTCGGAGGAAGTGTGGCTCTGACTGTAGAATAGCATCTGCCTCTTGGATTTGTCTCCTTGCCAGCCTCCCTCATAGGCTCATGCCTAGATCCTAGGAAATGATAGGCTTTGAATAAAAAATTTAAAAAAAAATGTTGCTGAAATTCTGCATGAAAGCAGGGCTCTTGTCACAAAGCATAAAAAAATCAATCTCCCTCTCCTTCCCCTTGTAATCCAGCTCACAACAGTATTTTCCATACCCAGAAAGATGAATCAATGGAGGTCAATGGTAGGCAGCCTCAAGATAGATCCCAGTGATCCCCCATCTCCTGATAATCACACTTTTGAGTAGTCCCCTCTCACACTGTATCAGGGTTAGTCTGTGTGACCAATGGGACATAGCAGAAGTTATGGTTTGTCATTTCCAAAACCAAAAGGTGCTGAAGCTTCATATTTGCTCTCCCTGACCCACTCACTCTGGGTGAAGTCAGCTGCCATGTTAAAAGGACGCATTTGGAACTCTGTAAAGAAGTCCATGTGGTGAGAAACTGAGGCCTCCTGCCAGTAGCCCTTTAGGAACTGAGTCCTCTAGCCAACAGCCATGTGAATGAGCCATTGTGGAAGTGGTTCCTCCAGGCCTGGCCAACATCTTGACTGCAACCTCATGAGAGACCCTGAGTCAGAACCCTCCCACTAAGCTATTTTTGGATTCCTTGGCCCTTAACTGGTGAGATTAAAATGTGGGTTTAGGGGCAGGGGGGGCAATTTGTTATGCATCAATAGATACAGATTTTGGTACCAGAAGTGAGGTGCTGTCAAAAGTAATATCTAGAAATGTAGGCGTGGCTTTAGAACCAAGCAATAAGCAGAAAATAGAAGGATATCGAGGACAGTGTTAGCGAAGGCCTGAAGAGCTTCAACAAAACTGCTGGTGGATGCATGATTATCTTTGAGGAGGCTTCAGATGAGAGCATAAAGGAAATTGAGGAAAAACTTACTGGAAAGTAGAAGAAAGGAGGGTCCTTGTTGTATTGTGGCAAAAAGTTTAGCAACACTGTCACCTGTACTTAATGAACTGGATCTAGCTAAAGAGATTACTAAGCTATGTGTTAAAGGTGCCACCTGGTTTCTTGCTGCTTAGAGTAAAATGTGAGGGGAGACAGATAAGCTAAAAGAAGGACTGCTACACATGGAGGTGCCAGCACTTGATAGTCTTAAAATTTTTCAACCTCCCAAGATGGCAATCAAAGCTAAAATTAAGAAATGACTTCCTGGGCAGGTGCGGTGGCTCACACCTATAATCCCAGCACTTTGGGAGGCCAAGGCAGGTGCATCACAAGGTCAGGAGTTTGAGACCAGCCTGGCCAACATGGCGAAACCCTGTCTCTACTAAAAATACAAAAATTAGCCAGGCATGGTGGTGGGCGCCTGTAATCCCAGCTACCCGGGATGCTGAGGCAGGAGAATGGCTTGAACCCTGGAGGCAGAGGTTGCAGTGAGCCAAGGTCATGCCATTGCACTCCAGCCTGGGCAACAAGAGCAAGACTCTGCCTCCAAAAAAAAAAAAAAAAAAAAAAAAAAAAGGCTTCCTAACTTGGTAATATATTGAAGGAAAAAATAAATAAAAAGAAATGTCTTCCATCCATGATCACTTTCAGGACACTGCAGGAAAAAATGGTCAGAAGATGAAGCCAAGAGTCTAGCAGTTAAAGCCCTTTGTTAAGACCTCGGAAGGCTCTAAGGTAATATTTCAGAGTACTATTCAATCAGACAAAACACCTCTAAAAAATGTGTGTGTACCTCACAGATACTCTCAAATAATAGAGATTCTAAGAAGCTTAATGTCCCTCAGCCATTTTAGCAGAAGACCATGAGTTTACCTCAAAGACATTTCTAGGTATGACTTTTGTTTAATGGAATGACTCCAACATGTTTCAGAAGAGACTCACAAACTTTTTAAGAAAATTATATTTGCAGAAACACCACTGGCTTAGACAGTAACAGTACAAAATGGAAAACAACTTTGAACCTTCCTCCCCCAACCCCACCACCTCCTACAAATAAAACCTGGTGTGAAATAAGCTGAGAAAACTACACAGTCGTAGACAAGACTACTTCTCATGGAAAAGGAAAAGGGACTCAGAGGGCAAACTAAGACCCCAGATGGCAAGGCAAAGAGCCATGAAAAGTTATTTCCAGTCAGGAGTAAATCAAGTCTTAATCAGAGAACTTCCAACATTTTTCTAAGTGTATTTCAGACATTCTATGGACTGGTGACTTTTATGCCTCCCATTTTCCACATTTTTGAACATAAATGTCTATAGTGATTATCCTATGCCCATTCCATCATTACATTTTAAGTGTGTGTGTTCACAGGTCTTCCTTAAAGAGCTGAATTTAAGGAATTACACCTGAGGCATCTCATCAGCTCCTAAATTAGATGAAAAATGTTGGAACTCGCTCTGATGCTGTGATGAAATGATATTTGGGTGTCCTTGGGAGATGAGTGAGTGTATTTTGCATGTGGGGGGAATATAAATCATTAGTGGACAGAGGGTGGATGGTGCTTGTTTTTAAATGTTCACAGATTGTTTGTACACCTCCCTCCAAGTACATAGTGGTACACAGTAGACAAGTACATAGTAGACATAGTAGTACATAGTAGACATAGTAGTACATAGTAGACAAGTATATAGTAGACATAGTAGAGTACATAGCAGACAAGTACATAGTAGACATAGTAGTACAAGGTAGACAAGTACATAGTAGATGCAGCAGCAAGTAGCAAGTACATAGTAGACATAGTAGCAAGTAGCAAGTACATAGTAGACATAGTAGGAAGTACATAGCAGACACCCTGCTGAGGGTTGTCAGCTGTCCCTACAGCAGAGTGGAGGTAAGGTAGTCCAGTGGTTAAGAACACGGGTGTTGCAATCAAGCAGAACTGGGTGAGAATCAGGCTCTGACACTCCTTAGCCCTGTGACCCTAGGCAAGTGACTTCCTTTCTCTGTGCCTCCATTTCCACATCCATAAAAGGGATAATCCTCACCTTTTCAGGATTATTGTGAGGATTCAATAAAATACTGTATTTAAATTACTTGGAGTAGGGCTGGGCATGGTGGCTTATGCCTGTAATCCCAGCACTTTGAGAGGCCAAGGCGGGCAGATCACTTGAGGCCAGGAGTTTGAGACCAGCCTGGCCAGTGTGGCGAAACCCCATCTCTACTAAAAAAAATACAAAAATTGGCCAGGCATGGTGGCATACACCTGTAATCCCAGCTACTCAGGAGGCTGAGGCACAAGAATCACTTGAACCCAGGAGGTGGAGGTCGCAGTGAGCCAAGATCGCGCCACTGCACTCCAGCCTGAGAGACAGAGCGAGACTCCATCTCAAAAAAAAAAAAAAAAAAAAAATTACTTGGAGTAGGCTCTGAAACACAGTAAATGCTCAGTAAATAGAAGATACCATTAATACATGGCCGTGTGAAGTTACAGAAAGAACAAGGGAGCCAGGTTCAGGTTCCACCATGTGAGGTTATAATGAGGATTAGATATGATGTGCCCAGCACATACAAAGCAGTTCGTAACTGTTCACTTTCTTAGTGTCCACTCTCTCTAACAATGCTGTGGTTCATACACACAGGTTGCACCTAATAAACTCCTTCCATATTTCCAGGTTTTCAAACTACATGGAAACAAACAGCATAGATAATATTCTCTTCCTGGTTCCATGTATGTCTGTGCATTTCTATGCTAAATAGCACCACAAAGACACACTATAGTATAATACTGATAGAAAAGAGGCCGGGCACCGTGATTCACACCTGTAATCCCAGCACTTTGGGAGGCTGAGGCAGGCAGGCGGATCACCTGAGGTCAGGAGTTCGAGATCAGACTGGCCAACATAGTGAAACCCTGTCTCTACTAAAAATGCAAAAAATTAGCCAGGCGTGGTGGCACACGCTTGTAGTCCCAACTACCTAGGAGGCTGAGGCAAGAGAATCGCTTGAACCCAGGAGGCAGAAGTTGCAGTGAGCCAAGATCGAGCCACTGCACTCCAGTCTGTGCAACAGAGTGAAACCCTGTCTCAAAAAAAAAAAAAGGAAAGAAAGGAAGAAAGAAAGAAAGAAAGAAAGAAAGAAAGAAAGAAAGAAAGAAAGAAAGAAGAAAGAAAGAAAGAAAGAAAGAAAGAAAGAAAGAAAGAAAGAAAGAAAGAAAGAAAGAAAGAAAGAAAAAGAAAAGAAAGCCGAGAGGCCAACTAATCCAACACACCCCTACCCACCCATTTCACAGAGGAGAAAGTTGAGGTCCTAAAGGAGTAAAGGATGTGAGAAAGTCCCACATCTAGTGAGTGGCCATGTCAGGTCAGCCTTGACCCCTGCCTCTCAACTCCCAGGCTTGTGCTCTTTCCTTTCTAGCAGTAGAGTGCTGAACTTGCTGTTTGCCCATGCATTTGGGGTTGGGACAGGGGAATGGACATTGAGAAAGGGATTGCTTTAATTAACATAGACACAGAGGAGGCATGGGCTGGGCAGGTGATGTGGCAGGGGGGAGTTTCAGAAGGGATTTCCAGGTCACTGACTGTGCCAGGCTCCAAGTTCCAGATGCTTTTTGTCATAGGGGCCCGTCCACATGACATCCGCCACCGTGGCACAGGCTGGAGGACATGCCCTGCCTGACCAACATTTTAGGGGCTGGAAGACGAGAGGAATCTTCCTGGAGAGAGGCTGGATTCTGTTCCTAGCTGCACTGGGGATTGACGAGGAAGCTAACTTGAAAGGTAAGGTGGTATACCAGAAAGCTCGTCAGACAAAAATTCAGTTAAGCTTTGGTTCTGCTCCTGTCTTATTGTGTGACCTTGAATCTTTCCCTTAACCTCTCAGAGCCTCAGTTTCCTCAGTTATATTAAGTATCACAGCACCTGCTATTCCACCTACTCACAATTGTGGGAAAACTCTAATCTAACCCACTAATTAGATAGATAAGGAGCTCACAAATCCATTTGTATACAATCCTGGACATGGGTGAGATAATAATAAAAGGTGGTTTGCACATCCTGGTGTCTAGGAATTAAGGTACATGAAATTACCCAACCACACACCGCTTCCTGAGTCCAGAGGCTGGAGAGATTTCAGCAGCCTCCATTTCAGGGCCAGTGGGATTCTTGAAGACAAAGGGAAAAATGTTCTCAATTCCTTTGTCGAGAGACTTACGTCAACAGATGTCCCAGATAGAGACACTCAGGATGCGTAATGGAATAGTGCCCACAAGGAATAGGGGCCCAGGGAGCCCTCAAAGCTCCAAGTCCTGGTCCTGCACATGGAGCTCCGGAGAGAGGCCAGGACGGAGGCTGGGATCCAGGGCAGGAACATGTGGAGGAGGAAAGGCGAATTGGCCAGCTCTGGGGAGACATCCCAAACATCCGGAACCCATTGCTCAAGCAGGGCACTGGGCTCCAGAGGCATGCTGAGCGGAAGATGGTGGGGTTTTGTTTTATTTTTGGATTTTGCCAAATCAAAAGAATTCAAGAAATTGCGGGAACTGTTGTGTTGAAATGCAGACACTGCCAGGGTTGGCACAGGCCTGTTTATAAGTAATTCAGTCTGAAGCAGGGAGGAGCTGCAAGCGTGCACACATGCACACTCACACACACTCGCACACACATACTGCCTGCACAGGCCAGTGGCCACAGGAGGCCTGATCTTCCCTTGGTGGCTCCTGAGGGGTTGGCCAACACACGCGGGCTCCAGGCCAATGTTCATTCATCTGTGCACTCCTGTATTCACTGAGTGCCTACGACGCAGCAGGCAAGTCAGAAGCTCACAGATGGTGTGGGGAGCAGAGGCGGCCCCTCCCTTCCCAGTACTGACGTTCCTCAGGGCCATACAATGGTAGGGGATGCAGGTCCCCCCTTTTTATCTGAGCCTAAGTAGAGAAGAGTAGGCGATGGGCTAGGGAAGGAGAGCAAAGGGTAAGGAGACATGTAGCAGACACTGGTGGCTCCCCACCTATCACCCATCCATACTTCCTGCTTTTGCTCTTGCTCAGGCAGCAGTCAGGGATCCCTTGATCTTGGGGAGAGGAGACACCTTCCCAGTCTTAGGGGATGCATCATAACAGGTCCAAAATAATTGTGGTCACCTCATTACCTTTGGTTAGTAATTGGCCTGAAGGTCTACACATGTGACCCAGTTTTAGCTAAAAAGCTATAAGAATTCTCCTGGGAGAGCTAAGCTCTTTTGCCCTTCCCCTTTCTTCTTACTAGAACATGGACATAAGGGTCAGAGGTGTCAAATCCATTTGAAAACCAAGAGGCAACATGTCAACAAGCTAAGATGGCAGGACTAAGAGAAAGAGCCCGCATGTTTGACAGCACCGAGCCATTGCACCAGAGTTGGAATGCCTGCCTTCAGACATTCATCAGGTGAGACCAAATAGAAATCTATATTTATACTATACATTTATTAAATAAATATCTATTTATATAATGTCTATTTATAAATAATATATATATTTTTGTCTCATCTGATGAGTGTCTAAAGGCAGGCAGTCCAGCTCTGGCTCAGTGTGTCAAACACACAGGCTGTTTCTCTTAGTTCTGACATATATATACAGATAGATAGATAGATAGACAGACAGACAGATAGATAGATAGACAGACAGACAGATAGATAGATATAAAATGCCCTATTTGTTGAAGCTGCTTTTAATTGGGTTTTTCCGTTACTTACAGCTGAGAATATTCCTAAAGCATCTGAGAGAGGATGTTACTAGTATTATCATGAGAAAGCCATGTTGCAGGGCATAAACAGGCCCCCGCTCCAAGAAGAGCCATTGGAAAGAGCTGGGAAACAAAGAGCTCAACCACACTTTTTTTTTTTTTTTTTTTTGAGACGGAGTTTCGCTCTTGTTGCCCAGGCTGCAGTGCAATGACGCTATCTCAGCTCACCGCAACCTCCGCCTCCCAGGTTCAAGTGATTCTCCTGCCTCAGCCTCCCTAGTAGCTGGGATTACAGGCATGTGCCACCATGCCCAGCTAATTTTGTATTTTTAGTAGAGACGGGGTTTCTCCATGTTGGTCAGGCTGGTCTTGAACTCCCGACCTCAGGAGATCCGCCCACCTCGGCCTCCCAAAGTGCTGGGATTACAGGCATGAGCCACCGCGCCCGGCCAACCACACTTCTTTTTTAAACGAAGTGGTCTCCTGGGTGATCTGTTCTCTATTAGGTGCTAAAGGTATGTATGGTGCTAAGGGTATGTATACCACCCCTTCCCACTGGAGGGACTTTAGCACCAAAATTCCTTCCTGAAGAGGACTTACTAAATCATTCCAACCCCAATTTCTTGTTCTTCAATACAAGTTGGTATTATAATTGCATTTGGAGGAATCAGTAAGTTGGGACTTTAAATCCTGTGTGTGTTTGTGTGTGTGTGTGTGTGTGTGTGTGTGTGTGTGAAAGAGAGAGAGAGAAGAAAGTTGCTGTTTAAAAATTGCTATTGCTTCATGTCTAATAACGGCATTCAACAACTGCCAGGGTTCAAATCTAGCTACTCCCTAACCATATGAAATTAAGTTGTAAAACCTATATGTGCCTCACTTTTCTCATCTGTAATAGCTTCTACTTCATAGAGTTAATGTGAGGAGTAAATAGATTAATTCTTATTTAGAATTAAGTCTTAGAACAAGTGCCCAGCACATGATAGATCCCCAAGAAATATTACCTAATGTTTTCATTGATTCTGAGATGCACATAGGTTTGTCTTAGGGTGTTTGTTTTGTTTTGTTTTGTTTTGTGTTTTGGAGACAGGGTCTCCCTCTGTCACTCAGGCTGCAGTGCAATGGCACAATTATAGCTCACTATAGCCTCAACTTCCCAGGCTCAGGCAATCATCTCACCTCAGCCTCCTGAGTAGCTGCAACCACAGGCATGAACTACCATGCCAAGCTACCTTTTTTTTTTTTTTTTTTTTTTTTGTAGAGACAGGGTCTCTCTATGTTGCCCAGGCTGGTCTCGAACTCCTGGCCTCAAGTGATCCACAAGCCTCAGCCTCCCAAAGTGCTGGGATTATAGGCATAAGCCACCACACCCAGACTATTTTTTTAGACATTGATTTTGAATTTTATTCCAGTATTTAAATTTCTAAAATACATTAATGTGTTAAGTGGAAATCAAGAACATTTAACTGCCTGTTGATGAATGAGCAGAGAAAATCTGGTGTCTACAAAGCATCCAGATAAGTATATAAGTACAACTTACGCACACACTTTACATTCAGCATTGTGACAGGCACTTTCAAAACCTCCTCACGGTTGACTTACAGCTCATTGGGCCCCCTTTTTGTAACTCCACAGAACTTTCAGGGATTTTGTTCTTTCCAACTTTTATTTTAGGTCTGGGGGTACATGTACAAGTTTGGTTTATAGGCAAATTGCGTGTCATGGGGATTTGGTGTACAGATTATTTCCTCACACAGGTAATAAGCATTGTATTTGATAGTTTTTCAGTCCTCACCCTCCTCCCAACCTCCACCCTCGGGTAGGCCCCAGTGTCCATTGTTCCCTTGATTGTGTCCATGTGTACTCAACATTTAGCTCTCACTTATACGTGAGAATATGTAGTATTTGGTTTTCTGTTCCTGCAATAATTCACTTAGAATAATGGCCTGCAGCTCCTTCCATGTTACTGCAAAGGACATGATCTCATCCTTTTTCATAGCTGCATAGTATTACATGGTATATATGTACCATATTTTCTTTATCCAGTCCACCATTGGTGGGCATTTAGATTGCTTCCATGTATTTGCTGTTCTGAATAGTTCAGCTCATATTTTTACCATCCCTCAAACCATGATGTTTTTCAGAGAATAGTATGTGTCATAGGTAACTGGAATCATTTTTTTCTGGGTGATTTGCTTTTACAACCTGCAATATCCTTGATCTGACAAAGTGTGGAATTATTATTGGAGCAGATCTCCTTGCTGTGAAAAGGGCCACTTATGTAGTCCTGTAGACATAAAGATATATAAAGCAAATAGGCACCTCATTGTCACTGGGGAAGGAGTTTTGAAGGTTTGTCAAAGGCCACCCTATCCCATACCTTTTGTTTGTGGAGCTCAAAGGCTCTGGTGAAGGAACGGGTAAATTTGTGTAGCAGATCAGCAGATCCAAATGGAAATCAATGCTTTTTAAAGACTTTACTTTTTTAGAGAAATTTTAGGTTCACAACAAAATTGAGAGAAAGGTGCAGAGACTTCCTCTATACCCCCTGCCCCCACACATGTTTAGACCCTCCCACTATCAACATCCCTCACCACAGTGAAGCATTCATTACAATCAATGAACCTACATTGACACATCATTCTCACCCAGAGTCCACAGTCTACATGAAGGTTCACTCTTGGTGTACATTCTGTGGGCTCTGATAAATACATAATGATATGTATCCACCATTACCATATCATACTGAATAGTTTCACTGGCCTAAAAATCCTCTGTGCTCTGCCTAGTCATCCTTCCCCCTCCCCTAACCCCTGGCAACCAATGATCTTTTCACTGTCTCCAGAGTTGCGCCTTTCCCAGAATGTCATGTAGTTGGAATCCTACAGTATGTAGCCTTTTCAGTTTGGCTTCTCTCCCTTAGTAGTATGCATTTAAGGTTACTCCATGTCTTTCTGTGGCTTGATAGCTCATTTCTTTTTAGCGATGAATAATATTCCACTGTCTGGATGTACCCCAGTTTATTTATCCATTCACCTCCTGAAGGACATCTTGGTTGCTTCCAAGTTTTGTCAATTTTGAATAAAGCTGCTGCAAACATTTGTGTGCAAGTTTTTGTGTGGACATAAGTTTTCAATTCATTTAGTTAAAAACCAAGGAGTGTGGTTGCTGGATCGCATGGTAAGAGTATGTTTAGTTTTGTAAGAAACTGCCAAACCATCTTCCAAAGTGGCTATACTATTTTGCATTCCCACCAGCAATGAATGAAAGTTCCTGTCACTCCACATCCTCACCAGCATTTGGTGTTATCAGTGTTTTGGATTTCCGCCATTCTAATAGGTATGTAGTGGCATCTCATTGTCATTTCAATTTGCATTTCCCTGATGACATATAATGCAGAGCCTTTTTGTATGTGCTTATTTGCCATCTGTATATCTTCTTTGATGGGGTGTCTGTTAAAGTCTTTGGACCATTTTTTAATCAGGTTGTTTGCTTTTTTATTGCTGAGTTTTAAGTGTTCTTTGTATATTTTGAATAACATTCCTTTATCAGATGTGTCTCTTGCAAATATTTTCTCCCAGTTTGTGACTTGTCTTCTCTTTCTTTAGACATTGTCTTTCACAGAGCAGAAGTTTTTAATTTTAATGAAAGCCAGCTTATCTGTTACTTATTTCACAGATCATGCTTTTATTGTGGTATCTAAAAAGTCATCACCATACTCAAGGTTATCTAGATTTTATTCTGTGTTACCTTCCAGGAGTTTTATAATTTTATATTTTACATTGAGATCTAGGATCCAATTTGAGTTAATTTTTTATGAAGAGTGGGAGGCCTCTCACTAGTTTCAGTTTCTTGCATGTGGGTGTCCAGTTTTCCAGCATCATTTGTTGAAAAGGCTATTAGATCAATGCTTTTGGATTTTAGATTATTCAAAAACCTAAAGAATTGAGGTTGTACAGTGAGGTCACTTGAGCAGAAAGGACATGAAGGCCCTCCCAAGAAGGAGCAGAAAAACGTGCCGTGACTTTGACTAGAGCCGGAGCTGAGAATGTCAGGTGGAGATTCATTGCTCCAGCAACTAACGTGGCAAAGGTGGACCCAGGACAGCTAGGGCCTCACCAGCTTCCTGGTGGCACACCTGCATCTGATAGAATCCCCAGTGGGACTGGATCTAATATGAATAAGCATTTGGAGGGTTGCAACTATAAGTTGAAACTCCATCATTCCTCTTCAGTTCAATGTGGGAGCGTAGACACCAGGAAGGAAAGGCAATCTTCTGATGGAGAGACAGGGTTATGATCAGTTTCAGCTTGAATAACACAGGAAGCGTGGGCTTATTTTTTAGCTTAAGCACGTGAAGCAAGTTATATGAATGAAACTATTATTAATTAATAATTATTATTTACAATATGACATTATTACCAGTAGCAGCCGACACTTATCAAGTACTACTATGTGTGGAGCACTGGACTATGCACGTTGTGTAGATTATCACATTTACTCTACAGAGCTAGGAAGTAGCAGCAACGACTCATTTGACAGCTGAGGAAATGAGACCCAAAGAGGTCAATTAAGTTTTCTATAGTCACTCTGCCAGCATGCAACAGGGCTCAGGTTCAAACTCAACTTGTCTCACTCCAGAGCCTGAGTTAATCACTATTCATGTTTGAAAATAGAGTTTCTTCTTCTTCTTCTT
Organism: Homo sapiens; assembly: GCF_000001405.40. NCBI lineage: Eukaryota > Metazoa > Chordata > Mammalia > Primates > Hominidae > Homo > Homo sapiens. Next base: position 56,696,883 of record NC_000017.11, read on the forward strand.
CTTCTTCTTCTTCTTCTTCTTCTTCTTCTTCTTCTTCTTCTTCTTCTTCTTCCTCTTCTTCTTCTTCTTCTTTTTGAAACAGAGTTTCGCTCTTATTGCCTAAGCAACCTCTGCCTCCTGGGTTCAAGCGATTCTCCTGCCTCAGCCTCCCGAGTAGCTGGGATTATAGGCATGCATCACCACGCCCAGCTAATTTTGTATTTTTTGTAGAGATGGGGTTTCTCCATGTTGGTCAGGCTGGTCTCAAACTCCCGACCTCAAGTGATCTGCCCACCTCAGCCTCCCAAAGTGCTAGGATTACAGGCATGAGCCACTGAGCCCGACCAAATTTCTTCTTTTAATAGCAGTGTTTCAGCTGGTTTCTGACTGCAAAGTTGGCTGGGTGTGTGTGGCTTCTCCCTCTGCCTGTAGAAACTCCATCATTCCTCTTTAGTTCAATGAGGGTTATCCAGGATTTGCTGGATACTACGTTCTCTGCCTCAATGCTCCCTTGCCAGATGGCCTTCCTTCAGCAGTATATTAGTCAAGTTGGGCTGCCAGAACAAAATACCATAGATTGGGTGGCCTAGACAACAGAAATTTATTTCCTGACAGTCTGGAGGCTGGAAAGCCAAGACGAAAGTCTGGCAAAGTTCGGATCCTGGTGAGGACTCTCCACCTGGCCTGCAGACAGCTGCCTTCTCTCTGGGTCCTCACATGGCAGGAGAGGGGAAGATTTCTTGCTCTTCCTCTTTTTATAAGGCCACAGTCCTATTAAATTAGGGTACCACCTCATTTAACCTTAATTATGTCCTAAAGATCTTATCTTAAGATATAGTCACATTGGGGGTTAGGGCTTTAACTTATGAATTTGGAGGGGACACAATTTAGTCCACAGCAAGCAGTTACTTTTTTTTTCTTTTTTCTTTTTTCTTTTTTTTTTTTTTTGAGACAGGGCCTCACTCTGTCACCCAGGCTACAGTGCAGTGGCATGATCGCGGCTCACTGTAGCCTTGACCTCCCCAGCTCAAGCAACCTTCCTGCCTCAGCCTTACAAGTAGCTGAGACTACAGGAGGGCACCACCATGCCCAGCTAATTTTTTTATTTTTTGTAGAAACAGAGTCTCCCTATGTTGCCCAGGCTGGTCTTGGACTCCTGAGCTCAAGCAATCCTCCTACCTCAGCCTCCCAAAGTGCCCAGGCCAGAGCACAGTAGTGTGATCTCGACTTACTGCTTGTGCCTCCTGGGCTCAATTGATCGTCCCACCTCAGCCTCCCAAAGTGCTGAGATTACAGGCAGGACCCACTGCACCTGGCCAATTTACTCTTTTTTTTTTTTTTTGAGACAGGGTCTCACTCTGTCACCCAGGCCAGAGTACAGTAGTGCAATCTCAACTTACTGCCTCTGCCTCCTGGGCTCAAGTGATCATCCCACCTCAGCCTTCTGAGTAGCGGAAAGTACAGGCACGTGCCACCATGCTTGTCTAATTTTTGTATTTTTTTAGAGATGGGGTTTTGTTATGTTGCCTAGACTAAGGTTATTCTTATATTCTTTAAAAGAATGAAATTTTCCATGAATGTCTACTCTCAGGTATCTCGATGACCACAGACTTTAGATCTTAGAAGCATCTTAGAGGAAATCAAGCCTAAATTCTTCTTTATTTTACAAATTAATACATGTGATTCCGAGACATTAGGGGATTTGCCTGGAGCCATACAGCTGGTTAATGGCAGAGCTGAAACTAGAACAAGGTCTTCTGATTCCAGTGGTGCAGTGGCACCATTGCAAGGTCTTGGAGGAACAATGATGGTGATGATGATTCAAGACCCTACTGTTTGACAGGCATAGTATGACTTATTTTATACACACCACCTTATTTATTCTTCACAATAGCCTGGTATAATGGGTACTATTATCCACCCATATAGATGAGGAAACAGGCTCAGAGAATGAGATACCTTACTCAAATTCACACAGCTAGTTGGTAAGGGGGGCCTGGATCCAAATTCTGTGCTCCTTTGATTTCACTATGCTCTATTTCCACCGAGGAAGTGGGTTCCCTGGTGGGGCCAGGGAGGTGGCTCTATGGCTATGAGCCAAGATTTTAGGCCAAGTCAAGGTCATGGACTCTTGGGATCAGCCCTGGGGCCAACAGGCTGCCAGAAGTGACAGAACGAAGAAAGGAAAGGAAGGAGAGAAACAGGAGACAAATCTTGATGGCTTCCCCATATTGCCATTGTCCTACTTGGGGAGTTCCACCTTCATCTGTTTTACCCTTTTTTTCCTTTACCTTCGAGCTCTACGTCTCTTTATCAGTAAACTAGCCTTGCAGACAAGTGCAAACTGTGCCAGCCCTTAGGCTGCAAAGGAAATGAAGTTGGCATTCTGTAGTCCTCACCTGGCATGAATCACACACAGCCCCAAGGGACCGGGACAAGGCTACATGTCAGACTGATGGACTATTGTCTGGAGCTTTGAGAGAGGAAAAAGGGAAGGCTGCTTGCAGGAGAAAGGTGAACAGGTTGGCCCCGGCCCAAGAATGACAGAGGCGCCTTGCTCCTGCCACCCGGCTCTGCTCCTCTGGCCCAGGAACAATAACAAGGCGCTGTCAGGAAGTGACACTAAAATGCCTTTCCCCTTATACCTCGTTCAGCCTCTGGCAAAAGGAGGTTCCCGGAGGGAATATTTTTAGTTTGACAAATGAAAGCCTGGGACCGAGGACAGGAGGGATAAAGGGAGCTCTTCTCTGACACTCCTGGAGACGGGGAGATGATGAGTCAGATACAGAGGGCTTAGGCACGACTTCTCAAGACATTCCTCAGGCATGAGCACAAGCCAGCCGCTCGAATTCCTCCTGCAAGGCCCGCCACCCGGCAATCAGGGCGGAGGGGCCGGGCCAGAGGAGCAGCTCTGCTCTGTCTTCCTCTTGGCACATTGTTGGACAGCAGCTTTGGAAGATCAAAGCAGCCGCCTGTGTTGCTTTCCGGAACTGGGACTCAGGAGGCCTGGGTTCAAGTCCAGGCTTCACCATTTGCCGGCTGTGACATTAAGTGTCCTCATTTCTCCCTTTATGCCTCAGTTTCCTCATCACCAAATTGAGAGTATTATAACACCTTGGAATTATTATTATGAGGTTGTACATTTGGAAAAAAAAACCTTGAGAATGCAGTGTTTAAAAGCATTGGTTTTCTGTATTGCTCCCAGTACCCCATATGCAGATGGACTCAAAATCTCACACTGGTGGCCACGTGCAGTGGCTCACGCCTGTAATCCCAGCACTTTGGGAGGCAAAGGTGGGTGGATCACCTGAGGTCAGGAGTTCGAGACCAGTGTGGCCAACATGGTGAAACCCTGTCTCCACCAAAAATACAAAAATTAGCCAGGCATGATAAATAGGTGCACGCCTGTAATCCCAGCTACTGGGGAGGCTGAGGCACGAGAATAGCTTAAACCTGGGAGGCAGTGGTTGCAGTGAGCCGAGATTGCACCACGGCACCCCAGGCTGGGCAACAGAGCGAGATTTGGTCAAAAAAAAAATCTCACACTGGTAACAATAATAACCAGTACCTATTGAGTGCTTCTTACTTACCAGGCTTGTGCCAACTTCTCTCACATCCAACCCTCTCAATAGTTCTGTGAGGTAGATCTAATCGTTTCCACCTTCTAGACAAGTATACTGAGGCTCAGAGAGGTGGCATGGGCTGCCTAAGGTCACAGAGCTAACAGATGGTAGGCTGACATTAGACTCCAGCTCCCCCAACTCTGAAGCCCACTTTTCTTTTTTTTTTTTTTAATTATTATTATACTTTAAGTTTTAGGGTACATGTGCACAACGTGCAGGTTTGTTACATATGTATACATGTGCCATGTTGGTGTGCTGCACCCATTAACTCGTCATTTAGCATTAGGTATATCTCCTAATGTTATCCCTCCCCCCTCCCACCACCCCACAACAGTCCCCGGTGTGTGATGTTCCCCTTCCTGTGTCCGTGTGTTCTCATTGCTCAGTTTCCACCTATGAGTAAGAACATGCGGTGTTTGGTTTTTTGTCCTTGCAATAGTTTGCTGAGAATGATGGTTTCCAGCTTCATCCATGTCCCTACAAAGGACATGAACTCATCATTTTTTATGGAAGCCCACTTTTCAAATCCCTGTGCTGGGAACCCTCAGCCTGGGCCTGTACCCAGCAGGAGAACAAGATCAAGGCAGTGCGCTGGGCCAGGCACGAACTGGGGAGCCAGAGGGAGGGGAAGGAGCAGAACAGATAAAGAAATCGGAGGCGGAGCCAGGGTTCAGATGCAGAGCAGCAAGTTGAAGGAGCAGGGAAAGCACCAGGGGCTGGAGCCTGGAACCCTGGCAGCTGTCCACACTTGGTACAAACATGCTTACGGCAATATGGTGGATTGCTGGGGCAGGGAAGGGGGGGTGCACTTAAAAGTCAGAATCCGCTCATCTGATTGGAAGAGAGAATGAGGCAACTAACCATCTGTAGATAGGCTTATTTCTCACTTTTTAAACAGCTGGTTTGGGTGGGTGCTCCTAGGGACTCAGCGCAAAGTCATTGGGTGAATTCTACCCAAAATATGTAAAGCCATGATGAGCAACCCACCCCACAGGCCACACGTGGCCCACCTAGTGTCATTGGGTCCATGATTTAATTTGGGGATGAATAGTAAGAGGCCATCAACGTGTACTGCCTCTCAAAAAATTCTGATAGTGATGATATTTCTTGTTGTTAAATTCAGTGTTACTTCACTCATTAGCATCCTTCTCTTACGTAAGTGATCTAACTCTCGAGAAATCACTTTTAATCCCCTCGTAGGACTTGATACAGTTATTTTGTTTTAAGCAGAAAACAAAAGATGGCTCTTAAAGTCAATTATTGTCTTCTTTAATTCACCCTCAGGAAGGAAGGAGAGGGTGAGAAAGGGAGGAAGGAGGTAGGGGGGAAGAAGAGAGGCAGGCAGGCTACCACTGATGTTGAGTCTCAACATCCTCAAACTGCAGACCATGAACTCTTTTCTCTGTGCACTCATAGGAAGGTCATCCTACTGCCTCCTCGGCCAAGCTAAAACCCAAGAGACTTCTCACCATTCCTCTCTCTCCTTCTCCCAGGGATATCACCCCCAGCATCACTGCTAGGGCTTAGGATATCACTAGTATTCCCAACATCACTCAGTGTCTCCCTAGAAGACCTGTGAGGAGTCTCCTCTCAGACCTCAGTGTCAAGGCAAACAGCAAGTGGCTGCTTTTACCCGGTAGGTGATGTGAGCGAGCGTGTTAGAGGGTCATGTCCTCATGTTTGCGTTGGTCACTGAAAATGTTGAGAGTGGATTTTGCATCTTTCCTTTCAGGATCTCACAATGTGAATGTAGGTTCTCCTGCAAGTGTCCCCACTGACAAGACATGGGACCTTGGGCAAGTCATTTAAACTCTGTGAACCTTATCTGTAAAAGAGAGTTAATTACCACTTGCCTCATACGGCAGATGTGGAAGTGAAATTTAGATGATAGATAATAGATAGATAGATGATAGATAGATAGATAGATAGATAGATAGATAGATAGATAGATCACATGTGCCTAGCATATAATAGGTCATCAATAAATGATAGGTGGTGTTACTATTATCCACAGCAGCACCCTGACACACTATGTATACTAAATTTTCTTTTTTTTTTTTTTTTTTTTTTGAGATGGAGTCTCGCTCTGTCACCCACACTGGAGTGCAGTGGTGCCATCTTGGCTCACTGCAAGCTCCGTCTCCCGGATTCACACCATTCTCCTGCCTCAGCCTCCCAAGTAGCTGGGACTACAGGCGCCCGCCACCACGCCCAGCTAATTTTTTGTATTTTTGGTAGAGATGGGGTTTCACCGTGTTAGCAAGGATGGTCTCAATCTCCTGACCTAGTGATCCACCCACCTGGTCCTCCCAAAGTGCTGGGATTACAGGCGTGAGCCACTGTGCCCGACCACTAAATTTTCTTTTACTGCATTTCATTCAACTACCTTTCTTTTTCTATTTCACAGAATCTCTATCTTTTTACTTTTCATCTTATGGTAGTATGTGTTTGTGAGGTTTGTGGGAGGGAGTTGCAATCCACCTTAATATTGTGGAGCAGAGCAGGTCAAAAAAACCAAACAACTGTAATACTAAAATGAGGACTGTTTTTCCCAGACTCTGCAGCTAGGTTGAAGTTGTTGTCAAGCTCTTTGACTGCAGAATCTCTTGAATATTAAGGAAGGTGGGGCATGGGGGTAGGTGTGGAAAGGACACCAGTGAGGAAAGAGGGATCTTGCTTGGGATGCAAGATTGAGACCTACAGGAAGTAGGGAACCTTTGCCATGCCAGGGCACTTCCAGGAGCTGATGGCTTGGTCTTCCTTTCGATAGCCACTGACCAGGTTCTCTCATGGGGACATGGTCTCAGCGACCAGCTTTTCCTGCATGTGCTGTTCTCCTGCTCCCAGCTGGCCCACCCTCTCTTCCATCTGTATGCTTCTGTTTTCTTATGGTTTCTACAGCCTGCTTCTTGGGTTCCAGAGGGCCCAGGGGGCTATGACACCCTGTCTGTGTGTCATAAACCTTCAGCTTCAGCCACCTCTGCCACCGGCCTCCTTCTCCTATCATTTCCTAGGTCAAATTCTCTAAGGAAGAAATATGATGGCATACACTCATCCTTCTCTGAACCTGTGTCCTAATGGTGGACTCTATAAGGGATGCCACTGAGTCCCACCCTTGGGGATTCTATGGGGCCAAAGAGTTGGGATGGGGACAGAACATGGAGTAATCAGCCACCTATTTGGCTGCCCCTTGAGCAGGGATATGAGAGATATGGCTTTCCCCTAACAGGGAGGCCCCGTGGTTGACATGTGGGGATACCTTGGCACTCCCAAGTGGCCTTCCTGCAGTCTCCACCTGTACTTACGCTTTGCCCTCAGGGTCTAGACTTGGGACACAAATCCCAGCCCCACCACTGACCAGCTGCTTTGTTTCAAGCAAGAATTCTTTCCGACTCTCAGATTTCGTATCTGTGAATAGTGATCCTCATAGTATCAACCTCAAAGGGTTGTGATGTGGAGTAAATAAGATTATCGGAACACAGCCTAAAACATAGCAAACACTCAACACCTACAAGTTGCTATTTATTGCGATTGCCATTAATACAATTCAGAGTTGGGTAGAATCAGCTCAAATCCCATTTGAGAACTCTTTAAGCCTCAGTTTCTACATCTATGCCAAGGTACTTCTAACACCTTCCTTGCAGGACTGGTGCAAATGCTAATGTATGCAGCGATCTCAAGCAGTACCTGGTAGACACTAATATTAACAAATGCTTACTCTTTTCTCCCTCATTCTTTATGAGGTGCCCCTTGACTGTTTTCCTAAAAAGCCATTCTCCTCCCCATAAGGTACCTCTAGAAGTATCCTATAAAGAGCTCATCCCTTTGGCTCTTGGAACCAATCATTGGCTAAAAACTCATCCTCAAGAAGCCATAAGATGGTAGAATAGGTAGGAAACTTGGAGTCCCACTGACCTTATCATTTACAGATGGGGGAAACTGAGGCCAATGATAAGAGGTAATAGACCCATGTGAGAAAGGGGCCAACCCAGAAACAAGACCCTGCCTCTCCTGATTCCCAGTCCAATGTTTATGCCACACTTTATTTGCCCTCAGTAGATTTCTCCATCTGAAGTTCCCTTTCTCTAGTCATCAAATACACTCACGCCCACACTTGTGCTAGCAGAACCATCCCTGTGAAGAATTAAAAGCAAAGACTTTGAGGCAAACTGAAAGGGGAAAGAAAAACAGCCCCAGAGACGGCGGGAAAGCAGCAACAAGCAGGCCCACAGCCTTGTCCCTCACAGAGCCAAGCCCATGGCTTAGCTATAACAAGAGTGACTTGGGAGTTATTAAGGAAAGGAGCCTTTAAACCACGACGTCATAAGAATGGCGGGTGTCTGTGGGCCTTGAAAGAGAAAGGGGATTAGGCCAGTGTTTAAGGCTGAGCCGTTACGGCCTTGAGGTCCCCAAAGCAGACCACCTGCCCTGCCTAAGAAATGTTCACCAAAGCACCAACATGAGAAATGAATGTTTAAATTTGACATTATTAAAAACCATCAGCTCCAATTTCAAAGGCTGACAAGGCTGCCCCTGCTCCCCTACCCACCCAGGCCCAGCCCATCCCACCAGAACAACTAACCCGTGACATCAGAGCCTGCCCTGGGGAGATAGTCTGGTAAATTAGCACTATCTACAGAGGCGGAGGATGGAGTTACAACCTCATCAACTGGGGAGAATTCGGGACTCCCTGGCTTAGCTCACACTCCCAGTTGCTTGTCACAATGCCTATGCCCAGAACTTCTGGGTCTTGACAGCAAATCTCTTGCCTCCTACACTCCTACAGAGTGGGATCCCAAGCCCCAGAGAGGAGGTCAAAGGCATCCATGGGGAAGGCAGGTGGGTTCCCAGCCACTAGCCCTCTCAATCCCACTTGCTAAAATAGCTCAGAACTTGCTCTCCCTTTCATCCAGGGGTCCCCAACTTGGGCTAAACTTGGGATGCTGCCCAGGTCCAGAATCTTGACACTGGTGTTTTTTCAAACCGCCCCCCCCCGCAGGAGACAGCAGTGAGCAGCCATGGTGGGAGCCTCTTCTGCAGTCAATCCACCCTTCACACTGCAGCCAGACTGTTCTCTCCAAAGCACGGATCTGTTAACACATCCAAGGGGAGGGACCCCAACTCCTTCCCTTGGGGTCCAATTTCCTTCTCCACTGACCTAGTCCTCCACTTCTGCCCCATCTGCTTTCACTCCTCCTTACACTCTAGTCATTGGCCTGGTTTTTTTTTTTTTTTTTTCCGTCTTTTTTTTTAATTGAGACTGGCTCTGGCTCTGTTACCCAGGCTGGAGTGCAATGGTGCGATCTCGGCTCACTGCAACCTCCGCCTCCCAGGTTTAAGCGATTCTCCCACCTCAGTCTCCCGAGTAGCTGGGACCACAGGCGTACACCACCACACCCATCTATTTTTTTGTATTTTTAGAAGAAATGAGGTTTTGCCATGTTGCCCCGGCTGGTCTCAAACTCCTGAGCTCAAGCCATCTGCCCGCCGCAGCCTCCCAAAGTACTAGGATTACAGGCGTGACCCACCTAGCTTGGTTGGATCTTCATTTTCTTTCTTTTTTTTTTTTTTTCTTTTTGAGATGGAGTTTCACTGTATTGCCCAGGCTGGAGTGCAGTGGCGCTATCTTGGCTCACTGCAAACTCTGCCCCCTGGGTTCAAGTGATTCTCCTGCCTCAGCCTCCCGAATAGCTGGGATTACAGGTGCCCACCGCCACTCCTGGCTAATTTTTTTTGTTTTTAATAGAAACGAGGTTTCCCCACGTTGGCCAGGCTGGTCTCAAATTCCTGACCTCAGGTGATCCACCCTCCTTGGCTCCCAAAGTACCATAATTGCAGGCCTGAGCCACTGCGACCAGGCTGGATGTTCATTTTCTAAACAAACCACCTCTTTTGACTTTGGGGCTCCAACTATTCCATCTGCCTGGAATGCCGAACCTTGCTCCCACCCATACCTAGGAAAGTTTTCCTTAACTTTCAATGCTCAACATGAATGTCTCTCTTGCCCCACACCGTATTCATTGTTTCCTGGTGATAGTCAAAACCCATCCTTCAATAGCATTCACCATGAGGTAGTTGCCACATAAATGGTAATTTTACATATTTTAATTCATTTCATCCTCACCACAACACTTCAAGGTAAGTATTAGTATCATCCACACTTTACAGATGAGTAAACAGAGGCAAGGAGACATGAAATTACTTGCTCAAGATCACACGGCTAATGACTGATGAAGGAAGGCTTGAACCCCAGCCTCCTGGGTCCAGAATCCACTGTGCTATAGGCCACCGCATAGTGCTACCTTTTCTTTTCTTCCTCGATTGTAGAGAAATAGAGAAAAAAGAAAAACCAAAAAGGAAATCTTACCCACCAAACACCAAGCTCCTTGAATGCAGGAGTTGTCTTTTATTATTATAAGTATTACAATAGTCTAAGTATTATTATTCAGTATTATTAATAGATCACTACATTAGTAGAAATTACAATTACTCTCACATATGTATGGATTATTCTCTCTGTGTGTGTAAATGCATTATCTTCTCTATAACTCAACAACCACAGGAGGACGTGTATTATTTTTACTTTATAAATAATCTGATTTATCTATAGGCTTTGTGAAGTTAACACCCAAAGTCACCCACCCCTACCCTAAATTCTCCACTACTTAGCACAGTCAAGATGCAAAGTCAAGACTCAATGATCTGTTTGATTAATCTGAGTGTCTCATTGTAGGCCTCTACATTTGAGTTCTAATACAACCTATTAATACAAGATTGCAACTTCCAATAACTAGGAGCTATTACCTCCCTACTATGTGCCAGGAGTTGTGCTGAGGGCTCCATTGGCATCAATTTGTTTATTCTCAAAACCCACTGGGGCAGGGCCCATTGTTTGACTCATTTTTCAGATGTCTCACAGAGACTCGGAGAGGTTGTGTGATGTGCCCCAGGTCACAGAGCTGGCTAGAAGCAGGGCCAGTGGAGGAGCCCTGCTCTTTGGGGGCTGTGTTCCCAGGCTCTCTTCTACACTGAGAATAGAAGCACCAGAGACAGAGGTGGGGAGGGGATGGTGCGGGGCAGAGGGGAGGGGGAGGCTATGAGAAGCATTCCATCAGATACAACTTTCTCAGACATTTCAACGGATTCCTCAGTCCCTGTAGGACCATATTGTCTCTACGGCAAATGATGACATGAACCGTCCAGTTGCTCCCAGCGACATCTTACTTCTGCTCCTTCCGGGCCCCTGCACAGGCCCCTGTGCATTCCTGGTGACGTCACCCAGCTGTGCTCCCTCATCTCCCGAAGGAAGCTCTGTCACAGTCAGGAAGGGGGAGGGACGGGCGGGGGTGCAGAGGGATGGCACGGAGACAGGCCGCCTCTTGGCGCCTGAAGGAATGCGTTCTAGCCTGGCCGAGTTTGGGGAGGGTCCTCAAGCAGGTCACTTCCCGATGATCAGAAGGTGGACGCTGGGGCCTGAAATGCCCAGGCTCGAGATGAAAAATAATCCAACTGAATAAATAAATCACCAAAGAGAGCAGCAACCACTGTCTGCCAAGAAATTTAATCCTGAATGTGGAGAGAGTTGATGGGGGTTGGGGGACAGGGAGGGCTGAGGTTCTGAAAAGATTTAATTGGTGATAGGGCCCTAAGAATATGTAAATAGTCTCTTGGTTTCTGTCCTAAAAGGAGAAACAGATGCCAAGGACTCCAAGCTGAGCTTTCTTATGAAAATCACTAAGACCCCAGAATGCCATTTAAAATGTATATAATTTGATTGTTATCTCCTATGGGGAAGGGCTCCTTGCTCAAAGTTTCCTTTTACATCAGCCCCCGCCCCCCCATTGTAAGACTCAAGGCTCCATTTTCTGTCCCCCTTTCCCCCTTCCCCTCCTCCAAAGCCCTACAACCAGCTCCAGTTGGAGAAGGCAATGGAATGTTCAGTGTGGGGGTGTGCACTTTTAAGCTCTCAAAAGCCTGTGGCTAAACCTTTAACTCAAAGACAATAGAAATAAGGTTAACAATTTCCAAGTCCAGCCTCTGCTAAGAAATGTCCAGTGGCAAGGAATCAGTTCCCTGTTTCTCCCTGGGAAGCCAGTCCTATTAGTTTGGACATTACTGATTCTTAGACTGCTCCCCCATATGTTGAATTAAATTTGTCTCCTTAAAACTTTTCACTTTTACTCCTTGGCATGACACAAACACAATGGATCATTCTTTCCCATGGCAAGCCCTTCTAGAAGTGCTCTGGGGGGTCAGATATATCGGTGAGCATGGTGTGGGAGGCTGAATATGCCCCCCAAAGCAATCCACATCCTAATACCCAGAACCTGTGGATCTGTTACCTTACCTAGCAAAAGGCAACTTTGTAGATGTGATTAACATTTGTAATCAGTTATCTTGGACTCTCCAGGTGGGCCCAATATAATCACAAGGGTCCTGATAAAGAGGGAGGTGGAAGGATCAGTCAGAGAAGGCCACGTGATGCTGGAAGCAGAGGTCGGAGGTCGGAGTATGCAGGACATGAGCCTCTAGAAGCTGGAAAGGATAAAGGGACAGATTTTCCCCTAGAGCCTTCAAAAGGAACACAGCCCTGCTAACTTATTTTGGACTTCTGACCTCCAGAACTGTAAGAGAATAAATCCGTGTTGTTCGAAGCCACTAAGTTGGTGGCGGTTTGTTACAGCAGACTTAGGATGTTTTAACTCTATTACAGCACATGGGCCAGGTAAAAGACACATGTATCTGTATACAGAACAACACATCAACCCAATTTGATTCCACTCAAGGTCTTTGCACACGCTGTTCCCTCTGCCAGGAAAGCTCTTCCCCTAAATCGTCACACAGCTCCCTCCTTTCACCTCTGTGATTTCTGCTCAAGCTTCAGGTCCTCAAAGACCCTTTTCTGGATGCTCCATCTAAAATTGTGCCATGCATGTCACCACCACTCCCTAGCTGTTCCAGTGTTTTTCAAACTGCAGGCTGCAATCCATTCCTAGACTGTACAACCTATCTAATGTGGCCCATAACCAGCATCTTCTACAATAAAACAGAAGAGAAAATATCAGAACACATCATGTGTAATAAAGGTAAGTAGTGTTTCTTCACATTTTCATTTTTCTTTTTTGTATGCTTGTGTGTACATTGGGCTGCAGTGTAAAATCAGTTTCTTACTAGGAATCAAAAATTTTGACCTAATACATTACCCTGCTGAGTTTTCTTCAGAGCAGCGGATGTTATCTGAAACTCTCTTCTGTATATATTTATTCTCCATCTCCTCCAAGCAAACGTAATCTCCCTAAGAGACAGACTTTGCCTGTTCCTTTTTTCTTTGCTGCATCCCCAGCACATAGAACAGTGCCTGTACCCCATAGTCATACAATCAATATTTGTTGAACAAATGGATGAATGAATTAGTGAGCCCATGATTTCATGAATATTATTGTTTAGGACAGAAGCAACATTTCTTAAAAGTGAGTAAATTTAAAGGAACATATTAAGTAAATAGTAATACAAGAGGTACCCAGTGAGGCAAAAATCATAAAGATGGGGATATTGAAATACTAAACTTGGGGACATAAATATTCCCTGCTCTTGTGGAACCTTCAAGCTAGCTGGTGAAACTAGCTGCAGAAGGGCTAAAGAAAGGACGAATCGTGTCCCAGAATGTTGGAGATCACGTCCGCCTCCTCTCGTTTCACCAATAAGAATGCCGCAGCCCAGAGGGCAGAAGTGACTTCTCCCAGGCCACAGAGCGGCCAGCAGCAGAAGTCACAGCAGAACCCCACGTCCCGCCTCCTGGGGACAAGCTCTCTCTCCTTTCAGCCCAAATGACAGCTTTGGGCACACTGAGTCTCAGTCAGTTTCCTTTCAACCCAAATGCATTTGGGCCCCTAACTCCAAAAATCCAGGGCAGGAAAGTCCATCCTAATTCTAGCCTCACCCTCCCCACCCCCTGCTCTGTCCGGGAATTTACAGGCAATGCCATGTAGTAGAAAGATAGCCAGCTCAAGAATCAGACACAACTGGCTTCCAATAGGCCTGTGTCTATTCCTTATGAACCAGGAAGCTTAGGCATGTCTCTTAATCTCTCTGAGCTTCACTTTCCTCACCTGTAAAATGGAGCTTATAAATAAAATAGCTCTGGCCGGGCACAGTGGCTCATGCCTGTAATCCCAGCACTTTGGGAGGCCAAGGTGGGTGGATCACGAGGACAGGAGATGAAGACCATCCTGGCCAATATGGTGAAACCCTGTCTTTACTAAAAATACAAAAATTAGCTGGGTGTGGTGGTGGGTGCCTGTAGTCCCAGGTACTCAGGAGGCTGAGGCAGGAGAAATGCTTGAACCCAGGAGGCCGAGGTTGCAGTGAGCCCAGATCGCACCGCTGCACTCCAGCCTGGGTGACAGAGTGAGACTCCTTCTCAAAAATAAATAAATAAATAAATAAATAAATAAATAAAATACCTCTGTAAAGTGCCCAGAAGAAAGTAGGTTCTCAGGAAATGTTGATTCTCTTATGCTTTCTGCCAAGAGTTTTATGCATTATTATTGTGGTTTCATCTTTAACCAGTGCCCACAGAGGATGGACACTGTTCAGATGTCTTCACTGACAAGCCAGCCAGGAGGCATCATCTTCCAGTGTCAGCTCCAGGCACTCCGGAACAGCTGTCCCTGCAAGGGGAACTCTGTCCTCTGAGGTGGAGGGCACTCATTCCAGCGCGATGAGACACTAAAGCAACCATGCAGGTGTCAGAACGTGAATGAGCTGCTCAGGAATGGTGACAGGCCCCCTTCCAGTGCGGAGGGTCTGATTTCCCCCTCCCTTTCCCACTAAGGTGCAGTCTAGCTGGAACCACAGGATGACTCCTGTGGGCTCCTTCCTTCATGAAACTAACATGAACGCACGTATTTTACAACTGCCTTGGTATAGAGACAAAAGTCAATATATCATAAAACATTTTCTTTGACCTAAAAGTTCATTTTTTTTCTGATTTTAAAAGAAATTAAAATACATTCATGGGACCCTAAAACTATTCTTATATCCTCTGAGCACTGTGCCTGTGTGTGGTACCCAAGGGATAATTTGGCCCTGCTCCAGCCTCCCTTTGCTCACCTCTTCCACAGGGCAGGCCAGCTCTGTATTGATCAACTCTGACTTAGAACATAATTTGTGTGTTGTTTTTGTTTGTTTGTTTACAGACAGGATCTTGCTCTGTTGCCCATCCTGTGGCACCATCATGGCTCACTGCAGCCTTCAATTCCTGGGCCCAAGCAATCCTCCCGCCTCAGCCTCCCCAGTAGCTGGGACTACAGGTGTGCACTACCATGGTTGGCTATTTTTTTTTTTTTCAGAGATGGGGTCTTTTTATGTTGCCTAGGCTGGTCTCAAACTCCTGACCCTGAACGATCCTCCTTCCTCAGTCTTCCAAGGTGCTGGGATTATAGGTGCAAGCCACCGCACTGGGTCTACCATTCTTTACAGTGAGAAAAACGTGTGTCCCTTGAGCTTCCACTGTCTTTGGCCCCAATCTTAAGTACAGAGAAAAGAAAGCTCCTGCTGTCCTGTAGGAGGTCAGCTGTCTGTAGTGGGTGGAATGGTGGCCCCCAAAGATATGTCCACGTCCCAGAACATCTGAATGTTGCCATATTTGGAAAAAGGGTCTCCAAAGATATAATTAAGTATCCCCATGTGAAATCATCCTGAGATTATCCAGGTAGGCCCTAAATCCAATGACAATACATGTATAAGAAACACACAGAGAAGGCATGCTGGGAGAAGACAAGACGCTGTAAAGATGGAGGCAGAGACTGGAGTGATGCAGCCTCAAGCCAAGCAAGGCCTGCAGCCACCAGAGGCTGGAAGAAGCAAGGAAGGATCCCTGCCGAGATGGTTTGGATTTGCGTCCCCACCCAAATCTCATGTCAAATTGGAGGAGTGGCCAGGTGGGAGGTGACTGGATCACAGATTTCCCCCTTGCTGTTCTCATGATAGCGAGTTCTCACAACATCGGATGGTTTAAAAGTGTGTGGCACTTCCCCCTTCACTCTCTCCTACCGCCATGTGAAGAAGGTGCTGGGTTCCCTTCACCTTCCGTCATGATTGTAAGTTTCCTGAGGCCTCCCAGTCATGCTTCCTGTTAAGCCGGTGGAACTGTGAGTCAATGAAACCTCATTTCTTCATAAATTACCCAGTTTCAGGTAGTTCTTTAGAGCAGTTAGCAGAGACTAACACATCCTGCTGGAGCCATTGGAGGGAGTCTGGCCTTGCCGACACCTTGATTTCAGACTTCTGGCCTCCTGAACTGTGAGGGAACAAATTTCTGTTGTAAGCCACTCGATCTGCAGTTATTTGTCACAACAGCCCTAGGAAACAAATATATCGTCCATTCCACAGTGCTCCTGCCCCAGGCTCCTGCCTTGTGGAGCTGTAGAAAGAACAAGCGCTTCAAAGTAGGCTCTGAATCTGACTCTGCCAGTGAGTATCTGAGTAAATTGTCCTACAAGGGATAAAAAAGTATTGAATTTTTTATTTCCATTTATGTAATTACAACTGACAATCTAGGCCAACATGTATCTCCTTGAAAAAGAAGGAAAATTAAAAGGAAAGATGACTTATAAGTCCAGAAACAAGAAAATGCAAGTGATATTTTCCAGAAGGGTCACATGAATTATCCCGTAAGTATAAGGTGAACATGTTGTTTGCACCAAGAGAGTCGCTGAGGTGGGAAAAGGCCAATGAATAACATCATCTCTCAAGAAAAAAAAATGGTACAGTGCTCTATAGTGGCATAGAGATGTCCACATACCCCCCACAGAAACCCTGGCAAACCCTTGTGTGATTCCTAGAACCATACTTTTCTGTACCCTATTAACTCATATGTAAAATGGGGACAACTATCTCTACCTTACAGGGTTGTTTAGAGGATTAGAAATAATAACTAGAAAATGCCTAGCTCGGGTTTAACAACAGAGGGAATCATCAAGTCCTGTTGGGCTCCAGGAATTGAGCCGAACACAGGCCTCTTCCTTGCTCAGATTCCTGTGTAGCCTGGTCCTGACATTTGGGGACAAGATGGGATGCCTGGAGTTTTGAGGAGAGGAGCCAGCTCTAAAGGGAGTGAATTTGAGAAAGATTCCCAACTAGGAGGCAGTGTTCATCTTGGCCAAAAGGCCTGGAGCATCCAGGAGTCCCCTTGGAAAAAACCTGGGGTCCACTTTCTTCCGAAAAATCAAGCAAACATTTGATTCTTTTCAGATATTTTCTATTTGATTATTTAGACAAAGAGAATATGGGGAGTTGAGGGAAGAGAAGGAAGAGCATCTTCATGAAGTCCCAGCAGAAGGGTCAGACCCGCAAAGAGGCCACAGGATGGGCAGGACAACCTCAAGTGACTCTTTTTTCCATTTATGGGGGGACAAGCTCTTGCTCTGTCACCGAGGCTGGAGTGCAGGGGCACAATTATAGCTCACTGCAGCCTCAAACTCCTGGAATCGAGCGATCCTCCTGCCTCAGCCTCCCAAGTAGCTGGGACCACAAGCATGCATCACCACACCAGGTTATTGTTTTCATGTTTCATACAGATGACATCCCACCATGTTGCCCAGGTTGGTCTTGAACTCTTGGCCTCAAGTGATCCTCTCGCCTCGGCCTCCCAAAGTGCTAGGATTACAGGCATGAGCTACCATACCCAGCCCCTTTTTTGAGGTTGCAGGGAAGAGTATAAAGAGCAAGAAGTCGTAGGGATTCCAGGTAGTTGGGAAAAGAAGATGGGAATTACCAGTCTGGGCAAAGAGACATAGGAAGGCTAAGAATCCAGGGGCCACAGGAGGTGGGAAATGTGTAGGATGCAAAACAGGCAGTCAAAAGTCCCAGATCCCAAAGGCCGCCCTGAGGGCACCTGAAAACACTCAGCTCAAGTCTGATCTTCGCCAGGCTGACCCCTCTCTTGCCTGGACCTCCCCTTCTAAGTAACCCCCTTGGGGCTCCTGAGGGTCCGAGGCTGATGGCTGCAGAAGTAGGAGGCACCTTGGAGCACCTACAAGTACAGAGATGGGCCAGGCAGACCTCAGCCTGTCAATCAGTGGAAGAGGTAGGTTTAAATCTAGGTACCCAACTCCAGATCCCATACTCTGAACAAGGATACTGGGTGTTCCCTCCTCATCTATAAAATGAGGACAATAACACCTTTCTCACAGGCTGTTTTGGGAATTAGAAACAACCCACTCACCTTCCCTAGCACATCCTAGACCATACACCAAAGCTTTCATCATGGCCAGTGGGACCATGCCTGGGCCACATTCCCATCAGTTTCTGCTATAATTTGGATATTTGTCCCCACCCAAATATCATGTTGAAATGTAATCCCCAATGTTGGAAGTAGAGCCTGGTGGGAGGTGTTTGGATCATAGCGGTGGATCCCTCATGCATGGTTTAGGCCATCCCTTTGGTGCTAAGTGTGCTCCTCTCCGAGTTCACAGGAGAGTCCAGTCATTTAAAAGCGTGCGACACCTCCTTCCCCGCACTCTCACTCTCTGGCTCCTGCTTTCACCATGTGAAATACCTGCTCCCTCTTCGTCTTCCGCCATGACTGTAAGCTTCCTAAGGCATTCCCATGCCTCCTGTAAAGCCTGTGGAACTGGGAGCCAATTAAAACTCTTTTCTTCATAAATTACCCAGTCACAGATACTTCTTTATAGCAACACAAGAACAGCCTCATATTGTCTCCCAGGATGTCAATGGCTGGGCACTCACTTTGTTAATGCTGTGTTATACTCTCATTCTACTAAATGGTAATGCCTTTCCTATATCTCCCATTGTCTTACACAGGGCCAAAAAATATTGATTTTTTAAATTTCCATTTATGCAATGACAACAGTCAATCCAGGCCAAAACATGCTTGAAAAATGAGGAAAATGAAAAGATGACTTATAAGTCCAGAAACAAGAAGATGCAGGTGATATTTACCAGAGGGGCCACATGAATTATCCCATAACTATAAGGTGAGCATACTGTTTCCACCTAGAGAATCGCTGAGGTGGGTAAAGGTCAATGCATAATGTCATCTCTCAAGAAAAGAAATGGTACAGTGCCCTACGGTAGCATAGAGGGGCCCACATCCCTCACAGGACCCTGGCAAACCCGAGTTCTTTAAAACTTGGCCCAGGGGCCTGTCATTGCACAGGCATTTTCCAGACAATCTATCCCCACCCAGTCCAGGTAAGGTAGAGGCTGGAAGGGAGCTGTGCAACTCACAGGCGAGGCCTCACTTCCTTTGAACCCCAAGAATCTGAAGATTTGGAATCAAGCAGACCTGGCTTCAAGTCCCTGGCTCTTCAACCTGTAACTGAGAACCTAGCTCCAATTATTTATAATAAATTCTCTGAGCCCTCAGTTGAATGGAGATGACAACTTTCTTGGGCTGTTTAGAGCCCAAATGAGGTGACTTGTGGAAACACAGTTTAGACAGATGGCAGGACTCAAGGACTGGTAGCTCTTATTTCAACAGGGCAAGCTTTTTTCCTGATCAAGTCTAGCGTTTCCCAGGCCGATGCTGTAAGACTATACGTTGGGCCAACAGCACCACCTGGTGGTCAGTATAAGATCTGGCAAATCTCGCCCGGGGCTTCAGACCTAGTCTGGTCCTAGGGAGGCTGGCGTCACACACACAAAAAAAGACTGTCCCATAAAGAGGAACCTGGTTGAAAGAGGCCCCACAGTCAGGAAGGAAGCATAACCTGACCTATTTTCTTCCCTAAGAGAAGAAAACCTGGTAGTGTCCAAGAAACTGAACACTGGGTTCCATCCACCTTAGGTAAGACATTTCACTTCTCTGAGCTTCCATTTCTTTATTTGTATAATGAAAACAATGATACTTTATTTGTAAGTATCAAAAATGAAATAAATCTAGGTCTAGTGGCAGGCATCTAGTGAACACTCATGGCAATTTTTTATGTTTAGGAAGCAACTGCATGTGTCTGATCCCTAAAAGCTTTACCTAATCTTTAGACAACATTATGTCTTGTGTGTTTGGGGCAAGTTTTCAAGAAGAAACACTCAGTAGCGAGCCCTCTCCTGGGCCCAGCTCCCTACCTCTGAAGCCACCCTCTGCCTCTGGGGCCACTGCTTCAGGGTCAGACCTGCTTGGGGAGCACCTGTGAGAAGCTAGGGTTCTCGGGCACTGGCAAAGAAGGAGATCACCCATTCATTCATTCATCTAACAAAAGCACTGAACATTTGAGATACAAGGATGGTTTTGACATGGCTCCTGTCCCCAAGGAGCTTGCATTCTAACCGAGACAGCAGAATAATAAAGAAATACTTAATTGCTGACCAGGCGCAGTGGCTCGCACCTGTAATTCCAGTACTTTGAGAGGCCAAGGTGGGCGGATCACCTGAGGTTGGGAGTTGAGACCAGCCTGATCACCATGGAGAAACCCCGTCTCCAATAAAAATACAAAAAATTAGCTGGGCGTGGTGGCGCATGCCTGTAATCCCAGCTACTCGGGAGGCTGAGGTAGGAGAATCGCTTGAACCCGGGAGACCGAGGTTGTGGTGAGCAGAGATTGCGCCATTGCACTCCAGCCTGGGCAACAAGAGTGAAACTCTGTCTCAAAAAAAAAAAAAAAAAAAGAAAGAAAGAAAGAGAGAGAGAGAGAGAGAAAGAAATATTGAATTGCGACAGGCCAGGTACTCTGACAGAAATGTGTACTGTTTAGAAAGATAGCACAGAGGAGAAAGTAGCCAATTCATCCTGGGGGAGTCTGATGGATCGAACATTTCAACAAACACAGGAAAGAACCTACCAAGCGTGGAGCACAATGGGAGGACCTGGAGATTCAAGGATGAGTAAAACCCAATCCCTTGCCCAAAGAGGTTGTGGTCAACCCGGGTAAGGGAAAGATGCAGAGAGAACATGATGTGTGGTCTGGGACTGCAGGGGTGTTGGTTAGGGGAGCTTGAGGCAAAGTGAACAGCCTGAGCAAAGAAAGACTTAGAGTAGAGACGGAGCAGTGTCCACCAAGTGCCTTCTCCACACTCATCCTTTGTGTCTTCTGAGGTGCTTCCTCTGCTTTGGGATTCAGGAAATGCAATTTTTAAAATTCAATGCCATTTTTTAAGCCTGCTTATCCTCCACTCTGGTCCCTTTTCCCTGGGGTTGCAGATGTGCAAGGCCTGAATCACATCACCCAGAACATGCCCAGGCAAGCCCACTCCCTACTTATGTTGCCCTGGCACGGGCGACACCTCCATCCCCAACCCCCTCGGTTGTGAATCCTCTCTCCAAGGTGAACTTCTCACCAATGGCCTGGGACAGCTTCCCCAAGTGTCTACACCACTGTCCTCCCTCAACCCCCAAACTACCTGAGGCTCCAGTGTCCTTCTGCCCTACCAGCTGGAGGAGGCTGGGATGGAGGGCCATGTTATAAGGGTGCTATGGTAGAAGAGGGGCCCACAGGTTCTAGGTGCCCTTGCTGATCAGTTCCAAGAGAAGTGAGTGGAAACTACCACCCAGGCAGCTTCATTTCCTGAGAGCCTACTGTGTTCATTCACTCTTCAGTGGCAGCCGAGCAAGGCAATTAAGGGCTTAGGGCCTGGATTTCACATCCAAGTTGTATCACTTCCTGGCTGGGTGGGCTTGGATAAGTCACTTCGACTCTCAGTGCCTCCATTTCTTTTTCTGTAAAGTGTAGACTAGGGCTTTTGTGAAGATTAAATAACATAAAGTACTTAGAAGGCTGCCTGGTACAGAGCAAGAGCTCATTAACCATTAGCTATTGTACAACAATAATTATTTCTTGAGCATCTACCATGAGCCAGGACTGAAGCTGCAGCTGTGAACCAAAAAGACCTGGTCGAGAGACAAGCCATGAAAGTAAGACACAAATGTTGCTATAATCACCACTGTGATGGGCGTTATGAAGAAAATGGGTAGTATTAATGGAGAAAATAAAAGGAATAAAGAGAGGCAATGGAATTGTTAATATTTTGGGGGTAGTGAAATTTAAGCTGAGACCGAAAGGATGTGTAGGAATGAAATGAGGAGCTGTAGGAATGGATGCCAAGGTCCTGAGGCAGCCAAGAACACTGAGCCATCAGGAACTGGAGGGAGAGGGCCAGTGTGGCTGCCTTGCAGTGAACAAGAGAGAAAGGACCCTCCAGCTAGGGCTGGAGAGGCAGGTAGAAGTCGGCTGCACCTGGGCCCTAAGGCTCGAGGAAATGAGCACTTTACTCTCAGTCAGTGGGAAACCAGTGACGTGTTTCCTGACAAGGTATACTTTCACACGTGACTTAATTTACATTTTCAGAAGATCACTCTGCTGATTACCATAAGAATAGAACTGGGGGCATCAGAAGTGAAGTGATTATAAATAGGGAGGTGGCCAGGGCTAGTGCAGGGACACTGGAGATACACCTGCAGATATAATCAATGAATATGGTGACAGAACAGATACCAGAGATAAGGGAGAGGGAGGATGAAGATCACATTTAACCTGGGGAGAGACTGAAGGAGGCACAGATGTCAAGCAAGACCAAGAATCAACTTTAGAGATGCAAATGTGGAATTCCAAAGAAATGTACATTTAGGAGCAATACGTCTAAGAGTGAGAGCACATAGATTTCATGTCAAGTCATGGGAATGAACAAAATTACTTGGGGAGAAATTATAGAGAGAGAATAGAAGTGGGATCAGGATTAAAGACTTCAACATTTAGAAAGCAAGTAGAGAAACAAGAACTGGCAAAAGAGATCGAGGAGAAGCCAAAGAGATAAGGAAAACCAGGAGAAACTCATGTTTCAAAAAGGAGGCAATGGGCCACAGGGTCTATAGCTACTTCCACGTTAAGTAAGATGAAGACAAATAAGAAGCTATTGGATGGGTATGTTGGCTGACGCCTGTAATCCCAGCACTTTAGGAGGCTTCAGCCCAGGCGTTTGAGAGCCAGCCTGGACAACATAGCAAGACCACTTTCTCTACTTTTAAAAAGACAGAGAGAGAAGGAGCCACTGTATTTGGCATCACGGCAGTTGTTGATGACCTCGGAAAGAGCAGCCTCATGGAGTGGCAGAGTGGATGCTAGATTAGACTGGGTGGGTACAGGGGCAGATGTGTGGGCAGTTCTGTGTAGCAGCTTGAGTCTGGCATGGGTAGGGAGTAAAAGAAGGGTAGTAGCTAGATAGGGATGGAAGGGGTCAAAAGCTGTTTTTCACCCCTTTAAAAAGTTCAAAAAATTCAGCAGTTGTTAGAGCACTGGCTGGGATGATCTATTAGAGAAAGCAAAAGAACAACACAGCAAAAGAGGAGATAATAGTAGAGAGAGGGCCTGAGAGGTCATATGGGGCTGGGTCCAGAGCACGTGTGGGCGGATGGGCCTATAAGGAGATAGAGGAGAAGCTGGTGGCCGATGGAGATAGGTCTGTCAAATTGAACTGTAGAGAAGTGAGACCCCAGCTCTGTGCAAGGCCCTTCTACATTTTTTTTTTTTTTGAGACGGAGTCTCGCTCTGTCGCCTAGGCTAGAGTGCAGTGGCGCGATCTTGGCTGCAAGCTCCGCCTCCCGGGTTCACCCCGTTCTCCTGCCTTAGCCTCCCAGGTAGCTGGGACTACAAGATCCCGCCACCATGCCTGGCTAACTTTTTGTATTTTTCAGTAAAGACGGGGTTTCAACGTGTTAGCCAGGATGGTCTCGGTCTCCTGACCTCGTGATCCGCCTGCCTCGGCCTGCCAAAGTGCTGGGATTACAGGCATGATCCACCGGGCCAGGCCGGTCCTTTCACATTTAATCCTCAACATATATCCTAGGAAATTGGCTTTATTTCCCCAACTTGAGAAATGAGGGGGACGCAGCCCAGGAATGTTAAGTTGCTTGGCCCATTGTCCTGTTGTTGAGTAGCCGAACCAGAATTCAAACTGGACTTTGTCCAACTTAAAAGACTCTGCCTTCTTCAGCATGTTACCCTGAAAAGCTCACAAAAAAGTACTCATTACAGAGGGGGAGCTCACTAAGTGTTCGTTGGATGAAGTCTTAGTTATAAGCACAAACTGACCCCAAACTGTTTTGATGTTGATCTGGATCTTGGCAGCAGCAGAGCATGGAATCCCCAGGGAATAAGAGGGGCTGGTAGAGAGGGGTTGCTTAGAAAGGAGTAGGGAGAGCTAAGATGAGACCAGGGTGGAAAGGTGGGTAAAAGAGGAACCGACCAGCATAAATCCACTGGGATGCAGATCTCCACTAAGGCCTCTGGAAATTCTCCGGTCTCTGAGCTCACCTCTTTCATCCCACTACACTAAAAAGTAACAGTGGGGCAGAGACAGGCTAGCTGTTTGCCAAGCCCATTTTCCCTTGGTCCTGGGCATGCAGGTAGACTACACTTCCTAGACATCCTTGATCCAGACACCACACACCAGAATACAGATGACCTGGGGTTCCGCTGGATTCCTAGCTTGCCAGATGTCACGGATTGGGAATTCCCAGCAGAGGTAGAGGCCCCCCGGTATTATGCAGCCCTGGATTCTGGATCAAGCTCCAGCTCTATCACTCGCTAGCTCTGTAGTTGTCACCAGCTCACTTTATCTCTAAGATTATGAAACACTCATTGACGGGTTTTCCTCTAGTATTTCCTGTCTGTCAGGTCCATTATCCCATTAGACACAGGATTTTGCAGCATCTATTTCTTCAGAGAAAGAAAGCTACATCAGAAGCAAAGCAAACATTTTTGATTTTCAAAAATAGATAGACCCTGGAATCTCAGGACATAGCAATTACATGATACATCAGAATTAGGTTATTGAGCCAAGATTGATTAAAGAATCCCTCCATATGAAGAAGAAATGGTGGAGCCAGCCATGGTGGCTCACGCACTTTGGGAGGTGGAGGCAAGAGGATCACTTGAAGCCAGGAGTTGGAGACCAGCCTGGGTAACATAGCAAGACCTCATCTGTGCAAAAAAGAAAAAAATTGGCCATGCACCTGTAGTTGCAACCATTATTTCACATTCAGAATAACAGCTACTCTAGAGTCTGAGGCTGGAGGATTGCTTGAGCCCAAGAATTCGGAGGCTGTAGTGAACTATGATCATGCCACTGCACTCTTTCCTGGGCAACAAAGTGAGACCCTATCTCAATCAATCAATCAATCAATCAATGCCAGGCAAAGACAGACCAGCTGTTTACCAAGTTCATTTTCTCCATGGTCCTGGGCGTGCAGGTAGACTACACTTCCCAGATACCTTTGCAGGTAGACATAGCCATGGGACTGAGTTCCAGCCAACAGAACGTGATTGGCACCGATGTGTGCACTTCTTTCAGGCTTGGACCTGGAAAGTGTTCCAAGTTCGATTCTTCCACACTCTTGCTTAATTCAGGACCTGATGCCGTTATACCCAGCAACTTTGAAAGCCACGTGTTGAGGATGAGGGAGCTACAGATGGAAGGTATCTAGAGAGCCACCTGCCAATTAGGAACACCCATTTTGGCTTTCATATGACTGATGAAGAAGCTTCTACAGTGTTTAAACTATCATATGTTCTTGGCGTTCGCATCTAATACTGCCTTCAATAATACAATTTGAGACGAAACCCCAAGGGAAACACTGCAAGGCAGTGCAGGCGGCCACAGGGAAATAGAACTGGCCAACATTCCAGTTTTATCCCCACAAAACGATGGGAGCTCAAAATAGAAATTGAAGTTGACTATTTGCACATTGGAGTCTGTGGACTAAGATTTTTTTCTTGCTGCTTCTCCAATAATGGAGCTAAAAATGTGGTCCTTCCTTCCTCAGAGAGTTGTAAGAATCAAAACCAAATAATGTACTTCATAGTAAACTGTAAATTATTCTGAAATATAATATATCATTACTGTCATCATCATTATTAACTTTGGCCAAAGTTGATGGGGAAGGAATCTCAAGGGTCCAGATCAGGGGACATTTATAGCAGGAAGGCCAGACCCTTCTGCCAGCCCAAGGAAAAGGGGGAATGTCCACTCCTTGGATAAAGGCCTATAATCCCAATTCACAAATCCTGAAGAAATGGCTCCTTCTCTATTCCTCAACCCCTATGCCCTTCCTCAAGCAAAAGCAGCCTTGTTTCCTAGAGATCTGTCAGATGCTCCTGATGACAAAAGAGAAAGAGGACTTCTGATGGAGAACAGAACCCGAGAACGTGAAGGGTGTTACCACCTCACCCAGGAGGCAGGGCTGAGTCCACTTCACTCAGTCCAGGCTGCCTGGAGCCCACGCCCCACGTAGGAACAAGCTGATCTCCCCCTCCAAAGGAGGCTCTCAGCAAATGGGACCTACATCCCCCCATGGCAACTTACCTTCTTCACTATATTTGGTCCTTAATGGAGACATTGCTTTATGGAAATAAACAATAATTATTTCACATCCATAATCATAGCTTAAAATAATTAGTACATTTATTAAGCACTCACTGGGTGGCAGGGACTTTATTAAAAATGTTAATACCATGTGTCCTCACAAAAATTATCATTATCCTCATTTCTTTTTTTTTTTTCTTTTGAGACAGTCTCACTCAGTCACCCAGGTTGGAGTGCAGTAGCATGATCTCGGCTCACTGCAACCTCCACCTCCGAGGTTCAAGCGACTCTTCTGTCTCAGCCTCCTGAGTAGCTGGGATTACAGGCACTCACCACAATGGCCAGGCAAATTTTTGTATTTTTAGTAGAGAAGGGGTTTCACCATGTTGGCCAGGCTGGTCTCGAACTCCTGACCTCAAGTGATCCGCCCGCCTTGGCCTCCCAAAGTGCTGGGATTATAGGCGTGAGGCACTGCGCTTGCCCTTATTATCCTCATTTCAAAGATGAAGCACCTAAGACTCAGAGAGGCCAGGTGATTTGTCCTAAATCACAAAGCTTGATTGTGGCAAAGTCAGAATTCAAATCTATGACTGCTTGACTTCAGAGGCCAAGCTCTTTTACTCAGTAAGCTATATGGCATCTTATTTTCTGTTTATGTTGTTACAGGCATCGGCCATCTGTTCTACACATGTAGGGCATCTGATGCTTTTTAAAAGAGAAACATTATTATCAAGTCTCATCGGCCTCCTTGTTTTGCATGGTACCATGTTAACTGAAACTCACGGATATCATCACCATGCTCTCACTTTACAATTTTCAGTTGCCATGGAGCTGTGCAAAGTGAGAACAGCCTGTGTTATCCTCGTTGCCATTATCAGAGTATCAGACTGCAATCATGCTGCATAACAGGCCTTTCCAAAACTCAGTGACCTACCACCGAAAGCATTTGATCTGTGTCACTCTTGGGTGTCTGAGGTGGCTGGGGCAGCTCTGTGTCAGGCTGCAGGGCAGCTGTGCTTGGCTCCAAACTCTGGGTTGGGTTCATACCTATGCGTGTGTCTGCACCTTCTTCTTGGACCAGCAGGTAGCAGGGCGTATTCTTCTCGTGGAAGATCCTAGGAGTTCTGTACAAGAGGCCAAGTTGTTCTAGAACATTTAAGGCCTCCGAACACTCTTAGCATCCCATTGGGCAAAACAAGTCAGCTAGCCAAGCTGACATCAATGAGGTGGGAACGTGTACTCCACTCACAGTTGGGGGGCACTGTAAAGTCACATGGAAAAAGGTAGAGATATACAATCCTATTGCAGGGGGTAAAAAAATAAGACCCAGAGCCAGTCAGCCACAGTCAGTGTCTTCACCATCATTACCAGCAGGCTTCTAGCTTGGTTAATAGGTTGGCAGAGAGCAGTCCTGATATCCTTCTGAGGGCTGCAGGGGATACATCAGCCTAAGAGATTACAGATGGCCTCCTCCCTTCCACCTCCTCCTCCTTCCCAGTGATATCTTGGCTTCTCCCTCTGCCTCCAGGCACCCTCCTCTCAACTCCTTCCCTTTCCTTGGCTCTGGCTATTGCAGAGACAGGTTCTCATCAAAACCCAGTTGACCCAAAACAGGACTGCAGCAAAATTCAAAAGCCAATTCACAAAGTAAATAG
The DNA here is from genome assembly GCF_000001405.40 of Homo sapiens. Classification (NCBI taxonomy): domain Eukaryota; kingdom Metazoa; phylum Chordata; class Mammalia; order Primates; family Hominidae; genus Homo; species Homo sapiens. The sequence goes on from NC_000017.11 coordinate 56,724,457, forward strand.
AGTCCCTCAGCTGTGCAGCTATTTCCTGACTTAAACTTCATAACTGTATGAAGTACGCAGGGCTGGACTTGTTTTCCAGGTTCCCACTGTATGGGTGGGAATATTGAAGCTCAGAGAAGATACGATTTGCTAAAAGTCTCATGGGAGCGTCAAAGTGCCCAGCCCAAACTTGAATACAGTTCTTCTCTCTCCAGGCCCTGGTAATGGGAGGAAGGAAAAATCATCAAACCCAGATCCTGAAAACAGCTAGGGTTTGGACAAGTCAGACTCGGTTGGGAGAAACGTCTGGGAAAAGGTGTGTCCCACGAAGATTCCCTGCACACACTTCCCTCCGGAAGTTTGGTCGGCACAGCTGAACATAGTCCAGCTCTCAAAGTCCTCCACTGGGACGTGGCCAGAAGCATCTGGGCTACAAGAATTCAGTGTCCTTCTGAGTGTCTTAAGAAGAGCCGATTTGCATCTGAATTCTAGGAACTGTATGAGTTTATTCACGTCCATCACTAGGCCCAAAGCGGCGTTGTTTTCCATTTCTCCAGGGCCTTTTCTCCAGCCGCCCTTGCTCTCCACCCACCCCATTCCTGCCCCCTCCCACTTTCTCTAGACATGAAGATGGTCTCCTGCCTGATTGGGTTTGAAGTGGAATAAAAATTTTAAACAGACTCCATCCTGCAGACATTTTAGCTACAAAGTGGTATTGCTATGTTTTGGAGATGATAGTAAAATAAGGACTTTTTTTTTTAAAGTTAATGAATTGGCTGACATTATGATGTCAGAAGGACTGGAGCCAAAGGTGTTTTGCTAAAGGGAGTCTCCCCACAGCCCCCACTCCAGACGACACAGCACCCCTGGAGCCCATAGTACTTGTGACTGTTCACGCTGTTTACACACCCAGCTCCGCTGACTGCCTCTTTGTGGGAAGTTGTTTACATGAATTTATTTTGGGAAAATTCCATTAGACAGCACTGGGATTTCTTCACAAATCATTGCCTCTCACTTGTGTCTTGATCAAATCTGGGCAGGCGACTTTTTCTTCAGAGCCCTGTCTCCCTGTGTTTCTATTAGGGATTGAGGGGGTACTCAGGGAGAGGGGACAGAAAGGATAATGAAGTAGCCAGGGATGGCTTGGAAAGAAGAGGCCTGTCTGGTTGGATTAGAAACAACACTTGAGGGACAACAGAGGGGTCTCTACTGGCTTGGGGGCTGCAGACTCACATGCGGTTTTCCAGGCCACAGCCATTCATGGACTTGCCCATCCTGTGCCTGGCCCTGTGTTAAGGTGCTGGGACACAGAGACACATTGCCAATGCTCCATGATTCCAAGAACCCTGGAATTCAATGAAAGAGCAACAGAAACAAGCAATTCCAATCAAATTGTCTTAAGGTCCTTCTTGCCCCACCTGACCCTTGGTTAGGCGTCTGGATCCTGTCTATCAACTCACTTTTGTCATTCTCTCTGTTGAAGGAGAATCCCAAATATTGGATGCACCCCAATTAGCTACCATTGGTTTAACCTCAAATTGACATCACATGTAAACATGCCACCCAGTCACTTCTTTAGTGCTGGAGAAATTCCCTCTTGTCCCCAAAGACAGATTTACCGGATACCTACTTGGTGCCAATGCCTGTGGATTGGAGATCCTGAGACATTGCCCTTGCTCTGCAAGAACTCAGCCTGGACCCAGCAGAGGAGGAAGAGGAACGGGACTGCAGATAAACCACAAAGGAGACACTTGCTCCCAGGTGAGGGAAGCTGGCTGTGGTTCCAGGTGCCCTCCAAGGAGAGCTAGAAGGAAGGGGACAGCTCCTGGAAGTAACCCAGCTCCACTCATGGGTCCAGCCACTCTGTGCCTTCATCTATCCAGCAGGTCTGGCTCCCCTGTCCCAAAACACTTCTCCCAACACACAGACTGCAAAGGTATATGGTCACAGGGTTCACTGAACACCCCTGGGAGGGATCTGCTTCTCTGGGTTTCCTCATTTCTAATCAGAAGGGGCTGCCCCACCAGGTCTGCACATGTGTTAGCCATAAGAACCTCTGTGGAAGCATCTTGGGCGGTGTTAGTGGCCCACATTTACTGAGCACTTACTACACATTAGGCACAGGTCTACGTGTTTCACATGTGTTAATTCACTTAATCCTCACAGCAACCCCATAACAGGTACTTATAGCCATCCACGGGGGACACGTTGCAAGACCCCAGTGGATACCTGAAACCTTGGATAGTACCGAACTCTGTATACAATGTTTTTTCCTATACATACATAACTATGACAAAGTTTAATTTATAAATTGGCACAGTAAGAGATTAACAACAATAATTAATAGGAGAATTATATCAATATACTGTAATAAAAATTACATGAATGTGGTCTCTCTCTCTTTGTATCTATCTCTTTCTGTCTCTCTCTCTCTCTTTCTCTCTCTCAAAATATCTTATTGTACTGGACTCACCCTTCTTCTTGTGACCTGTCAATCTGATAACCAAGACAGCTTCTAAATGAATAACGGGCAGGGAGTGTCTACAGCACAAATAAGCTGGACGAGGGGATGATTCAGGGTGAACTGAGCGGGAGAGTGCGAGATTTCATCACACTACTCAGAATGGCACACAATTTAAAACTTACAAACTGTTTATTTCTGGAATTTTCCATTTAATATTTTTGGATCACAGTTGATCAAGGATAACTGAAACCGTGGAAAGCAAACCCATGAATAAGGGAAGACTACTGTACTACAGATAAGCAAACGTTAAATAATAAGTCACATACCCAAAAAGCCAGTTAAGGAACCAGATAATAGCACAGCTCCTTTTGTGGATGAAAGGGTGGGTCTGCTCCACCTCACAGCTCTCACTCTAGGATCTCAGTGTTGGAAATAAAAGGACTTGCTTTGTGGACACCACTCCATGCCCCTAGGAGGCTCCACTGCCAGGGGCCTGCTAGTAGGGAGGCAGTGGGACAGGGTAGATTGAGCATTCACTTCAGAGTCAGATCTCACTCATATTCCAACTCCATCCCTCAACAATAGGGGAAGTTACTTCAGCAAACTTCTTAAACTTTCCAGATCTTGTTTCCTTCATAGGGCTTCTGTGAATGTTAAATGAGATAATGTATGCACAACACCTAGTGCAGCATTACAGTAGGTATTCAAAAATACAGCAATTGTTATTAAGATGCGTACAAGAGGCAGCATGTTGTAAGATGTTCAAGCAAGATGTGGTGCCATTATGGGCTATTCCTTGAGCCTCAGAGTGGCTCTATTTGGGAGATGGAGACCATCAGAGCAACTGGCCTTACTTTGTTTCATATCCCTCACTGCTCTCAACACATTTCCATGCACATAGCAAGTGCTGTTGAATGAATGATTCGTGGATGGCTCAATTGGTGGGAAGATGGATGGATGGATGGATGGATGGATGGATGGATGGATGGATGGATGGATAGATGAATGGACAAATGGACAGATGGACAGATAGATGGATGGTCTAAATTTGTCAACTCCTTATAAAATATTCCATCATACACCTCTACATGTCTCATTTCAACACCTCAAGGAACACTCCAGTCTTTGACTCCTCCTCATTCTTTCAAACCCGTGACTCATCCTGCCAGATAACCTCGTTGTTGTCTGTCTCCTCAGCCCCTTTGCAATGATGCATTGTTCCACTATCTGGTAGTTCTTGACTCTTGCTCTTCCTCTGAACAGTTTTAGAGCCACACTCTACATCCATGGGCCAGTTCCATCCCAGTTCCCAGTACTATCCTCCAAAACCCCAGCCTGTGCACAGTGTGGTACGGCTGTTGGGAAGGAGGTAATGTCCAGGTATGCATTCCCTGAAGCCCTGGTCCCTGGAGACCTGGGCTGGAACAGTGGTTCCTGTGTGTCTTGGCATTCCATGGCCAGACTCCAGCCACGCACTGAGGTTGTTTCATGCACAGTCCTAAGTGCTCTGTGTTCTGCCTACACAGGAGCCAGGAGCAAACCCAGCCTGAGGCTCTGTCGCCCTCCATTGGCAGTGGCTCCAGCAGAGCATGGAGCCATGGCATGCGATGGCTTCCTAGAAGCCAATGCAGTCCTCCAGCTGCAACAGGTATAGCTGGATTCCCAAGGTCAGGGCTGCCAGTCTGGCACAGTCATGCACCCACCAATATACCATCATAGACTGCTCTCACCATGACCAGTCGCAGAAAATCTACCTGATACCTTAGAGAGTCTGCCCCCTTCCTCTTACAGATGCAGCAATACCAAGAAAACCTCAGGTCCAAGTTCTCAGGGGATCGTGCATGTCACCCTCCCAGTTTTATACCTGGTGGGGAAGATAGAAACGTGGACTTGGCTTTTTTTCCCACAACTGGGGATAATACTGAGGCCAGGTTTAGACTGTGGTGGCATTAATGGGTCTTTGTCTCTTTTAACATCCCAGCCTCAGTTTCTGGAAAGAACAGCCTATGTTTCATAAGAGTTCTGGGTAGTAGGATGCTAATTAGCAATTATAGATTTAATGGGAGGGCATCAGCTCTCACCTGGCTGAAGGTCAGGTCTGTGCAGACAGACACTGATGACAAGCAGCCCTGGCTTAGGGAAAAGGCAGCTTGTCAGTCATGAGTTATCCCCTATACCATGCATTTGAAGCATATCCAGAGGCTGATGTCATGTCACTTGCTACTCACTTTACCTTTGTCACTGGCTTCTCTTTCCCAGAGGCCCTGATCCAACCTTCTCCCAGGAATTCCATTACCTCTGCTTCAGTGCTGCCTTCTCCTGGATGCCACCTCTGTGCTGTCGGTTCCAGAAAAACATGCATTTTATAAGGACATGAAGGTAGGTGCACTGCTCTGGAATCACTTCCATCCAGTTTAACCTGGAGCCCATCTCTGTGATAAGCACACCCACTCCCCTTGCAAACACATCACCGCCAAGTGATCCTGTGGTTTGCCAGGCCCTCCACCTTCCCTGCAGGCTCTTCACCCAGGGACATGTTAGAAAGGAACAAGGAGGTGGGGGTGGGGGGTCACCCTAACGGATAGAGTAGGTGCCTAAATCATCCAGGCAGAAGGTTAGTTCCCAAAGAGACTGTTAGTTGCTGGCTTGGGCTAAGGTTACCTGATTGAACTAAAATGTATGGTTTCTGTCCAACCCCACCTTCCAGGAATAAAAGGGCCTCATGAGGAAGAGAAAATCTATTATACAGAATTGTCCTTGAACTATAATTTCACTGCATATATAATTTTAGTACAAGAAAATGTATGCCCCCACTGAAAACACACAAGCAGCAACCTCAGAGAGGGATGAGAGGGTTAAAGGAGACAGGTGCCCAAGGCTCCTGGCTTTGAGTGAATGCTCAAAAAGTAGCTGCAATTATTATTTTTATCAAAATGAAGTTTATAATGACTCTGCTTTAAACATCATAGAAGTTAAAAGGGACTTTCCCAGGGCTGTGTCTTACCCCACTCACATCAGCGTCCAGGGATGCAGAGAAACGGCCTGACATTCACAGCTTGTCACTCAATTCCATGGCTGGGGCCAGAATCCCCAGTCACTAGCAGTCTCATTGGTGGACTGCAGTCCCAGGTGTTGTGGAAGAGGGCAGGGGATAGAGGAGGGCAGGCACAGTTCAGAAGAGAGCTGCCTACTCTTATTTATGACTTTGACCCTCCCCAGATCCCAGGGACAGAAGTTTAGACTTTCCCCAGTCCAGGCTGGCTAAGGGCAAGATGAATAGCAGAGCACCTGGGCTATGCAGAGGAAGCCACCAGGTATATTAAAGAGCTGGGTTCCAGGGAGCTAGTAATGTTCTGTTCTCAATCTGGGTGCTGGTTACAAAGGTGTGATAACTTTCTAAAAAATCCTCAGGTTGTATATTTAGGATTTGTGCAGTTTTCTGCACTTACACTTTGATTAAAGATTTCTTTTTAAAAATCACCAAAAACCAAATACCCTCCCACACAACCTCTGGATTCTTCCCTGCACCCAACCTCTGGATTCTTCCCTGCACCCAACCTGCTAGGCAGAGATGAGCATCCTTGCAGCTGTTGCTGTAAATTGTCCAGTTTGTTTATTGATCTACTTAAGAAACAGAATCCCATTCTGTTGCCTAGGCTGGAGTGCATAGCTCACTGCAGCCTCAAACTCCTGGGCTCAAGCGATCCTCCCATCTCAGCCTCCAAAGTGGCTGGGACTACAGGTGCATGCCAGCATGCCTGGCTATAAATTGTCCAGTTTAATCCAAGTTATCGAGAGATTGGGTCAGGCCAGTCAGGACTCCCATGGGATATCTTACTCTTTCACTACAAAACTCAGAGTCTGACCTTGATTCATTCTTTCATTCATTTCACATGTTTATATGCACCACATGTTTATACTCATCAGATGCTAAACTGGACTCCCCATCCCTTACCCTGAAACCTGCCTGACCTCCATGAGCCAATACATCACCATCTACCCAGACACAGAGTCCAGGAGTTGTGATTCCACCTCTAGTCTACCCCACCTTCCTGGTTTACAAGAACCAATCAGTTATGCTCCAAATTCTGCTTTGGAAAATTCATCAGACTCCATCTCTTCCTCTCCAACCGCAGGGCGTGTCCCTCATACTCTCACACATGGGTCATTACAGTGGCCTCCTACCTTGTATCTCTGTCTGCAGCCTTCATGGCCTTGAAGATGACCTCTGATATGGTTTGGCTGTGTCCCCACCCAAATCTCATCTTGAGTTATAGCTCCCATAATTTCCACATGTTGTGGGAGGGACTCAGTGGGAGGTAATTGTGTCATGGGGGCAGGTCTTTCCCGTGCTGTTCTCGTGATGGTGAATAAGTCTCACAAGATCTGACGGTTTTATAAAGGGGAGTTCCCCTGCACATATTCTCTTTGCCTGCTGCCACGTAAGACATAACTTTACTCTTCCTTCGCCTTCCACCATGGTTGTGAGGCCTCCCCAGCCATGTGGATCTGTGAGTCATTTAAACCTCTTTCCTTTATAAATTACCCAGTCTCAGGTATATCTTTATTAGCAGCATGAGAATGGACTAATACAACTTCCTATGCCATCATCAGAGATAGGGTCATTCATCATCCAAGACCATCAATGCCTCCTGACTGCCCATGGGGAGAGGGTCTACATCCCTTTACTTGCCAACAAGGCCCTTCGTGATCCAAGTGCACCTCCCACTGCATTCCTCCATTCACCTACCACTGACTATTATGGGCCACTCTCCACTCCCCCATGGACATGTAATACATTTTTATTTCCATGACTTGGCTCACACTATTCTTCCAATACCAGATACTCTCCCCACTTCCCCATCTTTTGACACTTCCCTCAGCCTCCAGTGCTCTGCTCAGAAGTGACCTCCTTTGAGAAGCCTTCCCTAATCCCTTGGTCAGCCTTAATTGCCTCTTCACTCAGCATCTACCACATGCTGGTAGTCCTTTAATACCATTTTGCCTTGTCTTGCCATGATTGTTACACAATCAGAAACACCAGCTGGGTCTCCCTACAAGATAGTTCCAGAAGCTGGACCTTTCCAGCCACTTCCAAGACTGCTGGACACTCTGTCCAAGCCATCACATCTCTTGCTGGGATTTTCACAATTGTCCCCTAATTGTTCTCCTTTTATTCTGGCCTCCTCTTCCACAAGATCTCTTCTTTAAAGACTGGTGCTGCTAAAGATCTCAGGGCATATTAATCTTCAGTGCAAAGTCTCTCTCAGAATAAAATCCCAAGTCCTCACCATGGGATGCAAGGTTCCTGGATCCATAAACCAAAACCAAGGCAACTCTCTCCAAGGTCCTACAGGATGGGTCCCAGTCACCTCTCTCCAAGGTCCTATAGGATGGGTCCCAGTTACCTTTCCACAAGGTCCTATAGGATGGTCACCTGTCTCCAAGGTCCTATGGGACAGGGCCCTGTCACCTCTCTACAAGGTCCTATGGGATGGGCCCTGTCGCTTGTCTACAAGGTCCTATGGGATGGGCCCTGTCACCTGTCTACAGGGTCCTATAGGACAGGGTCCTGTCACCTCTCTACAAGGTCCTATGGGACAGGGCCCTGTCACCTCTCTACAGGCTTCTCCTCAGCAAGGGCCAGCCATCTCTCTGACCTCAGCTCCTGCCTCCACCCAGCCCCATTTCATCCTATAGGATGGGTCCAGTCACTTCTCTCCAAGGATGGGTGCCACTCACCTCTCTACAAGATCCTATAGGATGGGCCCAGTTACCTTTCCACAAGGTCCTATAGGATGGGTCCAGTCACTTCTCTCCAAGGATGGGTCCCACTCACCTCTCTACAAGATCCTGTAGGATGGGCCCAGTTACCTTTCCACAAGGTCCTATAGGATGGGTCCAGTCACTTCTCTACAAGGTCCTATGAGACAGAGCCCAGTCACCTCTCTACAAGGTCCCATGGGATGGGCCCAGTCACCTCTCTACAAGGTCCTATAGAACAGGACCCAGTCACATCTCTATGAGGTCCTATGGGACAGGTCCCTATCACCTCTCTACAAGGTCCTATAGGACAGGTCCTTGTTACCTGTCTCCAAGGTCCTATGGGATGGGTTCCTATCACCTCTCTATAAGGTCCTAAAGGAAGGGGCCCAGTCACCTCTCTACAAGGTCCTGTGAGACAGGGCCCAGTCATCTCTCTGCAAGGTCCTACAGGAAGGGGCCCTGTGGCCTGTCTCCAAGGTCCCATGGGATGGGTTCCTATCACCTCACTACAAGGTCTTATGGGATGGGCCTAGTCACCTCTCTACAAAGTCCTATGGGATAAGCCCTGTCACCTGTTTACAAGGTCCTATGGGATAGGGCTCTGTCACCTCTCTACAAGGTCTTATGGGATGGGCCCTGTCACCTGTCTACAAGGTCCTATGAGACAGGGCCCTGTCACCTCTCTGCAAAGTCCTATGGGATGGGCCCTGTCACCTGTCTACAACGTCCTATGGGACAGCGCCCTGTCACTTGTCTACAAAGTCCTATGGGACAGGGCCCTGTCACCTCTCTACAAAGTCCTATGGGACAGGGCTCTGTCACCTCTCTACAAGGTCCTATGGGACAGAGCCCTATCACCTGTCTACAGGGTCCTATGGGACAGGGCCCTGTCACTTGTCTACAAAGTCCTATGGGACAGGGCCCTGTCACCTCTCTACAAAGTCCTATGGGACAGGGCCCTGTCACCTCTCTACAAGGTCCTATGGGACAGGGCCCTGTCACCTGTCTACAAGGTCCTATGGGACAGGGCCCTGTCACCTCTCTACAAGGTCCTATGGGATGGGCCCTGTCACTTGTCTACAAGGTCCTATGGGATGGGCCCTGTCACCTGTCTACAGGGTCCTATAGGACAGGGCCCTGTCACCTCTCTACAAGGTCCTACGGGACAGGGCCCTGTCACCTCTCTACAGGCTTCTCCTCAGCAAGGGCCAGCCATCTCTCTGACCTCAGCTCCTGCCTCCATCCAGCCCCAACTCATTCATGTGGACCCTTAGCCCCTGGGTGAGTCCTCAACCACACCAACATGATCACGCTACCACTTCAGAGCCTTGATGTTTGCTGTTCCCTCCACCTGGCAAGTCCTGACTCCTCTTCTTGCTGCTCCTCTGAGTCATTCATTCTCATGCATCGTAAGAGAGGCTTTACCGCATTTCTCCTCAACCCTCCCCTCATACTCCACTTTCCTGCTTAGTTCTCCACAGCGCCTACAGCCCCTAATATGCTATGTGTTTCTCTCTTAGTGTTTGTTGACGGGGATCAGAGTTTCAGCTCCCTGAGAGCAGAGACCTCATTTTATTAGCTGTTTTTTCCAGGGCCAAAAACAGCACTTGGCTCATAGGAGATGCCCAGTTATTATTGTGGAGTGAATGAATGAATGATGCACACATCTGTTTCCCCTCACTATATGATGTTAGTAAGAAATATTTTGGCTTGCCAGGACAGAAAGCCAATTTAAACTAGCCCAAACAAGAAGGGACATGGATTGGCTCAAGGAATCCATAGACAGAGTCCACATGGCAGGAGATACAGAAGGTGGCAATTCTCAAGGTTTATATCTAATAGCTTGAGCTGCCAGAGAATAAGTCACTCAGTTTCATTTCCAAAAATCCCAAGGAAGAAAACTGATGCATGCTGCTCAGGTCAGGCATCCATCCCTGGACCAATCAACTGTGGGCCGGGGCAGTGCCACAGCCTTCATGTGAATAAGGGAGGGAGGGAAGGATAGTGCCCAAAAGATGAGGGCATGGGGGGAGGGGAAGCTGGGCAGACAAGCCCAGAGATGCCCATGATAAACCAGTGACCTTAAGTCTTAGCAACCCTTGCATACCCCAGAAAAGTCTAGCACCGTGCTTGCCTTTCAGTAGGACACTTTAGTAAGTGTCTGCTGTTGTTGAATCACCAGTGCTGCTATTGTATCTATTACTCTTTGAGAAGCAGGATGGAGGAAGTCAATTATATAGGAGGCCTGATGCTTGCCCTCAGAGAGCTTACAACCAACTATATTATTTCCAAGTTTGTTCTAGTGGCAGAAGCCTTTCTGCTGAGGCCTAAGTGTAAAACAGCTCATGATGGTGATCAGGGGATGGTTGAAGCAAGAGATGGAGGTGGGGGGGTCCTCTGTTCATCTGTTTATCCTTCCAGGCCTTGCCATCCCCCACCCCCAGGAGAATCAGGCTCTGCACAGAAACCATAGGACCCCATAGATCCCCGTTTGAAACCCACCATCTCGGACCATGAGTGCCCTATGGGCAAGTTTATGTCTTTTTCATCTTTCTGTCCCCAGCCCCCAGCTCAATACAGAATATATGTATGTATTGGTTGATTCTTTCAGTGAAAGATTGAAAGATTTCAATCTCTTGTGAAATACCTGAAGAATCATCATCACAAAGCACATGAGCAAACGCATAGTTTTTAGTTTTATATCTCTTTTAAGTTTCATAGATATTTGGCCCAAAGAAAGCCCTCAAAGTTGGGTAGAGAAAAGCCATGAGGGCTTCCTGGAAGAAAAGGCTTTTGAGCTAGATTCTGAAGGAAGCATAGTAAAACAGAGAAAAAGCAGGGAGAAAATTCAATGAGGAGAGCCCACAGGAACAAAGACATGGAATCAGGATGGAGCTTCACCCATGTGGGGCAAACCCTGGGCTCAAATAGGGGGTTAATAACAAGTGAAGTTGGTACCACACATTTATTCTTTTTTTTCTTTTACACTTCCCAGAGCTTCAGTGGAGGCAGATGGGGGTCCAGCAAGAATGCCAAAGCAGCCATCTCATGATGTTTGACAACATTCATCTGAGCTGTTTCATGTTTAACATGTCTTCCAACTCTGTAAAATTACAGAATGGAATATGAAAGATGGCATTTTATTCTATGGCTGGTGAAAAGGATGAAAAAAGACACCACTTGTTTTTTTTCATTCATGCAGCTGATATTGGTTGAGCACCTATTATGTTCTTAAGCACGATGCTAGACGCAAGCGATATCAAGTTGGCTAAGACTCTCCAACAACCATGCTTTGGGCTGATAGATGTGTGAACAAATAACTACTGGTGGTGATCGCTGTAATGGAAGAAGGTGACACAGGTGCAGAGGAGGAAATGGCTAACTGCCAGAGAAGCCAGATAAGACCTCAAGGTAGAAGCAACCTCTGAACTGAATCTTGGGTTTTTTTCTGTAAAGGACCATACAGTAAATATCTGAAGCTTTGCAGGCCGTACAGTCTCTGCTGCAACTACTCAACTCTGCCACTGTAACACGAGGTCAGCCATAGACAATAGATAAATGAATGGGTGCAACTGTGCACCAAAATGACATTATTTATGGACACAGAAATTTAAATTCTCTATAACTTTCATGAGTCATGAAACGTCATTTTTCTTCTGGTATTTTTTCGGCCATTAAAAAATACATTTTTCACCAACCTGATGCTTAAAAATGAAAATACAAAAACTTTCTTGGCTCTTGGGCCACAGGAAACCAGGTAGAGGGACAGATGTGATCCACGGGCTGTGATTTGCAGACCCCTGTCTTAAAGGCTGAATTGGCATACCCCTGGTGAAGATGGAGGTATGAGTTAGTAACGAGAGTAAAGGGGGGTCTCTGCAGTGTAAGGTCCTTAGCAAAGTCTCAGAAACACATAAAGATTGAGTCTATTTGGGAAATTGAGGTCGTTGTGAGAGTGAGGCCTGGGGTCCGGATCGAAACTGGAAAAGTCAATAGTCAACAGTTTTTATATGCCCACTGTTGAACACATCATTATTTTAAAATATTACTACATAAAATTACAATTAAATAAATTACATTTAAAAGAAAACTGGCCGGGTTCAGTGGCTCACGCCATAATCCCAACACTTTGAGAGGCCAAGATAGGCAGATTGCTTGAGCCCAAGACCAGCCTGGGCAACATAGCAAAACCTCGTCTTTACTAAAATTACAAAAATTATCCAGGAGTGTTGGTGTGCCTGTAGTCCAAGCTACTTGGGAGGCTGAGCTGGGAGGATGGCTTAAGCCCAGGAGATGAAGGTTGCGGTGAGCTGTGATCACGCCACTGCACTCTAGCCTGGATGACAGAGAAGAACCTGTCTCAAAACAAGAAAACACACACACAAAACAAAGGTAATAAATACTCAAAAACTCATCACTTCCTCATTATTTCTGATATTTTACTATTATCTTTGCCTTTGAGATTATTTACCTCGAGTGCGTCCACATAATGGAGATGCCATGACATGCTACTGTGTTTCTCTTCCCAACTCTGTATTCTGCTACTTCACATGGGTAGCTTGACATTGGCCATGATGGGGATATTTACACTGCAGGAATTGACAAACGCTACAATGTAGGGCTTCTTTTTAGTCCCCCAGAGAATCAGTGGTTAAGCCTTTACCACTGACTGCAAGCAAAAGAAAATTAAGTCCAGGACTTAAGTAATGATGGCAAAAGTGGAGAGAAGGGGGATAACTGGGATAGAATTAGACTCAACCGGGTAGCTTTGGAGGAATGAGGAAGAAGCGGAAGAGAAGGATACCTCCAAGCCCGAGAAAGCTATTTATAAAGAAGCACTTTGAGAACTAGACTTGGCTCGGCACTTCCTCCACACGCCTTCTCATTGGACAACCCCAGAAGTAAGTGTGAGAGCTCCGAGCCCCAGGCCCCTGGCAGCTGGCGCAGCAGCAGGAGGCACAGAACCCTTGTCTAAGATCACCCGAGGAGGTGCTGCTATGGCCAAGCCCCCAGCCTTCCAATCCCCCTGCACCACAGGCCCTTGTCTGTGTATGTTTACATCTCATATATAGCCCCGTGCAGAGCTGTGTGGGCACCCGCAGTGCTCCACGAGCGGTCTGTGTGTATTTATAACCACACAGCCATGTGTGGACAGCCCCACATATAGATCTCACCTCCATCACTTCACACATCCCCGAGGTGCCTGGGGCCTGCTTCCTGACCTCACATCGGGGGCTGTGGGCCTGCTAATTGACTCTGATGGGAACTGTGCCCTGCCAGCCAAAGGCATGCAGCCCACCTCCCACAGCCAGCGCCTGCTACCTCCCACGGCCCTTGGGGGCCGGACCTTCCTGGTAAAGCTGTGTGAGAGGCAGCCATAAACATGCCGCAGGCTGACCTGCATATGGAAATGAGGCTCGCGGTTTGCCTGGCGCCCAGCCACAGGCCTGTGGCCTTGCTACTGCCAAGTATCTTTAGCATGAACTTCGTTCACTTTGCCCCCCTCCACTCCTTTTCAGTCCCTCTCATCTCCTGCCTTGTCTTACTCTCAGTTTGGGGTGCCTCTTTCCAGGCTGGGGTCTTATCCTCAAGACTGCATGGAGGGCTTGGCCTCATCACACCCCATCTGATGATAAGAACAACAACAACATAATCATAGCTTGCAATTTCTGTGCTAGGCATTTCATGTCCATTATCTCGCTGAATACACATGGAGGCCCCGTTTTACAAACAAGGAACCTAAGACTGTAAGAGGGTCATTTGGTGGGGAGATTAGGACTGAAGAGGTCAAGGTTGGCAGATTGGTTGGGGCTCCCTGAGCTGCACATGCCATGCTGGAAGGGCCTCTGGGTGCAGGAGAAAGACATGGAGGCCATCACTAGGCCAGCAATGGCCAAATAGAGAGAAGGGGATGATTGGCATAGACTCAACATCAACCAGGTAGCTTGGCAGGATGAGGGAGAAGGAAGAGGAAAAGAAGGATGCCTCCAAGCCAGAGAAAGAGCTATTTATAGAGGACAGTCAGTCTTTTTCCAATTAAGAGTGGGGCAAAGGCCATTCAGGAGGCTGTAATGAGAGGAAGATGCCACCCTGGGGGCACAGGCTGCTCCTGGTTGGGCAAGGTGCTTACTCTTAGACAGTGCCAGTCTCAGCTTCCTAAGGGATCTGATCTGGAAGCTCACATTGAAGACATGGCCCAAACAGCTGCCCTGGACGTGCTTCAGGAATGTCAGTCCATCATTTCCTCACCATTTCACAGAATTCCCTGAGGTAGGATCCAACCACCTTGGGGAGAGGAGATGGGAGAGGTAGCCATAAGACTTCTCTTGTTGTCAATGAACAGCGGCCTAGGGAGGCTTTCCTGAGCTTTGTTCTCTCAATGCCCCGACATAGGCTGAAGTTAACCGAGGCTGGAGTTGTGGTCATCTCCTACTTTCATTTGGCATGTCATTGTCCTTTGCAGGCCTACCCTTGCCCATAAGTATGTATGTCAGCCCCTCCCTCCCTCCTTCCTTACCTTTTTCTTTCCTCCCTCTCTTCTTCCTATTCCTTGTTTCTACAATTTAACAGAATATTCTTTTTTGAGTTGAAGCACTATCAATGTCCTTATGACCTCCATTGATTTGCTCCTATGTCTGCCCTCTGGGGCCCTAGCTACCCTATGGAATAGGTTCTTTTGCTATCCCCATTTTAGATATGGAGAATCGGAGGCTCAGGAGGATTAAGTAACTTGCCCCATGTTTCACAGTCAACAGGTAGCAGAGCTAGGAATTGGACCCAGGTAGCCTGATGCAAAAGCCAGTTCTCTTAACCACCAGGATGCACTGGTTTTTCTCTGTCTTCCATTGGCAAATCTTCAAATACCTTCTCAAAGGTCATCCCATCCAGCCCCCTGCTTTTAAGCAGGAATGCCTTAACCATGAATGTCCACTTTATGTCTTTCAGAGGCCTTAGAGATTCAACCACAAAAGAGAGATAGTGAAATAAACTATGCTGAGCATCACCAGGAACCATGTGCACCATCTAGTTACATTACTTGCAGTCACCCATTTGGGGATCTTCCCTAAATCAGCCTCCCATCCCTCCTAGTGCTCCTGCAGCATGTCTCCCCTAATTCTGTGCTGGTAGGTCCCCACTGCAGACCCTCCATCCCCCACTCCCAAGCGTTGGGCCATAATAAACCCAGCTGAAATGCAAGCCCAAGCCCTGCCCATTGTCATCACAGTAAACAGCCTGGACCCGAAGGCTGCCTCCCTCACTCCCCAGAAGATTAATAAATCAGATTCAGACGCCTATTGTTCTGGACACAGTCAGAATCAATTGCAGGATTTTAAATCTCTCAGCACAGAGCAGCTGGCTGGCAACAAGAGGCCCCGCTATGTCTCTGGGAAAGCTGGCCAGGGATGGAAATAAGAAAGAGTAAAAGGGAAGACCAAATAATCAATAGTTACCATGCGCTCTTGGCTATCACACGGTATTGCTCAGGAGGCTGGTCCCTAACTTTATTGTGAGTCACACATAGTAAAAGGACGAGGAGGAGGCAGAAAGTCCAGCTGGGAAGAGAGGACGCCAGAAAGAGCCAGGTCTGGTGGACCCAGGGTTAGCCCTCAGATGGGTAGGACTGCTCCACACCCACCTCCTAACCTCACCGATGGCTAATTTCATCTGCAAATGTTTGAATCTCTCAAAAGTGAGCACTCACTGCCCAAAGCCGCACAGTGAATTCTAGCTTAGGATCCCAGAATTCCCAAGAAGAATTCATAGAAATCCTTGTATCTTAGACTCATTCCCACTCCCTTGCCACCCGCAACTCCTAGACTTTGGTTTTGTTGTCTTGTTGTTGTTGTTGTTGTTTTATAATCCCTTACTCCCATGGGAGATATAGTGTGCCCGCCACTGCCGCCTGAGTGGCTGCTAGCATTTTCCCTAGCTGTTTATGTGGAAAATCATAAAAATATTTGGTGGCCAAAAAAAGAGAGGAGAAATGCTTTGGTGGTCTGATGCAACAGAATTCCTTTGGTGGGGGAAGGAAGCTGGATGTTTTATTCTAATCCAAAAGCATGCATAAATGCTGTATTGATTGAAGAGTACCAGGTAGAATGCACGTTCTTCTCAGAGACCTTCCCCCCACCCAACCCTCTCCAAGAAGACAAAAGCACTGTTGGCAGCTGGCAGAATGTAAGTCACTTATAACCCAGTCACAAGGTTTGGGAAGAGCTGAAAGCAGAAATTCTTGCAGGCTGCGCTCTGCCCTGAGTGTGGTATTATGCTCCTGCCCTGGTGGCCTAATTCGCTCGGCTGCAAGAGGAGGCAAGGATGCTGATGTTAATGATGGTGATGGTTGTGGTGGTGATCCAGATATTGCTGTTGTTACTGCAGCTGATGCTGATTTTTTTTTATGCGCTGCATGTTATGTTTTAGTTATGAAGCCTCTCTGTATACATTCTCTCCTTCGATGCTCATAGTGACTCTCCATGGGAGGCAGATCAGGTATCATATCACATCACACCCATTTCACAGAGGAAAATGAAGCCCACAGAGACAAAGTGTCTTGCCCAAGAGAACACAACTTGCCAATGCCAAACCCTGCAAATCAGCTTTACACCATGTTGACTTGAACTCTGAACAGCACGGTCCAAGAGAGTGGTAATGCAATCTACATATGGCATTTAATATTTTCCAGCAGCCACATTTTTAAGGTTATAAGAAAGCAAGTATATATAATATAACCCAATATATCCAAAATATTATCATTTCAACATGTAATCAATGCAGTTGTCATTAATGTGATGTTTTACATTCTTTGTTTTCATACTAGATATTTGAAATCTGATGGGTATTTTTCACTTTGAGCACACCTCATTTTAGACTAGCCACATGTGGCTGATGGCTATGTTACTGGCCAGCCCAAATCTACAAGGACTTGACAGTGTCTTTGATGCCAAGTGTATTTTTTGAGAAAAACCTCAAAGAGAGGAAAGCAGGATCATTGCTTGATTCAACTTTATTCATTAAGAGGAAAAACTTTCATCTCAACTTCACCTCTTTCTAGACATTCAGACAAGGTACAAAAATTATTTCAGTTGACAAACTGTATTTTTCCTCTTCTTTCCATCCTCTTTTCCTTCTTCTCTTCTTTAATCATCATCTGCTAAAACATCTAATCCAGATATTAGCACTGAGTGATTAGCAGTTATCTACAAGCAGCAACTTGGTCTACTTTTTGAACTGCACCCTAATTATACATAGTGCTACATGAGGCACAGGGCAGAAATAATGATCCCTCCAAGAACACCGGGCACTAGAAAAGGAGGAGGAGGGAGAGAGGTCACTAGAAAAGGAGGAGGCAGGGAAGGAAGGAGGGAGGGAGGGAGGGAGGGAAAGGAGGAAGGAAAAAAAACATACCAGGTTCAATAGTGCCCCACCCCACAAAACTTATGTTCACCCAGAGCCTCAGAATGTGAACTTATTTAAAACTAGAGTTTTTGCACATGTAATTAGTTAAGATAAGGACATTGTCGTGGGCCCTAAACCAATGACTGATGTCCTTAAAAGAAAGATATGTGGACACACACAGAAGACACAAGTAAGAACACCGTATTAGTCCATTCTCACACTGCTAATAAAGACATACCAGAGCCTGGGTAATTTATAAAGGAAAGAAGTTTAATGGATTCACAGTTCCACATGGCTGGGGAGGTCTCACAATCATGGCTGAGGATGAAGGAAGAGCAAAGAGATGTCCTACATCGGGGTGGGCAAAAAAGAGCATGTGCAGTGGAACTCCCCTTTATAAAACCATCAGATCTCATGAGACTTATTCACTATCACAAGAACAGTATGGGGAATGTGCCCCCATGATTCAATTATCTCCACCTGGCCCCATCCTTGACATGTGGGGATTATTACAATTCAAAATGAGATTTGGGTGGGGACACAGCCAAACCATATCAAACACTATGTAAAGATGGAAGTAGGGATTGAGCAATGTGTCTACAAGCTGCCTTTGATCACAAGAAGCTAGGAGAGAGGCATGGAACAGATGCTCCTTCAGAGCCTCCAGATGAATCAACCCCACCAGCCTCTTGATTTCGGACTCCAGGTCTCCAGAACTGTGAGAGAATACATTCCTGTTGTTTTAAGCCACCTAGTATGTGGCAATTTGTTATTGCAGCCCTAGGGGACTGATACAGAAAGGAAGTGCCAAACCAGGCATGCATTCTTGTAAAAAATCTGTAAAGACACGTGATCAAAAAAAGTCTGCAGTTGAGAACATGAACTTAGGGGCAGCTTCCCTATCCACTCTCCCCGTTGTTCGTGAAATCATATCAGCTTCCCTCACCTTCCCCGCTCTCAGTTGCCCATTCTGGTAACTGGAGCCCCAGGTTTCCTATGAAAAGGTACAGCCTTAAAATGAAGGGTTTAAGTAATTCAAATATTGTCCTATAAAAGAGGGAACTACTTATTCTGGGTGACTTTTGAGGACAGGGTAAAGACCAAACAGTAAAAGAGAGGAAAACAAATTTCAACTCTGCTTGTAGAATTGTTGGACAAGCAGAACTGATCCATGGTAAGAGGGATGCCTGGCATGCATGCCTCTAATGAAAGCTGGTCCTGGGGGCATCATAAGGAAGTTAGGGGGATTTCTGCCATCATCAAAGGAATTTCTATTCAAAAAGGAAAATAAACTGGATGGTCGCAGGGCCCTCTTCCATCTGAAAGCTGACTATTTGATTCTGAGTCAGAATAGAAGGCAGCACACTCTGAAGAGGTTGAGGGAGACAGTGACTCTCTCACAGGCCAGACTCAGATGAGACACTGACATGGATCATATATGGATGGGACACTGATGCAGAACTTATACAGATGGGACACTGACGCAGACAGTATATGGATGGGACACGGATGCGGACCTTATACAGATGGGACACTGACACAGACTGTATACCGATAGGACACTGACACAGACTGTATACAGATGAGACCCTGATGTGGACCGTATACGGATGAGACACCGACAGATTGTATACAGGTGGAACGCCGACACAGACCATATACGACATGGGCCATATACAGATGGGACACTGACACAGATGGTATACGGATGGGACACTGATGCGGACGGTATACAGATGGGACACTGACACAGACCATATATGGATAGGACACTGACACGGACGTATACGGATGGGACACTGACGCGGACCGTATACTTACGGGACACTGACGCGGACCGTATACAGATGGGACACTGACGCGGACCTTATACGGACGGGACACTGACGCGGACAGTATTCGGACAGGACACTGACTCGGACCGTATACGGATGGAACACTGACGCGGACCGCATATGGATGGGACACTGACGGGGACCTTATATGGATGGGACACTGATGCAAACTGTATATGCATGGGATGCCAACACGGACTGTATACAACACAGACCATATACGGATGGGACACTGACGCAGACCATATACAGGTGGGACACTGACGTGGACTAGATACAGGTGAGAATCAGGGTCTGCTGGGCCCTGACCTCCAGAAGACATGGCCCTCTTTCCATAACACATGACCGTGTCCCTAGCCTTGGCTGATCAGAGTCTCAACTGTTTTGACTAATGTGGAGAGTACCCATATTGCTGCAGGGGCTACAGCAGAAAGTTGGTTGTATAACTGGGACCACAACAAGTTATAGCCATGTGCAAGTTAAATTTAAAGGTAAGCAGGAAATATGAGTAAACAAGCAAACCAAAAAAAGCCAGGAAAGAGCAGAAAGAAACAGACTTCCAGTGCTCTGCTTATTTATTTTTGCATATCAAACTACTCTGAAACTTAGTGGCTCAAAACAACAACTTTTTCTGCTGGGCTTGGTGGCTCACGCCCGTAACCCCAGCACTTTGGAAGGCCGAGGCGGGAAGATCAGCTGAGGTCAGGAGTTCAAGACCAGCTGGCCAACACGGCCAAACCCTGTCTCTACTAAAAATACAAAAATTAGCCAGGCATGGTGGGGCGCGCCTGTAATCCCAACTACTTTGGAGGCTGAGGCAGTAGAATCGAGAACCAACCCGGGAGGCAGAGGTTGCAGTGAGCTGAGATTGCGCCATTGCACTCCAGCCTGGGTGACAAAGCAAGACGCCGTCTCAAAAAAAAACCATTTCCTTCTGTTTCATGAATGTGTGGGTTAGGAATTCAGACAAGGCTCAGCTGGGTGGGTCTTCTGTTCTACGTGGAATAGCAGAAGTCACTCCATCGTAGTCAGCTGGCAGATGGGCTGGTGCAGCATGTCCAGGATGACTTCATTCACATCTGGCACCATGGCAGGGACAGCTGAAAGGCCTGGCTCAGCTGAGGCTGTAAACCAGAGTGCCTCCCTGTGGTCTTTCCAACATGGCCTCTCAGGGTAGCTGGACTTCTTATGAGATGGGTCAGGGTTCCAAGAGCCAGTGTTTCAGTAAAGAAAGTAGAATTTGCATGGCCTTGTAAGGCCCAGCCTTAGAAGTCACATGGCATCACTTCTGAGATACTCTATTTGTTGAAGCAGTCATAAGCCCATCCAGATTCCAGAGGCAGCGATATAGGTCCCACCTCTCTATGGGAGGAGGGTCAAATAATTTGTGACCATGATTTAAAACCACCATCCATCCAGGGAGGAAAAAGAGATAGGAAGAGTTGCTTTCTACTTCACAGTTCTCATGAGATAGCCTCATCCTTAAAAATAAACCCTCTTGGCAGGGCGCAGTGGCTCATGCCTGTAATCCCAGCACTTTGGGAGGCCGAGGCAGGCAGATGACCTGAGGTCGGGAGTTCGAGACCAGCCTGACCAACATGGAGAAACCCCATCTCTACTAAAAATACAAAATTAGCCGGGCGTGGTGGCACATGCCTGTGATCCCAGCTATTCAGGAGGCCGAGGCAGGAGAATCGCTTGAACCCGGGAGGAAGAGGTTGTGGTGAGCCGAGGTCGCACCATTGCACTCCAGCCTGGGCAACAAGAGAGAAACTCTGTCTCAAAAAATAACAATAATAATAATAAACCCTGTTTTTGCTTGGCTAACGTCAGTAGGTGTCTGTTCCTGCAACCAAAGTAGTCCTATTATGGGCAAAATTCTGTCTCTCAAATATTCATATATTGAAGACCTAACCTCGAGTACTTCAAAATGTAACTGTATTTGGAGATAGGGTGTTTAAAGAGGTTAAGTTAAAATGAGCTCATTAGCATGGGCCTTTACCTAATATAATCAGTGTCCTTACAAGGAGAGGAAATTTAGGATGGGCACAGTGGTTCATACGTGTAATCCCAGTACTTTGGGAGGCTGAGGCAGGAGGATCACTTGAGCCCAGAAGTTTGAGACCAGCCTGGGCAACATAATGAGACCTTGTCTCTTTAAAAAAAAAAAAAAAGAAAGAAAGAAAGAAAAAGTAAAAAAACCATTAGCCCAGTGGGATCCCAGCTGCTTGAGAGGCTGAGGCGGAAGGATTGCTTGAGCCAGGCAGTGGGGAGGTCGAGGCGCCACTGCACTCCAGCCTGGGAGACAAAAGAAAAAAAAAATGAAATTTAAACACAGAGGGAGGACCAAAAACCAAACACCGCATGTTCTCACTCATAGGTGGGAATCAAACAATGAGAACACATGGACACAGGAAGGGGAACATCACACAATGGGGCCTGTTGTGGGGTGGGGGGAGGGGGGAGGGACAGCATTAGGAGATATACCTAATGTTAAATGACGAGTTAATGGGTGCAGCACACCAACATGGCACACGTATACATACATAACAAACCTGCACGTTGTGCACATGCACCCTAAAATTTAAAGTATAATAAAAAAAAGAAAAAAAAAGACATGGGGAGAAGAAGATGGCCATCTACAAGCCAAAGAAAGAGGTCCCAGCAGAAACTGCCCCTGCCCACACTTTGATTTTGTACTTCCAGCCCCCAGAACTATGAGAAATTAATTTCTGTTGTTTAAGCCACCCAGTCTGTGGTACTTTGTTATGGTAGCCCTAGCTCACTAATACAAGCCCTGACAAAACAAATATGCCAGTGTATGTATCTTGGTGCTAATACAAGCAATAGGGAGTCTGGCCCTGCAAGCCTACTAGTTAGAGCAGGGTATGGCCCAAGCCTAGGTAGCTCCAGTGTGCTGCAAGACATGAAGTATTCTCTTGGCATGGGTTGGCTGCCTCTTCAGTGTGCATCCACTGGAATCAGGACATATGGAACGGGTGATTCATTTCTTCCATCTCTACTCCTGGCAAATAAAAGCATTTACTATCACCTCTACAAAGGCAGCAGCATGTTTTTCTTTGCAAAAAGGAACACTGTCCTGGTTCAGCTTTCTTACAAACACAGACACGTGAGTGAGAATGTGCGTGCATGTGCACACACACACACACACACACACACATGCACACATACACTAGCCTTCTATGTCTATGTTCCCTTTCTAACATACTTTCTTCCCTATTCCATCACCAATGCTCAGCAACTGGGAGTCAAGAAACCTTGGTTTGGTCCCAGTTATACGAAATCTGACTTAATTTTCTTAGATTTCTGTTTGTTCAGCTTTAAAATGAAAGGATTGGCCCATCAATGATTTCTAAGATGACTTTTCACACTTAAGACTCGTGGTTCTGCAATCTCAACACAGTGAAGGTGCACTAGGCACCTTCAACACAGTGAAGGTGCATTAGGGCAATAAGGGTTCTGCTGCTTATTAGCCATGAGCAGTTCACTTCACTTCTCCCAGCCTCAATTTCCTCCACTGTGAAATGTACTTAAAGGTGTCTGGGGACCCTCTGACAGTCTGACCCAAGACCTACTCTTTATCCTGTGAATTCACTTTCCAGACCTTAAGTGTTCTTTATCTTCTTGCCTTGAACAAAACTGTCTCCCCTTGCCATCTTGAGCCTTCCCCTTTCCCACTCATTGCTTTGCTCTATTGACCCCACAGTACCTCCCCAATATTTATCCAACAAGGGCTCCTGCTCCCATTTTCTGTCTCCATCCCAAGTCAACCCATGCATCACCCTGGCCTCAGTCAATGAACTTGAATCCCTTCCATTTCAACGCCCCTCTCCCATGATCAGAGTCACAGCCCTCCAATGACCACCTCTGAAGTCTCCCCATCAACACTTCCCTCCTAGCCACAGTAGCCATCATCCTCTCATATTTCTTTTTCACTAACTCCTGCAATGCCCACCCTTTGTCTTGATTAAGATAACCTTTTTCCTGCATGCTAATTTCCCTCCCTTCCTTGCAGGCCTATAGGTCCTTATTATTCATTTAAACCACTCTCCTGCTGTCACTGTCAATCCCTCGCCACCTTGTCCCCTGGTCACATATAACCCATCAAGCCTTGCAGCTTTGTAGTCAATCCAACAACGAACCTTTTCCATTCCCAACTCTGGACACCAGAACTTCACTAGAGAGAGACCAGTCAACTGTGTGGACACATGCCAACACAAATAGATGGCCTACAACAGCAGCTGGCCCCCAACAGAGACTGACCATCCTCCCAACTGTCCCCACCAGCCCTTCCTCTACCCCCACCCCCAGCCCCACACCGTGCCTTCCAAACCTCCTCCCAGGAACTTCAGGCCCCCAGCCTGGGAAGCTGACCATCTCACTCTCATGGGATGACCTCGCCTCCTACTTTGAAGAGAAAATAGAGGCAATCAGGAAAGGATGCCCTCATCTTCCTGCCACCCCACCTACAGCTGTGCACATGTGCACCGTCCTTCCTGCCTTCCCTCCTGCTGCATGAAAGGGATGCTCCTCCACCTGTCAAGGGCTAATCCTACCTCCTGTGCCCAAGATTCCACCCCACCCCTTTCTCCCTAAGTCCTTGTCCAACCAAGAAGCACCACCCCCTCTACTCTATCTGTGTCCTTTCCCCCAACCGTAGGCACCTTTCTGTCAGCACATATGATCAGTCATGTCTCTTCTTTCTGGAAAAAAGAGAAAGTCCTAGACCTTTGTCCTTGCCCTTAGTAGCAACTTATTTCCCCACTTACCTCCCTGTCTGAGAGACCTGAAAGCCAGAACCGGTCTGCGACTTCTTCCTTATTTGCCACTTACAGATTTTAAATGTGAAAATATTTTAGGGCTTTTTCTTTCTGTTAGTATAAGGGAATATGCTCATCACTTATTTACGAAAGAGTCAAACATTGCGGGAACATTTAAAAACCAAAGTCGGAATTTCTTCTGCAGAGAAAACAAGGTTTTGCATGATGCTGCACGACTTGCTCTCAGGCTTCTGTCTATTCATAGATAGGTCCATGCGCCGAGTGCTGCACAGATGGGTCCCCAGTCGGTGGGTCATCCTGTAACCTGCCTTTCTCACTACACAATAGGCTGTGGGTGTTTTTCCATGTCAACAAATGTGGAGCTATATCATTATTGATGGCTACTAGCATCCTGTTTCGTAGACTTACCATCATTTATTGAACTCGTTCCTGTTGATGGGGGTTTGAGTTTGTCATTTACACTTCCCCACCTAACTCTCCTTCCTGTCAAGTAGAACAGAAACTCATTTTAAGCATTCAAGGGAATCTCTCAGAATTCAATTGCAGAAAGCATAGACACCTCTCTTCTCTCTTGCTCTCTCCCACACTCTCCACTTGAATGGTCTCCCATCTCCGCTTTTTCCTGAGCATCATTTAATTCTTCCTGCTCCTCATCACAGGCCCTGGCCTGTCAAGTGCACGCACATACACGATCATGGCTCCTGAGTCTACGCAGCCTTTACATTTGCTCCCCAGTGACCACACTGTTCACTCACAACTCTGATGCAGATCAGCCTCTGCCTCCACCATCTTCTCGGATGGATGGCAAAGGTTACACCCATTCCAGCAGGACTCAGGGAAGGTGCAAACACAACACACACACACACCATTGCCAGTGGCAACAGCATCAAAAGAGAACCTCAGAGAAGGTCCAGGGACAAGACCCTACCTACCGACTATGGCAATGTGACCACAGTGGCTCCACCGTGACCTGGCAGCCATGAGGACTGGTGGTGAGGACATCAGCTCTAGTATCTCACAGACCTGGGTTTAATCTCCCCACTGTCTGATCTCAAGCAAGCCACACAAGGGCTCTGAGCCTGCTTCCCTATCTGTAAAATGGGGGTAACACTCGCTGACTTGGAGGGTTCATTTGAGGTGCCACCACTGTAGTGATTTGCTGGCACGGGTGCTTCGGCGGGGAGGAACAAATGGCAGCTGCCATCACTCTCGCAACTATGATGGATGTGCAGTATTCTGCCTCCCATGGAAAAGTCCACAGAGGAGCAGAAGATTCAGGAACCTGCCAGCTAGGCTGGACGAACTGGGGCCTAAGTAATGACAAGAATAGAGGCCACCATGTGTTGAGTGCCCAGGACTTGATTAACTTATTTCTCACATAAACCCCCATGAGGCACCAACTAGGAAATAGAAACCACTCTGAGTCCTTAAAATAGAGGGAACTTCATGCAGGAAATTGGCTTTCTTGGTGACAGAAGAGCAAAGAAGCCATATAAGGATAGTGAGAGGGCCCAGAGATGAGCAATAGGAAGAAACCACCACCCCTCCCCCCTAGGCACAGCTGGGCATTTGGCTCTGGGGTCACCCGGAAGCTGGAATCACAGCATCCCTGTCCAGCAGAAGTCAGAGTCCTGAAGGAGAAGTAACTGCTTCTAGAAAGTAGGCCCAAGGCAGAGAGAGAGAGAAAGAAGAAACCCTCTGGCTCCTCTCTTACTCTACCCCCCAACCTCCTGCCAATGCCTCCTACTGGTAAAACTCTGCTGGAGACCAGATGTCACAGGAGCCTGCAAACACAGCCTGAAAGGGTCAGCCTCCCCAACCCCCTGCCGCCACTTTGATGCAGAGCAAGGAAAAGGCATAGAATGGATATCAAAGCAAATAGGCCCAGGACCAGCACAGGCACCTTTCTCATCCCCACTTACACATGAAGAAGCACAGAAAAGTTAAGCAACTTGCCCAAGATCAAACAGCTGATCTTGGAGAGGGAAGCCTGTCCCCTGAGCCCACAATCTTAACTGCAATGTTATAGCACCTCCCCTAGAGCTGTCTCAGCTCTTGGCTTTCTCTTACTTTTCTCAGTCGTTCATCCTTTCTCTTTTTTTTTTTTTTTTTCTTTCTTTCTTTCTTTCTTTCTTTCTTTCTGGCACAGACAGCATTGCTGGGGCAGGCACAGGGCTTTGGGGTTTCAGCTTCAGCTTTGCTACTGATGATCTGGGTAAAGTTACTTAATCTGGTCCATCAACATGTATTTATTGAGTACCTACTATATGTTGGTTTCCCTCCAAGCCTCTGTTTTCTCATCTGGACAATTGGTATAATGATATAAGTTAGTCAAGCAGAGACAGCAAGGTGACTGCATACAGTATTATTACATTTGTTCCAAAAAATGCTGCTGCTCCCACTCTTCCCTCTTTCCTGCCTTTTTGTTCCTGCCAAAGCTTTAGGTTTTCCTTGCCAGACTCACTGCTCATCTCTGCTGGTGGTTCTTGGAGCAGATGTCACTGGCTCCTATTGGAGCTAATCCCCCAGAGGAGCAACACACCCCCACCCCGTGTCACCTCCTGCCCTCCAGGCCAGCTCTACCTCTGTCAGCACCTCAGTGCCCCAAACTGGAAAGTGGGTTGAGGGGATAATGCCCAGCTGTCTCCCAGCTTGGCCACAAGGAGGAGGAAGAGGGTGCGGACGGAGGAGGAAGAGGGTGCGGACGGAGGAGGAAGAAGTTGTGGACAGAGGAGCAAGAGGGAAACTCTTTGTAAGTGTGAAAAAGCATTTAAAATATTTAATAGCATGAGCAACACCAGTAATAGCTTTGGGCAGCAGAATTTGGTGTTTGTTTACTTTCACTGCTCCCAGACATCCTGCTGCTTTGTACAGGAAGGAAATAAATAGATGCAGGGCACATTCATGCAGAATCCATCAGCCAGGCAGAGTGATGTGATCTGTTCTCAGAACAAGTCACGGTGAGAAGACATGGCCAGCTGGTCTAAGCCCCTACCCCACATGCTCCCCAACACCCCCACCCTGCACCCCACATACCTACTTTCACCTGCCTCTGGCCTCCCTGCAGCCCTGATGTCAGGCACCCAGGAGTTTGTTTCGGAAGCCATGTATATTCCATATGCCCAATGTATACTCCCCTGTAGGACCAGGGGAAGCCCATCCAGCCTGCCAGCTTGTATGAGATAGTGAAATTGGAAAGACCACTATGTCTCCTACAAGCACTGCAGCCCTGGCAAGATCTGTTACCCTGAGCCTCAGCCTCCTCCTCTGCAAAACAGAGAAAGAAGGATTTGGTGGGTTGTAGGAAACAGAAGATGCAGGGTAGGGTGGGTTTGAAGAGAACTTCATGAAGGAACTGTTTATGGAGGTGGGAGCAGGGCTAAGGGACCCAATGTGGGATGCTGAGACGCCCAAGGACTAGATAATGTAAAGCTGTTACCTCCCTCAGGGCTGAGAGGCCACCAGCTCTTGCTGGTGACAGGGAGGGACCCACCGCTAAGAGCTGTCACTGTGAGAGACACAGAGCTGTGGCATAGACGGGGCAGAAAGGAAATACCCCAACCTCTCTTCTCGCCCTCTGATTTCCTAATAGTATCTCCCCTTGGACAAGCCCAAAAGGAAGCCAGAGGGCAAGCTAGCCCAGTTAATGTGGTCTATAAGGGTCCAGCCTCCCCTGCATAGAAGGAAGGGCAAAGCATGGATCTGGAAGGGGAACAGCCATCACACCCTCTCAAAGCATGTCCATTAAGTGAAACACTTGGCACAGTGCCTGCCCATAGTAAGCACTCAGTGCATTCTGGTTCCTGTTGTCATCATTGTCAATTGCATTGTTTGGCATGAAAACTGCCTCTTCCCTACAGCTCTGTTCTTCTGTTCCCTCTTCCTCCAGTCTAGGGAATTAACTTGGGTATCCCTTTGAGGCAGGAGAATAGGGTCTGGAGACAGGAAGCCTTCACTTCAGCCTCTGATTGGTCGTGGGCCAATTCTTCATTTGCATAGGGCTGATTTTTCATGGGCCCAGTCTTCATTTGCATAGGGTGTAACTTTACTTCAGCCTCCAATAGGGTGAAACCAATAAGAAATCTCTAAAAGGTACTTAAAGATTTTGCAACCCGTGCTCCTGAGCTGCTCGCTTGAGCCCGCTCCCACTCTGTGGAGTATATTTTCACATCAATAAATCTGTGCTTTTGTTGCTTCATTCTTTCGTTGCTTTGTTTGTGCATTTTGTCCAATTCCTTGTTCAATGCACCAAGAACCTGGATGACTCATAGTCAAGACCCTCCACTGGCAATACCTTGTCTTCTTAGGGAGGAAAAATAAAGATGACAACATTCAGCTCCATTCTAATGATCAAATCTCATCTCTGGTCTCACTTTACAGAGTTTATTAGGGTGCTAGGGACAAAGGGAGCTGAGACACCAAGTGCTCCTTTATCCTCACCAAAGCCTTACTTAGAACCCTTTGCTCAGAATTGATTTATTGATTCCATTTGATTTGTCAAGGAATCAAGGAAATCAATCAGCATTGACTGAGCGCCTATGCTGTCCCCTGCACATTCTATGCTCATACCCGATTCAGCTTAGTAGTTAAGGGCATTCACTTTGGAGCCAGGCCAATCTTAGGCCAGCTAGTAAACTTCTCTAGCCTCCGTTTCGTCCCTGCAAAAATAAGCCTGCTGCCATCCTGCACGCTGCTGTGAGGATAGTTGGAGAAGGCCTGGCACAGAGAAGACCTTCCATAACCTGTCGGTGCAGGTGTGACAGATGAAGAAATGAGCATCAGAATACACAAGGGATTTTCCCTGGACCCACACTAGCAAGCTGCTCTTGAACCCAGGTTTGCCTTGGCCCAAAGCCAGTGGCATTCTGCTCTGCACCCCACATTGTCTCTCCCAGTCGACTTATCCCCATCAGCAGATAGGTGCAGTGTTTCAAAGAAACCAAAAACATTTTCTTCCTTCTTGGTTTGAGAACATATTCTGTATTTTTATTTTTCTGGGAATTATTCTGTTGTTACGGACAGATGGGAACATGGGTGTGCAGCCATTGGCCTCTGTGGATGGCAGCTGTGGACGCAGCTCAGAAAAACATAGGGTAGCAGGAGGGAAGACTTCTGCTTCTTCAGAGAAGCACATCCAAGCAAGGAAACGGAGGGGCTGACCGCAGCCTGTTCTTTGGATTTTTCTTTTATTGATTTTTTAAGGTTTTTTTGTTTTTTGTTTTTGAGACGGACTCTGGCTCTGTCGCCCAGGCTGGAGTGCAGTGGCACAATCTCGGCTCACTGCAACCTCTGCCTCCCGGGTTCAAGCAATTCTCCCGCCTCAGCCTCCCAAGTAGCTGGGATTACAGGCACTTTCC
Source organism: Homo sapiens (assembly GCF_000001405.40). Lineage (NCBI taxonomy): Eukaryota > Metazoa > Chordata > Mammalia > Primates > Hominidae > Homo > Homo sapiens. The sequence continues at coordinate 56,754,056 of NC_000017.11, forward strand.
ACCACGCCTGGCTAATTTTTGTATTTTTAGTAGAGACGGGTTTTCACTATGTTGCCCAGACTGGTCTCGAACTCCTGACCTCAAGTGATCCACCAGCCTCAGCCTCCCAAAGTGCTGGGATTACAGGTGTGAGCCACCACACCCGGTCTGGTTTTTTCTCTTATTGAAATGGCCAGCCTTGGGTTTTGAGTCAGGACCCTGGGAACCCCAGCCCTATTCCTGGCCCACCAGTAACCCAAAGCTGCTCACTTCCCCAGGTCCCATCCTACAGATCTAGAAAGTAGAGCCTTTTCTCTCTTGAAAGGCTATAGGATGAAGTCAAGTCATCCAAAAGTCTGGGATCCAGGAAGTCCATGTTGTGGGTGATTCCAAAATGAGCTTTGGAGTCAGCTAGACTTGGGTGTGAGTCCTGAGGTGAACTTTATTCTATGTGACCTTGGGCAACTTTCTTCATCCTTCTGGTCCTCAGTTTCCCCATCGGTGAAACAGAGGTAATAAGGTATAACTCCCGGTGTCGTTAGGAGGGTGCAGTGAAGTCAGGGCTTGGGGGAGACTTCACACACTGCTGGGAGGTGCATTTAGGGACAGGGCCTCAGGGAGCAAAAGCCATCCTCTCCTGCCACTCAGGCCGGGGCTGCCAAGAGCAGCTTCCCAGGGCTCTTTAGGCCGAGGCCAGGCTCCTGTCTGCTGGCCTCAAGTCTGAGGGCCTTTCTTGCCTGGGTTTCCTGTTGTCCTCTTTTACTCTTTTAAAGAAAAGAAAAGAAGCATCCTTCCTCTGGAGACCTTTGTCCTGAAGCTAGCCGGGGAATGCTAGAGACAGTCAGTCCATGCTGAGTGTGTTGAGCCACTTTCTGGGTTTAAAAAAATATGTTATTGTTTACCTAACAGTTCTTCTGTGAGAAATGGGTGTCTGTTCCTTTAAACAGAGCACAGGGCAGACAGAGTGGCTCCGGGGTTGTTTGCAGCAGAGAGGAGGGGGAGGGAGAAGGAAGGCATCCTGTTGTTGAGTAGAAATGACAGAGGCCAATGGACAGACAGACAGACAGCAGAGGGAGAGGTCAGCAGAGACCCAAGCAGTGGAGCTCAGCTGTTTTTTTTTTTTTCTATTAAGAATTTGCTTTTTCAGAAAGAAAAAATTTACGGTTTTTTTTTTTCTTTTGGCCTGTATTTTGCCAGTCTAACCCAAGATACTACTGGTTTACTTAAGACCAGGGAATCCTTTTCACCTGAACTTTGCTGGGGGATGGCATTTCAATGTTAAAAAAAAAGGGGGGGGGTCCTGACAGCCTCAACTCATTAAACTTTGTGCAGAAGGTGTTGTGAGCTTTTCCTAAATTCAGCACTTGGGAATAGAAATCAGGAATAACCCATCTTAATAGTTACTGAATGGCCATGCTTTTCCTACATTATCTCCAATCATCCCAACATCCCTGCCAGAGAGGTTTATGCATCCCCATTTTACAGATATGGAAACTGAGGCTCAGGCACATTAAGAGCGTGCTCAAGCTTAGGAAGATACATAGGAGGCAAGTAGCGGGCTGAGGTTTCACCGTGAGTCTTTCCAACATGCCCCACTGCCTCCTTCGTGAACTCAACAACAGGTCCAGTGGGGCACGAAAGGGGAGAGGAGAGAGGCAGGGTGGACTTCCTGGCTGTGTGATTTGCCAGCCTCTAGTATAAATACTTCTAGCAACCCCTTGGCTCTTTAGGGTTCTCCAGCAACAAGGAACAAGCCCAAGATTGTAAACTCCCAAGAGTGGGTCTAATTCAACCACCACCATTGTCAGCAACGTTACAGAGCACTTTAAAAATTTAAGAGGCATTTTGTCAATTGCCACATCAGACTGTGTGACTCTCCTGCTGACATTTAGGAGGTGGCCCCCAAGCTCCTGCATGATTTGGTCTCTGCCTCCTCCAGTCCCATCTCCTTGCTCTCACCCTTGCTCACTATGCTGTCCATAAATCTCTCAGTTCCTCAAACATGATGCTACTGGCATCACCTAGGAGTGGGTTGGAAATTCAGGAGTTCTGCCCCACTCCAGAACTACTGAGACAGAGTCTGCCTTTTAATAAGACCCCCAGGTGCACAGTGAAGTGTGAGAAGCAGCACTCTTGCACATTCAGCTTTTCCACCTCGGGACCTTTGCACATGCAGCTCTCTCTGCCTAGAACACTCCTTTTTTTTTTTTTTTTTTTTTTTTTTTTGAGACAGAGTCTTGCTCTGTCGCCAGGCTGGAATGCAGTGGTGCAATCTCAGCTCACCGCAACATCCACCCTCCCGGGTTCAAGTGATTCTCCTGCCTCAGCCTCCCGAGTAGCTGGGACTACAGGCATGCGCCACTACGCCCAGCTAATTTTTTTGTATTTTTAGTAGAGACGGGGTTTCACCATGTTGGCCAGGATGGTTTCCATCTCTTGACCTCATGATCTGCCCGCCTCAGCCTCCCAAAGTGCTAGGATTACAGGCGTGAGCCACCGCGCCCAGCCACACTCCTTTTTTTAAATCTTGAACTCTGAGATTCATATGTCCTGAGCTCATAATGTCACTTCCTCTGAAAAGTCCCCCTTGACCTTCCAATAAAGTTATTTTTTCTTAAGAGTCCAGTTCTTTTCTTTCATAGCACCTATTGCAGTGTGTAATTACATACCGACTTACTGAATGTCTGTCTCCATGAAGGCTGAGGCCATGACTCACTTGCTTACCACGGACATAGTAGAAGCTGCACAGACACATGCTGAAGGAATAAGCATGGTGCTGTTTCTATGCAGCATCAAAAGAGAAGTTCACAGACAGTGTGCACTGGGTATCTCTAGGCATTTGGTCTCTGCATGAGGCATTTGGTCTCTACAGGCATTTTTATTCAGTTTCACCAAATGTTCACTGAGTGCTATTATGTATCTGGAGGTGGAGTCATATGTGTAAGGAGGCCTGGTGTGACAAAGTGGATCCTAGAATTTGGTGTAGCGACTCAGTTGTCTTGTTCAGTGGACAAGGTTGGGGGCTGAATGAAATAGCCCAGGAAGTGTACATTTCTGGTGATTACAGGAACGAACCCTCAGAAGGTGGGAAAGGAAATTAACATTTCCTACCCCCCACATCTGGGCCAGGCACCTACACGGTTAGCAAGTGTCAAAGAGGGATTTCAAATCCACTAGAATAGCATATGAATTGCTTAACTAAAACCTATGCCTTTTGCCTTTTGTTTTAAGTAAAATTAAGAATGCACACAGTTAAAAAATAAGATAAATATAGAAGTGTTTCATCCCTTGCCACCCTTAGTTCCATACTCCAAAGATAACTACTTTTTATCTCTTTTATTTGTTTCTTCTGGTAGCTGATTTCAAATCTCTGAGTATTTTTATTTACCTGTTTCTTGATTTGTTAATTTTATATAGTGGTTATTAATTCTTTCTTATGACATCAGGAAGCAAATTTTACTGTTTTACATCACTCTCACCTCCTTTATTTGCCCCAAATAATTATATCACTATTATATTTGCAAATATAAGTTGATATGGTTTGGCTGTGTCCCCACCCAAATCTCAACTTGAATTATATCTCCCAGAATTCCCACATATTGTGGGAGGGACCCGGGGGGAGGGGGGTAATTGAATCATAGGGGCCAGTCTTCTTCCCGTCCTATTTTTGTGATAGTGAATAAGTCTCATGAGATCTGATGGGTTTATCAGGGATTTCCGCTTTTGCTTCTTCCTCATTTTCTTTTGCTGCTGCCATGTAAGAAGTGCCTTTCACCCCCCGCCATGACTCTAAGGCCTCCCTAGCCATGTGGAACTATAAGTCCAATTAAACCTCTTTTTCCTCCCAGTCTCAGGTATGTCTTTATCAGCAGCGTGAAAACTGACTAATACAGTAAATTGGTACCTATAGAGCGGGGCATTGCTGAAAAGATACCCGGAAATGTGGCAGCAACTTTGGAACTGGGTAACAGGCAGAGGTTGGAACAGTTTGGAGGGCTCAGAAGAAGACAGGAAAACGTGGGAAAGTTTGGAACTTCCTAGAGACTTGTTGAACGGCTTTGACCGAAAGCCTGATAGTGAAATGGACAATAAGGTTTAGGCTGAGGTAGTCTCAGATGGAGATGAGGAACTTATTGGGAACTGGAATAAAGGTGACTCTTGTTATGTTTTAGCAAAGAGACTGGTGGCATTTTGCCCCTACCCTGGAGATTTGTGGGAATTTGAACTTGAGAAAGATGATTTAGGGTATCTGGCAGAAGAAATTTCTAAACAGCAAAGCATTCAAGAGGTGACTTGGGTATTATTAAAGGCATTCCATTTTATAAGGCAAGCAGAGTGTAAAAGTTTAGAAAATTTGCAGCCTGACTATGTTATAGAAAAGAAAAAACCATTTTCTGGGGAGAAATTCAAGCCACCTGCAGAAATTTGTATAAGTAGCAAGGAGCCTAATGTTAATCCCCAAGACCACAGGGAAAATGTCTCCAGGCCCTGTCAGAGACCTTCACAGCAGCCCCCTCCCATCACAGGCCCAGAGGCCTAGGAGGAAAACATGGTTTTGTGGGCCAGGCCCAAGGTTCCCGTGCTGTGTGCAGCCTAGGGACTTGGTGCCCTGTGTCCTAGCTGTCTAGCCACGGCTGAAAGGGGCCAACCTTCAGCTCAGGCTGTGGCTTCGGAGGGTGGAAGCCCCAAGCCTTGGCAGCTTCCATGTGGTGATGAGCCTGCAGGTGCACAGAAGTCAAGAATTGAGGTTTGGGAATCTCCACCTAGATTTCAGAAGATGTATGGAAACGCCCGGATACCCAGGCAAAAGTTTGCTGCAGGGGCAGGGCCCTCACGGAGAACCTTGCTAGGGCAGTGCAGAAGGGAAATGTGGAGTCAGAGCCCCCACAGATAGTTTCTACTGTGGCACTGCCTAGTGGAGCTGTGAGAAGAGGGCCACCGTCCTCCAGACCCCAGAATGGTAAATCCACTGACAGCTTGCACCATGTGCCTGGAAAAGCCGCAGACACTCAACACCAGCCTGTGAGAGCAGCTGGGACGGAGGCTGTAACCTGCAAAGCCACAGGAGCGGAGCTGCCCAAGACCATGGGAACCTACCTTTTGCATCAGCGTGACCTGGATGTGAGACCTGGAGTCAAAGGAGATCATTTTGAAGCTTTAAAACTTGACTGCCCCGCTGGATTTCAGGCTTGCATGGGCCCTGTATGTAATCCCTTTGTTTTGGCCAATTTCTCCCATTTGGAACAGCTGTATTTATTCAATTCCTATACCCCCATTTTATCTAGGAAGTAACTAGCTTGCTTTTGATTTTACAGCTCATAGGCAGAAGGGACTTGCCTTGTCTCAGATGAGACTTTGGACTGTGGACTTTTGGGTTAATGCTGAAATGAGTTAAGACTTTGGGGGACTGTTGTGAAGGCATGATAAGTTTTAAAATGTGTGGACATGGGCCAGGTGCAGTGGCTCACGCCTGTAATCCCAGCACTTTGGGAGGCCAAGGCGGGCGGATCATGAGGTCAGGAGATCGAGACCATCCTAGCTAACACGGTGAAACCCTGTCTCTACTAAAAATACAAAAAATTAGCCAGGCGTAGTGGCGGGCACCTGTAGTTCCAGCTACTTGGGAGGCTGAAGCGGGATAGTAGCGTGAACCCGGGAGGTGGAGCTTGCAGTGAGCCGAGATCGCGCCACTGCACTCCAGGCTGGGTGACAGAGTGAGACTCTGTCTCAAAAAAAAAAAAAAAAAAGTAAGGACATGAGATTTGGAGGGTGCAGGGGCAGAATGATGTGGTTTGGCTGTGTTCTTACCCAAATCTCAACTTGAATTGTATCTCCCAGAATTCCCTGAGCCTCAGTTTCCTCATCAGCAAAGGGGAATAACCCTTATCCCATAGGAATGTTGTGAGGGTCAAATAAAATAATGGTAAGGCACAATATAAATGTTTATTGTTAGGGGAAAGTGAAAATTTACAGCAGCAGACAGGATGGGTAACCAGGGAAGGCAAAGAATTGGAAAAGCCTTTTTCAGCATTTTGAAAATAATTAGATGGGCCTGCTCCATGCTAGATTCCCACCATCTCTGGTTCAAGCATCAGCAACATGAATTCTCATGTCTCTGCAGCAGTATAATAATACCTTACGTTTACATAGTTTGTTAGGCTTGCAACATGCTTTCTCATGCATTATCTTATTGGATTTGAGTCTTCCAATATCCCTGAGAGGCAAGGAGTACCAGCATCCAAATTTCCATTTTATAGACAAGGAAATTAAGAGTCAGCATGATGCAAACATGATCAAAATCACAGAGCTGGGAAGCTCTGAGACCAAGCTCTAGTAGAACTGGAACCAAATCCAAACCTTCTGAGACAGGAAGCTTGTCACTGCCCTGCACTGTGATGCCAAGAAAGGACATCTCAGGGTCAAGCGTGGTGGCTCGTGCCTGTAATCCCAGCACTTTGGGAGGCCAAAGCAGGAGGATCACTTGAGCTTAGGAGCATGAGACCTGCCTGGGCAAATAGGAGACTCCATCTTTACAAAAAATATAAAAAACTAGTCAGGCATGGTGGGGCACACCTGTGGTCCCAGCTAATTGGGAGGCTGAGGTGGGAGGGTCATTTGGGTCTGGGAGGTTGAGGTTGCAATGAGCTTCAATAGTGACACTGCACTCCAGCCTGGGTGACAGAGAAAGACCCTGTCGAAGAAGGACAAGGAGAAGAGAAGAGAAGGGAAGGAAGGAAGGAAGGAAGGAAGGAAGGAAGGAAGGAAGGAAGGAAGGAAGGAAAGAAGGAAAGAAAAGAAAAGAGAAAAGAAAGAGAAAGAGAAACAGAAAAGGAGGAGGAGGGAGGGGAGGAAGGAAGAAGGAAGGAAGGAAGGAGAGAGAAACTTATGCATGTGCAAAGGTTATTGGGAACAAGTGAGTACCCTCATACACCTTCCTGGACCTGGAATGTCTTAATCCAGAGATGGCTAGCTGGAGACCCACTAGGTCAATCAGCATGCCTGAGAGTTTTGTTCAATAGTAGCTCAGTGTTCTCAGAAGTGCTCTATGTGTCACCATTCAGACATACCTAAACACAGTGGATGCCACCCCATGTAATCTCTCCACCTCTGTGCTTTTGTCACTCACACAAGGTTCCAGGCCTTAGAAAGGAGCATCTATTGGCTGAGCCTAGAAAGGGCACCTGTGTCTGAGCTGTCAGGAGCAAAGATAAAGAGGTATTTCTTATTCACCTTCCACAATGGGAAGCAAGATCCTCCATCCCAGGCCACCCTGTGTGACTGTGTATTACACAAAGGTAGGCTAAAGAGGATACATAGGGGCTGAAACCCAGCCTACTTCTGCTCTTCGAGTCCTGTGTCCTGGCCCAGGGCTTGGTACATGGAGCTTGTACTGAATTTTAGGCTCCAGCTACCCTCTCAGCTGAGCACTCTTGTGCAGTGTACAATCTGCAGAAGCAAACATGGCAGCCCTGCTTCCTCAGAAGAGCTGGCAACGCTAGATGCCACTCCCACATAGCAACAATTAGAGGGAGCCCAGTCATAGCTGCCCTTCTGGGACAGGGCGCACACTCCCACATCACCACACTCCCCACCATGCCTACCTCACTTGTTTGTGTCACCTGCCAGTCCCCTAAGGCATTTGAGTTTATGACCTGTCTGAAACAATATTTTTTTTTTACATTGGCTTATCCAGGTAATTAGTTTCATGGTCTATTTCTGAATGGCATTTTTCTTTCCCACCCAACCCCCTTTTCCAGCAGTCCTAGTTAATCTATTTATTTTTACTCTACCTCTTTCTAAAAATACATACAATACAACACGATTTTTTAAAAGTCAGACTCCTGGTAATCTCTGGAATGTGGGAAAAGCACTCTTACCACAAAGTTATATTAAGAAGTTTAATTATCAGAAAATTACTGTATAATAAATATATCAAACAGTAAGTATGTACACTGTATATGTACACTGCGAATTCCTGGGCAACCTCAGTCTATAAACCCATTCACCTCACCCACAACCTCAACCGACTCTTTATTCTTTTTCTTTGACTGGCACGGGAGACTTTGAGATACACTTGCTTCTGTATGTATAGCCTCCCACCTTTTCCAGGACCCACTAGGTATGCTGAGTTTTCCAGGCAGTCATGAGAACTTTGTCAGTTCATCCCAAAGTCTATGATCATTTCTCCTTTCTGTTGGTATCAGCCCACTCCCAAATTGTTTGCCATTTACTTTTGTAAGTCCTGTCTTTAAGGAAACCATGGGGCTCCTGGTTGCTATTGTAGGTTGTCTCAGTCAGCCACTACTGTGTAACAAACAACCACAAACATCACAGTGCCGTACAGCAGGAGGTATTTCTCGCTCCTGTGCCTGAGGGTCACATGGGGTGGCTTGGCTTCCGGCCACAGGTCTACAGGTCACCTGGGGCAGCTTTGTTCCAAATACCTTTCATCCTACTGGGCTTATATCGTGTTTTTCTCGTGGCAATGGCAGAAATGCAAGACAGCAAGCCCTACAGCACAAGCACATTTCAACTCCTGCTCATGTCACCTCCATTAACATCTCATTTGCAAAAACAAGTAAAATGGCAAGGCCCAAAGTCAAGGGCAGGGAAGTGTGCGTGCCCCCTGGAGATAGGTTGAAGGGGAAGGAGTGAATATCTACAGACAATGGCCACTGTTTGCCCTTTTGGTCACAAATATTCACTCCTTTCCCACACGCAAAATACACTCACTGCATCCCTAGGACACTCCAAAAATCTTATCCAATGCTGGTATTGAACTGGAAATCCATGTTCCATGCCAGATCTCACTGAGGCTTCTCTTGATTTGATAAGGACCCAAAAAATCAAAAAGACAAGTTGTTTTCCATATGTATCCAGGTGCGGTGGAACAGGTGTAGAATCAGAAAAACACTGCTACTTGGAAAGAAAAGGAATGAGAGTCACTCAGCACTCACTGGGCTGCAGCAATTCTGATGTTCTGCTGGGAATTTTTGGCCAGGTCCTCCTAATCCAGGAGTTGAGAATTTTCCTTGCCTGGCCCCCTGTTCCACACTCAGTCCTTTCTTCTCTGGGTTCTTGGCTCTGCCCTGTGAGAGGTTTTCTCTTCCCATCAGCCTTGATCACTTCAAAAGAGCACATCGGAGAATATGACAATGACCATACTCTTAGTCTGCTTCCTGTCTATAAGAAGGTGGGGCCCCAGAAATTTGTTTTTATCTCCAACAGTTTCATTTTGTTTTAGACAAGCCTGGTGGTAGTTTTGACAGTAAACTCTCTCAAAAATTTTGTGGGTTTTCTGTGCATTAGATTCCATTCAACTCCAGGCACCAAAAGCACAAAATTCACAATTTCTTGGAGACATGCTTCTCTTTGTCTGTAGACTCACACTCTTAATTTTTCTATGAGTTCCTTTGTCTAGCTGAAAGGGTACACTGGACACTTGCACCTTAACAGGAGCTGCATCCTAGCGGATGTCAGAATCAAAAACTTTAAGGAAAGCTAGTGCAATTGAGCAAAAAGTTTTACTGAGGGTTTCCTTGTGGCCAAAGGAAAACATAATGAGATGCACAATTAAAATATGCATTCTAGTTTGTTAATTGAGGCACCTTTTTTCCTAAGGACCATCAAGTACAGTAAGCAAGATAAAATTCAGATGCAGAAAACTTCCTACAGTGAAGACAACGTCCCACAGGCCTGTGAGCTCAATAATTACCTTGGGATTAAAAAGAAGGGCCTTGCCGGGCACAGGGGCTCACGCCTGTAATCCCAACACTTTGGGAGGCCGAGGCAGGCAGAGCACGAGGTCAGGAGATTGAGACTATCCTGGCTAACACAGTGAATCCCATCTCTACTAAAAATACAAAAAATTAGCCAGGCATGGAGTTGGCTGCCTTGCAGTCCCAGCTACTCAGGAGGCTGAGGCAGGAGAATGGCGTGAACCCCAGAGGCGGAGCATGCAGTGAGCCGAGATCGCACCACTGCACTCTAGCCTGGGCAACAGAGCGAGACTCCATCTCACACACAAAAATAAATAAATAAAAATAAAAAAAGAAGGGCCTTTCAGAGTTCATGAGAACCTCAAGCTAAGGCTTTATATCCTAAAGGCAGCATTCTATTTTGTGGGGGAGATTGGAACTTGGGATGAGGGAAAAAGAAAAAGCATTCAAAGCATCTTCCAAGAGAGAAAAACTCAAGATTTACCAAAATGTATTTTATTTTGTTTTTCAAGCTGCAAAAAGCTGAGGAGAATCATAAAATTATTTAGCTTAGTTAACTAGAGAGCAAGGAAGAAGATGTATTATTTCAGTTTCATGACTTGTTAATTTGCAGGTTTTATCATTTGTACTCTAACGACTTGGGGATATTACTTGGTCTGATGGCTGAGGGCTGATGCAGAGATTTGTTTTTTGAGTGTGTTAGGGAGCCAAGATCCTCGGTACTCCTACATCAGGTTTAGGGAATAGTCAACCACTCTGGCCCACGAGCAAGAGGCTATAATGTCTCTTCCAGCCTGGAGGGGCAGGATGCCAGAAAAGGAGAGTTATGACACTAGTAATAGAAAATGTTCGAAAGAGGCTGGGCGTGGCTCACATCTGTGATCCCACCACTTTGGGAGGCAGAGGTGGCAGGACCACTTGAGCCCAGGACTTTGAGACCAGCCTGGGCAACATAGGAAGACCCTGTCTCTACAAAAAATTTAAAATTAGCTGGGTGTGGTGGTGTGTGCCTTTAATCCCAGCTACTGGGGAGGCTGAGGCAGGAGGATAGCTTGAGCCCAGGAGGTTGAAGCTGCAGTGAGCCAGGATCACTGCACTCAAGCCTGGGCAACAAAATGAGATCCAGTCTCAAAAAAAACAAAAAGAAGAAAGAAAAGAAGAAAAGTTAAAAAAGAGAAGCTTCTTGTGTTAAAATTTTCTTTCACCATATGGAATGAGATTTGGTTCCTGGGACAACCCATTCCCAAACTCACTGCCTATTCGGGGCCTTTGTAAAACAGTGCCAACCCCTCCAGTCCAGTAGTTTATATTATTACATTTTGTTCTAGAAGCCAGGCTTCAAAATTCTGGGGGCTGCTTTGTCAGAGGAGGACGGGGAGATGCAGACATCATATTTATGGCATATCCTTTGTTAGGAATTTCAGAGAAGTGAACTTAGTTCGGAGCTACCTTGAGTATGACACTATCCTCCTTAATTTGACTCTGTTGGGCTTGAAGTGGAGGTGGGGGATCAGAGGAAGGAAGACAGGAGAGTTTACTGGATCCAAGAGGTAAAGTTGTAAAACCACCTAGGAGCTGATGTCACCAATACAAGGGGCAGTTTTGTCTCCTCAGCCTGTGTTCTGCCTGGCCCGTGGCTGAGTGCTGAAGCCAAAATTTGGTCAAACTCTTTCCCGGATTTCCAGCTGGGTCTCCCCTGTCCTGGATTACTGGCATTTTCTCTACTTACTAAATGTGCTTTGTGATCTCAGCTAGTGCGAAGCAGAAAACCCACTGCTAAACAGGGAAGCAACTGAAAACCCAAAATGCCAGCATGTCTAGTCAAGTACACGGTAATGCACTACCCCGTTCATTCATTAATCTCTCCATTCACAAATATCTGTTTTCTGTCCACCGCAGTGTGAGGGCTTTCAGGTCTAGAAGTTTCATTCAGAACTGAAAAAGGATAACCAGTGGTGGTCAGAGTGGTTAGAATAAGGGAAAGTGCCTTCAGTCTAGACAATGTGGTTGAGTGTAGCCTGGAGGCAGGGTCTCCATTAGAGATCCCTCTCCAGCTGGGGTATCCTAAAGAGTGGCATGAAGAATGAGATGGAGCCAGTAGGTTAGTAAAACAATTAAAGAACAAAATAAAGAGCATTCTCAGCACTGGCCCCCAAGGAAGGTTACGGATTGGAATAGAGCACAGAGAGCCTCATCTAAACCTCGCCAAAGAGACCAACCCCAGGGCACTGCGGAACTCGGGGCGGCCTCCCTGCTGTGGGGCAGGCATCCTTGGCGGGCAAGGAAATCATCAAAGGCTCCAGCAGCAGGAACGCTCCAGCCATCAGACAGGAGAAGACAGATTTCCTCTAAAATGTGCCTTTAAAGGGAGCTCATTTGCCTTCATGGGCCCCGGGAAAGCCTAAGATAGGTGCCATCCAGGAAACCCAGACTCTTTAAGATCAACACGGTTTAATGCAGCATAAGAGCCTTAGGTCAGACCAAGAAATGACTTCCTGACTGTAAGGGCTTATTGGACCATGAAAGCGGACTCCTAGAGAGACTGTGAAATTGCCTTCTTTCAAAGTTTTTAGATTTTTTTTTTTTTTTTTTTTTTTTGGTGGTGGGGAGGGGAGGCAGTGGATTGAGGGCCAGCCCAGAGGCTGGCAGAGAGGTTTGATGAATTCTCAGGCCACTCCATCTCACCCCAGGAGGCACTTTCCAGCCTGAGAACTGAGGTTTCCCCCTTTCTGGGTAGATCATTGGGTCCAGAAAACCAGCAGGGGCAGCAAATATTAAACTCTGCCTAAATTGCTCTAATGTCCTTGGGGGCAACAGGAGTAGGATTAAGCCTTCATTTTTTACTTTCTTCTTTTACTTTCCAGAGATGGGTCAACTGGGTAGCAGGCTCCAAATCTTCAAACACTAAATAAGAAATGTTGTCAGGCTGGAAACCATTTTAATATTTTAAATACGTGGGGTTTCTCCAGCATTGCAACAGCTGTGGGACGTAAAATAAAATCCATTTCTCTCCGGCCCCTGGGCAGCTCTAAAGTATCAAATGGTCAATCTGGATGATGGGAGGTGGGAGGTAGAAGGTGAGAGGTTGGGGGCTTGGCAGGAAAGGTTGGGGCAGAAAGTGCATTTTCTTCCTGTTGTGGAACATTTTTTTAAAATAATCAGATCCAAACCCTCAGAGTCCTGGGGAGCTATAGATTTTGTATCAGAAGAATGTCTGAGAGTTTTGGAAATGCTCCCAAAATTTGAATACAAACTCCCTGGGTGACCCAGTCAGATGCAAGCAGGCTGGCCTCCGGCAGCTGGACACTGATATTCACTGGTTTGAAGAAGAGAGAAAGGGTGGGAGGATGGGGTAGGATGGAGCCCTTTCATCTGGGCTGTTGGGATTTGTGATCCTCCTCCAGGATAATTCTCAATGGGCTTGTAAGCACAATTGCCACACAGAGCAGATGCCACAGCCTACTTGGTTAGATGAGTCCACGTATTTAATGAATATTTATTGGGCCCTTGCATTGCTTCAGGAAGTGAGATAAGGGGTTGGAGCTGGGCTTCTGATGGTGGCACCAGTGGCCCTGATCTTACCTGATCTTCCCTCCCTGTTATGTCCCTATCCTTGGTGCTTTGGAGAGCACAGAACTATTCATTCATTCATTCATTCAATTATTCAATGCCTTCAGTAAATACTCATTGCACTCTTCCCAAGAGCTAAAAATACAGCAAGGAATAAGACATTTCCCGCCCACTGCCCTGCTCCTATGGGCCTCACATCCTAGTGACAGGACACCCATAAACAATGAACAATGATATATAATAGAGATACATAGATAGAAGAATGCTTATATTTATCAATAGAAAAATGATTAAATTTATGTATGTATCAAATAATTTTAAATGGTGTTGAGTGCTATGAAGAGAACAAACCAGGCTCAGGTAATAGAGAGTGACTGGAGTGGGATCCAATATTAGCTCAGGTGGGTGGGAAAGGCCTCTCTGTGACACGTACGCTGACACCTCCTGCATGTCCAGGAGCCAGCCTGGCTCCTGAAGTCAGGGGAAGAAGCTCCAGACAGAGAACCTGCCAGGCGCCAAGGCCACGGAGCAAAAAGGAGCTTGGCATGTTCAAGGAACAGAAGAAGGACAGGGTGGCTAGGGCATAGGGAAGGGGCAGAGTTGGAAAGAATCATATAGATCCAGCTGGAACTTAACCCAGAATTAGTGCCAGCTAGAAATTTAGAGGTCACTGGATTCAATTCCCAGATTTACACTTGGAAAATCTGAAGCTCACAGAGAAAGTGTGACTCTCTCAGGGTGACCCAACAATCGGGAGCAGAGCCAGGACAGGTCCCTGTGCCTGTGGACACTCCTGTGTAGTGTCACTCCACTGTTCATATCTGTCACATGTGTCAAGGCTCACGTGTGTGCAGCACAGACCCTCCAGCTGATTCCTGCACATTTAGTGACCCCCGGAGACCAGCGTGGCCCCTCATGGAGGAGTCAAGTTTGGAAAAAAAGCAACAGCAGCAGAAGGTGGTAAAAGAGAAGAATGAAGAACCCAGACTTCAGTGTTAGCCAGAGCTAACCTCAAGTTCACACTGCCCCTTATTACATCTATGACCTTGGAGACATCATTTAATCTCTGTGAGCTTCAATCTCACCATCTGTGAAGTGAGATCACAGTCCCACCCCATAGATGTACTGTGGGGCGGGTATGAGATGGTGCATCGGGAAGACTTAGCACAATATCAGGTGCATATGAAAAGCCCCGTTACAGGGTCATTGTTATATGATTATTATATAGTTCCAGGCCTAAAGGAACTTCCCTCATCATGCTGGAGAAAACATCCATGCACAAACACTGCAAACACTTTACTCTTCTTCATGCACTCGCCAAATATTTATTGAGCACTCGTTCTGTGAAAGGCGCTTGCACTGATCACCAGAAATATCTCAGAGAACAAACACAAATGTAGCCCTACAAATGCAGAGGCAGGCAACTATCCACATAGCCACATTTAAAAAAAAGTGCAAAATTGTCATCAACAAGTACTAGGAGAGGGGGATTTGCAGTACTTTGAGAGACCATCAGGATTTCAGTGACTTGGTCAGGGAGATCAGCACAGGCAGCATTAGGTCTCCCTGAGAAAGTAAAGCTTGGGATGTTACATGATGAGCTGGGGGTAGCCAGGCAATGGATGAGAAGCAAAGGACAGTGTTCCAGGCAGAAGGAATGGCATGTCTTAAGACCCTGGGATGGCAGGCGCACGGTGGGTGTGAATAACTGAGCAGAGGCTGGACCACTAAGATCCTTGTGCCAAGATAGGGAGTTTGAGTTTTATTCTGAGAATAGTAAGAAGCATTAAAGGAGATTTAAGCAGGATGCTTGGAATATAATTTTGCCAGTCTCTCAAATGTATTAATTCATTCAACAAACATTTACTGGGTGCTTTGTACGTACAAAAGACTGTTCAAGACACATGAGGATAGAGAATTTTCCCCAGCCACAAAGTCTCTTACAGAATAGTGGAGCAGATAGACATATTAGCAACTGTTAACTATAGAGGAAAGAGCACTGGACTTGAGTATTAAAGACATAGGTTCAAGTTTCAATTCTACCTTTTATTGAACAACTAGAGTTTCATGAGGACAATGACTGAGTTTAATTATGTCTGGGACCCATCACCTGACATGCAGGAGAACCAGCAAACTTAGAATGATTATGTCACCTTGGGAAATATCAATAAGAGAAGTATCAACAAGGCCTAATTTTTGTTTCATGTTCTATCATCTTTAAAGACCTTTCACATACTGGATCTTATTTTACCCCCACAATATCCCTGTTAATGTTGTGGATATGAGGTGAATTCAGCACTGGCTACATAGTTTGCGGAGCCAAGTTCAAAATGAAATGTGGAGCTCTTTGTCCAATTAATAAGAATTTCAAGACAATGACAGCAGAGCATTAAACTAAGTGCAGGACTGTTGTGGGCAAGGGATCCAGTGTCGCTGCACGAGTTGTGCATACATAAAGCCAGCCCTGAGTAAGTTCTATTTCATTCACTTTACAGATGAGAAAACCAAGGCACATGGTAGAGTGACTCTGTCAGTGTCACTCAGCTCACTGAAAGAGTGAGGCCTCAAAATAAACCCAGGACTTCTGACTTCCTGCTGAAACAGGACTGCCCTGGTTTGTGCCTGAGTTGCAGTGTTCCTGGAAGGGCAGTTTGAAGCATCTGTTTAAAAGGTGATATAGACAAAGAAATTGAAGGGAAATGTTCAGGATGCTGCCCCGTGTGAAACCTTTCAACAATTCCCACTGCTTTAGGACAAAGCCTAAAGGCTTAGACTGATGCACAGAGTCCTTTCCTGGTCTGACCCCTGATTAAAATTTTCCAGCTGCACTGCCCAACTCTGCCCGCTCCTTCAAAATGTGCTTTACAACATACACCTTCTTGCCATTTCCCAGCTGGGCCTTGCTCCTTCTGGCCTCCAAGCCTTTGTTCCTGGCCCTCTCTCTGCCTCAGATGCTGTGTTATGAAGGGGGACTACAAGTAAGCCAGCTGAGGAAGGCAGCGGGATGAGGAAAGGCAGCTGAGGCACAGGGAAATCATGACTAATTTTTCTGCATCTTTGGAACAGTTATACATCCTGCCATCCATCCACCTTTCCATCCACCCATCCACCTATCACCTATTCATTTTTCCATCTACCCTTTCACCTATAGACCCATCCCCCTTCCACTCATCTATCCATCCATCCATCTTTCCTCCATCCATCTATCCATCATCCATCTATTCATACACTCATCCATCCACCCTTTCATCCATCTATTCATCCATCCTTCCATTCATTCATCTATCCATCATCCATCTATCCATCCATCCATCTATCTATTCATCCACCCACCTACCCACCCATTCATCTATTCATTCACCTATCCATCTACCCTTCAATCCATCTATCCACCCATACATGCATACATCCACCCATCCATCCAATCATCTTTCCATCCCTCTATCCCTTCATCCATCCATCCATATTTCCACTCACCCACCCATCCATCTTTCCATTCATTCAACAATTATTCACTTAGTCTCATATGCTATATGCCAGGCACTATGTGAGGCACTGGAGATCCATCAATGAATAAGCTACACTTCCTCCCCACAACAGAGCTCACAGGACAAACAAATATCACCCATAGCTTGAATCCCCAATTTCATAACCTGTATGAATCCAGACTCCCTTCTCACAACTTATGGAAATTCCACTTTCTTCTTCTTGATCCTGTCTCCATTCCTGTGTCTATAGGTGTCATCCCAGGATGGTCTTGAGGCAGCTGGGACACAGTTCTAAGCCCCTTTACCATTTTTCCACAAGAAATACAAATCCAGCAGTGATGTTGTGGGTTTAGTGATTTGACTGTAGATCTGAGAAGCTACTATAAAGGATTATGTTCTACATGCTACAGCCTTCCACCATCTTGCTGCTTTCCCACCAATAATTGTCCAGTTCCCCAAAGCCCAAGCTATTGACATGGAACCCTCCCTGCTGCACAGACTCCTCGAAGTGTAATCTAGTCCTCACTCCCTAATATGACATACTGCCCCTGCCCCAGGACAGTCAGCTGTCCCTCGAATCTGGTAAATATAATGCGCTCCAACTCATGACACATGTAAATAGACTGCTACAATACAGAGAACAGAGAGCTCTACAACAGAGGTAAGTTCAGGATGCACACACAGAGGTGGCAGAGAAAAGCCAAACTAAACTAGTCTTGGGCTTCGAGAGTGGCTTCTGGGAAAGATTCTTAGATAAAGAGAGGAGTGATGAAGAGGATATTTCAAGCACAACAAATAACAAGGACAAAGACATCAGAAAGTTTACTGTGCTTTGCAATGGGGACAAAAGTGGTTCAATAGGACTAGAGGATACAGTACGGGGAGCAGCAGCAGACAACACTGGAGAGGGAGGCAGGAGGGGGTTGCCCATAAAAGGTGGGGCAGTCCATGCTCGGGACTCTGGACTCTAAGCTACAGCAGCAGAACTGCTACTGAGAGCTCCTAAGCCTAGAAGTGGCTTGATTTGAGAATCTTAGGAAGACTGTAGGGGCTGGCATATGGGGTCACTCAACCCTAACCTCAAGGCTGTGGGAGCCTCCAGCTCAAGGCCAAAATCATTACAAGGCAGCAGTCATTTCCCCTTCCAAGGAGTAGGTATGGAACCAGACCAGTCCTGGAGATTAAGGTTTTGTGATAAAGACAGACAGTCAGAGCCCAGAGTGGCCGTCCTTGTGTCCCCGGGGAGGTGGCCTAATGCCCACTCTGTTTTCTAACAACTTTTCTTGGGTATGTATCAGACCAAAAACTAGGTCCGCAAGATTCACGAGACCTGGTCAGAGAATTCATACTCATTTTCAAATGTCTTTGGTCAGCAAAATCTCA
The DNA here is from genome assembly GCF_000001405.40 of Homo sapiens. Lineage (NCBI taxonomy): Eukaryota > Metazoa > Chordata > Mammalia > Primates > Hominidae > Homo > Homo sapiens. Next base: position 56,772,195 of record NC_000017.11, read on the forward strand.
CATGCACTTTTTCCAGAGTCCTTTCCTCCCCTTCACATCCCCACTCCCACCCAGCTGCTGCTAATTGTACAAGCCACATGCACTACAAGGGAAATGGAATCAGTCTGGTCCTGGTTCATTCACCTTTGAATCCTCAAATAGGCTGTTTTGTAAGAGACCCTAGACTTCCAAGACACCCTCGCAGGATCCCTTAGACAGCTTCTTGTTTTGAATCAGGAAATTTTATTTTGCCAGAACTTGATGTTCAAGCTCAATATTAATGTCAGAACCCACGAAATGTGAGCGGGTTCTAAATTTGGAAAAACATGGTCTCTAATATCTCCCCAAAGCATTCCTTCAGCTATTGACTTTGGAGGCAACTTCTCTATACTATGTAGCTGTCCATTGTTTGCTCTGAATGACACAGAGCCTTCAAACACCGGAGGTGCTTACTCAGCGGATCAATATATCATCACCCCCATCATCTGCATACATTGGTTGAACATCGTAGAGCAAATCCAACATACAGCCTGCTTCCTGTCTTGGCAAAGCCGCCGGATTGAGTCCTCTTTCCATGCAACACTTCTGCCCTGACTTAAACTTTGACTCCAGTGTCCTTTCTGAGCTATTTGCACTGTGAACACAGCGCCTAAAAAGATTTATTAAAAAAAATTAAAAAGCAGGGGGCGAGTGTCATTTTTAGAAAGGCGAGACACCCAACACATCCTACTCTGAGTAGATTTCTTTGACAGCTTGTGATGTTGCCTGAATGGTAAATATATCCTCAGACTCCAAGTAAATAGTCCGTGGCATGTAACTTGGGTATAAAAGAGGAAATTTTACACAACGTGGCCACAGATGCCTTGTCATTTCCCAGAAAATTAGAGGGTCTTCCAGTGACCCTGTAAATTTATCTCACAAGTACTCTTCCACAACTTCAGGAACAGATGGGGCCTGTTTTGATAATGTTTTCCAGTCCCCATAGATAATATGCTGGGGGTGGCGGGAGAGGGGGAGGAGCAAGACAGCCTGCTATTGCTCCCAGAAGCACAGCCTGTGGGCGATCTGTGTCTCTGGTCATCTGAAAGACACTTTGTTAGCACCAAGCATTTCATTGCTGAAGGGAGCAGCAGATAATTTTTTTTATTGGGTAGCCTCTTTACTAAAGGTTGAAGATGTGAAAGGATTGGCTAAAAGACAGGTTCAAACCCAGAGGATGGGCTGGAGTCAAAGAGAGACTGCAAGGCATCTTGAAGGCATCCTTCTGCCTCCAGGAAGGATCAGAGAGGTTTTGAACCCAGAGGAAGATTTCACAGCCTCTCGTGGCAACTTTTTTCAGCATCTCTGCAGAGATGGAGAAATACAAATCAATATCTTCCAGGTAGTAACTATTGGTTCACCTTAACCCAGGCCCTTCCATCAGTAATCATAATAGCTAATATCGACTATTCCCAGGCACTATGCTGAGCACTTGATGTGCTCAAGTTATATTCAGTGTTATATTCAAGACATATTTCAGTGTTAGGTGAAATATATCATCTATTCCTCACCACCCTGGATGCCAGAGGAGGAAAATGAGGATCAAAGAGCTCACAGCCACGTCCAGTGTCAGCAGCTGGTGAGGACAGAGCCGGGAGCAGAGGTATGATCTGTGCAAGTCTCTTGGGCGCTCTATGCCTGGGTTTCCTTACCTGTAAAGTGAATGGACCTAGTAACAATATAATACCAAGGCTTCAAGGGCTTTTTGTTTTTGTTTTTCACTTTTTCACTTTGTCTTTTTTGACCAGGTCATGGTTCTTATTTCCAACTCTCGTCATTCATTTGTCCATTCCACAGTGTTATTGAGTACTTTCTATTTATGTCTCTGCCATTTAGACTTTTAATCAGAGCCTTTATGATTAGCCAATTCATCGCCTCTTCACAGTGGGCTTTACACATCATTATCATGCCTTTAACAAGCATCTCGTTATGCTACTGTCTGTTTTACAAAAACTAACTGATATCTGTTGTTATTTGGCTGTTCACAAAGTCCCTTCACATACACTTACTCATGTCATCCTTATGAAAACACAGCAAAGAAAAGAAAAATAGATATAATATTGTTTATTATTATTATTTTCCTATTTTACCCACAAGTAAGATCCAGGCACATTAAGTGAATGCTGGAGCCAGAATTCAACCCCAGTCTTGTGATACATAAACCGGAACCCTTTCCACTACCACCCACAAAATAAATGTGGACATGGCCTTCCGGGAGCTGCCACAGAACAGCAGCGTTCATAGAAACACACCACAAGCACAGAGGGTGGGGAAGCTTGGTGGTTAAGCACACGGACTCTTAAATTAGACAGCCTTGGCTCTAAAACTTGCCTCTGACACTCACCAGCTGGATGACCTTGGGCAAGTGACTTAACCTCTTGATAGATCAGTTTCCTTATGGCTAAAAAGGGGTTAATAATAGTACCTACCTCAGAGGATGACTGTGGAAATCAATGACTAATATACATAAAGCTCTTAGGACAGTGTTTCAATTTAATTAATATCATCTAATTGTTATTTGTCTTAACATTATTATAGATGCACCTGAAAGCAAACAGAGGCTGTGAAGGGCAGGACAGAGTTGAGCAAAGAGGCCTACCTCCCCCACGGGGAAGAAAACTAACTGAAACTAACAGTCAAGAGATGTGGTTCTATTCCTCATTCTGCCACTTACCATCTGTGCAATCTTGAACCAATCAGTCACTTTACTCCATTTAGGTTTCCTCATCTGTCAGATGAGAAAAGTCAACCAGATTGGGTAGGGGAGGCCTAGCAAATGTCCACTGACTCCCTCATGTCATCCAGTGCCCCTGTAGACTCCGAGGGGTACACCCAGCCACCCCACTTGAATTAAGACTGACTAGTGAAGATACCCACTTAAGACCAGGTTGACCAGCTCATCCTGGTTTGCCTGGGACTTTCCTAGTTCTAAAATGAAAGTTTCATATCCCAGGAACATAATTCCAGAAAAACCAGGATGGTTGATCATCCTAATTAGGTAAAAAATTATATCATCTAGTCCATCATTTTCCCAAACTTTGCTGCTTATGTTACCACCACCATATATTTTGCCATAGCTGTGTAGGGAACTGTAAAATTACTCAAATACATTTACTTCAGAAGAATATATTACATCACTACTGCCATAGTCAGGATAGACCAGGTTAGCTGAGGCAACAGACAGCCCCACAAAGTAGGGGGCTGGAATATGCAGTGAACAGCACTACAATTGTAAAAGCAAACTAGCGTCGCTTGCCATAAAGTGAAGGAAAAATAAAAAATTGATGAAAATAAAACAACTATCACTAGGTAGCAGTGCTGGCTGAGGTTCCGTCTGGCCCCAGGGGCCTGCTCACTGTTTGTTAAAAAGGAGAGATAAGTAAGCATTAAAAAATCCTGGAATTTTCTCCTTTTCAGAGCAGGATTAAAAATGAAGTAAGTTCATCACTCTGTGATTTAATGTAATTTAATGCCATGTCTGTTTGCTACTTAACATTATCTCCCTGCCATCAGCAGAGCACCTCACACACATTTGGGAAGTTGGAATCAGAGAGAGTGTAAAGGTGAGAGGATGAAGGCTCGGTCATCCATTTAAATTTAGGGGCACTCCTCCTTCCAAAGCAGCTCTTCCCACTAATTAATACCTAATCCAGACAGGGCGAGGTGGCTCACGCCTGTAATCTCAGCCACTCGGGAGTCTGAGGCAGGAGGACCCCTTGAGCCCACGGGTTCAAGACTAACCTGGGCAACATATTGAGCTCCCTATCTCTACAAAGAAATTTAAAAATTAGCCAGGCATGGTGGCATGCACCTGTAGTCCTAGCTACTCGGGAGGCTGAGGCAGGTGTGTCACTTGAGCCCAGGAGTTCAAGCCTGCAGTGAGCTATCATCCTGCCACTGCACTTCAGCCTAAGCAATAGAGTGAGACTCTGTCTCCATTTTTATATATATATAATATTATATTATATATTATTATATATAATACTACATGTTATATTAATTTACTTAAATAAATTATATATATTAATATATTATTTATTATATTAGTATACATAACATATATACAAATATGTATAATACACTATATATATATATATACACACACACACACACACACACACACACACACACACCAAGTCAGACAGGACATCAATTGAGAGAAGATGCCCTTACAAACTTGCTTTTTTCAGGAATTTTCGCCTTGCCCCAAAGGCTACCTAGGAAGTACTATAATGGGCTAAAGGACAGAGAGGAGCACCCAAGAAAGGTCCTTGTTCCAACAAGATCACATGGGAAGAATTTCAGCAAAACAAAGCAGCAGCAAAGGACCTATGGCTTTTCGACCTCAACAAGGTTCTGCCAACTCCCCAAAGCAAGCTAAGAATGACTGAAGATACATCATGTGGCTGAAATTTCAAGTCACTACTATTTCTTCCAAAAACATAAAAGTATAAGAAATGGTTTGCCACCTAAGATTGGTTTCCCAAACAAATGCCAAATCATCCTGTAGGAGAGCCTAACCCCGCCATGTGTGGTCTTCCCTTATATGGCCCCTCCAATTCCAGGAACGCCATTCACCTTCTCCATTCCAGCACTGCCCTGCTCACTCGGTTGGGACCTCACCCACTCCATGGCATTAAATACCATCTATAAGCCAATGATTCACAATCTACAAGACCAGCCCAGCCTATCAGCTGCATGCCAGACCCTACCTGACACCTGCCCCTGGACATCTCACTAGGACCTCAATGTCAATTGAACACATGACCTGCTCTGCCCCAAACCCACTCCCTTCCACCATCCACTCTTCTGTTCAAACTCAAAACCTGGAAGTCTTCTGTGCTTCCTCTTTCTCCCTTGTTCCCACATCCTATCAATTCTGTCACCTAAATGTTTGTAGAATCCACCCACCTTCTCTGCCCTGACCCCTCCCACCCTACTCCAGGCCACATTCATCTCTCCCCGCCACCTACTACAGAGGTTCCTAGTTAATCTCCCATGCTGCCTTGGCTTCTCTCTAACCCTCTCCGCTCCATACTGCAGATAGGTACAAGAGGCATTTTTTAGATGTAAATCTCATTACCTTCTTCTCCTTGTTTAAAATACTTCTGCTGAATCCTATTACCCTTGTAATGAATCCTCAAAGCCTTACTGTGGCTATCAATCAAGGCTATGGATGGCCTACCCCACCCCTGCCCCATCTCTGCAAGCTCACCTCAACTCACTCTCCCTTCCCTGTTGTTCTCTCCACTCCAACCCTGCAGGGCTTTTCTCTGTTTTCTCAAACCTTCCACATGTTCAATTTCAGGGTCTAGCACAAGCTTGGAACACTCCACCTCCTCTCTGCCTAGCTACCTGCTGTTCATTCCAGACAGCAATCCTCTGGAGGCCTTCCCTGATCTCTGGGCCAAAATAGGGTCCCCTCACCCCTATATAAACTCCATAGCACTCTGAGCACACTGGCCTTCTCCTTCTCCTTCCCAACACTCAGCAGAACAGTAATTATTTTTCCCCGTTAGGCTGCATCCTCCATGGAGATGGACCCACCAATATCCCCACACCTAGTACTGTGTCCATGAATATAGCAAGTGGTTCCTAAATATTTGGAGACTGAGTGGTAACTGTGAGAATCACTCCCAAGCAGCCTGAGTCCCCACCCCCACAAAGAGATCTGAGTCTTCCTCTCCATCCACTTTCTGAAGAAAACTCAACAGTATGCATTTTGGTCTTGGAGAACGTGGTGTCTCGTGACACCACTGGGAATACTGACAAAAATGTGGCTGTAGTGGGTTCACCCAGCTCTCAGGAAGGAATAAGTGTCAGGTCATGCTGCATCATCCACAGGAAGAGCATGAGCTGGTGCTGACAGCGTGGGGTGTCCCAAGCCTTTGGTCTTGGGTTTCTCTTCCTAGAGTATTTATATCCATCCGGAGAAGCCGGCTGGCATCATTAATTGTGAGCGTGTGTCCACTCAAAGCAGCCATATACCAAATATATCGAGTATCAAGCCTAATATGGATATCCTTGTTGATTTATATATTGTTAATAAGCAACAAGAAGTGAATGCCTAAGGTGGGATGCCAAATGTTTGTCTTCCTTTGTCTTCTCAAACGTGCAAGGTTGTTGGTTTGGTGTACTGTTCGTTTTTCATGGAAGAATGACTTTTTAAAAGAGAAAGAGGGAGTTATGAGGCCCACAGTCATTTGATGAACTGAATAAGGACAAACATCCAGGTCACAAGTGGCAGCAAAGAATGCAAATTCTGTGTCCAGTGTCTCAAAATAAGAACCACTAACACTTAGTGGAGATTTGTGCCAAGCACCATTCAAAACAAATACACTAATTCATTTCATCCTCATGATACCTCTGAGAGGTAGGGGCTACTATTACCCCCATTTTGCAAATGAGGAAACCAAGACCCAGAGAGGCTTAAGTGACAGTCCAGTTTAGCAAGCAGTAGAGTTGGAATTTTCACCCAGGAACTCAAACTCCACAGTTCAGAAGTAGTCGGGCCCCATGGAGATCCATCCAGTCCAAAGCAAAGACAAACCCAAAGGCCCACTTCCAGAGGACTCAGACTACTGCCCTAATTTGGTCTTTTCTCTCTTGAGGGCCACAGAGAAACCATAGCCACAGTGCTGACCTCAAGGAGTTTACATTTTTGCAAGGAGATCAAACAAGAGCACAATGTATTTACAGTAACATAAATTAGTAAGTGTGAAATGCCATGCAAGGGATTTAGACGCTGCCCAAGGAGAGAGAGGTCTGAAGCATCGACTGATGGGTCTGTCTTCCTGCTCTGCCGTTGCCAGGTTCTGTAACTGTGGGCAAGTCGGTTGCCCCCGCTAAGGATAAACTTTCCAATCTGTAAAATGGGATGATGATGATGATGATGATGACGATGATGACGTCATTTCTAGTTCCTATCTCACAGGGCTGATGTAAGGATTAAATGAGAGAAAGCATGCAAAGCATTTAGGACAGGGATATGATATGTTCAGTATGCACCGGCCCTTATTTCTAGCAGAGGAGTTCGGGATATCATATATTCACTCACAAACATATATTAAGCACCTCCTAACAATGCACTAGGAACTGTGCCAGGTGCTAGGGCTACAAAGAAGAATGAGACAGTAGCCAGGCTTTCAAAAAGCTCATCCTCCAGAGAAAGGGACAGTGGGGGAGGCAGGCTGCCAGGACAGTAGGAGTCTTGAGTCCTTGCAAAAAGAATCGGAGAGGGTGCCTTGGAGGAGGGTGACGGGAATGCAGGAATGGGGTGAGGGTGTTTCCCACATGTACAAAGCAACGGCAAGCAGGCAGCTTCAGGGCTTCCTATCTGCCAAGTGGGTAGGATTGGGGATGGGCCTTGATGACCACACACAGTTGATTCCAGGGACACTCAGTTCGAGATTCCAGGCAGGTAGCTCTGATGTTGTGAAGTCTGCCTCCAAGTCCTGAAGTTCTCTTTACCTCCAGACTCAGCTTGAGACAAGAGAATAAGTACTGAACATTGAAGTAGAAATCCAAGTGGGTTTTTCTTTTCTTTTTTTGTGCCCTGTTATTTGCCTGTTAGCTAGACTGAGGATAAAACTGAATTTATGTCTCACCAAGGAGGCACAGGAAAGTGAAGAGAGAGAGAGATTATACAGGGTTTTTTTTTTTTTCCTTCAAAGTGTCTCCTCTGCAGACGCCTGGTGCAGCTCTGTCTCCGGGGAGCGGTTCACCCTCCAGAAAATATGACACTTTATTTCCTGCCCTTGTTTGCTAACACACCCCATTACCATCCATCTCAGTTTCATGTAACTGCCAACCGGCATTAACGCCCTCCTCCTCGCCGAGGCAGAAAATAGAAAAGGAAGAATTCAGCAGATTTTCCCCGGTGGCCCCCTCGGCGGCACCAAGATAACCAGCGCAGAAACCACAATTGGATCCTTATTCCTCCAGCCCAGGAATGCGAAGGACGGGACGGTTTAACCGCCTTCTGCATTTTCCTGCAAAGAGAGCCGGCTTGTTATTTCGGTTGTCTGGGCTCCCTTCTTTACTACGGAGAAAGATACATTAATTAATTTTTTTTTTTAATGTTAGGCAGGAAATGTTGCAAACTGTCAAGAGCTGTCAGCGGGCGCCTGCCCCAATCAGGTAAGCGGCGCGCGGGCGCCTGCGGCGGAGACACACTGACCCCTAGTGGCCGACCGGGCCCTCGCAGCCCCCGCGCCCGCCCTCGCTCCGGGCGGCCAGAGTCGCAGTCAAGTCGCTCTTTGCACAGAGCAGCTCTGTGTGGACTGGCGGGGGTGTGGCCGGTGCTGTGTCTCCACCGCCCGCCCCAACGCAAGCACGCGCGCACATACACCCCATGTCCATTTGCTCTTCCAAACCAGAGAAGCAATTTCTGCTCTCCTTGTCCAATTCCAGAGAACACAGATGCCTGAGAACCTTAAGCAGTGTGCCTCTGTGCTGTTGCTCAGGCATGTGCCTCTGCTCTTGAGGAGTGACGGGAAAGACAGACAGGGTCCCAGTGTGACACAGGGCTGAGAGGAAGGAAGGGGGTGGCGTTTGTGGAGACTCCCAGTACCAGACACTGTGCACACGGTTATCCCTTGGAGCCTGATGATAGCCCCAGATTTGGAAACTGAGGCCCCAGCTGTCACATGGCTTGTCCAGGTCACAAAGCTGATGTTTTTATTCATTTGTGTTGATTTTAATAAACAAATGTTTACATAGCTCTTGTCTGCCAGGCTTTCTTCTAGTGCTTTACCTATATTAAAATTACCTGTGTGGAATCCTCATCACAACCCTGTAAGTACTACTATTGCCTCCATTTCCCAGATGAGAAAACCGAGGCACACAGAGAGGTTAAGTAACTAGTGAGCGTGAGTCTAGTGTTTAATCTAGGCAGCCTGGCTTCAGAGTGCTCTCAGCCACTGCACTGGGCTGTGTGTGTATGTGTGTGTGTGTACCCCATGGATACTAGTTAAAAGGAGACCAGGATTCTAGTCTGCACATCACGGGCTCAAAAACCCAAGCTGTTCTGCGTGTACCTCCTTTGTTCCCTAAGGATGAAGTGCTACAGCAATGCAGGACAGGCGGCAGTAATTCTGGCTGTCGCAAAAGGAAGGCAACTTGTGGAAGAGGTGTCTGATGAACTCCTTGAAGACATAGACCGTGTCATCACCTTCAGAGCCTCATTCGCGCCTGGCGCACAGTGGGTGCTTAATAAAAGCTGAACTGGACTGGACCTTGAGGGAAGGTCCAAGGAAGGTGTGAAGGCAGGAGGGAGGCTAAGCAAGTTGCAAGAACCACAACACTGCCGTAGAGAAACACAGGTCCCCTAGCACTCCGTGAAAACACATTTTCAGACACACCCACACTGCATATTCTCTTTTTGGCCAGGACGAGGGGATGAGCTAACTGCAACTGAGCAGCTCCTACTCCACAGTGATGCGATTAATGCCACCTAAAATGTGTGTCCCCACTTTAGTTTTTCTTATTTGCATTTCACAGTAGCCCCATGAAGTAGGTATAACCAGCCTCTATTTTAACATGAGAAGATGGAGGCCTTTTCCAAATGGACTAAGTAATGTGTCTCAGGTTTTCCTAATAAGCAAAGACCTGCAACCCTGGCTTCCTGACTCCAAAGCTTATCCCTTCTCATGCTGTTGCTGTCAGCCAGGACCCCATGCGCAGAAAGCCCAGCCTCTCCATCCCCCACCCAAGCAGCTCTGGCCTTCTCTCAAGCAGCCCCTTGAACTGGCCAGGCTTGTTCCTGCCTAAGACCTTTCCCTGAGCCATTCCCTCAGCCTGAAATGCCCTTCCTGTACGTGGGTCTTCACACAGTCGGCTCCTTCCTGTCATTCCGGTGTCAGCTCAAATGTCACCTCCTCCAAAAAGCCTTCCTTGTCCACCCAACCTAAAATAGCCTTCCAGTCACTCTGTTGCATCACGGTTTTATATATTTCCCAGCAGGTATTAATCTCCGGTAATTTCTTATTCAGTTACTATTGTTAGACTCATCTCATGTATAATAAGGGGTATCAATTACAGAGTGCAAACCGATAATGTCCTAAGCAAAGTTCCAAAAGCTTTACTCACAGTGAGCCATGAAATTTTCACAACCACCCTTTACTGTGGATGCTGTCCTTAACCCTCATTTTACAGAAGAGGGAACTGAGGCAGGAAAGGTTCAGTAACCTGTCCAAGATTTCACCCTGAGTAAGCTGTGCTCTAGTCACTACAAAAACATCAGCAGAATTTGTAAATGGATAAAGGACTTAAATAGACATTTCTCCAAAGAAAATATGCAAATGGCCAATGAGCACATGAAAAGATGCTGACATTATTAGTTGTTAGGGGAATGCAAATCAAAACCACAGTAAGCTACCACTTCACACCCATATGGCTTAATTTTTAATTTAAAAAAAGGGGGTGGCAGGGGGAAATAAGTTGTTGACAAGGGCATAGAGAAATTGTAACACTTGTACCTTGCTAATGGGAATGTAAAATGGGGCAGCCACTGTGGAAAATAGTTTGTTGTTTCCTCAAAAGTTAAACAGAGAATTACCATTCGATCCAGCAATTCTACTCCAAGGTATATACCCTAAGGAATTGCAAACAGGTTCTCAAACAAAAACCTGTACAAGAATGTTCATAGCAGCATGGCTCACAATAGCTAAAAGGTGGAAGCAACCCAAATGTCTATCAACTGAAGAGTGGATAAATAAAATGTGGTATAACCATACAATGGAATATTATTCAGTCCTAGAAAGGAATGAAGTGCTGATACATGCTACAACATTGCTGACCTTAAGAACATGTGCTGAGTAAAAGAAGTCAGATACAAAAGGCCACATATTGTATGATTCAACTTATGTGAAATACCCCAAATAGGCAAATGCATAAGGATAGAAAGTAGATTGGTGGTTGCCAGGGGCTGGAAGGAGGGAGAAATGGGGAGTGACTGCCTAATGAGTAAGGGGTTTCATTTAGGGGTAGCAAAATGTTCTGGGATAGGCAAGGCGCAGTGACTCACGCCTATAATCCCCGCACTTTGGGAGGCCGAGGCGGGTGGATCACCTGAGCTCAGGAGTTCAGGACCAGCCTGGCCAACACGGTGAAACACCGTCTCTACTACAAATACAAAAATTAGCTGGGCACGGTGGCATGCGCCCATAGTCCCAGCTACTCTACTCAGGAGACTGAGGCAGAGAATTGCTTAAACCCAGGAGGCGAAGGTTGCAGTGAGCTGAGATCATGCCACTGCACTTCAGCCTGAGAGACAGAGCAAGACTCTGTCTCAAAAAACAAAAAAAAAAAAACAAAAAAAAAGTTCTGGGATAAATGGTGGTGATGGTTGTGCAACATTGCAAATGTACTAAACACCACTGAATCGTATACTTTAAAATGGTTAAAATGGTTAATTTTATGTTATATGAATTTTACAACCTTTTTTTTTAAATCAGCCTTGTCTGTCTGGTTCATCACTGCACTCCTAGAGCCTAGAGCAGTACAAGGTACACAGTAGGTCTCAGAATATATTTTTTATTTTTTAGAGAAATGAGTAAAGGGGAAGAGAACCCAGGTCTCCCAGGTCTCAGTCTCAGGTTCCTTTTGTTTTTAATTTTTATTTTTAAGTTCTGGGGTACATGTGCAGGATGTACAGGTTTGTTACATAGGTAAACGTGTGCCATGGTGGTTTGATGCACCTATCAACCCATCACCTGGGTATTAAGCCCAGCATGCTTTAGCTATTTTTCTTAATGCTCTTCCTCCCCCATCCCACCCCCTGACAGGCCCCAGTGTGTGTTGCTCCCTTCCCTGTGTCCATGCGTTCTCATTGTTCAGCTCCCACTTGTAAGTGAGAATATGTGGTGTTTGGTTTTCTGCTCCTGCATTAGTTTGCTAAGGATAATAGCTTCCAGCTCCATCCATGTTCCTGCAAAGGACATGATCTTGTTCCTTTTTATGGCTGCATAGTATTTCATGGTGTATATGTAGCACATTTTCTTTATCAAGTCTATCATTGATGGGCATTTTGGTTGATTCCACGTCTTTGCTATTGCGAATAGCGCTGCAATGAACATACGAGTCCATGTATCTTTATGATAGAATTATTTATATTTTGGGGGGTATGTACCCAGTAATGGGATTGCTGGGTCAAATGGTATTTCTGGTTCTAGATATTTGAGGAATTGCCACACTGTCTTCCACAATGGTTGAACTAATTTACACTCCCACCAACAGTGTAAAAGCGTTCCTATTTCTCCACAACCTCAATAGCATCTGTTGTTTCTTGTCAGCCTGAGGTTCTTTCCACACATGAAGCTTCAGGAAGCTCTATGCTGGTGGTTCCCAAACTCCAGCATGCATCAGAATCACCAGGAGGGCTTATGAAAATCCAGATGGCTGGGCCTCAGCCCCAGAGTTTCTGATTCAGAAGTGTCACAGACATCCGAACCAGGGTAACTCCATCTTGAATAAGAATTGAAGAAAGTCAGACCTGCTGGGTTACAATCCCAGGAGGCTATGCACTCCTAGTCACAAGATGTTTATGGCTGAGGGAACAGATTAATGATGCTTACTAATGGAACAGGACTCAGAACTTAAGGAAATCTCCTGATGTCCCAATATCTTAAGAACAAAAAGCATTCTTAGTTTAAGAATAGGTTTTGCTTTAGAGATAATAGTAGGTTCATAAATTTTTGCAAAAATCAATAGTTACACAAGAGAATAACAATACTAACAGCCTGTCACAAGCTTGTCATGAGCCTTTGTAGTAAAGCACATAAGGCCATTATTTTCAGCTCTGTTATCCTATACAAGCAAGCACTGTATTTGAGGTAGGGGCGTTCCTTCTCTTGCTTTTGGAGGACAGCCTACTCTGAAATAGAGCAGTCTTTAATAAGCTATCTTCACTACACTGCACTCTGCAACTTGCTGTAAATTCTTTCTTGCATGAGATCCAAGAACCCACTCTTGGGGTCTGGGTCGAGACTCCTTTCTGGTAACAGAAGATCTGAGTTGGGCCTGAGAGTTTGCATGTCTAACAGGTTGTCTGGGGGACACACTTTGAGAACAGAAGCTGTAGCTACTCATTAAACCACAAGAGAAGACAAGACACATATTGACATGACCTGGATGGAGGAAAAGCAGGGCCCACATGTAATTAGAAAGAGAAAGAGAGATTTCAACCACCTGAAAACTGAACCTCACAAGAAATAACTTGTCGATTTTAATCAATTGAAGAACCTCTGAAGCAGGAGCTTATTTGCTCTCCGGTGAGTTTACAGGTTTTGGGGGAGGGTAACTTGGCTGTATGACACTTGCTGGATCGTGGGAGTAGAGTCATGTTCTGATTTGAAATCAGAGAACTCACTGTGGCTTCCTGCCTCCACGCCCATCTGTTTCCCTGTATCATTGGGATAACATCCAAATTCCTTACAAAGGTCTGTGAGGCCCATAAACCTGGCCCCTGCCTGCCTCCCAGGCTCATTGTAGACACTGTCCCCTCACTCTTTAGGGAAGGCCACGGTGACCTTCTGGAAGCTCCTAGGACAAACCTGCTCCTTCCCCACCTCAGGGTCTTTGCACTTGCTGCTGCCTCTGCCTGCAACAACTCTCTCCACCTCCATCCTGTGCCACTCCTTCTACCCCCACCCTTCCCTGCCTTGTATCCCCACCTCCATCTCCTTTGTCAAGCTAATTCCTTGACAAATCACTGAAGGTACCCCCTCTTCCTAGAGCCTTTCCTGACAAGCAGCTCTGGGTGGGGTACCTGTCAATGGCCACATACCTGGTCATCTTGACTGCTCCTTCCTAACATTCAGCATACAATGTGTTCTTCCGTACTGGCCTCTGTTTAAGTGGGAGTTTCAGGAGTCGTCTCCAGTACCTAGTGCAGTGCCTAACACATAGGGAATAAATAAGCAAAGAACAAACAAACCAAGAAACCAGGTCCAGAAGCCAAAAGCAATCAAGGCCAGCCAGCATCTGGCATCAGAGCACTGTCCATGACAGAAAGCTGCCAGAGGAAGGAGGAGTAAGGGTTTGGAACAAAGTCCAGGTGGTATAGAAAAGTGCACCTTTGCAAAGAGCTTTTCCTTCGGACTGAAATGCCCTTCCTCCCCTTTTCCACCTGGAAGACGGCTTCTTACCCCTCCTGCTAAGTAAGCTTCCAGTAATGCCTTGTCTTGAGCCATCCCTAACCCCCTGCCTCAGGGAAAGAGTTATCATCGTACCATGTTTGCAATTCGGTGCTGGGGTGGGGCGGGGCAGGACATGGAAAGAACTCACCTCTCAACAAATAAATATTAGTGAGTGCTACCTATGCGCAGAGCAATGAGCTAGGCATGGAGATGCAGTACACTGAAATTGTCTGTGCCTCTCAGCTACTGCTCCAGCAAACAACAGCCACCTCCCTTATCCACGGGGAATGCCAGGACCCCCCAGTGGATGTCTGAAACCAAGCATAGTACTGAACCCAATTGCCGACCACATTTCTGTTCACATCTTCCACCCACATGTTTTAGAACTTTTCCATCTTAACGAAGCATTTTTCACTGTAGCCATTAACTTTTGCAGTTCAAGGTGCAACAGCAAAACTAGCACAAATTTATTTTTCCTTCTTCACAATTTCTCAGATAGAAGATTTGTTCTTACCACAGATCTTGGCAATCTCAGCACACGTTTTTTTTTTCTAAACTAAGTTGAAAACCTTCGCCTTTTCACTTAAAGGTAGCACATTATGGTTTCTCTTTGGCATATCTGAATTGCCAGCATCATTACTCTTGCAATGTGGGGGCATTATTAAGTAAAAGAAGGGTTCCTTGAACACAAGCACTGCCATAATGCCACCTGACAGTCAATCTGATAATTGAGCCAGCTACTAACTGACTAAGAGGGCAGGTAGTACACACAGAGGAGTGATTCATGCCCCAGGCAGGAAGCAGCAGGATGGCGTGAGATTTCATCACGTTACTCAGGACGGTGCGTAATTTACAACTGATGAATTGTTTATTTCTGGAATTTTCCATTAAATGTTTTCAGACTGTGGTTGACCTTGGGTAACTGAAACCTCAGAAAGAGAAACCACAGATGGGGGAACTACTGCAATGTTTTTTGGCCAGCTCACGTGTGCCAGCCTCTGAGATGGACACTTTCTATGGGCCCTGAGGAAGAAGCACAGCACAGAGCTAACACTGTGGCTTCTGGGTCAAGTCACTTCCTAATTTTGTGACTTAATGACTTTGGGTCCATCACGAAACGTCAAGAGCCCACATCTGTAAAATGGGGATAATAATTGTACCTACCTCACAGGATTATTGCGAAGATTAAATGAATACAGTGAAGGAATTAGCATGGTGGTTGGTACATTTCAAGTGCTCAATAGAATGTTAGCAGTTGTCCCATTTAATACTCCCAGCAACATAGAGACCAATATGACTATCCCATATAAAGATAGGGGAGCAGTAGACTTGGAGAAATTAAGTGATTCACCCAATCACAGCACTCAGCAGAAGGTTAAATTGCAATTAGAATCTGTCTTACTCGAAAACTAGGTTTCTTTCCAGTCCACCATTTACCCCATTCTTGTCCCCTACTTATCCCTCTCTATAGTAGCCATGCCCGTCTGTTTACTTACTGTCTTTGGCTGCTTTACAAATACAATAGCAAAGTAGTTGTATGACAGAGATGACATGGCCCACAAGATAAAAATACTTGCTATCAGGCCCTTTACAGAAAAAGTTTACCAACCCCTGATCTATAGAGCAGCTACCTGCTTATATATCTGTCTCCACCACTAGACAGTAAGTTCATTTGAACTGGGATCTTATTTCTCTTTGAACCTCTAGGAAGAATAAGCACACTTTTTTGCAAGGGTCTCAGTGTTGGTTAGATGAAATATGAAATGCAATTCCCTCTGGAAATCCTTCTGCCCATTTTTTCTGACCCCAAACCCAGACCATAGGAGCCAATGGTCTCTGTCTGTTTCAGGAAGCACATGTATTAGTCAATAAGACTGAATGCTTCTGCCAGTAGCTCGGAAGCCTATGAGCTGCCCCACTGGAGGTACTCTTGGTAAAGTTGTTTCTGCTCCACCATAGAACCTTCCCAGGAGGGATGTTTTTGGATACGAACAACGTATAAAAATCAATATTATTCCTACACATACCAGAATAACCAACTAGAAAATGTAAATTTAAGAAAATTCCAGTTATAATTCATAAAGATCCATAATATATCTAGGATTAGTGCTGTTTTAAAAACATATATATGATCTTTACAAAGAAAATTACAAAATTTTAATGATGGACATAAAAATGGCCTAAGTAAATGGAGAGATAGACCAGGTTCATAGATAGGAAGATGCAATACTGTAAAGAAAGCAACCCTTTCTCAAGTAGGGAGGCCTTTTGACTCTAGGTCTCCCAAACACTCTCCACCTCTTCTCAAAATAATAGTTTTTTAAAAAATATAGAGAGAGACAGAGACAGACCATTTGTCTTGATTAATAGAATAATGCCCAAGAATTTTAAAAACAGTAATAGCTAGTTTCATGGAGAGCTTACCCAATAAACTAATTATCACAATGGCATTTTGAACTAAGAACTGTAATCATTCCCATTCTACAGTAAGGAAACTCAGGCCCAAAGAGGTTAATCAGCTTGCCCAAGGACACACAGCTAGTCGGTGGAGCCAGAATTTGAATGCAGGTAGTCTGGCTCCAAGCCTGGATTATGAATTACTGCTGTCCACCACTTTGAAGATTCCTGTCACTCACCTGCCTTCTGAGAAACTTTGGTGGTGGGCAAATGGGGTGTGAAGTTGCAGCAAGCTCACTGTGAATTGCTGCGCTTCAGCCCCGTCATCTGTGGGCCTCAGGAGAGTGTGTTCTGGGTAAACACATGCATTTTGTGTGTCAAGGGGAGGAGGCTGAGAACCAGGCTGTATGTGACTGATGAAGAATCCTCTCTGTTCTTAAAGGAAGTTTTTGCCCCTGATATGTGAGCCATACCCAGGGTCCTTAGAGCCTCAAGGAAGCCCTTCCTTCTCTACCTGGATGCAGGAACCTGGCTCCCTGTGGGTCTGATTTATTTTTAATTCTGCTTCCCTCCTTCTCTCTTTTGGGACGTGCTAGTCTCGTTCCTGTGCAGTCTGTCCCACATGCACAGATTCAGCTCCTACTTCTTGTAAACCACTCTGAGAGGCAGGTGGGGAGGTGGACAAGGGAGCCTTCTGTCCACCCTTGTTCCATGTACCCTGGGCAACTCCTAGCACTAAATATCAGAGCCCATGGAAGGTGCCTGTGCTCAGATGACATCCCAGCTAGGTAAGGAGTACAGTTGAGTCTTAATAAGACACATCCTCATCCCTTAAGGAACTCGGTTTAGAAAACTACTTCATTCAAGGCATAAGAATATCAGGTTTAGGGCAGAAGTGCAGAGTGTTTGTGGATGGGGGGAGGGCGGGCATAGTAGTGAGGGGCTTCCCAGGTTCAAATCCCAGGTCCTCTACCCACCAGCTGTATGAACCTGAACAAACTGCCTAGGGTAGGCAGAATGATGGCTTCCCCAAAGATGTCCAGGTCCTAATCCCTGGAACTTGCGAAAATGTTACCTTATATGGCAAGGGGGAATTAGCATTGTGGGTGGAATTAAAGTTGTTAATCAACTGACCTTAAGATAGAGAAATTATTCTGAGTTATCTAAAGGGCCCAGTGTAATCATAAAGGCCCTTAAAAGTGGAAGATGGAGGCAGAAGAGAAAGGCAGAGTGATATGATGTGAGGCTCAACTCACCATTGGTGGCTTTGAGATGGAAGGAGTCATGAGCTAAGAAAGGCGGGTAGCTGGAAAAGACAAGGAAATAGATTCACCCCAAGAGCCTCCAGAGAGGAGAAGAATGCAGCCCTGCTGACACATTGATTTAACCCAGGAGACTCCTTTTGAACTTCTAACATACAGAACATAAGATAATTAATGTGTTGTTTTAACCCACTAAGTAATTACAGTCAAAATAGAAAACTAATACACTGCCTAAATTCTGTAAACTTCAGTTTCCTCATTTATAAGTTGGGGATAGTACAGATGCTCCTAGACTTACAAAGCAGTTACATCCTAATAAACCCACTGGAAATTGAAGGTGCATTTAATACACCTAACCTACCAAACATCACAGCTTAGCCTGTAAATGTGCTCAGAACCCTTACATTAGCCTACAGTTGGGCAAGATCATCTAACACAAAGCCTATTTTATAATAAGTGTTGAAGAGCTCATGTAATTTATTGAATGCTGTACTAAAAGTGAGAACCAGAACGGTTGTATGGGTTCTTGAAGTATGGTTTTGGCTGAGGGCATATCACTTTCACACCACTAGAACTCAGGGACCATCTGTACGGAGTTTGACCCAAAATGTTGGTATTGTTATTGAGAGATTCAGTGCCTTTATCCCTAGATGAACACACCTAATATAGTTTGGATCTATGTCCCTACCCAAATTGCATGTTGAAATTTAATCCCCAATGTTGGAAGTGGGGCCTGGTGGGAGCTAATTAGATCATGGGGGCAGTTTCTCATTAATGGTGTAGTACCATCCCCTTGGTACTGTTCTCACAATAGTGAGTGGGTTCTCACAAGATCTGGTTGTTTAAAAGTGTGTGGCATCTTCCTGCTTCTTCTCTTGCTCTTGCTCTGGCCATGTGACTGCTCCCACTTCACCTTTCACCATAATTGTAAGTTTCCTGAGGCCTCCCCAGAAGCCAAGCAGGTGCCATCATCATGCTTCCTGTACAGCCTGCAGAACTGTGAGCCAATTAAACCTCTTTTCTGTATAAATTACCCAGTCTTAGATATTTCTTTATAGGAATGCAATAATGAACTAATACACCACCCAACCTCCCTTGGGACAAGCCCTCCTCTGTAGCCCAGGGTGTGTGGGCATCCCTCCTTACCTTTTTTTGAGGATGCCAGATTCTTCTTTCCCCAGAACCATTTGGCCCACCTTCCCTTGCCCTCCAAATTTCTGCTTTTCTTGGCCTCTAATTGTCCAATCTGATTCCAAGGTTGTGGGGCAGGTGAGGGCCTCCGGGATACAGGAACTACAACCCACTTTTCACAAGAAATGTTGCCTTTGCTAAAAGACCAGGGTGTAAAACTGGTATTAAGCAATGGCCCTAGTTCCAGAACTGGCCTTAGGCAAATAATCTCATATATATACATGTACGTATATAAATATATACATAACCCTTGTGCAAAATTGCAGGGTGTTTGTATTTTCATTCATTCAAAGAACAGTAAGCTTTCTGATGCTGGATTTGCAAAGATAAACAAAAGAGGGAAATCTCTGTTTCACTACTTACAGAGAAAGAAAGAGGCCAGGCGCAGTGGCTCACACCTGTAATCCCAGCACTTTGGGAGGCCAAGGCGGGTGGATCACCTGAGGTCAGGAGGTTGAGACCAGCCTGGTCAACATGGTGAAACCCCGTCTCTACTAAAAATACAAAAGTTAGCTGAGCATGGTGGTGTGCACCTGTAGTCCCAGCTACTCTGGAGGCTGAGGCAGGAAAATCACTTGAACCTGGGAGGCGGAGGTTGCAGTGAGCCAAGATCATGCCACTGTACTCCAGACTGAGTGACAGAGTGAGACTCCATCTCAAAAAAAAAAAAGTGGGGGGGAGAGAGAGAGAGAAAGGAAGAGACCACTAAAAGTAAATTTAATACCAATGTTTATTAGGGCAGAAAAGAAGAGGAAAAAAATAGAGGACAAAACAACTCAGCAACCCCAAGTGGTATGCTTCACTACTCTGAACAAGGATTCCCCAAATTCCTTAGGGCAGGCAGCCTGCCCCAACTCCTGGTCTGGGAGTTCCAGCTCCATCAACCCCAGGTAAGATTCTGGTTGTTCCCACTCTTGCAAACTGATGGGAAGACCTTTGGGAGGTGTCTATGCTTTAAGCTATTGGTTTTAGTGATCTATGCAGGTTAGTAAAATGAAGCAGTATATATATTTGCCATTTCCAAGGCAATCTTTGATATGCCCACAGTTCACGAGGTCTGAAGACATCCATTTCTGCAATTTAAAAACAAGTGAAAGAAGCAGCCTTGTCTTGCTTCGACATTATCCAGCTTGTTGTCTATTAAAATGCTTGCTGAAAAAGAACAAGAAAATAACATTAGGATAATGATAATGATTGTGATGGTAGTGGTGGTGGTGGTGATGATGGTGTGGCAGTGATGGTGATGATGGTGATTGTGGTGGTGGTAATAGTGATGATGGTTATGATGGTGGTGGTGGTGATGATAATGATGATAGTGGTGGTGGTGGTGGTGGTGGTGGTGATGATGGTGTGGCAGTGATGGTGATGATGGTGATTGTGGTGATGGTAATAGTGATGATGGTTATGGTGGTGGTGGTGATAATGGTGATGTGGTGGTGGTGGTGATGGTGCTGATGGTGGTGATGGTGATGATGGGGTTGATGGTGATGATGGTGGCAATGGTGACGATGATGATGGTGGTGATGGTGAGGTGGTGGTGGTGGTGGTGGTGGTGGTGGTGGTGGTGGTGGTGGTGGTGGTGGTGGTGGTGGTGGTGGTGGTGGTGGTGGTGGTGGTGGTGGTGGTGGTGGTGGTGGTGGTGGTGGTGGTGGTGGTGGTGGTGATGGTGGTGGTGGTGGTGGTGGTGGTGATGGTGGTGGGGGTGATGGTGGTGGTGATGATGGTGTGGGTAATGGTGATGATGGTGGCGATGGTGGTGATGGTGATGGTGATAGTGATGGTGATGATGTTGGTGGTGGTGATTGTGATGATGATGATGAAGAACAAGAAGGAGGAGGAGGAGAGGGGAAAAGGAGGAGACTAAGGAAGAGGACGAGTAGACCAAGGAAGAACAAACACCATCCAGCTATCATTTTCTGAGCACTTCCTTTGTGTGCCAGGGCAACACTAACTATTTTCCAGGCATTGACTTTTTTAATCCTAGAATCATAAGGAAGGAGCCATTACTATCCTCATTTTACAAATGAGGAAATTATTCAATTAGGCATTTTTTTCTAAGGTTATTCAGCCAGTGACTGGAGGACTCATTATCTGAAGGCTGTCTGACTCCCAATTCCAAGTTAACACATTTCTCCAGCCACCGCTTCCTTGTCTTTATGTAAGTGGGAGCTGCCTGGAGTGAGGCCTCTGAGGAACCCTGTGTTTGCAGGAGCTAGGCACCCAAGCTCACCAGCAGTGCCTGTCCTACCAAGAATCAGAGGCCTCAGTCACCCTTGGAGGGTACTACTGTGGGGCTGAACCCAGAAACCTCTCCTTTAACTTCAACTGCACAACAGTAATAAGTGCTTTTATATTTAGAGTCACTTACTATGCACCAGGCTCCCTAGACATCATTATTACCCCAACTTACAGAGGCAGAAGCAAAGAGTCAGTGAGGTTAGGCAACTTGCCCAAGGGCACAGAGCTGGAAATCAGAAAGTCAAACTCAGCTCTGGCCAGTTCCAGAGCCTAAGCATCCAATTACTCCACAGTGCTGTTTTCTGGAAGAAGCCAAGTGAGGGCTTCCAGTGCTAAAAGACAAAGGCCCTTGGTGCAGGGGAGGCCAGCACCCTGGGAGTTGGGAGCCAAGCCCAGACACACCAGAACCCTGACCTAGAATAGAGCTCCAGCAGCTGGAAGAATTAGAAGAGGGATGTAGCCCATCCCTACCCCTCAAAAGCAGAACTTCTATTCCACTGCCAGCAGGTGATCCTCTCATTATCTGTGAAAGCTCCCTCAGAGTGATTTCATGCCCACACACACACAGGACTGTGCAACACGGTCCACATAAAGCATGCAGATTTACGGTGGTCAGAAGCCTAGCATACCAACCACTGCTTAGCCTGAGTTAGTAGCTTAATCATGCTCAATTAGTTCCTCTTTAAAATGGGGTTAAAGTGCATGCCCTGCAATGACACCAGGGTATTAAGAGGATCATGTGAGGCAATTTATGTTACATTATAAAGAGTGATTAATAGGAGCGTCCCTGTGTCAATTCACAGTAGCACAAAATAAACAACAAAGGTATAAGATTTCTCTTAACCACAAAGATAAACTACCTGATTATATCTTGTCCTGCTTGGTCCACAAAACTTACAGAGGAGAAATGAAATTCACTGGGCTTACCCTCTGAAGGAATTTTGCTACCTTATCTAACAGGATTTGGAAAGGGGGGAAGATGATGAGGACAGACAGGGAGAAGCAAACAGCCTCATCTAGGCACAGAGGTACAGAGTTGGGGGCATGCAGGGTGTGGGGGGAAAGCTGGGCAGTACCCTGCTGGTGGGCTGAAAACAGAAGCCCCAGGGAAAGGGAAAGACAGAGGGTGGGCTGGGCAGATTGGCAGCCTTGAAGGCTGCAGGAAGGCAGTAGGGAACAGGAGCGAGATCTGGGAAAGAAGTTGTTGATCCTGATGACAGTGGTGATGATCATGGTAGATGTCACAGGTTGACTCCACGAATGCTGAGCCCACCTGAAGAGACCCAAGTCTCAACAAAACACACTTCTCCACATTTGGGGTCCAGAGAGAGCTTTTCTGCATGGCAAATAGGGTCACGTCCCTCCCCATTCGGGATCACTTTGTGATTCAATAAAAGTTGGGCTCCCCCATTTGTCCCCCAGTGCTCCTCTCAACCTGGCTCCCCACTATGTCTCCTGCCTCACTCTTGCCACCCCCATTCCAAACCCATAACCAGCTAACCAGCTGGCCCCCCTGAGGCATGGTCTGGAAAGTCTCCCAGCCCATGCCATGCTGTCCCCCACCACTCCCTCAGACAGAGGTCCGGGAGAGAGAAGGAGACGTACCGAGGCTGGTCCTGATCCCCTTACACAGGATGAATCCTGTTCCTGTCACAGTGGGGTTTGCAGTGAGGGTTCAGCCAGTGCTCCAGGAACTGCTCCTCAGCGCGATGCTCCAGGGCGAGCAGGTGGTGCATGTATTCCTGTCAAAACAAACCACACTGAAGAAGGCTTCACCCACAGTGACAGCCAAGGGATCAATATGCGTGGTGTGGCTCTGGCTCCCTAGACAGGGCAGGATGGGAGGACAGGCAGGGAGAAGAAATCAACGGCCACACCCATGCCTCTCTGTAGGGAAGACCAGTCAGACTGACCCACCCAGTGGGCAAAATAAAGAAGTCTGACAATACTAAGTGCTGAGCGGGTGGATTTCCATGAAAACATGGGACAACAACTTCAGAAAACATCTGATTGCCTGCAATCTAGAAATTTCACTCCTACTTTATACCCTAGCGCAGTGGACGTCAAACTTTATCAGATATCAGAGTCACCTGATATCTGATATTACAACACAGATTGCTGGGCCTATCTTACAGTTTCTGACTCAGTGGGTCTTGGGTGGGACTTGAGAAGTTGCATTTCTAACAAGTTCCTAGCTAATAGTTATATTGCTAGTTGCTCTGAGAACAAAAGAAACTCTTATATCAGGAAAGGCATATAAAAATGTTTATAGCAGCAATAAATTTGTCATAGCAAAACACTGGAAACATGCCAAATAGCCACTTACAGGAGAATGAATCAATAAATTATGTTAGGGTTATGCCATGGACTATTATACAGCAGAGAACATAAATTATACTGTAGCTATATACAACAACATAGATGGGTCTTAGAAATAGCATACTGAGTGAAAAGTCCAAGTAACTACATTTATAGTGTGACACTATTTTTATAAAGTTCAAATATGTGTAACTAAATCATGTAATATATTACTTATGGCTATATGCATTTCTGATAAAATCATCTTTTTTAAAAGACAAGGGATAAGCAGAAGAAAGCTAGGGTTGCTATGCTAATATCAAACAAAAAGACTTTAAAATATAAAAATGTTACTAGAAATAGAGAAGCATTTTGTAAAAATAGTCTGGCAGTTCCTTACAATATTAAACCTAGAATTACCATTCGTACTCCTGGCTAGCAACTGTACTTGTAGGTATATACCCAAGAGAAACAAAAATGGATGTCCACACAAAAACTTGTATACAGATGTTCACACCAACATCATTTGTCACAGCCAAAAACCAGAAGCAACCCAAATGTCCACCAATAAATGAGTGGATAAATAAAATATGCTACTTCCATATAATGGAATATTATTTGGCAATTAAAATGAATGAAGCAGTGATCCCTGCTACAACATGGATGAACCTTGAGAACATTATGCTAAGTGACAGAAGCCACTTAGGACACTTATGTCACAAAGGACCACACGGTGTATGATTCTGTTCATATGAAAGGTGGCCAGCCCCATACATTAATCTGTCCACAACAGAAAGCAGCTCCTTGCCCTGACCAGTCCTGCCCCTTACTGTGGCCAGCATCTCCATCTACTCAGGAACCCGCTCCAGAACACCAACTGTCATTGCCTCACTCACCCTCAAACTCAACATAAGACTGAGCATCGGGACGTTGAGGCTATCTCCGGAATAGTTCTCAGATGCCCTCCCTCGTCTCTGCCACTTCCCTAGGTCAGGTCTTCACCATTGTCCACCAAGGCTGCCGCAGACTCCTCACCCCTCTCTCTGTCCCACCCCTGCGTGTTGCATTCCTCCCACCCCATGCCTCCTCCCTCCCCCATCCCTGCTCCACTCTGACAGAGTGACCCAAAAGGGGTCAAAGGTGGCCCACCAGGGCCACCTTCCTCCTCGAAGCCTTCACCAGTGCTGTCTACCTGCAAGGAGTCAGCATCTGCCTCTACCCACGGGTTTTGTCTGTGGCTCTGGATAATGTACTTGCAAGCCAGCAGATGAGTGCAGCTTTGGGTAGGATTCCCCTCCTTCCCCCACTCCTCCCAACAGCAGGGAGTGGCCCTGCCCTCCCACCTTGGTCTACAATGGTCATTGACAGCCTTTGTTAATCTCTATGCTTCTCAAAAACGCAATTTCTCCCTGAAATGGTTGCCTGAAGAGACTTTAATGAAGGGAACATTCATAGCCATGTGAGTAGGGTTAAGGGAACTATCAAAGAATATTCTAGCACCCAGGGACTAGCAATAGAGGGAAGTCATGACCATGTCTAAGTTTGCAGGGCCAAGGGTGGAGAACCCTTAGAGGAGCCATTAGGCCTGGGGCCAGGTGGGTGGGGCTGCTGTGGTCTTGGGGGCACAGCACAACCTTTGCAAGGCAAGGAGGGAACAGGGAACAAACAGCCCATCCTCTCCCTCCTCTTCCCCTCAATATCCTGCAGGGCCCAATCAGAAGCCAGCTGGCCAGGGAACCAAGGGATTCAGTCTGCAGGAGTCAGTCTCCTTGAGCACAGAGTGGGGCACAGCAGGGTGGAGAACGGACTGGGGTCAGGGCAGAGAAAAACCGCGTCCATACCAGGATGATGAGGAGTGGCAGGTGTGCTACCACCAGAGAAGGGAGCAGACAGCACAAATAACAGAGGGCCATGATAGGGCCTCTCTGCAACCTGCAGCTCATCAGCCTCTGAACACACCCATCCTTTGCATGAAATTTTTGTCTTTGCATCTCCTCTCTCAGTTGGCTCGTGCTCTGCCCTTTATCAACAGGAATGTCACTTCCAGCCTTTAGGGCTGGCCTTCTCCTCCAAATGCGCCTTGGTCTTCCCCGAAGCCAGTTCAGGCTGTGAATTTTCTGTATATGGGTTACTCATGGCATTATGTCCTATAAGTGATGCATAAAACAGAAAAATGATAAAACAACAGGACCTCTCTTAAATAAAAGAATAAAATGTGATTTCTCTTGTCTTAGTCAGTTATAAGCTCTCCTCCTTCCCTCTCCATCTTCTAGTGCAATCTCTGGCCTACAGGTACTGCCTATCATACTGAAGGTGGTTCATCATATCTCTCTTCATGGCACCACATTGCTAGTTAAGCAAGAAGCTTCAGCGCACTCCTCTTCCTTGCCCTCCCACCATCTAAGCAGCCTAACTCCTGTGAATGCTCCTGAATCCCTTCTACCCAGCCCGACTGCCTCTGCCCAGCTTAGGCCCCAGCCCTGGGGCTAGACCCCTGCCACAACCTCTGCAGGCTCTTACTACCCCTTGTCCTACCTTCTTCTTCTTGTGGGGTTTTTTTTATTGTTTTATTTTGTTTTCTTAATAGGCATTATTGTTTACAGCAGTTTTAGGTTCACAGCAAAATTGAGCAGAAATATAGCATTCCCATATATCCCCTGTCTTCACACAGGCACAGCCTCCCCCACTACCAACATCCCCCACCAGCATGGGATATTTTTTACAGTTGATGCACCTGCATTGACACAGCACCATCACCAGTCCATAGTTGATATTAGGGCTCACTCTTGGTATTACACAAATGCATGGCAGTCGGGCATCATGGCTCACATCTGTAATCCCAGCAATTTGGGAGGCTGAGGTGGGCAGATCACTCAAGCTCTGGAGTTCGAGACCAGCCTGGGCGACGTGGTGAAACTCTGTCTCTACCAAAAATACAAAAAAAAAAATAGCTAGATGTGGTGGTGCATGCCTGTAGTCCCAGCTACTCAGGAAGCTGAGGTGAGAGGATCTCTTGAGCCCAGGAGGTAGAGGTTGCAGTGAGCTGAGATCGCACCATGGCACTCCAGCCCTCGGAGACAGTACGAGCCTTTGTCTCAAAAAAGATAAATAAACACAAATAAAAATAAAAGCATGGCACCAACATCTCCTTCTGATGAGGGCCTCAGGAAGTTTCCACTCATGGCAGAAGGTGAAGGGGAGCTGATATACACAGATCACATGGTGAGACAGGAGGCAAGAAAGAGAGAAGGTGCCAGGCTCTTTGCAGAAATCCGTTCTCATGGGAACTAAGAGTGAAAACTCCCTCATTACCGCTATTCATGAGGGATCCACCTCCATGACCCAAACACCTCCCATAAGGCCACACCTCCAACACTGGGGATCAAATTTCAACATGAGACTTGATGGGGCCGAACAAACCACACACAAACCCTAGCACTACCATTGCAATATCACACGGAACAGTTTCACTGCCCTAAAAATCTGCTTTGCTCTGCCTGCTCATCTGCCTAACCCCTGGCAACCACTGATCTTTATACTGTCTCTATAGTTTTGCCTTTCCCAGAATGTCATACAGTTAGAATCACAGAACATGTAATTGAATTTTCAGATTGGTTTCTTTTCTTTAGTAATATGCATTTAAGTTTAACTCCATGTCTTTCCGTGGCTTGATAGCTCATTTTGTTTTAGGGTTGAATAATATTCCATTGTCTGCATGTATCATAGTTTATTTATTCATTCACCTGGACATCTTGGTTGCTTCCAAATTGGAGTAATTATGAATAAAATTGCTATAAACATCTGGGGGCAGGTTTTGTGTGGATGTAAGTTTTCAACTCCTTTGGGTAAACACCAGGGAGTGTGATTATTGAATCGTATGTTAAGAGTACGTCTGGTTTTGTAAGAAACTGCCAAACTGTCTTCCAAAGTAGCTGCACCATTTTGCATTTCCACCAGCAATGAGTGAGAGTTCTGTTGCTTCACATCCTCACCAGCATTTGGTGTTGTCCATGTTCCAGATTTTGGCCATTCTAATAGGTGTATAGTGGCATCTCGTTGTTTTAAGTTGCATTTCCCTAATGATGTACGATGTTTCACATGCTTACTTGCCATCTGTATATCTTCTTCAGTAGATGTCTATTCAAGTCTTTTGTCAGAATGGGTTTTTAAAATATAAAGAACAAAAATAGCTTTACTGGTTTTTATTTTTATCACAACAGTGATACATATTACTTTCTTAAAGTCATGAAAAAAAAAAAGAAAGTTATAAAGAAGAGGTTGAAAAATCCCTCTTGATTTTTCTGTATCCTGTTGCAAACTAATTTTTTTTTTTTTTTTTTTTTTTTTGAGACGGAGTCTCGCTCTGTCGCCCAGGCTGGAGTGCAGTGGCGCCATCGCGGCTCACTGCAAGCTCCGCTTCCCGGGTTCACGCCATTCTCCTGCCTTAGCCTCCCGAGTAGCTGGAACTACAGGCACCCACCATCACACCCGGCTAATTTTTTGAATTTTTAGTAGAGACGGGGTTTCACCGTGTTAGCCAGGATGGTCTCAATCTCCTGACCTCGTGATCCACCCGCCTCAGCCTCCCAAAGTGCTGGGATTACAGGCGTGAGCCACTGCGCCCGGCAGCAAAGTGATATATTTTTTTAATTTACCCACGTTGCTTCTTCACTTAAAATGTCTGTATGCCTCCCACTGGTCTCAGGAGAAAGTTCTGATTCCTTAATATGGCTAAGGTCTTTCCATGACCCAGCTACACCCATCTCCTGAGCCTCTTCTCTCACCATCAATACACTTGAGCTTTGTTCTCCATCTTTCCCTGAACGGGCCATGCTTGCTGTTCTTTCTAAGGCTTCCAAAGCACCTGTTGTTTGCTCTGCCTAGAACACCCCTGTACCTTCTTATTTTCCCATCTCACTCTTACCTGACTTTTCAGGCCTCAGCTTAGATGTTACTTCCTCTAGGAAGCCTTCTCAGATTCCCTGTGACCCCACTTCTCTGGGTCTCCAAAGCTCCATAGACTTTTCCCAGCATAGCCCTCCCTGGTCATTCTGTGTGGCAGTGAGCTCTCCCTGAGAGTGGGGACTTCATTGGCCTGCCTCATACTGTTTAGTGGAGGTCGTAGGTGGGTTCGCTCATATATTGGTATCAAAATTGGATGTTCCAGCTGGGTGTGGTGGTGCACACTTGTAGTCCTTGCTACTCAGGAGGCTAAGGCGAGAGAATTACTTAAGCCCAGGAGTTTGAGGCTTCAGTGAGCTATGATCGTGCCACCGCACTCCAGCGCAGGCAACAGGGTGAGGCTCAAACAAAACTCAAAACAAAAAACTTGTTCTTTTATGTTCCCTCCAAAGAGAATGGATAGAGATGGGAATGATTTTTAACTTGGAGTGTGTTTTTTATATTGCCCTGAAGGAAATGTTGGTGCTGTAATTATAGGATGTGAACCATTACAAAGTATGCATAGAACAGGTCCATACAAACAGCAGGCCAATAATCAGAGAAGTGGCATTTCACCTTAGGAAAGAGTAGACATACTCAGTCATATTTGTGATGTGATTAAATTGTTTTTGGCATGTATCAATATCATAAAAACTCTAAATCATGGAAACCTTCCTATGGCATTAAGAAGGCTTTAACAAAGGGTCGGGTCCACTATAGAACTCTAAGTTTTTAAGTTTTTAGAACACCCTCTAGGAACTCTGCATTCTACATCAAATGTACTCATTTAAAAAGAAAAAGAATGTGCAAAGGAAGGAATTATGAAGTGTCCAATTTTTCTGATTTTTTTTTTCTTTCCCCCAAGACCCATGCAGTTTGGATTTGTTTTGGTTATGGTTGTTGTTTTCATTTAACTCATCAAAATACACTCAGTGTTCTGGCAGGGAGTCTCTGGGTCAGCTGGGGTAGAGGGCAGATGGTGAGAGGGCTCCTTGTGGGATCCAACAGTGATTCCCTGGCTGCTTTCTGAACATGTTTGCGGATTTGGGGCTGAGTTCCTTCCCTATCCAGGGAGTCTTTGGCCAGAAGAATAGTAATTGGGAGGAACAGGAAGGCCGTGTGCAGTCTTGTAAATAAGGAACAACAAGTTCCCAGCATATAACTTTACTTGTTCAACTATTCTGTGGAAGCAGCACACTGAAGGAACCCCTGCTGCCTGCTTCTTGCTGGCCTGTTTGCCAGACAGGGAGGAATAGAAGCTAAGAGTCTGAGTCTCCTTCAAACCTGGACCCTGTCATTATTGCTTTACCTCTCCAGCCTCAGTTTGTTCATCTGCAAGATGGGGATTGCACTAGCACTTGCTTCCTTAAGTTAGTTAACTTGCTTCCTTGGGTTAGATACTAAATGAAATGGTGCAAATAAAGTTTTGTGCCAAATAAGTAGCCTGCATTTGTCCCTCCAGATCCTGTCTGTCTCCCTTTTCGCCTGGCCGTGGGACCCAGATTAATTGTCGCCGTAGACTCCCTTGGCCTGTGGCTTCTGGTTGAGTTTCATCAGTGGGAGACACCAGAACGGATTAGAAGGTAGGAGGAGGGAGAGGCCAGGGTATTCAATCCCCTAGTTCCTCACCAAGGAGTCACAGCCACACCAAGCATAAATACAATCTCAAAAGAAATCATTTCAGCTTGAATGTCATCTTTTTAAAGAATTTCCACAGTTCACCTCAGCAATTGGCTGCATCCCTCTCCTGAAGGCCACAGCTCCTAGGAGGCTGTCCTCTCCAGCTCCGGGAACCGTCTGCCTCCCTTACCCCTTTATGGTCTAGAGGTTGTTAACCCTGATCTTTTATTATTTCTTGTTGGTTTGCCTTAATCCTGCCCACGCCTTTGTAAAAAGTCTCTTTATTAAACACTCTTCAGGTACCCAGTCTCCTGCTGGGATCCCAATACTACAGGGCCTTGGCACATGATTCTTGGCACATAGTAAGAATGCATTAAATGCTAGCTGTTAACTTTGGCTACTATTAGATAACAAAGATCTGAGTACACATCAAGATTGTGAAGGAGAGCATCTTTCCCAGGAACTGGTACACAGGAAACTTTCCGTAAAGGCTTGTTGAAGAAAAGACTACAGCATCATTCTTCAAAGCGTGAGCTGTGCTCCCCTCAGAGGCCCATAAGGCCAAACTATTTTTAGAATAATACTCAGACATTATTTGTCTTCCTGCTGTATTGGCATTTTCACTGATGTGCCAAGGCAGTGGCAGGTAAAATGACTGGCGCCTTAGCAGGAATCCAGGCAGTGGTACCCAATTCTATTAGCGGTCATCGTATCCTTCCCCACCACGCACTTACAGTACGAAAATAAAAATAAAACATTCTTAAAATGCCAGTTGCCCTGAAGAATGCCCTGGTGAAACAGTATAGAGTGACCCAAAAGGGCATATGCAGGCAGTACTTCTGCTGTATGACAAAGTGCAATGGGGTTTCACAAGGAAAAGCATGTGTGCAATTGCTGGTGTTGAACTGGCTATGCATGTTTTATGTGCATGTTGGGCAGACATCTTGACAATGAATGAAGTGAGCCTGTCACCTCAAGAAAAACAATTTACAGTATTTATTAAATAGAACTTCCCAGAGGAAACCAGATTTTGGAAAACTTACATCTGCTACAGAAGGCTGGCAACTTCCCAATACTTAAAGACTTTTATAATGAGATCACTGGTGATATTAACGAATGTCACTACTGATACACAGTACCTTTTATAATTATATACTCATTTGCATCTTTACTCATTTAATCTCTGTCCCTCTCAGCCAAATATCCACCCAGTTTTTTTATGGCAGTGACCAAAGTATATCTGGTCTGTGATTTAGTGCTTGGCACACAGTAGGACCACAACAAAGCTCACTGGAAAAATGTATAAAGGAGCAAATGAATAAATGAAATAACTGTTCTTTCCCTATAATCTTGCTAAATCCTCCTTGGAAATTTTCTTGATATCTGTGTCAGTCTGCTCATTATAACAGCCTAGGCCAAATGTACATTAAAAGCACCAAAAAGTAATATATATTTCACACTCCTAAACACCAACTGAAATAATCATTGAAGAAAAACAACCAAAACAGACACACACTGAGAATAAGAAAGAAATGAGCACTGGTTTCCATGACATTTCACTATTTATTTAAAATATTAGGAAAACGAATATGCCACAAAGGCTTAAAAAGCAATCATTAGTCAAATCAAAAGGCAAATTGCAAATCTGCTGAAAACCACAAATTCAACAATTGCACTGGCTGAGTTAGAAATGGCCCAACATTAAGGATAATCTCAAATGTTCCTGGACCAAGGAAGAAGGGGTATATGGAAAATGAGTTTTAATTTCTTCAGATTCCTTTCTCCAAGTGGGGGGGTGTAAATCAAAGCAAAACAAAAACCAGTATCTGTGTTCCATGTCAAATGCCAACTATAATGATTTAAGTAAATTATTTCTCAGTAATTAGAGCAGAAATTAAAAGTAGTCCTTTATTATGGCTCTGGAGTGGTGTGATAATGAACTTAAATACCCACCAGAACTTGACCTATGCTGAGAATCATAAAGTGGACAGTTATTCTATCAAGGCAGGACCTTTTTCCAAGAAGGCAAAATACTTCCTGTGACATTTTTGCAGAATTAAAGATCCATCAGCATTTGGAAAAATTATTTTGCTCATTAGTACAAGCAAGGTAATCCTATATATAGAATGGTGGCTCAGAACTTAACTGCACTGGAATACTGAAGGCTCCGTCCTAAAGAAAGGCAGAACAGTGCTGTGGGCAATTTACACCTCGGTCACTCCAAACTGGCCTTTGAGGTAATGGGGAACAAAAGGGTAATGGAGTTACTACATACATTTGTCAAAGAGCTAAACATGAAAGCATATTTTACAAAGACTACTTACAATAAAGCTAAAATGATTTATATTTGCCCAACAAGAACACTCCTTAAAGGATCACAGGCCAAAATGGAACACTTCCAAGAAAAGTGTATTCCCAGGTTTCACAAGCACTTACAAATATAATCACAAAAGAAATAATTTAAGCTTGAAGACATTCAAGCTTTATTCAAGCTTCAAGACATTCATCTTTTTAAAGAATTTCCACAGCTCACCCGAGCAATTGGCAAACAACCTCTTTCCTAAAATTTGAGTAGATTAAGAGAAATTTAATGAGTCTAAGTGAGGCGATAGAAAATATTTATTTGGAATAACCTCCAGGTTTTACAGCAGAGCTATATCCCACAAAATTTCTACCCTGGAGAGAAGCAAAGGAAGGAATGGAAAGAAGTAACAATCATTTAGTAAATGCCAATACTGTACGGTGCTTGGTGGTGGGGACCCAGAAGTAAAACAACTAGTCCATCTCCTCAAGTAATTTAGAACAGTCTAGTAGACAGACATAAAAGAGTCAAAAATAGCAACCTTGCGCTGCAATTGCTATGCTAGCGGGACGTTCTGATTTACTAGGGGGAGGCACCAGAAAGGCCTCTCAAAAACGACATCATTTAAGGTGAGTTTTTGGGGATGAATAAGAGTTAACCAGGTAAACAAGAGCAGAAGATACAACTACAAAAGCAGGTGCCATGGGAGGAGAACTTGCAACACACCATCATCCCACATACATTGTTTCTACTCATGGATTTCCACTGCCAATGAATGGCACTAAGTTGCCTATACAAAACCCTACACGTCATTTTTTATCCCTATTCCTCCCTCCCTGCACCCACTCCTCCTGCCCCAGCAACAGCCCACTGGTCTCCAATTCAAGATACCATAATCATGTTCCCATGATATCTCTACCTTAAAACCTCTACTACAATACTCTCTCAGAAGACAGTGACATTGAATATTAAAAATAACATGAATTGTTTAAAGTCTTTTGGAAAGCAATTCAATAATGTATACTAAAAGCTTTAAAAATATTCTGATTCTTGGACCTAGTAATTCATTTTCTCGGAATATACCCATAGAAAATAACTTAAAATATTAAAAGTACTTTATGCACAAAAATGTTCTGAGTGTTGTTTATAATAGAAAGATATTGGAAATGATCCAACTATCTAACAAAAGAGGATAATTCATGGTTACAAATAGATTATAATAATATGAGGACATGTGTATGTTAATATTAAGGGAAAAAACAGGATAGAAAATTGTAGATACTTTTTTTAAATATATACAAAGACTAAAAAGAAATACATTTTTTAAATGCCTGTCTTTGGGGAGAAGGGACAGGACTACAGTTGATTTTCCTTTTTTTTTTTTTTTTTTTTTGAGACAGAGTCTCGCTCTGTCGTCCAGGCTGGAGTGCAGTGGTGTGATCTTGGCTCACTGCAAGCTCCGCCTCCCAGGTTCACGCCATTCCCCTGCCTCAGCCTCCCGAGTAGCTGGGACTACAGGTACCCACCACCACACCTGGCTAATTTTTTGTATTTTTAATAGAGACGGGGTTTCACTATGTTAGCCAGGATGGTCTCGATCTCCTGACCTCATGATCCGGCCGCCTCAGCCTCCCAAAGTGCTGGGATTGCAGGCGTGAGCCACCGCACCCGGCCTACAGTTGATTTTCTTTTATTCTTTTGACTCTTTCTTGGTTTCCAATTTTTCAATAGTACGTGTGAAAGGTTTAAATATTTTTAATTATACAAGTAATTACTCTAGTATACAATTCAAACATCAAATCACCACCTTTAATCCTAGTCTCCTAAATGAGATGATACAGTTAAACGTCAACTGATTACCTCTCTAGATCTTCTTTTAGAAATTTACATGCATATCCATGTACCTATATAAATACTGCATATAGTATTGTTTTGGGTGTGAGTCCTAGGAAGGCAGAATTTTACTGTTACCCAGGTTGGAGTGCAGCAATCATAGCTCACTTCAGCCTTGAACTCCTGGGCTCAATCGATCTCCCACCTCAGCCTCTCCTGAGTAGCTGGAACTACAGGTGCATGCCACCCCACCTGACCAGGACTGTGAATTTTATTCAGAGTAAGACAGGAAGTCATTGGCAGGTTTTGAGCAGGAGAGGGTCAGGATCTTGTTTACACTTTAAGAAATGACTCTGACTGCTCCATTGACAGCAAGACAGGAAGTAGGGAGACCATTAAGAGATTATTGCTTAGTCCACTCTACAGATAATTGTGGTGGAGGTGGCAGTGGAGGGCGAGAAGTAGTCAGGTTCTGGATTTGGAGGTTGTCCCCTTAGCCCAATGTGGAACGCTAAGGCAGCAGCCATTATGAGGGTAAAACAGTGTATTTTGTTTGGGGCTGTTAGATCTGAAATGCTTGTTAAATATTCCAGTACAAACAGTGGTGTGGAGTAGACAGTCATGTAAATGACCAGGAAGAGGTCAGGCTGGAGATAGAAGTGTGTGCCGTCAGCAGGGAGGTGAGCTTTAAAGCCACATGGAGGGCAGAGCCCTGGGACCTCCTGACATTTAAACAGCTGTCAGAGGCCAAGAATCCAGTAAAGGAAACCTAGCAGCGGGAGCCACCAAGTGGAATGAGAAGCCTGGGCGAGGCATGCTGGGAAAGTGGAAACCAAGTGAGCAGAGTGCCCAGAAGGAAGGAAGAGAGATCAATTGTGTCAAAACAAAACTAACGTGTACTGGTTCCCAGTCCTAGGATGCCAGGAGCAGAGATGGACCACCTTTGCAGTTCTCCAAGACAGCACTTCTTGACTTGAAGGTGAACAGGGATCACCTGGGGGTTAGGGAGGCACAGATTTGCCTTTGGGAAGTATGGAGAGGAGCCTGGGTCTGCATGTCTGACGGGATCCCAGGTAAGGCCCGTGCAGCCCAGCTGGGGATCATATTTTGAACAGCAAGAGTTTAGACCACAATCCTGAAAATCAACATAAGCACATTCATCACTAAGGAAACCTTCAAGGAAAGCTCAGAATATTTTTCCACCTTCTTCCCTCTAAACACAAACCTAGCCCTTCTTTTCGCACAGCCTGATCTTCATTAATTTCTCCCCAAACAGAGGTTTTTTCTCTGTCAGGATCTTGAGCCTTCATTATACCATGAGCTCTCTAACATGATGGGGCCACTTTGTCTAAAGTAGAAAGTCAAGAGGATCGCTTGAGCCCAGGAGGCCCAGACTCCAGTGAGCCATGATCGCACCACTGCACTCCAGCCTGGGCAACACAGTGAGACCCTGTCTCAAAAATAAATAAATAATAAATAAATAAATAAATAAATAAATAAATAAATAAATAGTAGAAAGTCAATTCAGCTGAAACCTACATGCCTCCAAAAGGGATGTCTCCAAGCAAATTAGTTCCAGCCTTCGGAGAGGGTTCATCCCATTCCTATGAAGTCTAGAATCCTACTCTCCAAAATCTCTGAAAATGTGGGGTCAAGTTTATTCTGAATATTCTCATAACCAATTTCTCTACCCCTGCCACTTCCACATTCTAGCCATTCCCTTGCTCTCTTGTCAGCCCCCACCACCCCATACAACACATCCCTGCCATCCACCATTCCCTCAAGGAACTACTAACACAAAGTTTCTGTATGTAGCGGACTTGTCCTAAGGTTTGGGGGTAGCAGTGGGTAATAACAGCACAGAGCAGAAAGCAAATTTAAACTCAGTGTCCAGAGTTACCATAAAATAAATGTATCCGTTATTCCTGCTGCTGGGAATTTCAGTGGGTTGCCCTCCTTGGGTTCTACCTTCCCACCTTTCTCTTCATACGCTACCTCCATATGCTGCCTCCATACACTCAAAATCCCTCCTTCTCTCTTACCCAGAGCCATCTGTCTCCCTCTGATCTCCCTCTCCATCCCCTCTGGGCCTTGCCTTCCTTCATCTAGGTTCCCCGCAAGATGTCCGTGCTCCTCTGGGTTGAATACTGGCCCTCCCTACAGTACAGGGTTACCCAGCAATCTTCTCAAAAGCACTTTGTCCTTCCCACCACCAAGTCAGAAAAGAACAGCTTGTTGCAGTGAATCAGCAGGATCTATGTCAAACAGTCTAGCCCTTTGTGTGCACGGGCACAGCTTGTCTCAACCTGTTTTCAAAAAGCCTATAAATCCACAGAAGCCAACCTCTGCCAATATTTAAGCCAAGTGTTAAGTGTATAAACATGGCTCAGTAGATCTTCATGAGGAGAGACTTCTGCAAATCTTCATACTTGTTTTCATTTTGAATTCTTAACACCTCCCCTAAAGCACCATTTGTTTACCCTCATCAATGGCCTCTTCCCTCTCTGGAAGTGTTTTCTTTTGCACAGTCCCTTAACATGGAGAAGCAAAATAAAATAACCTGACCAGTCATCTCTCGGTGATTTAGTGTGGAGGGGTGAGTGTGAGGGTATGTGGCTCTGTTCTCAAGGGCACATGCATTCTCCAATGATCACTAACTCTACTCATTTGCCCAAGTCCACTTGTTTGTCTCCTGGGTACCATGGCAAGAAGGTGCAATAGCGCATCCAAAACGTCACTTCCTATTTCCCAGGTATGACAGCATCTAAAGGCAAGCATTTAAGAGGCTGTGTCCTGAACCTCTAAAGGGCCCCTGGAAACAAGATCTAATCACATCATTCCCCTGCTTGAAATCCCTGCACAGCTCCCTACTGTGTACAGAAACCCAACTCTGCTGTGGCATCCAAGTACCTTCCAACCCAGCCTCACAACAACCTGGCGATGCCATCTGCCATCATTCCACAAAACCCAGGTCCGCAAGTCAAGGCGAAAGTAGAAGAGGGGGCTGGAACTCAGACCTTCTGAAAAAATACTCAGTAAGGCCTTTTCAAAACACACACACACACGAACCCTCACACACCCCTCACACATACACCCTCACGTACACCCCTCACACACACCCTCACACATACACAGCCTCACACACACCCCTCACACACACCCCTCACACACAACCCTCACGCGCACACACACCCACACACACACCCTCACACACAGACCCCTCACAGACTGCTCACACACAGACCCTCACACACACCTATTACACACATTCACACACTCCTCACACATACACCCTCACACCCCTCTACACACATACACCCTCACACACACCCCTCTACACACACAC
This sequence comes from Homo sapiens, assembly GCF_000001405.40. NCBI lineage: Eukaryota > Metazoa > Chordata > Mammalia > Primates > Hominidae > Homo > Homo sapiens. The sequence goes on from NC_000017.11 coordinate 56,809,779, forward strand.
CTCATACACAGACCCCTCACACACCCCTTACACATACACCCTCACACACTCACACACCCCTTACACATACACCCTCACACACACCTGCACCTTCACACACCTCTCACACACACCCCTTACACACACCCTTACACACACCCTCACACACCCCTCACACATACTCCTCACACATACTCCTCACTCACCTCACACACAATCCTTGCACAGACCCTTCACACACACACCCCAGACATCCCTCATACACCCTCACACATGCATCCCTCACACACACCCCTCACACACCCCTCACACTTCTGACACACACCCTCACACACCCCTCACACTTCTGACACACACCCTCACACTCCTTGCACAGACCCCTCACGCACACCCCTCACACCCCCACCTCACACACACTCCTTGAACACACCCTTCACACACACACTCTCACACACACCATCACACCCCTCACATACATCCTCACACACATGCATCGCTCTCCCACACTCCTCATGCACCCTCACACACCTTCACATACTCCTCACACACATACCCCTCATACAATTCTCACATTCGAATACACACACCCTCACACACACACCCCTCACACATCCCTCACACACACAAACCCCTCACATGCACAAACCCCTCACACACACCCCTCACACACACCCTCATACATACCCTCATACACACACCCCTCACACACATTCACACACACATACACACATACACAATACTGGCAGCCAAATTCACAGCATGGTGCATCCATCCCACCCTCTTCCCAAGCAAAGGGACATCTGTGCGCAGCTGTTCTTGGCCTACACTCAGAAACAGGGAGGGTGAGGAGGTCTTGGCAAAAGGCAAAGAGCCAGAAGGGCTGGCTCCCAGGAGGCAAAGGCCTTAGCCTCTGAACTCCCTCCTTCCCAGGCTATGAAGATGTGGGCCCGTATGGCAGCTCTAATGCCAGCCTCTGGCCTCCCCTGGCCAGAGGTCCAGGCTTATCGGCTCCTCACCACCCAAGGACAAACCTGAGGCCACTGCCTCTTATGCTCCAACTGGGAGTGCAGGGCCAGGATCATTTTGACAGTCACAGTTAAATGCAGTAAATTACCTCTTTTTACATGCCACTGACTGGCATTATTAATTTTGCTTTCAGTAAATCCATAAAAGAAGAAGTCAACAAGGAGACCCAAGAGGCGTGAGTGGGTCAAATGGTAAGTCGAGGATGTGGAGTACTCCCAGCCGCAGGGCCAGCATGAGGTGAGGAGGCCTGTGGTTTCTAGGGATACCCCTCCAGGGGCCTCAGAATAAACTGCCTGACTCCTCGCTTGGGTTGGTATCCTGCTGCCTCTGGCTCTTCTGTCACATTGCAGACTGGCACCAGGAAACCTGTGTCAGCCCCAAGGTTCTATCCAGAGCCCTACAATATGAGACCTGGAATTAGACATTCTGGAATCTAGGCCAGATTCCAGCCAAACTCTGCATTTTATAGATGAAAAAACTAGGCTTCCAAAAGAGGAAGTGACTTACCCAAAGTCCACAACTAGTTAGCGGCAGAATATGGACTGGAAATGCACTGGGTGGAATATTCTTCCTGCCTCATCCCTACCCCCTGCCCTGCCTGAGAACTCCTGGTCATCCTTCAAGCCACAGCTGGGTGGGCACCTCCTCTGGGAAGCCTTCCCAGCCTCCCCTTTCCTTCCAGTTGGAGCTCGAGACTCTCTTCTTGCAGAGCCGCAGTCCATTGTACCAGATAACCTCGTTAGTGAGCCCAAATCAGGCTGGGGCTCGAGACTCTCTTCTTGCAGAGCCGCAGTCCATTGTACCAGATAACCTCGTTAGTGAGCCCAAATCAGGCTGGGGCACTCTGGCTCCACCTCCACACAATGGGCACCTTGAGTAAGGAAGAATGTCTGGTTTATCTTTCATCCTCAGTCCCTGGTGCTTAGTAGGGCATGGTCAATATAAAATCTAATTAAGTGCACATCTTGATCAGCACGCACCACTTGACCCTCTCACTCTCTCTTTTTGTCTAAACAACTAAGATACTCTCCATACCACCCAGTTCAACATTTAACAGCTTTCTAAATGCTTTTATGTTCCCAACTAGACCACAGGAGCTGGTACACACGTGGCTGATTTCTCCCAGATGGCCTAGCCCAGTGGTTCTCAGCCTCGGCTGCAGGTTGGCATCACTGGGGCTTTGGCCCCATCCCCCATACCCAGGTCCCACCCCAGGCCACCCCTCTGGGAGTGGGACCCAGGCATCGGAATTTAAATTCCCCAGGTGGTTCCAGAATGTAACCAAAGTTAAGAAACACATTTCTAGAAAAAATACGATACCAGAAACTATTTGTTAATTCAACCAATTCTGTGTGTGTTCAAGTGAGTGCAATTATAGAGAGAGACAGAGAGAGACACACACAGCGTGACAGAGAGTAAACAAGAAAAAGTTTACTTGGCAATGTGTAGACTTGGTTCCTCTCCTTTGGCACTACTGACATTTTGGGCCAGAGGGTGGTGGAGGCTGCCCTGTGCCCTGTGTAGGGTGTTTAGCAGCATCCCTGGTCTGTACCCACTGGGTGCCAAAAGCAATGCCCCACACAGGTGTAACCACCAAAAATGTCTTCAGATATTGTCAAATGTCCCTGGGGATGAGGGGGCATAATCACCTATGGATGAGAACTACTGGTGTAGACTAGCCACCCAATAATTGACTGCATGTTTGTTTCACATTTCAATTGTAAAACATATGACCACTTTTCCAAACTGGACTGAATGCCTGAGGATTCTGGACATTGGATGAAGTGTCTCTGAGAGGGACATGGAGGATGGGATGGTGGCTCAGCAATAGGTTCTGAGGCAAGAAGGAGTTACATGGAAACTAATCAGGTAGGTTCGAGGCAGTTAAGAGGAGCAGGTGGTGGTCAAGCCTATAAAAGATGAGCAAAACAAACCAGAAAAAGCCAGATATTCAGTAAAATTGCAAAGTTGGAAGCAAGCAGAGGGCTGTCAAGGATTAAGGGAGGTGATGACCACAAGTGGGAAAAAGCAAACAGAGGAGAAGCTTTCAGAAGTTTTTGAGCAGGGGAAGGACCACACAAAACAGGGTTTTAGGGCCAGAGTCTAGCCTGGCAACAACAGTTGCAACAACGGGCTGCAGCAATTCAAACCCACCTGTTCACCCACATCTACAATGCCTCAGTTAGGACAAAGACTGTTATTCCACAGACAGAGTTCAAAAGAGCCAGGTGCAGATGCTGGCACAGAAAATGTCAGGGGGCAGATGTGGGAGTCATTAGAGCTGCCTCTCGAGCACCTTGAGCAGGAGCCACTGCTTTGAGGACTCTTCAACCAGCTCCCCCAGCCCCTGCCGGGTCCCTGAGGAAGAGCTGCAGAATGGCCGCTCCAGGCATCATGCCAAAAGCACAGGGGGCCAGCCAGAGCCCCCACCCCCAACCCGCCAGCCGCCAACAGGATCCCTCCCTCCAGGCATCCTCCTCCCCATCACAGTTGTGCACATGCTGCCCTTCCTTCACCCCAGCCCCTCCTATGCCTCCCCGCCTTGCTCTGCCACCCCCACTCTCTTGGCTTCTCTATCTCTCTGCATTCCTTCTCAGCCCTTTCAGGGTTCCTCTTCCCCTGCCCACCTCTGAGTGTTGGTGATCCCAGACTTCAATCATGGGCCCCTTCTCTCATTGTCTCAAACTCTCTAACACCCAGATCTGTACTCCCCAACTTGAAAAATCCTTCAGTTGTTCTCTACTAGATACAAGATAAAACCCAAGATACCTCTTATTCTACAAAAAAAAAAAAATTAAAAGCCACATCTATCCCTAAGAGCCTGAAGTCATCTGTTCTTAAATCATACTGCATAGCAGCCATTTGCTTACTTCTGTCTCCACCACAGACTTTGAGCAGAAACCTACAGCCCCGGCACCTAGCAGGTACCAGGTACTTAATACTCAGAGGAGTACTTACCATTTGCTGAGCACTTTCTAAGTGCTTTCTTAAAAAGTACTTTGTTTTATCATCATAAAATAATTATTTTACATTATTATTTATAATAATAATATTATAGTAATATCAGCAATAGTATTTATTATCCCCATTTTATAGATGAAAGTACTGAGCTGCAGAAATGTGAAGAAACTTCCCCAAACTTACCCAGTTAGTAAACAGGGAGATTCAAACCCAGTCTGACCCCAAAGTCAGCACTCTTCGTCACTGTGCAATACTATATCTTAATAAGAGCCTTTAAATGAAATAATCTAATTATGCACGAGATTTTGCAGTGAATGAAGGTAAATGCTACTGCAGCTCCTTCTGAGCCTCAACATGGAGATTCAGGGAAAACAGGATAAGCATCGTGCCCAGATGAAGGGGCCAGGATGGGAGACCAGCCTGACAGACAGGCTTCCCAGACATTCTAACTTTGCTGGGTCACTGCTACTTCCCTTCACTGGGTGGGGCTAAAATGCCACCAAAGTCAGTATCATTTTAGCAACAGGAGGAACCAAGCCAGGCCTGAATTGGGTCCGGGGCCAGCATAGCAGGGTCTAGTAACATCTACTCACAGAGGGAGCCTGGTTCAGAAAGACTAGACAGGTGGATATCATGACCCCACAGGGCAGAAGTAAGGCCAGAGACCAAAATCAGAGGGATGAGATCAGAGCAGAACCCCTCAGGCAGCTGGGGCAGAGATTCTCCCTGCCTGGACAGACCATCATTGACCAAGGATGCTGGTCCAGCCTGCTCCGGGGCCCAAGGGAAGAGGCAGGAGATGGGGTTAGCGTTGGCTAAAGGGAACAGCTCCCCAGCAAGCAGGACAGGGGTGACATTCAGCAGCCCTCTCCAGATTCTAGAACTCCCACCATTGGCCTCATTATTTTCTATTTTAAGTTACCCTGTTCATAACAGGTGAGTCGGGCTGGCACCTCCAAAGGAGAAAATGCATAGGTAAAAGATTGAGATTGCAGCTATCTTCTACCTGAAACTCTAACCAAACCCCTAACTAGCAGCCCATGCTGGGACCAACACCTAGTTTCATAGTGAATGGCATTCAAATGATCACATTTTCTTTAAAACTGCCAGAGCAAAGCACTCACCCGCATTGGCTCATCGGGGAATCCGGGTTTGCTTGGTCTATCCTGTCGCCGAGATCTTAGGAGCTGTTTGGCCTGCTTCTCTGTCAAAATCGGGGAGGTCTCTGGAAAAGTCGGGAAGGTGCCTTAAGGACACTCAGGCTCAGGAGTTCATGAGCCATCTCAACAGTCCAAGGCAAAAGATTTGCAAGTTCAATTTTGGTTAAAACATGAAAGTTCTTTCCCGGGGACCTGTCCCAAAGGATGCAGCATTCCAGAGGGCTCAGGAAGGAATTTTGAATTGTTTCTAACATGATTACTCAGAGCAAAAGCTGCACAACCTAAACATATTTACTGATTGCAATGGTCCATCTCTTTGAAAGTGGGTATTAATTTAATGAATCTTCAGTTCACTGGTCTGTGTGTCTTAGGTTTGCTTTCATGGAAGTTTTTTTTAATCCTCACTACACTAAATCAAGTTTAAAGTCATTACTGGAAGATGCCCAGTGATAATAAGATTATGTTAAACTTGATCATCACAACCCCTCAAAGAAGATAGTATAAAAGTGCTTTGATAATTACTTGCAAATTCTAAAAGATATTATCATCATAAAAATATATCAAATTTTGGTGATCTCATATAAACTCTAAAATAAGCTATTAGAAGCTGAAGATTTATCAGCATTTTTGAGAATTAGTGCTCAAATACATTTAAAGATTTTTAAAAAATATATAACATCTTTAATGATAAAAATTCTGGAAGCCTACTCTTATGGAAAAATAAGAAAAGAAAGAGCATTGAAATATCTATATACACTATATATTATTTAAAATTAAAAAATTAAATATCAAATAGACTATTATTTATCATGTCAGCATAGAAATAGGCTGTTTTTGGAGTCAGTGCCCACCTGAGAAGACAGTCAGTAAGGTAAGAGACAGCACGAGCACAGGCAATGTCTTCATCCTGCCTTGGTTCCTCTGCCTCTTGCTGAGTGAATCCTCCCAGACTGAGTCAGCCAACTTGAAGGAAGCCATGCCAGGCCCTGCGCTTGTTTATGCTTTGACTAACGGGACTTACGGTATGATGCTGAATGTATCTGACTCTGAGCGTTTTAGTAATGACCACTGAAATATTTTCCTCCGAATTCCTGTAAATTTTCATCCTGAGGAAGGAAATTGTTCCTCTGTAATATGACTTTCAGAGCTTGAATCTGAAAAAGCAACATGTGATATTCACTTCATTTAAACAGACAGATAAGCACCAGACAGATGTTTGTGAGTGTTTCTCTGGAGCTTCCATTTATGCTCCTGTTTCATTGAGAATTCATGATCTATTACACATTTGTATCTTTTAGGACATTTTTCTAAAGCCCATTCACCAGTCTAATTTGATCTTCCCAATAATCTCAGAGGTAGGCAGGGAAATTAGCAAGGGGCATGATGAGTGGGGAAAAACAATTTTCAGCTGACTTTAGAGACAGAAAAACAGAGTTCAAATCCTAGCTTCAATTTTTTCTAGCAATGTAGCCTTAGGTAAGTGACTTACCCTTTCTGAACTTCAGTTTCCTCCCCTGTCAAAAGGAGATAAGAGCACCTACCTTGTGGGGTGCAATAAAGGATGAGGGGAAAGCTATGACCTTCATGGCAGCTAGTACTATTCATCGTCCACTTCCATCTTACAGTAAGAAAAGTGAGATTCAAAGATGTGAAATCAAGTTCAAGTTCACACATTATGGATGCCAAGGTAGAGCCTACGTCTTCTGTCTTCAAACCTAGATCATGTGCTCTTCCCAGTAAGCCCCATAACCTCAGGGACAACTCCTCATCTTTTACAGGGCCTCACGCAACATGCTGTCATAAGACTGGAACCAGCCATGCTCCAGATTCAAGGGTATTTTTATAAGGACAACAAAAGTTTAAGAAGCTGAAGTCATTTCAAATTCAAATCATCTATAAATATCACATGAAGAAAGTTTCTTGTTTTGTTTTGGTTTGGTTTGGCTTGGTTTGGTTTGGTTTGGTTTTGAGATGGGGGTCTCACTCTGGGTCTCACTTCAGGCTGGTGTGCAGAGGCTCACTGCAGCCTCTAACTCCCAGACTCAAGCGATCCTTCCACCTCAGCCTCCCGAGTAGCTGGGACTACAGGCACGCACCACAACACTCAATTAACTTTTTTATTTTTTTATTTTGTAGAGACAGGGTCTCACTATTTTGACCAGGTTGGTTTCAAACTCCTGGGCTCAAGTGATCCTCCTGCCTCAGCCTCCCAAAGTGCTGGGATTACAGGCATGAGACACTGCTCTCAGCCTAAGAAATTCAATACATGATTAAAATATGTCTGGAAAGCATGTGACATTTATTTGGATAAAATTCTGTATTCAGAGAGATGATCTGATGTTTCTGTGGTCACTTTGCCAGCTCAAAAGAAAACAATACCCTATGTGTATTTCTCCAAATTTATGCTAATGTGTAACTGATATTAAACCTGAATGTGCTGCCCACACAGTCAACATAAAGATATTTTGAGCAGATTGTAAACAAGAAAAAAAAGATCATGCAATGTTAGCAAAGTTGTCTCACATGTTCATTTGCTCAAATATATATATATATAAGTAAATTTTTTTTTTGAGACAGGGTCTCATTCTGTTGCCCAGGCAGAAGTGCAGTGGTGCAATCACAGCCCACTACAGCCTCAACCTCCTGAGCTCATGATCTCCCATCTCAGCCTCCTGAGTATCTGGGACTACAAGTGTGCATCTCCATGCCCAGCTGATTTTTTTTCTTCCTTGCAGAGATAGGGGCTCACTATGTTAGCCAGGCTGGTCTCAAACTCGCAGGCTCAAGTGATCCTCCTGCTTCAGCCTCCCAAAGTGCTGGAATTACAGGCAAGAAAGAATTACTGCACCTGGCCCATTTGCTCAAAATTCAATATTTGATTTCATGCACTCTGCTGCTATTAACATCCTTCTGTTTTCACATAATTTTCAATAACTAAGGAATTTTAGAGCATTTTTTTTTTTGAAACATGGTCTCCCTCTGTCACCTAGGCTGGAGTGCACGAACTTGGCTCAGTACAGCCTCAACCTCCCAGGCTTAAGTGATCTTCCTACCTCAGCCTCACTAGTAGCTGGGACTACACGCATGTGCCACCATGCCCAGCTAATTTTTGTATATTTTTGTAGAAATGGGTTTTGCCATATTGCCCAGGCTGGTCTCAAACTCTTGAGCTCAAGCAATTCTCCTACCTTGGCCTCCAAAAATGCTTGAATTACAGATGTGAGCCAACACGTGCAGCTAGTAGCATTATTTAAAAAAAAAAAAAAGAAAAAAGAAAAATTGTCACGTTAAACAGCTTGAGTTTTGTATGTGTATATTCAAATTTTTCACTCCTTTTACTCTTTGTGGTTGGATAGAACACTATTTTGTTTTATCATATCAAATAAATATCTTCTGTGGGCCAGAAACAAAATCTATACTTAGCTATAAATTTCTAATGTGTCCAATGTAAATTTACAATAGAAGTATTTTTTGGCCAGACATAGTAGCTCACACCTATAATCTTAACACTTTGGGATTCCAAGGTCAGAGGATCACTTGAGCCCGGGAGTTCAAGCCTGCAGTGAGCAATGATTATGCCACTACACTCAAGTCTGGACAACAGAACAAGACCCTGTCTCCAAAAAAAAATATTTTTTTAAATTTTGCAACTTTTGTCTATATCAGCACTGTCCGATAAAAACATAAAGCCACAGATGCAAACAACATATGTAATTTAAATTTTTTCAGTAGCCACTTTTTTTAAGTAAAAAGGTTAAATATTTTAATATTATATTTTAACATGATGAAATATCCAAAATATTATTATTTTAACACATAATCAATATAAACAAGTTGTCAATGAGAGATTTTATGCCTTTTTTTGTACTAAACCTTCAAGATCTGGTGTAGATTTTACACTTATACATTTCAAGTGCTCGGTAGCCACATGTGGCTAGTGCTACCATATTAGACAACATGGATCTAGATCCTTCCGTCTCTAATGCCACCACCCAAGTCTAGGCCATTGTTTCCCTCACCCAGCTTCTGGCACCAGGCTCCCAAATGGGATTCTAGTTTCCCTCCCTGTTCACTTCAATCTGTTCTCCAGGTAGCAGCAAGGATGAAATAGAAAGTATCAGTTAGACCTCATCACTTCCATGCATAAGATCTTTCCTCATCTTCCCATGAGAGTCAGAATAAAATTAAAATCCCTACCAAGCACAACAGGACCCTGTGTTTTTTGTGCCTACTGCCCTTTCCAACCTTACTCCAACCACTCCCCTCCTGCTCACTGCCATCTGGCCACACTCACTCACTTTCAGCTTAACAAGCCCACTCCCGCCTCAGGACCTTTGCATGTGCTTTTTCTCCCTCTTTTAATGACTGGATCTATCTCATCCTTCAGGTTTCAATTTGAAATTTCTCCTACTCAGGAAAGCCTGCCCTTACCAGCCTTCTTAATAAAAAGTTCCCTGCCCCCACCACCACCACTCTCCATCTCACAGCACTCACCATAATTTATACGTATTGCATTTATTTACTTTTTAAAAATCTGTCTCCTTCACTGGTAAGCTTTAAGCAAGCTTGTATTATTTTTATAATTTTTTAAAGCATAAGGCAACCTCTGGTGGACTGAGGTGGTGAGACTGGAGAGAGTCGGAGCCTGTATCACACCCTGGGAGGCTGCTGCAAGTCTCGGGTGGGGAGGGCCGTTCAGGTGTGATACTGGCAGGGCCATCAAATGCCCTTCAGCTTGGCCTCTGGATGTTGTCCTAAAAGAAGCGAGAGGGGGAGGAATATAGAAAGACCGAAAGAGCAAAGTGTCTTATTGTGAGTGTCACTCAGGCGGTGAGAATTCTCTTCTAAACCCCATCCCGGTTCTCAGGAAAAGCCCCAGCGGGGTAACGAGGTGAGTCGGCAAGGCTCCCAGTAGAAGACGCAATTCCCAATAAATCCACAAGGTGGCAGAGCAGAAGGTGGAACCAGGGACAACTAAGATCAGGGGAAAGAGCTCAAGGCCACTAAGGTTAATTATTCAAGAAGTTGCCAGCGATTCCAGAGAATCTACTGGAGGTGGAGAGAGAGGGTGCTGCTGCACCTAAAACTATTTCCGTACTTTTATTTTAATTGATGTACTATTGAAGGCATTCATCAGATGTTGTGGCCTAGGAAAGCGGTACAGTAAGTCCTCATAACATTATTGCTGATAAATTCTTGGAAACTGAGACTTTAAGCCAAATGGTCCAGAATGAACCAATTTTACCATAAGCTAATTGATATACACAAGAGGTGAGTTCCTATGGCATATTTCTGGTCACAAAACATCACCAAACTTCTAAATAAGGACCCAAAACATTTCTAATATCAAACGTTGAAGGCTATACATGTATTTAAGAAAGATTAATAAAAACAAGTAAGATAGTTATTAATATTTACCCACTTATTCTAGTTCAGGGCCGTGGTGGCTGGAGCGTGTCCCAGCAGCTCAGGGCACCAGGCAGAAACCAGCCCTGGAGAAGACACCATTCCATCGCAGGGCACACTCTCACACACCCACCCACACACACTCACGCGGGGACAATTCAGACACACCAATGAACATAACGTGCACAGCTTTAGGATGTGGGAAGAAACCGAAGTACCCAGAGAAAACCCACGCAGACATGGAAAGAACATGCAAACTCCACACAGACAGTGGCCCGGGGCTGGAATCAATTTTTTTTCTCATCAACATTGTAATGAAACAACGTTGAAGGAAACAATGTTATTTGAGGACCTGTTGTGTTAACTATTTGATAACATTTAAAAGCCTATAAAGGAATAATGCTACCACCCATATTCACAACACCCAAACACAACTTTTTGTTTGGGTGAGTTTCCCTTTTTTTTTTTTTTTTTTTTTTGGAAGGAACTGTCCCATTACACAGATATTTAAGTGTCATTGACAAATGACAAACCCAACATTCTAGAGTTCTAAATGTCATCACACTGAACTATAGAAACTTTAGAGACAAGAGAACTTCGTTTTGTTTTTGTTTTTTGAGAGAGGGTCTTGCTCTGTCGCCCAGGCTGGAGTGCAGTGGCACAAGCATAGCTCACTGCAGCCTCACCCTCCTGGGTTCCAATGATCCTCCTGCCTCAGCTTCTCAAATAGCTGGAACCACAGGCGTGCACTACCATGCCCAGCTAATTATTTTTATTTATTTATTTATTTATTTTAGAAACAGGGTCTTGCTATGTTGTCCAGGCTGCTCTTAAACTCCTGGGCTCAAGTAATCCTACCCCCTTGGCCTCCCAAAGGAACATTTTTTTAAGTATAGAAAAATGCCAAATCTGTCCCCATCAAGAGAATTATAATGTGTCGACATTTTTTAGGCCCAGGGTAAATTAAATAAATTCTAACAGTCCTCTCCATATTTGCTTTCATCTTTTTTACTGTCTACCTCACATGTACATTGTAAAGAATTATATATACATTGTAAAAATATGGAATTTATAGTATAGTTGGTAGACTAGACTACAGTATTTTTTAAAATAATGATAGTAACTTTAAAGCAATGATAGTAACTCCATAAGCTGTGTGTGGTGCTTATGGGTCTAGATCCTTCCATCTCTATTGTCACCACCCACATCTAGGCCACTGTTATCTCTCACCCAGCACCAGGCTCCCAGCTGGCATCTCAGCTTCCCTCCCTGTTCCTTCAATCTATTCTCTATGCAGCAGCAATGATGATCTTCATGAAATAGACATAGGAAATATGTTAGACCTCGTCACTTTGCTTCCCTGTAAACATTTATTTACAGGCATACTGTGCAGACATATGTTAGGTCTGGGCAGGTGTGGTAGGTTGAATTATTAGCATCAATTCTTCACTACCACCCCAAATTTATGCTCTCTGCCACATGACTTTGCAGCCCCATGTCTTGACTTTGGACTCAACCAGATGACTTGTTTTGGGCAGTGGGATGGTGGCAGACATGACACTAACAAGGGTGTGAAATGGTTTGTGCAGTTAAGTGTGCCCTCTGACATGTCTGTCATTGCTACAAAAAGACCTTCCCCCCGTTGGCTACTGCCCCTTCAAGCTGAGTCTCAGAATTAGCTTACATGCAAAGTAGCTAAGAAAGGAGCCAAGTTTATGCAGATCTGTAGCTTAAAAGAGACCCACTCAACCCAGCCCGGTCTATTTCAGCTGACTTCCAGCTACCACAGCCTGAAGCAGAGCCACATCACCTGCAGATCCCTCAGAATAAATGACAGTTATTTTAAGCCACTAAGACTAGGAGTGGTTTGTTTCATAGCATTACTCTGACAATAGCTAACTGATACAGAGGATTCTAATGGGATGGTTAGTGTGTCCAAATCTGGGTGCTATTGCATCTAAGTTAATAATAGGCTCCTGCCAGAACATTCATTCAAAAGTGACTGAGTTTCTACTGTGTAGGCAGTGTGGTATAATGGTTATGACTGTGGGCAGCAGAGTCATCAACAGACCTGGCCTTGAATGCTGATTCTCAAACTTATTGCCTGTGTTACGTTGGAGCTGAGTGACATTGGGGAAATTTCTTAACTTTCCAAATCACTGTTTTCTCACTTATAAAAAAAAAGAATTATAATAAAATTCACCTCATAAGGTTAATATTTAAAAGAGGTATGTGTAAAGTTCGTGACACATAATAAAAGTCTACTACTTGGAGATCATTGTTATTATTTCTCCTCCTTCTCTATGCCAAATCTCTTTGCATATGCACTCTATTTTGTAAAAATGTTTTGAATGACTAAAGATAGATTAATCACACGTATTAAGACACACAACTTTATTGTTGAAATATATATATTAGAAAAGAAAATATGGTTCATTTCTAATGTGAGTTGACTTGCCCCGTGTCAACACCGCAGGCCCTGGCTTCCCTTTACATATCCTCAGCACTTCTACAGGCATACACCCCTTCCTGTCTGCAGCAGCAATACAATGGTAAGATGTTTTGGCCTTGGACAGGGGCCTTTCCGGCCTGCTGCACGCCTCCACAAGTGGACTCTAATTTCTACTCTGGGTCCAGGATGTTGGCCTCAACTATGTCTGCCCAGCAGGTGAGGACAGCCAAGGTCAGCATCATGTTCCTGATGGCCAGTGTCAGGCTTCTCTCCAACTTAAACAGGGACAAAGGAGCATTGGCACAGGCAGAATCACGTAAGATGGGTATGAATAAACATACTAGGGGAGTGAACCATGCACAAAATAATTTATGAAACCACTTCTAAGGCTACTGTCATACGACATTACATTCAGGAAAAGTGCTAGGCCTCTAATTGGAAGAGAAAAGCTCTAGTTCTGGGGAAAAATACTGAACTGTGTCACTTTTCTTGGTGGGATCTCTGTTGGGATGATTAAGCTTCGGAGAGGTTAGGAGACTCTCTAGCACTGCTTCTCAGGCCATTAGGTGCATTAGAATCACCTGAGGTTCAACAGACATCTAGAACGCCTCTGACATGAAAAGTAAAGACAAAAAAGATAAAAGAAAAAGCAACTTGGGGAAATCAGACACCATGCAATTGGAGAAAATAAATAAATAACATTAATATCCTCTAAGAGACCAAAGTTTTGCTTGTGTGGAACATGAACAAGATGCTGTAAAAAAGGAATGTTCAGAAAACAAATTAACCAAAATACTTCTTAGAAATGAAAAACCATAATAGCAGAAATTTAAAACTCAGTTGAGTCAAGAAAAAAGCTAAGGAAATCTTTTAGAAAAATAGAGCAAAAATGAGGAGGAAAGTTTTAAAAAAACAAGAGAGAAAAACATATTTTTAAAAGACAGGACATTTACCTAAATGAGTTGAAAACTCATGTCCACACAAAAACCTGCACACAGATGTTTATAACAGTTTTATTCATAGCTGGCAAAACTTGGAAGCAACCAAGATGTTCTTCTGGAGGTGAATGGATAAATAAACTGTGGCACATCCAGACAATGGAATATTATTCAGCACTAAAAAAAAATGAGCTATCAGGCCATGAAAAGATATGGAGAAAACTTAAATGCATATTACTCAATGAAAGAAGTCAGTCTAAGGACAGGCTGCCTGTTGAGCCTGATACAAAAGCTTATTTGTACTTTATCTTAATGACTGCTATGATTGGAGTGCCCCTGCCAAAACTCATGTTGAAATTTTATTGCCACTGATGGTGTTGGGAGGTGGGGCCTTTAAGAGTTGATTAAGTCACGGGAGCACCACCCTCCTGAATGGATAAGACTGTTATTTGGGGAGTGAGTTTGTTCTCTTGGGAGTAAATTAGTTCTTATAGGAGTGAGTTAGTTCTCCTGAAAGCGGGTTGTTATAAAATTGAGCCTGGATCACTCTTGTGGTCTCTTTTGCACACACTGGCTTGCCCTTCAGCTTTTTGTTCATGTTATGACACAGAGCAAAAGCCCTCACCAGAGGCTGCCACCATGCCCTTAGACTTCCCAGCCTCCAGAGCTATGAGCCAGATGAACCATTTTTCTTTCTAAATTTCCAAGTCTCAGGTATTCTGCTATAGCAACAGAAAACAGATTAAGACAAGAACCAGGAGCTGATGGGCTCCCCATTCTCCCATGTCCCCATTCCCACACCCCATTGCATGGATTAGCTAAAGATACTCATGTCTCCCTGAGCTGAGCTGCAAAGATTAAAAGCAGCCTCCTTCCTCTTCAGCCATATTTTTGCCAGCTGTTCAAACCACAGCCCTGCTCAGATGCCCTCACTGTGATTAACAATCTTCCCAAGACCTTGCCCACTGACTTCCCCAGGTGGAATCTTCTCAAAGAAACTGAATCCAGACTCTGTCCCAAAGACATTGCTCAACTTACCTCCTGCTGGGAACCTTCACATATCAATGATTTACTGCTATTTCCCAAAAGGGCCAGCTTTGGGCTTTTCAGTCTTTCAAACAAAACTGTATCATTCAGGGATACCCTTAGGCATCTATAAAGAAAAGCAAAGAAATGAAGGCCACAAAAGTTACGATAGTAGTTCCTTCTGATGGGGGAGAAGGTGTATCAAACAAGTGAGCACACAAGAGCTCTCAAATCTTCAATATGTTAACCAGGTTTTTACTATTATTTTTAAAACCGTATATGTGTTTTATAAACTCTTCTGCATGTGTGACACATTTCAAAATATAAACAAAAAAAGTTTGAATAAAGAATTACCTAGGGAACTTGTTAAGAAGTTAGATTCCTAGCTCCACTTCATATTCTGACTTCAGAGACCTGGTCAGGACCACAGAATCTATATTTTAAAATGATGCTGATGCAGGTGATTCAAAATCCACACTCTGCGGTACCCTAAATGGTTGAAGAGCATCACAAACTTTGGCATCAGATAAACCTAAGTTCAAAGCCCCAACTCAGTTGACTCCTGACTGTGTGATATCAAGCAGGTTTTCTTCATCTGTAAAATAAGGATGATAAACTTAACACAGTGCCTAGGACCTACTAACTCATCAACACATGTTGGCCACAAATATTATTATTACTTTTAGTGAATTAAGAGTGTATCTCCTCAGGTGTGGCAATTTCTATTAATCTGTCCCTACACAGGTAAATTTTCCAGATAAAAATTTACTTAGCAAAGAGAGACTACTATTCTTAAAAGCTTTCCCATAAGCCTTAAACTTTTCAAATTCTTTAACTAAATCTGAGAATCTAAGGAAATAACCCTAAACAAAGGAATTATTTATAATAGCAAAATATTAGAAATAGCTACAACAAAAGTAAGGTTATACACACTGTAAGCTATATTCATAGAATGGAGTATAATGTAGCCATTAAATAGGACTTTTTAATAACATATAAAAGTTATTTTGTAATGCTAAATAAGAGCCAGATAGACACTATTATCTACCACATCATCAAAAGTATGCATTAAAAAAAAGTAAATCAGTTTCCATAGAAAATAATGGAATAGACCAAAATGTTCAAACACAGGGTGTCTTTGGAGTGAGAGATGGTGATTCTTTTCTTCCTTTTTACTTTTTCAAATACTCTATAATGGGGATTGGGGGAAACCTGTGAGTGTGTGTGTGTGTGTGCACGCGTGTGTGTGACGGAGTCTCGCTCTGTCACCCAGGCTGGAGTGCAGTGGCACAATCTCGGCTCACTGCAACCTCCACCTCCTGAACTCATGTGATTCTCCTGCCTCAGGCTCCCGAGTAGCTGGGATTACAGGCACGCACCACCACACCCAGCTAATTTTTTATTTTTAGTAGAGATGGGGTTTCACCATGTTGGCCAGGCTTGTCTTCAACTCCTGGCCTCAAGGGATCCACCTGCCTTAGTCTCCCAAAGTGCTGGGATTACAGGTGTGAGCCACCATGCCCAGTCTGTCACTTTTTAAAAGTGTATTATTTTGTTATATCTTCAAATCTAAACTAATTTAAGCGTTCTGCATCAGCTAGGATTCATAAAAGACAATGACACTTTCACACACTGTGCAGGCTACTGAAGCAGAAGTTATGCTTTAGAGATCTCATCTAACCTGAGCCCAAGGAGGTGAACTGACAAGCACAAGGGGACACAGATGTCTGAGGTCCAGGTTCTCTTCCCAGGCCTCACAATCCCATCTAACACTCCTCCCACTTCATTACACTGCCCCTGCGTTTTCACAATACAGACTGTTAAATACTTCAGCCTCCAAACTCAAAAGTGTGGTCCTGGAACTAGCAGCAGCACCTTGGAGCTTCTTAGAAACGCAGGTTATCAGGCCTCTTCCCTGAGAAAGGAAATCAGAATCTGCATTTTAACAAGATTCCCAGGGCAAGGTTCTCAGAGAAGTAGCAGAATAAGAGAAAGTCTTTCTTTAATGGTTTAATTTCAGTTGAAGCTGACTTAGTTGACCAAGTTAAAACAGTGATCTCAGTCCCACCATTGGCTGTGTGACATGAAGCATGTTTCTCAACCTCTCTGTGCCTGGGTTTTTTCATCTGTAAAATGGGGATCATAAACCTACATGGTGCATAGCAAGTGCAGAGATGGAAGCAGGGTGCAGTACCTGTAAACAGTGCCTGTAAATAATGCTTCTTGTTGGTTATGTTTTGACAGGCCTGGCGCTCTGCACAAGCTGTGCAATGCTTGGCACATAGTTAAGTGCTCAGCCAGTACGTGTTTAATAAATAACCAACAAGAGCATAGGTTATCATTTATCAATTTTTGACTTGAACTGTCCCATTCTTTAGTATATAACATTCTCAAAACTGCCAGTTTTCTGCATCCCAACATTCAAAACTGTGCCAGCTCTCACCAGATGGTGAGAAAGTGCGGAGGCTGAAGGTCATAGATAAGCTTAACTCATACTGTAAATCATTCCTACCAGAATTTTTTTTGAGACAAGTAGATTTTATTTACAAATTTCTCCCTCTAAGTGATCATAAAATTAACCAATCCAGGATGCCCACTGCTGATTGAGTACAGGCAGAATGGTGGGGTGTTCTCTGGTGTCTGTTGTGGCTGTGGAATCCATGGTTACTAGGCAGAGCCCTGTGGCAGCACCTTGGAGCTTCTTAGAAATGCAGGTTATCAGGCCTCTTCCCTGAGAAAGGAAATCAGAATCTGCATTTTAACAAGATTCCCAGGGCAAGGTTCTCAGAGAAGTAGCAGAGTATCTTTAATGGTTTAATTTCAGTTGAAGCTGACTTGATTGACCAAGTTAAAACAGTGATCTCAGTCCCACTATTGGCCGTGTGGGACTGCAGTGTCATGGAGGGGCTGCGATCCTCTGTGGAGGTGGACCCTGGACTGAACCCTGGGAAGCTGGATGAGGAGATGGTGGGGCTGCCGCCCCATGACCCAAGTCCTCAAGTCACTTTCCACAGCCTCCATGGGAAGACACTGGTGTGTCCACACCTCACGGGCTTAGTGATGGGTCTTAGTTTTATTCAGACTTAGTCAATGTATTAGGAATGGACTCCGTGTAACGTGGGCATGGAGTATTTAACACACCTCAGACTGTGGTTTTCGAACCGCCTCCATTAGCATCATTTAAAAATGTGGATGCTGGGCCGGTCGCAGTGGCTCACACCTGTAATCCCAGCACTTTGGGAGGCCAAGGCAGGCGGATCGCGAGATCAGGAGTTCGAGATCATCCCAGCCAATATGGTGAAACCCCATCTCTACTAAAAATACAAAAATTAGCTCAGTGTACCCGCACTCCAGCCTGGCGACAGAACAAGACTCAGTCTCAAAAAAAAAAAAAAAAAGCCAGGCACGGCGGCTCACGCTTGTAATCCCAGCACTTTGGGAGGACAGGGTGGGTGGATCATCTGAGGTTGGGAGTTCTAGACCAGCCTGACCAACATGGAGAAATCCCATCTCTGCTAAAAATACAAAATTAGCTGGACGTGGTGGCGCATGCGTGTAATCCCAGCTACTCGGGAGGCTGAGGTAGGAGAATCGCTTGAACCCAGGAGGCGGAGGTTGTGGTGAGCCGGGATCACACCATTGCACTCCAGCCTGGGCAACAAGAGCAAAACTCTTGTCTCAAAAAAAAAAATGTGGATTCTGTGGTCCTGACCAGGTCTCTGGAATCAGAATATGAAATGCAACTAGGAATCCGCCTTCTTAACAAGTTCCCTAGGTAATTCTTTATTCAAAACTTTTTTGATGTTGTTTATATTTTGAAATCTGTCACACATACAGAAGAGTTTATAAACCATATATACATAGTTTCTAACATAAAAATTAAACAAACACCTGTGTACCCACTACCCAGGTTAACATATTGAAGATTGGGAGCTCTGGTGTGCCCAGTTGTTTGGTACACCTTCTCCCCCATCACAGGGAACTACTATCCTAACTTTCGTGGCTTTCATTTCCTTAGTCAACCTGTTAGGAATCGACTCCATGTAACATACGAAAAGCAGCTTGCAGAAACACTGGATTCACACATGGAGGAGAAATGCCAACTCACAGGCAAGCACAGTGATGACAAAAAAAAAAAAAAAAACACTGCAGAGATTGAGGGATCCTTAGAGGATGTCGGTGTATGAAAAAGTATTTAAACATCCCCAGTTTTGTAGATGCTTATAAGGTGAACAGCACCAACGCAATGCTGATGCAGAAATTCACATCCCAGCGGGGCACAGCTGCTCACACCTGTAATTTCAACACTTTGGGAGGCCGAGGTGGACAGATCACCTGAGTCAGGAGTTCAAGACCAGCCTGGCCAGCAGTGAAACCCATCTCTACTAACAATACAAAAATTAGCCAGGCATGGTGGCGGGCGCCTGTAATCCCAGCTACTCAGCAGGCTGGAGCAGGAGAATTGCTTGAACCTGGGAGGTGGAGATTGCAGTGAGCTGAGATCGCACCATTACACTCCAGCCTGGGCAACAAGAGCAAGACTCCATTGCAAAAAAATAAAATAAAATAAAAATCACATCCCTGGTTCAAGAACTCAAAGAAGAGAGGTTTAAAGAAGAAAAGAAAAAAGAAGAGAGATCCAGACTCTCTAAGCAACAAGAAGGGCTGGCAGAGACGTTATCTATGCTGGAGTCCCTGGAAGAGGCCATGGGAGTCACCCCATCACAAGGAGCTTTTCCACACCAGCCAGGCAGCCAAGAGCCAAGCCCTGCTGCTCCCTTCCCCAGGAGGGCTTGGGTCTTAGGGCAGCGCTGTTCTCTCCCCTCCACTCAGGCCTCCAGAGCTGCCAGGCCAGGTTCTCCCATGTTGACTCCATCCGAGGGTCCCTGAGGCCAGTGGATCTAGGGGAGCCCCTTTTTGTGTTGAAGTTTCCACCTTCCCCTTCTGACACTGCAGCCAGCTCCTTCATGGTTGATTCCTCCAAATCTAAAGAATACAGGAGACCCTGGAGCACATCAGCAAAGTCTGGATTCTCTCTCATTAGCAGCAAAAGAAATGCCATACTTTAGAGCCTCATCTTTTGCTCAAACTGAAACATCATCAAACTGCATTTCTCAAGACAATGCTCTGTAAATATTATTTATGTATTAATCTCCTAGGTGAACAATTTCTATTTTATCCTCTACAAAATTATTGCACTTTGAAAACAGATTTCATTTATCAATACTTTCGGTACTCAACTGCAATATTTTTTCTAGAGTTATAGTCCCAACAATTTTAAGTCATAAGTTAAAGCACCATTTTTTGGCTTGAGTATGTATTTGTTGAAAAATTTGGCCGGGCGTGGTGGCTCACACCTGTAATCCCAGCACTTTGGGAGGCTGAGGCAGGCGGATCATGAGGTCAGGAGATCAGGACCATCCTCGCTAACATGGTGAAATCCCGTCTCCACTAAAAACACAAAAAAAATTAGCCGGGCGTGGTGGCGGGCACCTGTAGTCCCAGCTACTCGGGAGGCTGAGGCAAGAGAATGGCGTGAACCTGGGAGGCGGAGCTTGCAGTGAGCCAAGATCGCACCACTGCACTCCAGTCTGGGTGACAGAGCGAGACTCCGTCTCAAAAAAAAAAAAAGAAAAAGAAAAAATTTATGCAAAGGGAGATTTATTTTGGGATAAAGTAAAAGGGAATGTTTAAAGAGAAATTTCTATAATATTTAGATTCAAATAGTGGATATTTTTCAAAAAACAAAATTAATAAATTACATGGAGATGGTTTTATTTCACTACAAGAGTGATGTAGGGAGAGATTTCTAAGAAGAAATCCCCTTGGACAACATTGGGGAACCCCACATCACTTTTCCCCATCTCCTCTCAATTAGCCACCACGCCTGGCTAATTTTTTTTTTGTATTTATACATTTTTATTTTGGTATGTAAGAGAGATACCTGACAAAAGTAACCTGAATTAAACTTTCCATTTAAACTTCCTCTGTGTCTTTATGTTGAGTCAGGCACTGTATTTAGATAACTGTAAATTATTTATCAAGTATGAATGGAGGTCACTCACCCTAATAGTTAAACAGACTGGATTTACATAAATGTGGGGCAATCTTGGTAGGGGTGGTCAGCAAGGCCTCTGTCGGGAGGGAGCACCTGGGCAACGAAGACATAGGGAAGAACTTTGTAGGAAAAGGGGGTAGAACTGACAATAGCCCTGAAGGGGGCATGAGTCTGGTGGGCGTGAGGACCATGCAGAGGCCAGAGTGGCCTGAACTCAGTGAACGATGGCCAGAGTGGTAAATGAGTGAAGGGTACCAGGGGTCTGAGAATGGAGGGGTTTTCCCCACAGTAAGAGTTTCATTTCAATATAAAAGTTCAGAGGCAGCCTGCAGGGAACATAGTAAAGCAGGAAGACCAGGTGGGAGGCTGTGACAGTCATTCAAGGGTGAGAATGGTGACAGCTGGACCAGGGGAGTAGTGGAGGGGGGGATGGAGAGATGGGCTCGAGTCCAGGACCTGTGCTGCTGCCAGAGACCGAGAGACTCACTGAGGCCTGCGGGTGCCAGAGAAAAGGGGAGTCAGGATGAGGACAAGGAGTCCACTGTGAGCATCTCCCTGAGGGGTGGTGTCCTTTGCTGGAACAGAGAGGGATGGCAAAGGACGGGCATCTGGATGATAAATTGGAATAAATGTTTGGGAGGAGACTTGGGAACAGGACCTTTTGACACTAGAGTAGAAATACCAAGTGCTCAGATGGACATAGGTGGAGAACTTGGAGGAGCAATCACAGCATCAGCAAGGAACGTGGAGGATCATTGGGGCGTGAAGTTACTATTACACAGAAGTCCAAGTCCTGGGCAGATTCCAAGGGGTGAATGAAATGAGTCTGCTAGTGACCAGAACCCTCCTCAGGTCTCCCAGTAGCCACAATACCACAAAAAGCCTCAAGAGTGACCTCCCCAAGTCTGTTCCCATTAGGGGACTTGAGTTGTGCAGAATCCGTATAAGACAGCCTCCACCAAACACGTGTCTATGCAGGTCCACGTGCCATGTACATACGTACGACTGATGAAGATCCCCTCCTTGACCAAGCTCTAGCCAGGCTTCCCTGAGCCCCCTTTTCAACTAGGCCTCCACCTTGGCCTATGAAATCTGCAGACTTCAGCAAAAAGGATCGGGTCCATCCTTCCCCCTATATCAAAACGCTTAAACACACAGTTTCTTTTTCTTTCTTTTTTTTTGAGACGGAGTTTCGCTCTGTCGCCCCGGCTGGAATACATTGGTGCGATCTCAGCTCACTGCAACCTCCGCCTCCTGGGTTAAGCAATTCTCTGCCTCAAGCCTCCCAAGTAGCTGGGACTACAGGCACTCACCACGATGCCCAGCTAATTTTTTGTATTTTTAGTAGAGACGGGGTTTCACCATCTTGACCAGGCTGATCTTGAATTCCTGACCCCGTGATGCACCTGCCTCGGCCTCCCAAAGTGTTGGGGTTACAGGCGTGAGCCACAGCGCCCGGCCTAAACACATAGTTTTTAACTGCTCAAAGCTGCATCCATAGGATGACCCCAGACCCCCTAAAGTATCTTCCTGGGAAAGCTGCCAAAAGAACTCACTGTTGGCTATTGCCAACACCTTACAAGCAGCCCCTGATGTCCCTTTCTTAAAGAGTTAACAACAACAACAAAAAACTAAACAATTGTGAATCCTTCCTCTGTCTCTCTGGGATGTAATGTCTCCTACACATCAGGAGTATCCTTCTCAAGAACCTGAAAGCCATTCCTCCAACATGCAATCACCAGGAAGCAAAGGGCCTATCTCCCAGTTACTGTGGGAGGATAGGACCCTGACTCCCATAACAGCCATCTAACAGGCACTGTCGCCTAACCTTACTTACACTGACCCACCCTTCACAAGTTTCACTTTCCTGACTACTGAGTTCCTGCTCATCCCCTTCACATTCCCTCCTCCTCCCTCTTAAACACCTAGTCACTTCTGCACAAAGTTCAGTTCCGTTCACGAGGTACCTTCTTCCCTATTACAATAGTATATTATTAAAATCTGCTTTACCACTTTTACTAGTGTCTAGCTTTATCTTCTACAGTTAATACAAATATACGCACATACACATGCATATATATGCACACATAATAATATATACATACACACATACACGTATATATACATCTATATGTGTATTCTTAATGAATGTTATGTCTTCTCTAATCGTTTGGAAGATATTATCAAGTATTTCTTTGCAGTTTTCCTATGATCTCTGCGTTTCTTTTCTGTTCCTTTGGTCCCTTGCTTCGGTGTGTGTTTTCTTTCCATCTTTTATGCTAGAGGAAGTCCGCAAGCAACAAGTGGTCCTCGGCTCCCACTCCTATGTATGTATGTAGTAGGAAGGAAGCCGCTGAGTGCAGCTGTGCGCGCCGGGGCGGTGCCTGTGCCTCTCTGGATTCCGTGTTTCTTCGGGGGTGCTGAGCAGCGGTGCTTCCGCGTCCGCGTTCTCCGGGTAGCTGATGTGCTGCAGGCTGCAGCCCGCGTGGTCGCGGCTCAGGTCCGTGTTGGGCTGGTAGGACTCCAGCGGGGAGCGAGCATTCCTCCGGAACCTGGGGCTGGACGACAGCAGCAGGAGGCGTGCTCCCATCTCCGGTAGTCCCCGGCTCCCGCTGCTCCCCTTTCTCCCCGGCCTCGGGCGCTGGCGGGCGCGGGCGAGGGGGTAGCGCAGGGGAGGCCCGCCCGCCACGGCAGGGGGCGGAAACCGCGGCCGGGCTCGGGGTCAGCGGCGACGAGCGGGCGGCTGCCCCGCTCGCCCTCGGCCTCCGCGCCCGCCCGCCGCTCCGCAGCGGAGGAGCCCTCAGGTTTGCGTTACTGCGGCCGCCACACCTACCTCAGCCCGCCGCGGCCAGGTCGGGCGGTGCCGCGCAGGCCGCCTCCCCCCCTCGCTTCCCAGTCGGCTTACGCATCCCCGGCGGCGGCGGCGCCGGCATCGGCTAGAGGTTCGGCTCAAGTCGGGGGCACTCGTGTCTGCGCCGAGCGGCGGGCGTGAGCGCGGCCCCTGGGCCCCGCGCGGCGCGGTGCTGCGAGGAGGATCCTCGTGGCCTTGCCCCGCCGGCGGCTTTCCAGAATTTTCTACGATTACGAAGTTTTGGCATTCAACCCTCCATCCTCTCAAACGCCCCACTGTTACTCCGCCCCCTTCCCCTAGGCCCCGCCCCCAGCCGCAGTGCCCTGCCTCTTCCATCCGTCTCCAGCCTCCTCCACGGCCCCGCCCCCTCAGGCCGGTCCGTCTCCCCTCCCACCTCACACCTCCGCCCCGCCCGTCAGCCCTGGCTCCGCCCAGCCACGGGGCTCGCCGCCACAGGCCCCGCCTCCAGCTCGCGGCCCCGCGCGCCGGATCGGCGTGCGTGCGGCTGGAGCCTTAAGCGTTTCCCCCGCCCGGCTTCATCCCTGCTGGCGGCCCAGCGTCGTTCTCCTCCTGCGCGAGGCGGCCAAGGCCTGCTGGCCCGGAGCCGCGCCTCCACCCGCGCGAGGTAGGGCTTCGAGGACCGGCGCGGCGCAGGTCTCCGGAGGCCTCCCGAGAGGGGCTAGGGTCGCCGGGCCGCGCGTGGGAGCGGGTGGGGCCCGGGAGGAGACGGCGCCCCGGAGGGGAGTGCGAGGCCTGGGCCGACGGTTACGGGCGCCGACCGGCGTTGCCTGGCCTGAACGCCCGGCCTTTCGGTGGAGGGCAGCTTGCCCCTGTATGTTGCGCCCTTCCGTGGGTCAGACCGGCGGCAAGGTGAGGCGGCGGCGGCAGCAGCAGCCGCCTTGGGCTCCTGGACGCGCTCCCGAGGTGGGGCGGGTTGGGGAGTGGGGATTGGAGCGTGATGGCTGGACGTCGCCTTCTCGGCGCGGCAGGTCCCGGGAGACGGGGGGACGAGGCGCAGTCCCGCCCTCGGGAGAGCGGAGCCACCTTCACTGAGGGCGCCCGGTTTGGCCCCGGAAAGGCAGGAAGGGGGCGGGGAAGGGATGGCGAGCTCGGGGTGCACCGCCTGTTTCTTTTCTGGTTAGGTATCGTCCTTGGAGAAGATGGAAGCGGAGAGGCGGCCGGCGCCGGGCTCGCCCTCCGAGGGCCTGTTTGCGGACGGGCACCTGATCTTGTGGACGCTGTGCTCGGTCCTGCTGCCGGTGTTCATCACCTTCTGGTGTAGCCTCCAGCGGTCGCGCCGGCAGCTGCACCGCAGGGACATCTTCCGCAAGAGCAAGCACGGGTGGCGCGACACGGACCTGTTCAGCCAGCCCACCTACTGCTGCGTGTGCGCGCAGCACATTCTGCAGGGCGCCTTCTGCGACTGCTGCGGGCTCCGCGTGGACGAGGGCTGCCTCAGGAAGGCCGACAAGCGCTTCCAGTGCAAGGAGATTATGCTCAAGAATGACACCAAGGTCCTGGACGCCATGCCCCACCACTGGATCCGGGGCAACGTGCCCCTGTGCAGTTACTGTATGGTTTGCAAGCAGCAGTGTGGCTGTCAACCCAAGCTTTGCGATTACAGGTATGGTCTTCGTGGACACTCACTGTCCCAGAATGCGCCGTGGGAATCAGGATTTCATAGAGTGGTGTAGAGGCCTGCTTTAATCTCTGCTGATGACCTAAACTCATTTTGAGGAAACAAGCTAATAAATAAACATCCCTGAGTTTGTGCAAGCGTGGCAGCTTTGCAGTAGTCATTTGCTGAGACGATGCATCCAGCCTCCACTCCTCAGCCAGCCTGCCCTTTTGGGTAATAAAACTTGGCTCCTAACGTTAATACAGAGGTTTCTAAGTGGTGCCTGCTTCATGGCCACTGTATATTTTAGCTTTTGTTCCTATCGATTATCTCCTTATTTTAAATAAGGAAAAATGAAATATGGACAAATTAACTTTTCCCTTCAGCCGCAAAACTGATGGGTCACAGGTTTTGTACTATGAATGTGCAGTGAAAACAAGTGTCATTCCAAGGCAGCACTTTTATGTCTTTTGCTAATATAGCTGTTGGTACCATAGCGAAATATACTCAAAAAGAACACTGAAAGGAATATTCCTTTTGACGCTTGGTCTTTCAGGACATGTAGAATCTTAGATAAGTGACCTTGATTAAGCCAAGAATATTTTAATGTCTTTTATATACACACTGGACAACACATTTTTGTCCTTAAATATTGTTTGAAAATAGGTGAAGATGTCCTTTGCTGATGTTGGAAATTGGTAAAGGAGAATGCTGCTTTGCAAATGATCTATTCTAACTCAGTTCACAGTTGAGAAAATTAAAGCCCGTTAGGTCCACTCTGGTAAAATAGGACTGGCCTCCAGGATTTCCAGCTCTGGACTAACACTTAGCCTCCTTTGAGCCTTAAGTCTGGACATCTTCATTGTAATGGGTTTTATTTCTGACAAGTAGAAAGGCGCATAAACATGCTTAAGAAATGAAATAGGCAGTAAATAGGAAGCTGCTTTTTAATTTTTTTAATTTTTTTTGCAGAAATTCTTTCATTAGCATGAACGCTATTATAATGTCAATACCTGTTTTTAAGTCTTATTTTAAATAATTTTACACATTATCAAAGAGGCTTAAGAATAAATGTTCAAAATAATGTATTCTAGACAACTACAAAGTTTTGTAACCATGCATTTTTATTTGGTATCTTTAAAAATTAAATGCTGTCCTTCTGGCATCAGTGAGAGCCAAGTTAGCAGGGACTTTAAATAAATTTCATAATGAATTGAGTATTGTTCTATTTCCTTCCCTTCTCTGGTGTAGCCTCCAGCAGTCTGTGTCTGTGCAGAATTATATTAAAAATGGTTTCCATAAATAACCGTATTTCAAATACTCTTGAACACATAATCATGCTTCTGATCCTCCACCCAAATGATCTTTCTAAAAATGCAAATCTGATCAAGTCCCTGCTCTGCTTAAAATCCTTTAAATTGCTCCCCATCGGGTAAGCTGACTGTTTTACAGTGTAAACCCCTAAGTGCTTTTTCACAGGGTACATAAGGTCCTAGTACTTTCTGGCCTCTGTCCTTTTAGTTTTATCTACCACCACCTGCATTAAACTTTATGCACCAGCAACACTAAGCTTCTTGTAATTTCCTTAAAACGTCAGGCATTTTCTGACATTTCTGCCCCTTTGCTCAAAGCTTTCCTCTCAGTATTCTTCTGGCTAGCTTCTAGGCACCCTTAAAGACCCATCCCATGTCCTTGTCCTTTCCTTCAGGAACTCTTACCTGATCTACTCAGCTTCCCTCCTCCCCCAGTTTTTCCTTTTTGGTGATAACGTAATATCCTATATCTCAGTGGTTCTCAAAGTAAGGTCCCTAGACCAGCAGCATCAGCATCTCTTCAAAATCTGTTAGAAATGCAAATTCTAGGGTTGCTAGATTTAGCAGATAAAAATAAAATATTGCAGAATTTGGAACATAAAAAGTTTCTCTGAAATTCAAATTCAACTAGGCATTGCCGTTTTTTTGTTTTTTTTTTCTGGCAACCCTAGCCCAACCCCAGACCTACTAAATCAGAAACTTGGGCTGGACATCAGCAGTCTTGGTTTTAACAGGCCCTACAGGTCCTTCTAAAGATGGAGAACCACTGCTATATTTACATATCTTTAAAAACATGCACCTCCGTCTCTTAATTTTGTATCCTCCCATTGAGCACACTGAATCTGTGTGATAATAAATCTTCTTTTCTTCATTAGTGCATTTTTACAGAGTAACCCCTTACCCCATGATAGAAATTGTCTCTGTGTAATTTAGGAGATGTTTATTATTCCCAAGAGAAGAGACCACAGTGTCCTGAAGTTGTACATATTCTACAGTGTTCTGAACTGATTTATGTTGGCCAATAATTGTATACAGGATTACAGTCTCCTGTGACCTTCTGTAGGAATGAGATATTTTGGAAGGAGAAACAAAATAAATAGCTACTTAGAACCTTTAAACACAGACCAGACAGTCCTCTGGATTTTATCTAGCCCTGAGGAGAGCTCCTTCCCTGTCTGCATCTCATTCTTAGGGAAGTGAGTGAACTCTGCAGACAAGTTACATTTCAAAGGACACTAATGAGAGATGATGACTGAGTTTAAAGCCTGCAGAATAAGTGAGAAAGGCCCTTTAATTTATACTCATTCGATCATTATACTTATTGAGCATCTATTTTTGTTCTAGACACTGCTAGAGTCTACTTTGTCTGTAGATTTTTTCTTTTTGTGTGCTCCTGTTTCTACCCCCAACCACTACATCTTCTTTTTCTTCTTCTTATCTCTCCTCTGACTAAAATAGGGAATTAGGTTATATTTTTACATATTCAATATATTTATTAAATGAACCTTTGTTTCTTGTAGTGTTCTATCTCATTAAGAGAAAAAGAACTTAAAGTGCTTTTTAATTTATTGGACTTTTTATTCATTACATCTACCCCACGCCTCACACACAATTACTGTGATTAGTAAAACAAAGCTGCTGACTCTCAGAAGGCAGTTAGATTGGCCTCAGTGTAACTAGTCTCAGCTTTGATCATAAATTTTGTTTCTATATTCTATTGGTGTGTGTTTATTCATTTCATTAATTATCTGAAACAGTGAAAGATACCAAATCATCTTCTAGAGCAGAGGTGGGCAAACTTACTGTAAAGAGCCAAAAGAATTTTCGGCTTTCCCAACCATTTCGTCTGTCATAATTACTTAACTCTGCCATAGTTGCAGTGCAAAACCAGCCATGGACAATACATAAATGAATGAGCTTACCTGTGTTCCAGTAAAACTTCATTCACAAAATCAGATGGCAGACATATTTGCAGTTTGCAGAACCCTGTTCTAGTGAATCTTATAAATGACCATCTCAACTTTATGTATAATTCAGCTGCCTCCTTCAGCACACTAAAAAAGAGAGCTATTGTGACCAGGTAATTTTTTAGAGAAAACAAGCCTTGTTAAACCTTTTTTTTTTCTATAAATACTACTGCACAAGAACGGCATATAAATTCATGAGGCATTCCATATTTTCATATGAAGGAACTTTCTAGAGTAATGTTCTATATCTTGATAAGGGTTTTAGTTACGTATGTTCATTTATCAAAACTCAGGAAGTATATACGTACATTTCATTGTATGTAAATTTTACATGAAAAGGAAAAAACATCATGAATTCTAGGTAGTGATAAGCCTATTTGCTGATGTATTCAGGAAGTATTCTGATGTCTTCAGTTTACTTGGAAATGTACTAAAAATAAGATGAATTAATGGATAGAAATGTGACAAAGCAATTACAGTAAGATGTTAATGGTAGAATGTAGGTGGTAGGCATACCTGTAAAAAATATTTTTAAGTAAAATATTTTAAAAAGCAAGTAAACTATTCTTGCTTTTAGAATATATTTGCTAAAATATTGAAGGGTGAGATCTCATACTGTCTGCAGTTTACTTTCAAATGATCAAAAAAATATGAATTTATATGGAAAGAGAATATTGTGGGAGAAAATGTCATTAAGAATCAGCGTGAAGGGTGGGCTTAGGGTATTCATTTTGCTATCCTTTTGACTTCTCTGAAAGTTTGGAATTTTTCAAAATAAAAAGAAAAAAGATGATAAGCTGTTACCCAATGACATGATGCTAAAGCTGAAATACCAAGACATTTTAGTAATGTCTTATCTTCCCAGTGAGTTTGAAATCTAGGTTGTTAAATACCAATTACAACATAGGTAAAGACAATAGGATTCAGGTTTGAATATGGTATTTCTAAAGAAGAATGTAATACTGAGTAATTAGTAAGCATTTTATTTTATTTTGTTTTTTGAGACAGGGTCTTACTCTATATTGCCTAGGCTGGAAGACGGTGGCAAGATTATGGCTTACTGCAGCCTTAGCCTCCCAGGTTCAAGCAATCCTCCCACCTCAGCCTTCCAAGTAGCTGGGACTACAGACATGCACCACCATGCCTGATATTTTTTTTTTCTTTTTTGTAGAGATAGGAGTATCACCATATTGCCCAGGCTGGTCTCAAATTCCTGGGCTCAAGCAATCCTCGCATCTTGGCCTCCCAAAGTGCTGGGATTGCAGGCGTAAGCCACCATGCCTGGCCCTAGTAAGCATTTTAGCTGTACCTTTATAGAGCAAAGGCTCATAATAGCTATTATCTTGGTTAAAATAATCTTTTCTGGGCTGAGCGCAGTGGCTCATGCCTGTAATCCCAGCACTTTGGGAGGCCAAGGCGGGCAGAGTTCGAGACCAGCCTGACCAATATGGAGAAACCCCATCTCTACTAAAAGTACAAAATTAGCCGAGTGTGGTGGCGCATGCCTGTAATCCCAGCTACTCGGGAGGCTGAGGCAGGAGAATTGCTTGAACCCAGGAGGCGGAGGTTGCTGTGAGCCGAGATCGCGCCATTGCACTCCAGTCTGGGCAACAAGAGCGAAACTCCATCTCAAAAAATAATAGTAATAATAATAATCTTTTCTGAAATTTATGAGAATTTAATAAATGATAAGTGTTCTGTCACAAATTATTGGGGGTAGAAAAGATGGTTTTATGAATCGTGTTAGGACAAGTGCTCTTGGGGGAGGGGAGAAGGTTAACTCTTCATAATACGCCAGATTTATTATGGGTAGATTAATGCAGTAGTTTGTTTTGTTGTTGTTGTTGTTGTTGTTGTTTTTTGAGACAGTCTCACTCTGTCGCTCAGGTTGCAGTGCAGTGACATGATCTCGGCTCACTGCTACCTCTACCTCCCAGGCTCAAGTGATTCACCCGCCTCAGCCTCCCGAGTAGCTGGGATTACAGGCATGCACCACCACACCTGGCCAATTATTTTTTATATTTTCAGGAGAGACAGGGTTTCACCATGTTACTCAGGCTGGTCTCAAACTTCTGACCTCAGGTGATCCGCCCGCCTGGCCTCCCAAATCCTGGGATTATACGCATGCCCCACTGCGTCCAGCCAATACAGAGGATGGAAAAGCCCGACACTTCCATGAGATTCTGAATGGAATCTATAGCCCCAGAAGGTTAAGAAGCACTGAATTAAAGATGTAACTATGACAACTGAACTGGGAGGGGGGGGAATAACTATAGGTGAATATCTAGGAGATGGTAAAAGACTTCAAAGCATAACAGCATTTAATTAGGTGCCTGTAGCCTAGCTACTCAGGAGACTGAGGCAGGATCACTTGAGCCCAGGAGTTCAGGCCAGTGTGAGCAACATAGTGAGACACTGTCTCTTAAAAAAAAATTTTTGGCCAGACTCGGTGGCTCACACCTGTAATCCCAGCACTTTGGGAGGCCGAGGCAGACTGATGAGGTCGGGAGTTTTTGAGACCAGCCTGACCGATATGGTGAAACCCCGTCTCTACTAAAAATACAAAAATTAGCTGGGCGTGGTAGCATGCACCTGTAGTCCCAGCTGCTCAGGAGGCTGAGGCAGGAGAATCACTTGAACCCAGTATGTGGAGGTTGCAGTGAGCCGAGATTGCACCACTGCACTCCAAGCCTAGGCGACAGAGTGATACTCTGTCTCAAAAAAAAAAAAAAATTTTTTTTAAATGAAACAGCATTTAAGCCAACTACAAACGGAAATACATATCTGTATATATATTTTTAAAAACTTAAGTAGATTAAAAAGACAATTTTAAAGAACACTGAAGCATGTTTGCAATAAATATGCCAGAAAAAAGGTTGATATTCTAGTTAAATAAAATTACATGCAATTATTAAAACCTAGTGAAAGATGAATATGGAACATGACTGAATTCACAAAAGGGGGCTGAAAAACTCAGTTTTACCTACTAATCAGACTTCCAGATTAAAACAATAGGATACCTTTTTCTATCAAATTATCAAAGAAAAATTAAGTACTAATGAGCGGTATTAATAAGTGTTAGTTATGATGGGCACTTTCATGCACTCGTAACAAGCATATTGGACAAACATCCAGAACCTTGGGAAAATGCATGCCCTTTGATTCAGTAACTTCTGAGATTGCAAAGAAATAATCTCATTCATTTACCCATGTTATTTATATTTTCAAAAATAAACTAAATGTCTTTTTTAAAAAACAGAAAAGGGGTCAGGTTTTTTTTGTTTTGTTTTGTTTTGTTTTTTGAGATGAAATCTCACTCTGATGCCCAGGCTGGAGTGCAGCAGCACCCTTTCCCGGGTTCAAGTGATCCTCCCACCTCAGCCTCACTAGAGCTGGGACTACAGGCACACGTTACCACGCCAAGCTAATTTTTGTTCATTTTTCTTGTTTTTTGGGACAGGGTCAGATAAATTATACGATATTGACATGATGTAATAATATACATTCTTTACAAACCATGTTTTAAAAAAATTGATATACAAAAAAGTTTATGATACAATGTAGAAAAGCATTATCCAGATATATATACATCATACTTCTAAGCTGAAAAACAAACGTATACACTATAAAACTGAGAATAAATAAGTCAAAAAGTTAAGAGTGACTCTCTGGATGATTTTTATTTTATGCCTTTTTGTATTTTTAAATTTTTATAAGCTAGTATTTAAAATAATTTTTAAAATTTATACAAGTAGTTCATGTTTATATTCTGGTTTTTAGGATCTCAAGGAATACATACAAAAAAAACATAGCCTAAAAACTTAATATTCTTCCCATTCCTCAGTCCTACTTTTCTTCCCAGAGGAAACCATTATGAAATAATTCAGTGGGTATCCTTTCTGATTGCTTTTGATGGTGATATACTATTTTAAAGTTATGGTAGACCAATAAATAAAGATATTATACTTCAGCCACATAACCAGTCTATTATAGTTTCTCAAGTTGAGTTTAAAATTAACAAATGTGATTATGCAAATTATTTCAGTTTTCTCTGTAACAGATTATGCAGAGAACTCTTGCTTTTAGCAGTAAATAGGACTCGAGTATACAGCACTAAGTACTTGACAAATCTGAATATCCAAAAGGAAAAAACAGCTTAAAATAGAAGGTCACCAGAGGACCTCTGGGTGAAAGAATGTTTATCCTCTTTTCTTTTTTATATTCATTTAATTATAACCATTCTTTTCTGGTGGCCTGCTTTATCTCTTCAGTCAGATCTGCCTTATCTGTGAGTGGATTAAATACTTAGCAAATTAATAATAGAAACCCAGGACCTTTACCAGCTCTGTTCTCTGCTTGTTTTACCAATTGGGTCCAAACATAGTTGCAAATCTGAATGCACATGTTCTTACGTCTATTTCAAAAGCAAGCATATGAATTATTTTCGTATTAACTGACAAAAAGAAATGCACGGTTGTACTTACATTTACAGGTTAAGAGATTTTCAAGCTGGACCCTCAGGAACTCTTCAAGGGTCCATGTCAGTGGGGCATTTAAACAGCAAGGACTTTAGGCCTCATGAACCTACATTTCAGCCAAAGCACAAATATATATAAAACTATCATTTTAGATCAGCTTTTGTTTATGTGGATCATATCTATTGATATTTACCATGTCATAAATTAAAACTGATAAATTTTTTAAATATTTTTAAAATAATAGTTACAAATGGTTTTTATGAAAATTTAGTGAGGAGAGTTACATTGTTTTAAATTTTTGCACATTTCTTTCACTTATTATTCAGCTAGAGTATCATATTTGCTTCTATTGTCATAGCACATGTCATAAAGCTTCTGGAAAATTCCACTGTACGCTTTTGAGAGGTTGAGGGTGAAATAACTCTTTAGTGTTATTATTAAAATTTTAACCTCACAGATGCCCTGAATGGATCTTGGGGCCCACATTTTAAGAAATGCTGTTAGGCGGGGCACAGTGGCTCACTCCAGCAATCCCAGCACTTATGGGAGGCCGAGGTGGGTGGATCATTTGAGGTCTGGAGGTCAAGACCAGCCTGGTCAACGTAGTGAAACCCCATCTCTACTAAGAATATAAAAATTACCCAGGCGGTAGTAGCACGAACTTGTAATCCCAGCTACTTGGGAGACTAGGCAGAAGAATCACTTGATCCTGGGAGGCAGAGGTTGCGGTGAGCTGAGATCATGCCACTGCACTCCAGTCTGGTGGACAGAGTGAGACCCTGTCTCAAAAAAAAAAAAAAAAAGTGCTGTTAGATTAAACTGCCAAATATGTTCAAACCTTATTGCTCCATTTCACTGTGCAGATAGTGCATATATTTTATTTGCCAAATGTTATGGTAAGTAGTGATAAAATTATGTTTTATTTTTTAACAAAAATGATTGTTTTGTGGGTTATCATTGAGATTATGGTTTAAAATTAGTTAATGCTTGTTTCTTCCTTCCCTCAGGTGCATTTGGTGCCAGAAAACAGTACATGATGAGTGCATGAAAAATAGTTTAAAGAATGAAAAATGTGATTTTGGAGAATTCAAAAACCTAATCATTCCACCAAGTTATTTAACATCCATTAATCAGATGCGTAAAGACAAAAAAACAGATTATGAAGTGGTAATTAGAGTTTATTTCTCTAATATGATTGATTTTTAAAAAGCTGCTTAACTCATTGTTTGAGATAGTTAAGACAGTATGTAAGAAGAATTGGTGCCAGGAATAAAATAAACTTAAATAACAGATCAAGACCAAGGAGAGAAATAAAATGCTATTATGGTAAGCCATAAAATCCTACCTAGTTCCTAGAGATGGGTCAAAAATTTTGGCTCTTGAGTTCTTTCATGTCTAAAAGGAAATTGGAAATGTTATATTAGTGGTTTCCAAATCATTGCCTGCATCTGAATGATTTAGGGAGCTTTTTAAAAATACAGATTTCTGAGTAGTACCTTCATTGCCATATTTGATTTAGTAGGTATAGGGTAAGTCCAGGAATTCATCTTTTTTTTTAAGGTCCTCAGAAGATTCTGATGAACAGTCAGTTTTGGGATTCATGATTATTGTCAGTGAAAAGAAAATAGATTTTCCTCACACCTTTTTCTAAAACTATTTTTCTATTTTGAACTTTATACAGGGTCCCTAGAGATAAGTTTATGTTGCACATTAAATGCTCCCACAAATAATGGTGAACACTAAACCTGTTAACAGTTTATAGATGTAGATATGTGTATGAAATTGATGTAACTTATTGAATCTCTCAGTCTTTATGTAGCTCTTAAGGAAACATCATAAAAATTTATGGATTTATTTTCTAATTGGATATACCAAAATAATTGAACTATTTTATTTTAAAATTGTACCTTTTTCAAATTAAGATTTTATGACTTACATGCCACCTTTGTCAATATTCCTGCAAGGGAAGGGACATTTTAAATTTTTCAAACAATATTGTTTTGACAGTTTTTTTAAATGTACAATCTCTTATTTATCTGAGTTCAACCTGAGATCACAAGAGAGAAGAATCTCTAAGTAAAACTATAGAATAACTTCATTAATGGTTACATCTACAAGGAGAGGGGAAGAAGAAATGGTTACATTTTGAAAAGTATTAATTTCATTTGACTTTGAGCTATTAGAAGTCCAGATTTTTTAATCTGAGTACCCCATTTTAAAAAAAGAAATAAAACCTTGCAAAACACACCAGAATACATCCAGTAAAGGAAAATCAAGGTGAAAGGTCAGAGAAAAAAATCAGTGTCTATTCTGTGAATGGTTGAAAGTTATAGAAAGACAGATTTTCAACTCAGTTTAAGTCCAAACTTTCTAATAATTTGATGTAGCAGTGTAATGGGCTGCATTACTAGTGAGTTCCTTATGTGAGTGTGCGAGCATATGCTGGATGACTTATCTAGAATAATGTAGAAGAGAATTAAACATTGAATGGGAGCTTAAATTAGTTAATTTCTGAGGTTCCCTTCCATTCTTAGAATTCTTTGATTTTTATATTGAATTGAGAGAACTAGTATAGTTTTTATTTCAGCAAATTATAGCACCATTGTTCTCAAGGCATGGAAAATGTGCTTTTCATCTTTAAGATACTAAACCTTTTCACTCATGGCAATTTTTTTTAGCTAGCCTCTAAGCTTGGAAAGCAGTGGACCCCATTAATAATCCTGGCCAACTCTCGTAGTGGAACTAATATGGGAGAAGGACTGTTGGGAGAATTTAGGATCTTGTTGAATCCAGTCCAGGTAACTAAAGAAAAAAACTTTTTATATTAATGTTTTCATTTTCCCCAAAATGCAATGATTATTAATGCTTCAAGTCACTAATCACCTGATCATAGGAAAGAATAATAATTACAAAAAGATCAGCCATTTAAATATGTGGATAAACAGGCACTCTTGTGGGAATATAAAATGGTACAACCTCTTTAGAAGACATCTTGGCAGTTTCTTAAAAAGATAAATATAAATTTATTATATCTTCTAGCAAGTCCTCTACTAGGAATCTACCCAAGGGAAGTGAAAACATATTTCTCACAAACATTTGCATGAAAATGTTCACAGCAGCATTATTCATGATAGCTGAAAAGCATAAACAGCCCAGCTGTTCATCAGCTGATGAGTTGATAAACAAAATGTGATGTAGCCCTACAATGGAATACCATGAAATGACAAAAAGGAACAAACTACTGATACGTATATATTACAATAAATGAACCTCAAAAACATACTAAGTGAAAGAAGGCAGATACAAGGGACCTTATATTGTATGACTCCACTTATGTGACTTGTCTAGAAAAGGCAAGTCTGTAGAGGTAGAGAATAGATTATTGGTTCTAGGGCTGGAAATGGGGAGTGATTGCGAATGGACATTGAGGGATCTTATTGAAGCAACAAAAATGTTCTAAACTGGATGATGGTGGTGGTTGTGCAATTCAGTGAACTTAATAAAAATTATTGACTTGTTCACTTCAAATGGGTGAATCTTATATGTAAATTATACCTCAGTTTTAAAAATAAAAGGGATCGTTAAAATTGAATATAATTTTACTTTGAAAAATTAACCAAAAAACAAAAAAATACAAAAAAATTTTAAAGACAACCCATTGTGTAGCAATTAGAAGTGCAATAACTTTGTCCTTCCAATTTGTATTTTTTACACTTTCAATATTATACAGTTTAAGAAAATTATAAAAAATACAGAGAAAATCATTTGCAATTTCTCCATACAAATACATCAGTTCTCTTTTTTCTTGTTCTTTCCATTAATTATCTATGCATTTACTTTACATATTAACAGTACTATAACAATAATCTAGATACAAATTTGCATTCTGATTTTTTTAATTTTAATGGTATAAATATTTTTCCTTGTTTCAACATAGTCCTCATAGTTACATATTTAATGACTAAAATAATTGAATGGAAATAGCATTATTTATCCAGTCTCTACTGTTGAAAGGTAACACTGTCTCTATGATTGTACTATAAATAATGCCACAGTGAATATTTTTATACATATTTTTAGGCATTTTTGTCTTTCGAAATATTTTTCTAGGGTCGTTGACAGAATTATGGATAATCAAAGTTACTTGCATTTTTATGTCATTTTCTATGTATTGCAAAATTGCTTTCCAGAAATTTGTGCTAAGTTGCACTGGTGATTTTTTTTTAAGCCAGTATAAGATATGAAACACTAATTAAAGGTGAACTTAGCACATTGTGGTTTATGTGAACAAGAAGGAGGCAATGTGGTATAGTAGATAAACTATAACTTTTTTTTTTTTTTGAGACAGAGTCTTGCTTTGTTGCCGAAGCTGGAGTGCAGGGGCATGATCTTGGCTCACTGTAACCTCTGCCTCCCAGGTTCAAGTGATTCTCCTACCTCAGCCTCCCGAGTAGCTAGGATCACAAGCACACAACACCACACTGGCTAATTTTTGTATTTTTAGTAAAGACAGGATTTCACCATGTTGGCCAGGCTGGTCTCGAACTCCTGACGTCAAGTGATCCACCCGCCTTGGCCTCCCAAAGTGCTGGGATTATAGGCATGAGTTACCACACCTAGCCTTGTATTTCAGCACTTAATTACCTGGACAATCACAGGCAAGTGATTTAACCTTCCTGCACCTCAGTTTCCAGCCCAATAGAATGAGGCTAACTCTTGCTTTGTAAAGTCAGTGTGGGGATGAGCTACAATGAATATAAAGAGTCTGGCAGGGTGCCTGGCATATTGTTAAATACATAGTAGCCAGTAATGTTATTTAACTGTATCTCTACTCATCTAGAGGGAAATCATCATTACAGATGAAGGAAAATGTTGGATAAAAATAATTTGTCTTTTTCTTTTGTTTCTAGGTTTTTGATGTAACTAAAACTCCTCCTATCAAAGCCCTACAACTCTGTACTCTTCTCCCATATTATTCAGCTCGAGTACTTGTTTGTGGAGGGGATGGGACTGTAGGGTGGGTCCTGGATGCAGTTGATGACATGAAGATTAAGGTATTAGTCTTTAAGAACTACTACAGAAGGACTTCTAAGATAAATATACTATACATATATATATATATATGGGTTTTGTTGTTGTTTTGTTGTTGTTGTTGTTTTTTCTTGAGATACAGTCTCGCACTGTCACCCAGGCTGGAGTGCAGCGGCGCAGACACAGCTAACTGCAACCTCCATTTCTCAGGTTCAAGCCATCCTCCCACCTCAGCCTACAAAGTTGCTGAGACTATAGGTGTGCGCTACCATGCCTGGCTAATTTTTGTATTTTTTGTAGAGACAGGGTTTCACCATGTTGCCTGGGCTGCTGTCAAACTCCTGGGCTCAAGCGATCCTCCCACCTTGGCCTCCCAAAGTGCTGGGATTACATGGGTGAGCCACTATGCCCAACCTAATATAGAATATTTTTGCTTTATATTTTTTATTATGCAGATGAATATTAGACATTGCCAGCTTCAAATAGTTAAAAATGAGATGTTTTGATTAAGCAATTAGCACAAGCTTTAGCAAAACAACATACAGTTGTTATATTTGTATCCTTACTGTTTTGGTCTTATTAAATTTTACAAAATATTATTACC
The DNA here is from genome assembly GCF_000001405.40 of Homo sapiens. NCBI lineage: Eukaryota > Metazoa > Chordata > Mammalia > Primates > Hominidae > Homo > Homo sapiens. The sequence goes on from NC_000017.11 coordinate 56,848,647, forward strand.
CAGCAAATAGTCTGAGAGAAAAATCTAAAACATATCTTCCATATTCTAGGGACAAGAAAAGTACATTCCACAAGTTGCAGTTTTGCCTCTGGGAACAGGCAACGATCTATCCAATACATTGGGTTGGGGTACAGGTTATGCTGGAGAAATTCCAGTTGCGCAGGTTTTGCGAAATGTAATGGAAGCAGATGGAATTAAACTAGATCGGTAAGTTACGTTTCCCCAAAAAGTAGATTTCTTGAGATTTAGCCATAATTGGTTAACAAGTGAAGACTTGTGTAGATGAAATGTGCCATGTAATTTAAATGTGAAAGACTATACTAGTTGTACCTACACAGATACTGGTGTTTTGTTTTATTATGTAAGAGCCGAAGTAATAAGTTACACTGAGTACTTATCCCTAAATTTGCATGCTCATATACGTGTGGTTACTTTTGTAGATGGTATTTTAATAGAAAACCCTCATTTATCCAAACATCCAGAGTATGGGGTTTATTGTAAAACGTGCTGTTTTTTTTAACTTCTGTTTTTTAGATGGAAAGTTCAAGTAACAAATAAAGGATACTACAACTTAAGAAAACCCAAGGTATGTTGTTAGTGCCTCAGTTGCAAGTGGTTTCAGCTTCATTGCACAAGATACGGCACTCTGTGGTGGGATACAGAGACCTGGTGCTTATCTCAAGGGAGCTGGCTGTGGAGCAGAACAGAAGCTTATATGCTTACCTCACAAGCTGGACTGTAAATGTGTTATGGGAGAGAACAGGGTGCAGGTATGCTTAGTTCTGCCCTAGCTGAGAAGATTCAGAGGAAGTGGTACGGGAGTTGGTCCTTAAAAAAGCAAAGGACTTTCCAGGCAGAGGGAAAAGAGGTGAGAGAGTGCAAAGCATGGTTAGCAAGTAGCAAATAATACAGAGAGAGTAGATCTGTATTTTTAAAAGATACTCTGGAGATAATGTGAAAATAGCTCAGAAGCCTGCACTAGGTAGAATCAGGATGAGGACAATGCAAAGACATTTTAGAGGTAGAATTAATCAATACTTGACAACTGATTAGTATAAAGGGGAGAGAGAAAATACATATTACTATTAGATTTCTGGTTTTTATAACTGAATATATGGAAATGACTATAAGAAAAATACCAAGTTTCAGGTTTGGGTAGGAAGAAAATGAGATAGATATTGGGCATATCAATCTAAAAGTTTTCGTAGTGTTAAACAAGAAGTTGGACGTTTAGGCTTATTGCTCAGGAATAAAGACAGAGCTAGAGATGCAGATTGAGGAATCTAGACTGGGTTAGGAAGTAAAATAAACTGGGGAGGGGGCAGGGGGAGTAGCCCAAGTTGTGGGATTCACATCCCTATTTATCAGCCTTTGAACTGAAGCCTTATTTCTGATAATTGTTTAAATGCTGAGAATGCATAAGAGAATGTGGGGAGTGAGAGGGGAAAAGAGGGCCAAGAACTACATCTTTTCTTTTTTTTTTTTTCTTTTGTTGTGGAGACAAGGTCTCAGTCTATCACTCAAGCTGGAGTACGGTATTGTGATGACAGCTCACTGCAGCCTCGACCTCTGGGCCCAAGCGATCCTCCCACCTCAGCCTCCGAAGTAGCTGGGACCACTGGCATGTGCCACCATGCCCAGATAGTTTTTGTTTTTGTTTCTGTTTTGTAGAGAGAGGGTCTCCCTATATTGTCCAGGCTGGTCTCGAACTCCTAGGCTCAAGCAATCCTCCCACCTCAGCCTTCCAAAGTGTTGGGATTACAGGCATGAGTCACTGTGCCCAGCCATGAACTACATCTTGCAAATAGATATATTTAGGTGACACAGATTAAGAGAGGCCACTAAAGGAGACTAAAGAGTGTAGTAAGTAAATAAGGAGAAAACAGAGAAAGAGAATTACAGTAGGTGGGTGATAAACAGCAAAATTAAAGCAGACTTTAAAGAAGAGCATTTGGGGAACACTGATGCATGTTTCTCTGCTTCTCCATCTCCTTGCCACTGAAATCCCTCTAAAATGTGCCTCTAAAAGATCTTGTATAGGTCTTTGAGAAGGCACAAAACCTTAAGGAGAAAGAGATCACAGCAGTCTTCAGAAGCCAAAACTAGGAAGGTTCGCATATTGAAAAAAGCTCAAAAGTGCCTACACTGCAGAAAACCAAGAAAGAAACCAGTTTATTGAGCAGAACCAAGCAAAGGCTTAGGAATTCTATGCTTACCTCACAAGCTAGACTATAAATGTGTTATGGGAGAGAACAGGGTGCAGGTGTGCTTAGTTCTGCCCTAGCTGAGAAGATTCAGAGGAAGTGATACGGGAGTTGGTCCTTAAAAAAAGCAAAGGACTTTCCAGGCAGAGGGAAAAGAGATGAGAGAGTGCAAAGCATGGTTAGCAAGTAGCAAATAATACAGAGAGAGTAGATCTGTATTTTTAAAAGATACTCTGGAGATAATGTGAAAATAGCTTAGAAGCCTGCACTAGGTAGAGGCTTCTACCACATCACTCAGAGAGCAGTAGTATAGAGTCACCACATCACTCAGAGAGCAGTAGTATAGAGTGGTTCTGAAAATAGAAGGAGTGAGCGAAAGAAGCTGTTTGTCCCCTAGATCACTTCCCCTTTCCCCAACTTCACATGGTCATTTACTACCCTCCTCAACTCAGGTAGTAGATTGGAGGTTTACTCCGGAAAGTTTAGAGACTCTAGCCAGCTAACGCCATACTGAAAACAGATTTAGTGCAAAGTGAGATCACTGGCCCTTTTCATCCACTCAACTTCAAGAATAGTGGCAGAGAGGATTTCTCTCTGGGGAAGCTAACTTGCCCAAGATAAAAATTAACACGTACCAATATTTGAGTGTCCCGTAGCAAAAGGACCAGATTTTTGCACTGTAGTCCTATAATGAAGCTTATACCCTAGCAAGAGCTGCTTTTGGATGCAAAGTTCACAGTTTGCCTTTTATGCCTTACTCTTAAAACATGAATATATACAGCCAAGGATTGGAGGCACAAACAAACATTTAAGGAAAGCCTCTGCCATGAGAGAGCCCCAAAGAAACAACAAGAAAGAATTGTAGGAAACACAGTCCAGGAAGCTGAAGGAAGTCAGGGAGTGGGACTAATGTTCTCAGAGAAAAATGAAAATATTAATAGAACAGGGTTCTATAAAAGGAACATTCAGAAACACATACCTCAAAAAAGGCTCTTATAAACTAAAATTCGGTATCAGATTGGAAAGTACAATTGAAGACACCACTCAGAAAATACAACAAAAAGCAAAGGAACTGGACATGGGGGCACACACCTGTAGTTCCAGCAACTCAGGAGGCTGAGGCAGGAAGATTGCTTGAGCCCAAGAGTTCAAGGCTGCGGTGAGCTATCATCACGCCACTGCACTCCAGCCTGGGTGACAGAGTGCAGATAAGACCCCATCTCTAAAAAAAGAGAAAAAGAATACAGTAAGTAACATTTAAAATTTAAAAATCACAAATTGGCGGGGTGCGGTGGCTCACGCCTGTAATCCCAGCACTCTGGGAGGCTGAGGCAGGTGGATCACCTGAGGTCAGGTGTTCGAGACCAGTCTGGCCAACATGGTGAAACCCCATCTCTAATAAAAATACAAAAATTAGCCGGGTGTGGTCGTGGGTGCCTGTAATCCCAGCTACTCGGGAGGCTGAGGCAGGAGAATTGCTTGAACCCGAGAGGCAGAGGGTGCAGTGAGCCAAGATCACGCCACTGTACTCTACCCTGGGCGACAGAGCAAGACTCTGTCTCAAAAAAAAAAAAATCAAGAAGTAATGATCTGATTATGTTATTTAGAAATATAGAGATAAATACCAGAAGAAACTACGGAAAGAGCTCTGGGAGCAGGAATTATAAATGAGGAGGAGTAGACAGAAAACTGCAGTGTTTCCTTTGAAGCCTTGTAGAACTATATAGCTTATTAAAGTGGATTGCTTTGATTTATTTTAAAAAAAAAATTGAACGTAAAAAAATAGAGAAAGTATTGAGAGATCCTTTAAAATGGTTCCTGTGCTTAAAAGTATTTGTCAGTTATCATAGTGCCTGAAATGCCAACATTAAAGATGTATTTCTCTTTTTGATAGTAGCCAATCTAATAGGTGTGAGGTGATATAGCTCATTGTGGTTTTCATTTGCAATTCTCTGATGATTAGAAATGTTGAGCATTTTTTCATATGCAGGTTGAATATCCCTTATCCAAAAAAATGGGACCAGAAGTATTTCAGATTTCTGATTTTTTTGGATTTTGGAATATGTGCAGAATATGTACCCCTTGAGCATTTCTAATCTGAAAAGCTGAAATCCAAAATGCTCCCATGAGCATTTCCTCTGAGTGTCATGTCAGTGTTCAAAAAGTTTGAGATTTGGGGACATTTCAGATTTCAGATGTTCATATTAGGGATGCTGAACCTGTGTCTGTTGGCCATTTTTATGTCTTTTGAGAAATGTCTCTTCAAGTCCTTTGCCCATTTTTTAATAAGATTATTGGTTGTTATTGAGTAACTTCAGTTCCTTCTACATTTTGGAGATTAGTTCCTTATCGAGTGTATAATTTACAGAGATTTTCTCCCAAGCTGTGGGTTGCCTCTTCACTCTATTGTTTTCCTTTGCTGTGTAGAATCTTTTTAGTGTGATGCAATCCCTTTTGTCTATTTTTACTTTTATTGCCTATGCTTTTGAGATCATATCAAACAAATATCAAACAAATAACTGCCCAGGCCAATGTCATGAAGCTTTTTCCTTACATTTTCCTTTAGTACTTTTATAGTTTCAGGTTGTACATTTAAGTCTTTAATCCATTTTGAATTGATTCTTTATAATGGGTGAAATAAGGGTTGATTTTCATTGTTCTGCATGTGGATATCCAGCTTTCCCAGTACCATTTATTGATGAGACTCTCCTTTCCCTATTGTATGTTCTTGGCACCTTTGTCAGAAATCAGTTGGCCATAGATATGTGTATTTATTTGGGGCTTTTCTATCCTATTTCATTGGTGAGTAATAACAAATGTTGGCAAGGATGTGGAAAAGAGAGAATCCTTATACACTATTGGCATTGCAAATTAGTACAACCATTTTGGGAAACAATATGGAGGTTTCTCAAAAAACTAAAACTAGAATTACCATATGTTCCAGCAATCCCATTTATAGATATATACCCAAAGGAATTGAAATCAGTATATCAAACAGATGTCCATGCTGCCATGTTCATTGCAGCATTATGTACAATAGCCAAGATGCAGAAATAACCTAAGTGCCCATCAGTGAATGAATGGTTTTTTTAAGTATGCCATATATACACAATGGAAAACTATTCAGACTTTAAAAAAAAAAAAAAACAGGAAAATCTGTCATTCTCGGCAACATAGCTGAACCTAGAGGACATTATGTTAAATAAATAAACCAGTCACAGACAAATATTGTATGATGTCACTTATATGTGGAATCTAAAAAATCAAACTCAAAGTCGAGAGTAGAATAATGGTTACCAGAGGCTGTAGAGAGTAGTAGAGTAGATGGAGAAAGGGGAGACATTGGTTAATAGGTACAAAGTTTTAGTTAGGAAGAATAAGTTCTGCTATTGCACAGCTTGGTGACTATAGTTAATAATAATGCATATTTTCAAATTGCTAAAAGAGAGGTTTTTTGTTTTTGTTTTTTGTTTTTTTTGTGTTTTTTTGAGACGGGGTCTCATTTGACCATGCAGTGGCGTGATCACGGCTCACTGCAGCCTAGACCTCTAGGGCTCAAGTGATCTTCACACCTTAGCCTCATTAGTAACTGGGACTACAGGCACATGCCACCACACCCAGCCAATTTTATTTTTATTATTTTCAATAGAGACAAGATTTTTCTGTGTTGCCCGGGCTGGTCTCAAACTCCTGGGCTCAAGCAGTCCACGCCCCTCAGCCTCCCAAAGTGCTGGGATTACAAATGTGAACCACTGTGCTCAGCCTAAAAGAGAGGATTTTAGATGTTCTCACCACAAATAAATGATAAACATTTGAGGTGATGGATATGCAAAAAAAAATGATGTATTTCTCATTCATACCAGGATGTATTACTATTCAGTAATAAAGCAGAGCTGAGTATTTAAAAATATTTATCTTATCAGAGATCATTCCTCCAAAGAAAGATGGACAAAGTTTCACACCAGTTAGATGATTCAAATAAGAAGACATGTTCTTCAGCCATTTGCTGTCAAGAAATAAGATATGTCATTAAAAATAAATATACTACAATCAAGTAGGGTCTGCTTACCTCTATAGAAGAACATCCAAACAATCAAATAAAAGAAGGAACTTCATTTCTCTATACATTCAAGCAAGTGTTTTGTGCCCATCTGGTGCCAGGCACTGTCGTAGGTGCTGGAGTTTCAGTGATGAAGGCCTTGTCCTTATGAAGCTTATATTGCCCCACTCTTAGTTTCTGAATAAAGGACACCTAGGAAACTAGAAAAAAAAAATTCAGTTAAAAAATAAAGGCAAATTAATGTACATTGACATATTTTATTTAAAATAAGGTGTTTATGGGTTTTTTTTTTAAAGAACAACTAGGATTGAAAATTATATTTTGGCAGTGAAGGGACAGACATTTAGTTCCATAAGAGATGAACGGGAAAAGCATGAAAAGAACAAGTGACCAAATTTAGACTTAACCATCAAAAGGAGGAAGAGCGTCTTTGATTTGGAGGAGAAAGGTGCACTTGAGTAAAGTCAGAGTTTTTAGATGGCAGAAAGAGAGCATGAGAATTCATACCTTTCATACCTGAGGATCTCACTTTTTTCAGTGAGGCAAGAATCAAGATCATCTGAACATAACAAAGGCAGGAGAGCTGGTTATCAGGGACTTGAAGAGAGGTAAATTTTGAATTAAACCACTAGGGAATACAGGAAAGGAGTCATCTAAAGGGTTACTGTGTCCTATTAGCGATTGTGTCCAGCCATCCTTAGAAATAACTTTGTAACAGGATCATAATTATAAGATTCTTACCAGCAGTGTCCAGCAACCTGGAAATAGAGCAGAGAAAACAGTTTGGTTTAGAGAAGATTAGCAAGTAAGGCTGGCCGGGCGCGGTGGCTCACGCCTGTAATCGCAGCACTTTGGGAGGCAGAGGCAGGCGAATCACGAGGTCAGGAGCTCGAGACCAGCCTGGCCAACATGGTGAAACCCCATCTCTACTAAAAATACAAAAATATTAGCCGAGCATGGTGGCGGGCGCCTGTAATCCCAGCTACTCAGGAGGCTGAGGCAGGAGAATTGCTTGAACCCGGGAGGCAGAGGTTGCAGAGAGCCGAGATCGCGCCACTGCATTCCAGCCAGGGCGACAGTCCGAGACTCCATCTCAAAAAAAAAAAAAAAAGGCTAAATTGAGAAGAGGTCAAGGGTGTGTTGGAACGAAGGATGGTGTTGAGTACAGTCATTGAAATGATTGACCTTGGAATCCAGGCCGCACTGGGAAGTAAGATAAATTAAGGTGAGACCAGTAGCCTGGGTTGGGACTAATAGAAGCTGAGAGCTTGGAGGCTGTGATAAATGTAAAGAGCAAATGTAATGGGAACACAGGCATGAAAAGCCTGGAAGCATCAAGTAGAGCCATTCTAGATGGTAAGGTCTGAGGTGTAGCATATAAAACAGAAATGGAAGATGAGATTCACATCTGTAGTTATCAGCCTTAAATGGAAGCTTTATTTCTGGTAACTTCACTGGACAGTATAAAATAGCCATGTGAAAAGTAAATGCAGAAAGCATCTCCATTGTCAAAAGAACACAAAGACTAAGATTGACATTTAATTATGACTCAAGCTTAGGTGGAACCATAGTCTGTTGCTTATTCTTACCCTTTCTCACAGGAATTCACAATGAACAACTATTTTTCTGTTGGACCTGATGCTCTCATGGCTCTCAATTTTCATGCTCATCGTGAGAAGGCACCATCTCTGTTTTCTAGCAGAATTCTTAATAAGGTGTGTTGGATAAAATAACATTTCCTGCTTATCACCGAAGGTACAGTAAAAATCAATAGTTCAATTATATTTAGCACTCCTAGATTCAGATTTAACTAACTTACAGAAATATTTACCTGCTCTGTTTTGTGTAGGGTTGTCAAATTAGATCTTTTTTTTTTTTAATTAGATCTTTAAATGTGCTTTATCAGGCCAGGCACAGTGGCTCATGCCTGTAATCCTAGCACTTTTGGGAGGCGGAGGCAGGTGGATCACTTGAGGTCAGGAGTTCAAGACCAGCCTGGCCAACATGGTGAAACCCTGTCTCTACTAAAAATACAAATTTAGCCGGGCATGGTGGCAGGTGTCTGTAATCCCAGCCACTCGGGAGGCTGAGGTAGGAGAATCTCTTGAAACCAGGAGGCAAAAGTTGCAGTGAGCCGAGATCATACCACTGCACTCCAACTTGGGCAACAGAATGAAACTCCATCTCAAAAAACAAAACAAAACAACTTTATCAAAGTATTATATAACTCTAACAAATTTTTTAAATTCAAATTTGGGATGTTTTATAGGATATTTTGCTTAGATGGCAACTAAATGGAATATATGATAGTTTATCTTAAATGGCAGCTAAAATTGGAAGGAAATTTTAGGCAGAATAAATTTTTGGTGAAGTCATTAATGGAAAAGTAGATTTCATTGGTTTGAAAAACCTCCAAAAGGCAGATGAGATAAAAGAGCAGCCTGTTTGCCACAGCTTTGAACTAAGGTCATCTCTGGTTTCTAGTATAGTTGATTCCGTTGATGGAATTTTGCTTAGGAATTTTTTTAATAACGTTCGGTGATTGACCAACAGGATATCAAAAATAAATGCCTAGCAATTATATTCCTGGTTCTGTTTTACAAATATTTCAAATTTTGAAATAGTTCCCTTTTATTAATATAGTTACTAAGGTAATACGTATTACTATTTATACAATTGATAATTAACTCAGTCCTTACATCAACCTTTTTGTATTCATAAGTGATTAGAAAATGTTTGTTAGATTAATACGCATTACTATTCCTAAGTAATCTGAAGTACTAGGAAAAAGTGGAATTTTCTAATTCGAATATTTTTCTTTATAAAATACAACTTTTTTGATAAATTGGGAGAAAACACCATTTAGAAAAAAATCACTTCTAGGCCGCGCATGGTGGCTCACGCCTGTAATCCCAGCACTTTGAGAGGCCAAGGTGGGTAGATCACGAGGTCAGGAGATGGAGACCATCCTGGCCAACATGGTGAAACCCCATCTCTACTAAAAATACAAAAATTAGCCGGATGTGGTGGTGCACGCCTGTAGTCCCAGCTACTTGAGAGACTGAGTCAGGAGAATCACTTGAACCCAGGAGGCGGAGGTTGCAGTGGGCCGAGATCGCGCAGCTGCACTCCAGCCTGGTGACAGAGCGAGACTCCATCTCAAAAAAAAAAAAAAAAAAGAAAAAGAAAAAATCACTTCTATCCCACATTTCCCCTGAGAAAGAGGATAATTAAACTTAAATGGAATGGCCTGTATTGTCATCTTCCAAAAAAGAAGGATGAGTAATATTTCATCTACTGTACCACAGTTCACCTAGAACTTTTAAACTATTAATAGCCTAAGAGAATAAAATGTAAAATACAAATGATGCCAAAAGTATCTGTAATATGTTAAAGGCATTTTTATTTTTACATTGTGTTTTGATTATAGATTTCCATTGCTGCTCCTAGTGGATTCCAATTTTACCCTTTAAAATTACTAGAATGGAGGTGTTGGATAGGGCCAGAGGTTGCACACCAAAAGTATCCCCTTTGGTTGCCCTTCTTTTCATCAGCATCTAGTCTACCATAAGGAGAATGTGTGCTTCAACATTCTTAAAGGGAGCTTTGATACAGCGTATTTTTTCTTATTGTTTACAGGGTTAGATTGTTTTAATATTATATTTTCTGTCCATTTTTCATAGGCGGTTTACTTATTCTATGGAACCAAAGATTGTTTAGTGCAAGAATGTAAAGATTTGAATAAAAAAGTTGAGGTAAGCTATTAACACTTTTTATTTTTTAAAGTTTTAGGTGGTCTCTGGATTATGAAGACTTTTTAAACAGAAATGCTAAACTTTGTTAATATATTTTGCCAGCATACATAGAGTATTTATTTGTGTGCCAGGCACTTTGCTACATGCTTTATACACATTGTCCCTCTAAATTCTCTCCACAATTCTATAAGGTATGTATTATATATTCACATTATGCAGAAAAGAAAACTATTTTAAATGAAGTAATTTGCCCAAATTCTCTCATTTAATGCCTAAATGCACATGTAATCAAGATGTGAACCCAGATTTATGTAAATCCAGTCTGTTTAACTATTAGGGTGAGTGGCCTCCATTCATACATGATAAATAATTTACAGTTATCTAATACAGTGCCTGACTCAACATAAAGACACAGAGGAAGTTTAAATGGAAAGTTTAATTCAGATTATTTTTGTCGGGTATCTCTCTTACATACCAAAATAAAAATGTATAAATACAAAAAAAAAAAAATTAGCCAGGCGTGGTGGCGGGCGCCTGTAGTCCCAGCTACTTGGAAGGCTGAGGCAGGAGAATGGCGTGGACCCGGGAGGCGGAGCTTGCAGTGAGCCAAGATCGCGACGCTGCATTCCAGCCTGGGGGACAGAGCAAGACTCCGTCTCAAAAAAAACTAATAAAAAATAATAAAAATGTATAAATAGTAAAAATAGAATATTAATGATTGCTTATTGCAACAGCATCTCTGACATCATGATATGGCAGTCTTTTTTTTTTTGAGATGGAGTCTCACTCTGTCATCCAGGCTGGAGTGCAGTGGTGCGATCTCCGCTCACTGCAAGCTCTGTCTCCCTGGTTCACACCATTCTCCTGCCTCATCCTCCTAAGCAGCTGGGATTACAGGCGCCCACCACTACGCCCGGCTAATTTTTTGTATTTTTAGTAGAGACGGGGTTTCACGTGTTAGCCAGGATGGTCTCGATCTCCTGACCTCGTGATCTGCCCGACTCAGCCTCCCAAAGTGCTGGGATTACAGGCGTAAGCCACCGCGCCCAGCCAGATATGGCAGTCTTATATGTATTCCTTGCTTGATTCCAAAAAGAATCTGTAATGGTTAATAGCAACAACAGAGACATTAATTCAGAGAAACCTAGAACTGATAAAATAAATAAAAAGAGATCATAAACAGTTTGGGAAAAGAGACAATGAGCAGGGAGTAAGGAGACTGATTATACATTAGTCAAGGAAAAATGTTGCCGTTAGGCGTAATGTTTAGCTCAAAGTCTCTGGGCTGCCATGGCGTAGAAGTAAGCAAGATTTTCTGTTAAAAAGAGTGTTATGTTACTTTATCATATTTTATTTTTCCTAGGCTTTGATGGTAGAGTAAAGCATACAAGCATATAAAATAAAGACTTTTATTTTATTGTCTGACATTTTATTTATATAAAAATACAAATTATTTTTAATTATACAGAAATAAAATAAATTTTATTTATATACCTACAAAATAGTCATTGTCCTCGATACTGGAGGTAGACAGTGATAAATCCCTTGCTCTACATTTACAGTCTAGGGTGAAGAAAGATATTTAAGCCAGTCTGGGCACAGTGGCTCATGCCTGTAATCCCAGCACTTTGGGAGGCCAAGGTGGGAGGATTGCTTGAGGCAAGGAGACTAGCCTGGGCAACATAGTGAGACTCCACTTTTATAAAAAATAAAAATAGCTGAGCATAGTGGCATGTACCTGTGGTCCTAGCTGCTCAGGAGGCTGAGGGAGGCAGATCACTTGAACCCAGCAGGCAGAGGCTACAGTAAGCCATGATTGTACCACTGCACACCAGTCTGGGTGACAGATTGAGACCCTGTCTCCAAGAAGAAACCAAAAAGATATTTAAATCACATTGCAATGCAGTATGAGAAGTTATATAAGAAAAGCATGTGGTCTTACAGGAATAAATAACTGCAATACGTAACCTAGGAGCTACAGAGACTAGGGAAAGTGGCAGTATAAGCAAGTCTTTCTGGAAGAAGTGACAAGCTGGAATCTGAAAATAAGTAAGAGTTAGCTAAGAGAAGGAGGAGGGGAAGATTGCTGTAGGCTAAAAACAGCATCTGCAAAAGACCCAGAGGCATACATGGCATATTTGAGTGAGTTCAGGCTGGAGCATAGCTTTCAGGAAGGAAAGACAAGCGCTGAGGCTAGAGAGATGGACAGAAGTCAAATCACAGAGTGTCATATTTGCCTGGTATTGGATCTTGTATTTCATCATGGGCATTGAAGGGTTAAAGTGAAGCCACTGAAGGGTGGTAATTAGAGGATGACATATTTGCATTTTTTAAGTGTCGATCCAACCGCTCTGTGAGGGATGCATAAGAAAGTAAAGCTAGAGGCAGATAGGCCAGATAGAAACATTTTAGGGAAGAAATGGTGAAGAGAGAGAAAGACATAGAAATAGCATCAACAGTTTTTAGTGATTAAGGGGATGTGGAGGGTAAAAAGTCAAAGAAATCAAAGATAACTGCCAGGTTTCTGGCTTAAACACCTGGGTTGGGGGTGAGTTAACCTACTTAACCAGGAAAGAGTAAGTAAGAGTTAGCTAAGAGAAGGAGGAGGGGAAGATGTTACTCTTTCCTGGTAAGTACATTGGGGAACAGGGAGCAAATTGCAGAAAAGTTGCTTGATCAATTTTTTACATAAGAGTTTTTGGTGCCAGTCCATGGACATGTTTTATGGGCAGTGGATAGATGGATCTGGCCCAGTTTACTTTCCTGAGAAGGAACATCCAGGGAAGTAGAGTCTGTGGTTCCCAGGAAGCAAAGGGAAAGAAGATTTTAGGAAAAGAGGAAGGGGGTCAGCAAGTGTCAGGTGCTACTGAAACAGCAAGTTAGGTAAGTCCTGAAAAAATCACGAGGCTCAACAAAAAGAACATTATTGTTGATGTTGATAGAAGCAGTTCTACTGAAGAGATAGAAAAGGGCAGATGAGAGGCCCTGAGTGAGAGGTAGGGAGCATCTTCTACATGTGCATCTCTCATATATAAGCACATTTATGAAAATAGATGTGAATTCTAAATGGATGTGTGTGGAAATTGTGTATCCTGTAGTCACTATCTATTTGTATTTCTTTAAAGCTAGAACTGGATGGTGAGCGAGTAGCACTGCCCAGCTTGGAAGGTATTATAGTTCTGAACATCGGATACTGGGGCGGTGGCTGCAGACTATGGGAAGGGATGGGGGACGAGACTTACCCTCTAGCCAGGTATGTACATTTGTGGTCTGTTTTTTTATGTCACTATTTTATTTAAAGCAATCTCTTGTTTATAGACTTTAACATTTTTCCTCAAATTTTCTTTTTTGTGTATCTCATTAGTTATAAATATTTTTTAAGTTGATGGTCCAACTGTGTTAAAAAGTAATTGCTCTAGCATAACTGATTTTTTATTGCATCATATAATCCATATTTTCTTTTTCCAATTTTAGGCATGACGATGGTCTGCTGGAAGTCGTTGGAGTATATGGGTCTTTCCACTGTGCTCAGATTCAAGTAAAACTGGCTAATCCTTTTCGAATAGGACAGGCACATACAGTGAGGGTAGGTGAAATATAGCTGTAACAGGCTAATTTGTCCCAATCCAATTCTAAGCTGTTGATATGTAAAATATACATGCTATACTTTTCTTTAAACAGTGGTTTATGGCTCATGCAGCTGGTCACTGTACACTAGCGGCTAGAGTGGGATGAGGAAGAAACAGAAACATGGCTCAAGATCCATGAGATAAAACGTTCACTTGAAAAAAGAATTCCTTAATCAATGAATAAAAACATATTCAGATTAATATTTTCTAAAAATGAAATGCATAAGGGTTAAGGGATTGTGGATGGTATTATTAAGGAAGACCTTTCTAAATTTGGGGGGACTGACTTTTAAACATTATTTGTTCCCTAATATCAGCTGATTTTGAAGTGCTCCATGATGCCAATGCAGGTGGATGGGGAGCCTTGGGCCCAAGGGCCCTGCACTGTCACCATAACTCACAAGACACATGCAATGATGTTATATTTCTCTGGAGAACAAACAGATGATGACATCTCTAGTACTTCGGATCAAGAAGATATAAAGGCGACTGAATAGATGGATGAGGGAGTGAAAACTTTGCATAGAATCCTCACGCAAGTAGATACATGTTCATCCAAAAGTATTAATAGAAATTCTCTATCAGCTATTCAGTCTTAATTTCACTAGTAGTATAATGGGTATACATTTTTGTAAATAGCATCCCCAAACCAGCCAGCCTTCAGTTATTTACAAATGTTTGTTCTTTTTTCAGCAAAATACTTCAAATGAATAGTATTAACTTACAAAAAGTCACAAAAACTTACATGAGAGTGAAAATTTGTTATGACTGTTTTGAGAGTGGGACTCACTCTGAAGTATGTGCTGTCTCATGTCTTATTTTTGAACCATGCATATGATGGACACACAATGGATGGACACATTATATCTCCAACAAGGTGTGGGTGGAAAGATCAAATTAACCTGCTTTTTTGAAAGGAAATGATTACTGTCAAACCAGCATGGTTAATTGTGAGCATCCTCCTGCAGCATGCCCCTTAAGATTTTCTACAACCCAAACCAAGTGTATGTATTGATTTCTAGGAACCCCCAAAAGGAGAATAGTAAAAAAAGATCATACTTAAAATTTGTATTACAATTTTTATTTTAGGAACTTATTCAGACACGTAAATGTTGTTTAATTCTGTAGGTAACCATTTGAGCTGCAATTCAGGATCTTTTTTATAACACCAGTGTAGCCAAAAGAGAAACAGATAAGTGAATTGGTAAGAAATAAGATTCAGAGCACTTGGGATTGTAAGTTATAGGTTCTGAGCTGAACTGTTTATCAGCCGCTCTTTTTATTAAAAGACAGTGTCAACACTTCAAAAAACGTGCTTAAAGGAGACAACGGTGAGATTAATTGCTTAGAAAAAGCTCAAGGCTGACTGATAAGTTTTAAAAATTTGGTGGTCTTGTAGTATTTTGAAATACAGTAGTCTTTTAACAGAATTTCCCCTTAGGGAGGTAAGTGGACAGAAATCTTTGCTAAAATGTTTATATCATATTTATTTTAAAATGAGAGAGATATATTTTTAAATTATTTATTATTTACCTTGTGGTATGGTACCTGTGTTTAGTGTTTACGTTCTGTAGCTTTATTTAATAAGTTAAATTGATCACATAAATTCTGCTAGTCACAATCAGATAGAAATTTAGTCTATTAATTAAAATTCTAATTTAATTCTCCTGACAGAAATCTAGATATTCTTATTCTTCACAAATATTCCTCATTGTATTGAAAAATGAAGGAGGGCATGAAAAGCACTAGGGAACTACTTTTGGATAACTGAAAGCTTTGTTTCATTGTTTTATTTGCCCCTCAATTGCCACAAACTTACTGAAGGGCTAGTTTCATGGTTCCCATTAGAGGGTGCTTGTTCGCTGCTGTTGACCAGCCCAAGGGTCGTGACCCACAGGTCGGCTGACCCAGAGGGCATCCAGCCTGGTGTTTTTCTGACACATGGCCCAGGCTTTGTGGTCTTTCATGACATTAATCTCTGAAAGATCAGAATGTATCCCCCAAAATACCATTAGCTATCTTTGAGGGTCTATTATGAATCTGTCATCCATGAATTGCCATAAACCTAAGTTTGCCTCACCTCAGGCCCAGACCATGTTTTCAAAGAGCAACTTAGTAATGTATACAGTAGTCAGTACATTTTATGAAATACTCTATTTTGCTAAATTAACCTCTTGCAGATCTCCTCAGGTGATCTTAAATTCTAGTCTTGAGAAACTTTGTGAGCAGATCTGTTTTCAGCTTCTTTATATACCTTTCATGGTAAGTAACCATGGCAGTGAGGATGGCAGAGTTTTGTTTTTTTTTTTTTTAATGGGCCAATCATGTTCTGAGTATTATGAAGTTTATCCTTTCATTCATGATCAAAATTGTTAAAGACATCACATTTTATAAATACACTGTTAAATCCACTTTGCTGTAGGTTATAGTTTACCTGTTATATAATTCGTAGTGCTAATTGTAGTAGAAGCAAATCAATTTAGGATGTTGGAACGAAAATAATCACAATAACTAATACAGCTTTTTAATTGTGAAAACTACAATTAAAAATTATAATTTTAATACCAACCATAATATTACACTGTATTTAGAACAGGCTTATGTAAAATGCCCTCATTTATCTAAATAAGTTGATTTTTTGGTTATTGTAATCTAGTAAGGTTTTTGCATCACTACTGGTCTGTCATGAAGTTTTTCTGCTGGCTTATTCACTTATTTAGACTTCATTTAGGGAAGCTATTTCAGAATACCATCTCATAAAATGTATCATTATCTTGTTTTTGCAAAATTCACTTACTTTTTGGGCACATTTACCCAGCATTTCAAATAAGTGTATAGGCATGTGCCTTGTTTAAGTACAATTTATAAGACTTCATGTTTGCAAGTTACATATTAGGGTAGTGATTGTTTATATTACCAGGGATTCTACACTTTACCAAAAAAAATTGCCATAAGATTTTCCTGTTCCATTTTAAATTGTCTTGATATTTAAAAAAATAACTTCTACATTCTCAGGAAGAAATACATGAAGTAAATCATATCTCCATGTCTGTTTCCAGATTTCTCTAATCTTTTTACTATCCCAATACATTCCTAATTCCTATAAACGTAGTGGCTTAAATACTGAATACCTGGCAGCTCTTAAAGATCCCTTAGGCAGATGATGATAATTTTCAGTGTTTCGTCATGTTTAATAGAAATCAAACTGACTTGTGTTTTAAAATACAAGTTGTCTGCTAGTAAAGTTACATGATTTAGGTGTGTTTTAGGTTTTCTGCAACAATTAGCTGTGAACCCCTAATGTAGCTAAGTTTATACAAATTTTATAATCAAAATTATTTATTTTTATTTTTTTAGAGTATGTCAAAAACATATAGTGTTTGCTTTGTGAAATACATTTGCTTAGAGTTATAAAATATACTGTGACTCAGAAATTGTAAAGTCAGTTTGCGTTGTAAAAATGAATACTACCAGCATGTCAAAAGAAAAATAATTTACATTTGTAATATAAAGTAAAATTGTATTTAATATATTTATTGAATTTTAAATTTGCACTAACTTGAAAACTTTAAAGGTTATACTAATTTAATGATTAATGTGGACCCAAATACATAATTTGGCCAAAAAAGTCATTAGAATGGGTAATGGTTTTGTGTGGTTTTCCTTCAAAATGATAATATTGAAGCAAGAACCAGCATTTTATATTGATAATTTTTTTAATATTTCTACCCAGTTGAGGACAGTGGAATATAAGTAGATATATTTAAAATATCTAGATATTTAAAAAGAAAGAAAAGGTTGTTTATCCCAATCTGAATTCATTCTCAGCAACAAGACAGAAAAGGTGGTTTGGGTTTTGCTTTTAAACAGTGTCCCCCTGTCTTTTTCAATTTTTCCCTTGAAGCCTTTCTCTTGTTCTTCAGAGTACGCGCTGCAGGCTATCTGCAGCATCAGAATGCCTGGGCAGGCTGTTGAAAGTATGGATTCCTGAGCCCAACCCTTAACTTAATGATTCCCTGTCTCTGGAGATGCAACATAGAAATCTCTGTTTTTATTAACAAGCGCCTCAGGCGATTCTTAAGCATACTGAAATTTGAAAGCTTCTGGTCTGAACCTCATGTATTCACCTAGGGCTTTTGCTAGGTGGGATACCATGCCGAAAAATTGAATTAATTGTATGTTCTTAAAATTGTTTTTCTTCTACTCCGCTGTCCTCTTCCCTCAAAATCACTTTTCTAAAAGAACTCTATGAAAAACTTATTTGTATCATACCCAAATTGATATATTTGTCTGAACTCTGTTACATAAAAATTGGTATGATTCATATGTGGAATCAGTTTTTGGACTGTGACCCATGCAGTGTTGGGGGACAAGGAGTTGCTTCAGGAGTTAGTGCAGTGCGCCTCCAAGGGGCAGTGAGCCATGGAGGCGCCTGCCTTCTCACTGCAGTCAATGCAGCCACACTTGTGTATACTGAGTGCTGCTTCAGATCTCAGTAGATAAAATAATTCCACATTTAAAATGATTCTGCTATTTTTTATAAAGGGTTTGAAAGCCACTACTATAATGACTTTGTCACCTAATTGATTTTCTACTAATTTTTACATATTCAGAAACTTCGTGTTTTTTTGGTGGACAGAATATTTTGGAGGTCTCCGTCGCTGTTTAGAATGTGGCCACTTGGCTGTTTCACAGTTTTTAAAGCTATTTTATTGAATAGTAAAGCAGTGAACTTAGCCTTTGTTCTTTGTGTTTCTAATTTAAGCATATAGTCTATTTAATTTTTGATATGTAAATACACATCAATACATATATATTTACCCATGTGGCCCTGTGTAGTCAGTGCATGAGGCTTGCATAGCCCAGAAAGGTACATTCCAGGGTTCTGGGGAAAGAATTTTAAAATGCCATCCTCTAATACAGACGTTTATAAAACTTAAATGAAATGATTGGGCTTAACCATATGCAAGAAAGTCTGCAGAAAATAAATCACCTAGAAACTATAAATAGAAATGTGCTGCTGAGGCTGGGCACGGTGGCTCACACCTGTAATCCCAGCACTTGGGGGGCTAAGGGAGGCGTATCACCTGAGGTCAGGAGTTTGAGACAAGCCTGGTCAACATGGTGAAACGCCGTCTCTACTAAAAATACAAAAAAAATTAGCCAGGTACATTGGCACATGCCTTTAATCCCAGCTAATCAGGAGGCTGAGGCACGAGAATTGCTCGAACCCAGGCGGCAGAGCTTGCAGTGAGCGGAGATCACATGACTGCACTCCAGCCTGGGCAACAGAGCAAGACTCCATCTCAAAAAAAAAAAGGCCGGGCGTGGTGGCTCACGCCTGTAATCCCAGCACTTTGGGAGGCTGAGGCAGGTGGATCACGAGGTCAGGAGATCGAGACTATCCTGGCTAACACGGTGACACCCCGCCTCTACTAAAAATCCAAAAATTTAGCCGGGCATGGTGGCGGGCACCTGTAGTCCCAGCTACTCGGGAGGCTGAGGCAGGAGAATGGCGTGAACCCGGGAGGCAGAGCTTGCAGGGAGGCGGAGCTTGCAGCGAGCCGAGATAGTGCCACTGCAGTGGGGCCTGGGCCAAAGAGTGAGACTCCATCTCAAAAAAAAAAAAAAAGAAAGAAATGTGTTGCTGGTATCAGATATCAGACCAAGAACACTTCAGTCTCTCTAAGGATGCCCTGAGCTACCTCACTGTTAAAGGACGACATCAACACAGAATGCACTAAACAGGAAATAAGCTGTAATCTAGAGAATTTCCATTATGTGTTACTTTTTGGTGACTAACATGGAATGTTGAAAAGGAAGAGCTGGAAAGCTCAGTTGTTTTCCTTGTTCCTCTGACATTGTCCAGGCAAGAGGGCATCCTGATCAGATGAGTAGATTTGGCTGAGAAAAACCCTAGAGTAAGGCAGGCACTTTGTGGAGGTGGATGATGATGGCTCATAAAAACGTTTGTTCTCAGTCCAGTTCAGGGCTCTGCCAGCAGTCTTTCAGATCTGAACTGCTTAAACAAACCCTACAGATAAATTGGCACTCTGATTTGTAATTCTGTTTGTACAAGTTTAGAGCAGCCTAGCTCGAGTCCTCAACCCCAGTCCTCTTAGAAGTGAACTGATTGCACTGGATCCCTAAACCCACAATGTTGAGGACACATGTGATGACTCCACTTGCTCAGCCAGCTGGCCTCTTGCACTTTCCCCTGCCCACCACTTGTAACTACCACTTAATTATCTTGTGTTAATTGCTTTTGTTGTGTTGGGTCTGTATTTTTGTGGTCAGTGCCTGCAGGCAGAAATGTGAAAGCATTTGGTATGTTGAAGATACTTGCTTCTTTTTTAATAAAATTAAAAGTGCAGCACGTAAGTATGATACTGTGTAGTTTTTTGACACAACCATGAGATACAATAAGCAGCTTTGACTTAGTGTCCCAAAAAGTGGTTCTTGGTCTACAGCAGGGCAAACATATATGTGGCAAGTTCTGATCACATACTTTTAGACAGAAAGAATAAAAAATTCATATTGCATGGCTTTTGTAGCCTAAGAGCACAGAATCATACACGTGTGTTAGGAGAAACATTCATTCTCACGCATATAAACTGGCTCCTGGCAGAGTAGAGCAGTAAGTGGGATCAAAGGTGAATTCACCTTATTTTCAGTTGGTAGAGTATGGAAAAATGTATCACTTATTTGAAATACCTGAATGGAAACCCAGCCTCTACTACTGTAACTTAACACTTGTTCTTCCTGAGCCTCAAATTTTCTTTCTCTGTAAGAATGGGAATTAATGCCCACCTACGGGTTGCAAGTGCTTACAGGAGCTGGGCAAGCAACGAAGGTAAGAGTTGTAGAGACTTCGGTAAACTGGAGCACATGATTCCTGGGAAGCAGGCCTAGTGTAAACAATTTATTTTTCTAGAAAAGACAGAAGTTTAGAGTATATGAAATCTAATTTTTAAGTATTGGTTGGCAACTAATTGACTATCGTCTACCATAAGGTTATATGATAATTATTAGGGCAGGAGAGTGAATGCATCTTAATATGCATGGCAGAACTGTGTGTTTCCTTCCATCTGGATTTTCATAAAGCTTTCTGATTTATCAGTAACGATCTGAAAAATGTACTGTGGCATGTAACATCTTTTATTCATTTTATTAGGCATTAGAGGAAGAATATTCTGTAGTCCTGCTTTATTCTGCCATCTTTACCTGGAAATCCATTTTTATAAAATTTTTGTAATAAAAATTCACTTGATCACTTGCCTGCTTTCTTTTAAACAGTGCCAAGCGTAATGCCCCTTGATAATTTACATATATGTGAACGTGGCTGTGATAGCTGCTGATGTTCACACATAGGCCATCTTACATGTAATGATCCATGTTTGGACTTAAACAGCTTCACACATTTATTGTACAGTTAGGTGTCACATGCTTTTACTTTTTATTTTATAATCTGTATTTCTGTGAGGTAGACATTATTGGCTCCATGTTATATACATTGATAGCCCGGAGCTAGAGATTGAACCCAGGCCATCCTCCCCACTGCCTTTCATCATCAACACAACCACCACCAACAGTATTTTAAAAGTGTTAAATATTGGCAGACGTGTCATTGTTCTGAGCACTAGGACTAGGGCTTATGCGGCTGTCTGAGGAATTCCCTGTACAAGGAAACATCATATACCAAAAAGTTACTCATGGAAGGAGTTTGGAGATGATGAGCTAAAAGTATTACACATGGACTATTGTAAAAGAAAAAAAAGCAGGCACAATAAAATTTTAGAATGTACTTAAGAAGCAATTCGTGACTTGGGAAACCCCAAACCCAATGAGGATTTAGTGTTTCAATGACACAACATCAGAGGCAAGTATTCATAGAGTGCATACAGAAGCAAAATTAAGAAATGATTTGATTGGTTGCCTTTTTTGGCTTACTTTCTTGGAAAGTCCCCAGTCTCATGATCATGTTAGTTGGCTGCTTATGATTGGCTGAGGTTAAGTTTTGTATCTAACATAAGCATTTACCAAAAATGACCCAAGTTAAGTTTCATTTATGTTTACAGTTTAAGTAGGTTAGGGCTATTTTTAAGGCCTAGTTGGTTTGTTTGCTCAGGAATGTTTCAAGCCTAGTTTCCATTTTAATTTTGCTTTGACAGTTCCCCACTTTTAGTCACCCCGTCCGCAAGCTGAGAGTGTGACCAAATGGCATAGCATTACTCTCAGTTACCACTATTGACATAGTCTAGGAAGAAGAGTCAGATGTTTATCAATAGCTGCCCTAGGGCTCAGAGTCACCCTCGGGAATGACATAGTCCATGCTGGTTTCCTCCAGTTGTCTGATCCTTACGGCAATCTTTTGACATATGAGTGACTACTGGAAAGCACTTAAACATCCTTGAAAGGACCAGCCTCTGTGAATAACACCTGTAATCTCAGAACTTTGGAGGCCAGAGTAGGGGAATTGCTTGAGCAGGAGTTCAAGACCAGCTAGACAATGTAACAAGACCCCATGTCTACAAAAAAAAAAAAATTTTTTTTTAATTAGCTGGGCAGGGCTGGGTATGGAGGCTTACACCTGTAATCCCAGAATTGTGGGAGGCCAAGGCAGGTGGATTGCTAGAGCTCAGGAGTTCGAGACCAACCTAAGCAACATATTGAAACCCCATCTCTACCAAAAATACAAAAAATTAGCCGGGCGTGGTGGCACACACCTCTGGTCCCAGCTGCTCGGGAGGCTGATGGAGGAGGGTCACTTGAGCCTGAGAGGCAGAGGTTGCAGTGAGCCGAGATTGCGCCACAGCACTCCATCCTGGGTGACAGACTGAGACCTCATCTCAAAAAAATACAAATTAGCTGGGTAGTGCTCACTACAGCAGCACATATACTAAAATTGGAACAATACAGAGAAGGTTAGCATGGCCCCTGAACAAGGATGACATGCAAATTCATGAAATGTTCCATATTTTTACATATAAAAGCAAGCTGAATCCTGATCACCTTGAGTACATGTCATCAGGGACCTCCTGAGGCTGTGTCCCGTGCCCATGCATGTCCTTAATCTTGGCAAAATAAACTTTCTAAATTGGAAAAAAAAAAATTAGCTGAGTGTGGTGATGCACACCTGTAGTCCCAGCTACTCAGGAGACGGAGGTGGGAGGATCACTTTTGTCCAGGAGTTCCAGGCTACAGTGAGGTAGCATTGCACCACTGTACTCCTGCCTGGGTCAAAGAGCACGACACTGTCGCTCAAAAATAAATTTTAAAAATTATTGAGAAAATACAATGCACTGTGTTGGGTAAGCCATTGTGTATGGGTACCCACTGTGTATGGGTAAACACAATAACTACAAGAAGAATAATAGCAAAGGATTGAAAACCCTGAGTAAAGATTCCCAGGAGCCAAGATTTAACCAACTGAATAAATCAAGGGAGGCAGTGCTAATGAGATGAAAACCTTGTGTTCTTTAGGAACTTTTACATTTTGGGCAACAATATCAAATATAACAAACACTTAATGTTTTGTTAACATAAAAACACCGTAAGCTTCTCCCTGCTGAGCAGCTGAAGTGTCAGTAACTCCTACTTTGGGGTACTGCTGAGGTGAAATTATTCATCTCATATTGTACTGCTTGAAGAAAATTCGTAAGTATCACTAAAACTTTTTTCAAGAGTTGCTGAAATACTAACAAGCAATTTTTTCAATTCAGAGGCTCCCAGCTGAGGAAAAAGAGCTCTTACAAAAGAGTGAAATCTGTAACCCTTGTATGATTGAGTCTGGAGATCACTCAGGAGGCTCATTTCTGAGGGCTCACTTTATGTACAAGTGACCTGAGGTTCAGAATTTGACTAACATTTAGAGTCATCTGGTCATTTTAGGTAGGACATAGCCAAAACATTCTGATCATTTAGGTGGAAAAACCTTTATATATTTGTCATACAAGATGAACAATCCGGCTGGGCGTGGTGGCTCATGCCTGTAATCCCAGCACTTTGGGAGGCCAAGGCGAGTGGATCACCTGAGGTTGTGAGTGTGAGACCAGCCTGGCCAACATGGTGAAACCCCATCTCTACTAAAAATACAAAAAAATTAGCTGGGCATGGTGGCAGTTGCCTGTAATCCCAGCTACTTGGGAGGCTGAAGCAGGAGAAATCGCTTGAATTTGGGAGGCAGAGGTTTCAGTGAGCCGAGATCATGCCATTGCACTCCAAGCTGGGCAACAAGAGCAAAACTCCATCTCACAAAAAAAAAAAAAAAAAAAGATGAACGATCCACAAGTTGATTAGGGCCTTTGGGAGATAATCAGGATTAAATAAGGTGGTCAGGGTGGGCCTCCCATTATCAGGCTGGTGAAAGGAGCCATGACCTTCAAACTGATACTAAATCTTGACCATGATTTAGGTAATGGCAATGGACTCTGGACCAATAAAGCCCTCAGACAACTGGACGGAGGGGGAGATCAGACAAATAAGAACCTATTAT
This sequence comes from Homo sapiens, assembly GCF_000001405.40. Lineage (NCBI taxonomy): Eukaryota > Metazoa > Chordata > Mammalia > Primates > Hominidae > Homo > Homo sapiens. The sequence goes on from NC_000017.11 coordinate 56,872,790, forward strand.
TTCTAAATAAGTGAGACATTATGTAAATGGGAACATATAAACAGAGCCGTATGGTCTGGAGTCAAGTAACATACATATTAGCAGGGCATGTGATCATTTATAAAACAATTTTATATAAAGTATTCCCCATAGAAACCCAATGGAGGAGGCAGAGTAGATATAATTTTTCTAAATGAGTACATTGCGATTCAGAAAGGCTGATGACATGCCAGGGTTGCACGGAGCTGGGATACTGATCCAGTCTTGTGACTCCAAAATTTAGTGGAGTTTGTTGTTCATTTTTTTCCCCCACTAAGTTATGCCACCTTTTTCCTAGGTCAGGGGTTCCTAGCCTTTATTATATCATAAGCCAGCCTCTATAAGAAGTTGGCTATAGCTACAGACACTTCCTCCCTCCCTCTGACCCTAGCAGTTTGGCGCATACAGCAGAATTTTGCAGCCAACTTGGAGGGCCTCCGAGACTCCAATTAAGAACCTCTGAACCAAAGATACCAGTCCTAGCTGAGGTATCTCAGACATATTTAGTATAAACTGGCAATGAGCTTGTTCTGTCTGGTTATCTTCTGTCTGTGGCCATTTTCTATTCTGATTCATCCACAAGCCCACAGAGAAGTCAGTAACACACAGGTTCAGAAAAGCCAGTGGTGGAGAAATGTTTCCGGGAGAAAAAACAGTGGCACTAGGGTTGCGCCTCTAGGGAGGTGCCATTCGACATGTTCTGGGAACAACATGCTGGACAAGCTGGCAAGAAGAAAAGACTGATGCGTGGCCAGGCGCGGTTGCTCATGCCTGTAATCACAGCACTTTGGGAGGCCGAGGCGAGTGGATCACCTGAGGTCAGGAGTTCAAGACCAGCCTGGCCAACATGGTGAAACCCCGTCTCTACTAAAAATACAAAAAAATTAGCTGGGTGTGGTGGCGGGTGCCTGTTGTCCCAGCTACTTGGGAGGCTGAGGCAGTAGAATTGCTTGAACTCGGGAGGAGGAGGTTTCAGTGAGCCAAGATCATGCCATTGCACTCCAGCCTGGGCAACAAGAGCAAAACTCCATCTCAAAAAAAAAAACAGATGAACAATCCAGTATTATTGAGAGAAAGGTGTAAAGTGAATCCCATTATCCGCCAGTTGGGGGTGACATGAATGCCATAGCTATTCTTTGTCATATCTGCATTTGCACATTGCCACGTTGAATGGTTATGCTTTAAAATTGGAGAGTTGGAACCAAAAACAGTTCACTGTACTTGATAAAGTAACTCATGTATGTCATCAACAACTAAGGATGACTGTTTCCTCTTCAAATATGCCCCGAGTATTTATCCAATAAACAAAACTAGTTATTTTCTATAGTGGTACTATAGAGTCATTCCATTTGCTTCTAGAGTTTCCAGTGAACCAATGCCTAATTTCAGTGAGCTCTCTATGATATAGTTAAGGGTATCATGGTCATGTTCTGGTATTATATCTGCATCATTATATAGAGTAGTTCAGTCTCCATAATCTATATCAAACCAAAGACTTTGATTACAGAGGGAGTCTGGACCACTGCTGAGATTAGTCCCAGTTTTTCTTTTCTCTCTCTCTCTTTTTTTTTTTTTTTTTTTTTTGAGACAGAGTCTCAATCTGTTGCCCAGGCTGGAGTTAAGTGGAACAAACATGGCTCACTGTAGGCTCTCCCTCCAGGGCTTAAGTGATCCTCCCACTGCAGCCTCCCAAGTAGCTGGGACTACAGGCGTGCATCACCATGCCTGGCTAATTTTTGTATTTTTGCTTAGTAGAGACAGGGTTTCACCATTTTGCCCAGGCTGGTCTTGAACTCCTGGGCTCAAGCAATCTGCCTGCCTTGGCCTCCCAAAGTGTTGGGATTACAGACATGAGCCAGAGCACCCAGCCCCACTGACGGATTTTTCTCTAGGCATAGAGAAAAATTACCAGTGATAAAATCAGTAGTAGTTGTAGGCCATTCCTTTGCTTCTATTGCTTCTTCCCAGTGCTGTTTGTCGATCTGAGCTACCTACCAAGGGAAGGATACTAAACCCTTTCATGAACGCAGTTTCCTGAATTACTCACTCAAGCATGTGTAGGAGCAGGTTCTAATATTAGTTGTGATTCTTCCCATTCATCTAGATAACTATGTATCTAGCAATGCATTGGTTAATGCTGTAGTTTGCATGTATTCCCTTAAATTTCATGTATTTGAAACTTAATCCCCAAATTCACAAGTTGATTAGAGATACGGCCTTTGGGAGGTAATCAGGATTAAATAAGGTGGTCAGGGTGGGCCTCCCATTATCAGGCTGGTGAAAGGAGCCATGACCTTCAAACTGATACTAAATCTTGACCATGATTTAGGTAATGGCAATGGACTCTGGGCCAATGAAACCCTCAGACAACTGGAGGGAGGGGGAGAAAAGACAAGTAAGAACCTATTATTTCTAAATAAGTGAGACATTATGTAAATGGGAACACATAAACAGAGCCGTATGGTCTGGAGTCAAGTAACATACATATTAGCAGGGCATATGATCATTTATAAAATAATTTTATATAAAGTATTCCCCATAGAAACCCAATTGAGGAGGCAGAGTAGATATAATTTTTCTAAATGAGTACATTGCGATTCAGAAAGGCTGATGACATGCCAGGATTGCACAGAGCTAGGATACTGATCCAGTCTTGTGACTCCAAAATTTAGTGGAGTTTGTTGTTCCTTTATTTTTTCTCCCACTAAGTTATGCCATCTTTTTCCTAGATCAGGGGTTCCTAGCTTTTATTGTATCATAAGCCAACCTCTATAAGAAGTTGGCTATAGTTACAGACACTTCCTCCCTCCCTCTGACCCTAGCAGTTTGGCGCATACAGCAGAATTTTGCAGCCAACTTGGAGGGCCTCCGAGACTCCAATTAAGAACCTCTGAACCAAAGATACCAGTCCTAGCTGAGGTATCTCAGACATATTTAGTATAAACTGGCAATGAGCTTGTTCTGTCTGGTTATCTTCCTCTGTCTCTGGCCATTTTCTATTCTGATTCATCCACAAGCCCACAGAGAAGTCAGTAACACACAGGTTCAGAAAAGCTAGTGGTGGAGAATGCTCGCTTTGGCAGCACATATACAGAAAAGCTAGTGGTAGAGAAACGTTTCTTGGAGAAAAAAAGTGGCATTTAGGCTGCACCTCTAAAGAGATGCCATTCTGACATGTTCTGGGAACAACATGTTGGCAAGCTGGCAAGAAGAAAAGACTCATGCATGGCCAGGTGCGGTTGCTCACGCCTGTAATCCCAGCACTTTGGGAGGCTAAAGTGGGCTGATCACCTGAGGTCAGGAGTTTAAGACTAGCCTGGCCAACATGACAAAACCCTGTCTCTATTAAAAACACAAAAATTAGCCGGGTATGGTGGCGGACACCTGCAGTCCCAGCTACTCAGGAGGCTGAGGCAGGAGAATCCCTTGAACCCGGGAGGCGGACGTTGCAGTGAACTGAGATCGCACCATTGCATTCCAGCCTGGGTGACAAGAGCAAAACTCCATCTCAAAAAAAAAAAAAAAAAAAAAAAAAAGAACCTAAAGCATGCCATAAATCTGTGAACTATGAACTTTAGGGTGCCATGTACAAAAATGGCATTTTAAGATTATCCTGGGAGCAGTGTGGAAGATGAGTTGTAAGGGGGAAGGATTAGAAAGAGGAAAGTTATTCGATAGAAGTAGAGCAGAAATGAGAACATTCATGGAGGAAGAACTGACAGGCTAAGATGTAGGATACCTAGAGGAAAGGGGTAAGGGATCTCTCAAGATTTTCAGCCTTGGAAGAACGAATGTGTTCAATAACTATTTATTGTGTACACTCTATTGATGATAGAAGTGTGGAGGTGCAGGGCGTCAAGGCCAAAGCCAAGTTCTGAGTCAACCAGTCAAGTTGCAAGGAGCTACTTTAAGATTTAGAGAGTTTATTACTTACGTAGACAGCAAAAAGAATAAATGTGCCAGCTTCCTGTGATCTTTGTCCTACATACCACGAAGTGTATGACACCAAATCAAAGACCCACATGACTGCAGTGTGAGTTGTGGGATACCCCGTTGCCGAAGTGCTAATCCTAGAAGCTCTATCCTGAGGAAGCCGGGACAGAAAGCCTCCACGTCACCAGAACCCCCAAGATATGAGAAACTGTCTCATGACAGCTTCCCAGGAGAGATAAGGAGGTGAACAGAAGATCTCCTCACAATGGCTATGTACACAGGCTTCCCAGCCTCCCACATCCAGGAAGACCATGAGGCGTTCTGCCAAGACTCTGCCTAAGTGGATACATGCAAGGTCACCATGATGCGGTGGTGGAGCTGTTCCCCAACACAGGGGAGAGCTGGTTTTGAGGAACAAGAAATAAACATGGTTTTAAATACATAGACTGTAAAGTTACATTCAGACATTCACATGGAATTGACCGGGGCTTTTGTTTTCATCAACTTTGTCTTGGCTGTTACACAGCAGTGGATAACCAGAGCACAGCTGTTGATTGATCACCCAACACCCACTTCCCTTCTCTTTCCCTGCAGCAGACTGCCACGTCGGTCCAAATGACAGCCAAGTACTCAGAGAAGGTGACCCACCCCAACTCAGGAGTAACCAACATGCGAATCCCATTCTCTTTGCAGTTGGAGGTGGACGTGCAAGTTAACTCTAGCCAATGAGATGTGAGGGGGAGATCTGCAGGGTGCCTCCAGGAAAGGCTTCCTGGCTCTTAAAAAGACAGAGACAATGTCATAACTGGGTGCAATGCCTGCAACATTGCAGCCATCTTCTGACCATGAGGGACTCAGTGCTGAGGACAAAGCCAACAGGCCAAGAAAGGTGGTGTAGAAAGAAGGAAGGAGCCCTTGATGACAATGTTGAGACAATGTTGAGTCAACCAACCCCACAGCTGCCCTAGCTGGGACTACTGGATATGTGAGATGAAATTTTTCTTTATTCATTTATTTATTTATTTATTTTGAGACAGGGTTTTACTCCATCACCCAGGTTGGGGAGCAGCGATCATAGCTCACTTCAGCCTTGAAGTCCTCGGCTCAAGTGATCCTCCCACCTCAGCCTCCCAAGTAACTGGGGCTACAGGAACGCTCCACCACACCCAGCCCTTATTTTTTTCAGTTGAGTTTTCTGCTCATTGCTACCAAAAGCAGCATCCTAACTGATACTTATGTAAAGTCCTGTACATTACCAGGAACATAGGAAGTTGAAATAAATGTCAGCTATTACATGATGATGATGAAGAAGAAAGAAGAGGAAGAGGAAGAGGAAGAGGAAGAAGAAGAAGAAAGAAGAGGAAGAAGAAGAAGAAGAAGAAGAACAAGAAGAAGAAGAAGAAGAAGAAGAAGAAGAAGAAGAAGAAGAAGAAGAAGAAGAAGGAGAAGGAGAAGAAGAAGAAAAAAAAAAGTGGGTGGATTCTTGAAGGGCAAAATGCTAAGGTGAAAATAGCAGAGATCCTGGACCTTGGAGAACACTCACCTTTAGGGGAGACTGGACAGAGGATGAAATGACAAATAATCAGTAAAGGAAAGGGAAATGAAGTTTAATGCAAGCAAAGGGAATGAGAATAATACACAAGGAATACTAGTTCCATCACGTGCAATGCCACAGAGAGGACTGTTTCCCTTTCTCCCTTTGGGGGAGACCTCAAGGGGAACCAAATTTGATTCACAAAGGCTCACCTTTATGTACCAGTGGATGTCTTTTTTTTTTTTTTTTTTTTTTGAGATGGAGTCTCGCTCTGTCACCCAGGCTGGAGTGCGGTGGGGCGATCTCGGCTCACTGCAACCTCCGCCTCCTGGGTTGAAGCGATTCTCCTGCCTCAGCCTCCCGAGTAGCTTGGATTACAGGTGCATGCCACCACTCCCGGCTACGTTTTGTATTTTTAGTAGAGACCAGGTTTCACCATGTTGGCCAGGGTGGTCTTGAACTCCTGACCTCAAGTGATCTGCCCTCCTCGGCCTCCCAAAATGCTGGGATTACAGGCATGAGCCACCACACCCTGCACCAGTTGATGTCTTTTAAGGTGTCTTTCTAGGCCAGTGATTCTCAAAGTGCAGTTCCCAGACCAGCAGCCTCAACAATACCTGAGAACTTGCTAGAAATGTGAATTTGTGAATTTTCGAGCTCCACCTTAAACCTGTTGAATCAGAAACTCTGGGAGTGGAGCTTGAGAATCTGGTTTTTTTTTTAGTTATTTTATATATATGGAGAGTGAGAGTGAGGCTGGTGGCCAGGCGCGGTGGCTCATGCCTGTAATCCCAGCACTTTGGGAGGGCAAGGCGGGTGGATCACGAGGTCAGGAGATCGAGACCATCCTGGCTAACACAGTGAAACCCCGTCTCTACTAAAAATACAAAAAATTAGCCGGGCGTGGTGGTGGGCGCCTGTAGTCCCAGCTACTGGGGAGGCTGAGGCAGGAGAATGGCATGAACCCGGGAGGCGGAGCTTGCAGTGAGCGGAGATGGCGCCACTGCACTCCAGCCTGGGTGACAGAGTGAGACTCAGTCTCAAAAAAAAGGAAAAAAGAAAAAAGAGAGTGAGGCTGGAATGCAGCTCACTGCAGACTCAACCTCCTGGTGCCAGACTAAATTTCTGTTCTTGTTGCTGAAACAAGGTCTCCCTCTGTCGCCCAGGCTGGAGTGCAGTGGTGCGATTTCAGCTCACTGCAGACTCGACCTCCCAGGCTCAAGCAACTCTGCCACCACGGTGGTGGCATGGGACTACAGATGCACATCACCACACCGGCTGATTTTTGTATTTTTTTTAGACACAGGATCTCGCCATGTTGCCCAGGCTGGTCTCAAACTGTTGAGCTCCAGTTATCCACCCACCTCAGTCTCCCAAATTGCTGAGATTACAGGCGTGAGCCACCATGCCTGGCCTATTTTTTCTTTAGGACTCTGGGAACGGTTATATTTAGCGTGTGTGTGTGTGTGTGTGTGTTTGGAGACAGAGTCTCGCTCTGTTGCCCAGGCTGGAGTGCAGTGGTACAGTCAAAGCTCACTGCAACCTCCACCTCCTGGGTTCAAGCAATTCTCATGTCTCGGCCTCCCGAGTAGCTAGGATTACAAGTGCCCACTACCATGCCCAGCTAATTTTTGTGTTTTTAGTAGAGACGGGGTTTCACCATTTGGCCAGGCTGGTCTTGAATTCCTGGCCTCATGTGATCCACCCACTTCAGCCTCCCAAAGAGCTGGGATTCCAGGCATGAGCCACCATGCCCAACCTAGCATCGGGTTTTAAATTTTACTTTTTCTCCTCTGTTATAAATTCCTCTGGCTGACCCCAGACATACAGCACATCTCTCATGCACGCTGGGCTTGTGTTCACGATGTGCATTGACACATTAGACTAACATCTCTGGTGTGTCTCCTGTGTCCCAGGCATTGTTCTGAGTATTTAGGAAACAGCAACGAACAGAAGAGATGAAACTCCTGCACTCATGGAGCTCACTTTCTAATGGGAAGTGAAAGAGTAGGATGAAGGGAACTGTGCCCTTCCTTACATCACCCCACACTTAAAATAGAACCTAAAACCACACACGGGGTTCTTCAAATACCAGGCACACTGCTGCCCCAGGGCCTTCTCTCTCTCCTAGAGCTTTGCATGGTCTAACCCTCTCCCCACTTCATTCTGGACACTGAGCAAATGTTATCCCATCAGAGAGGGCTTTCCTGAATGCCTTAGCTAGACCAGCACACACATGTATCTATCATGCCATGCCCCTAACTGGCTTTGTTTTCTTTATGGCCCTTTTCCCTAGACTAAAATGTTGTCTATTTCCTCTACTAGAATGTAGGCACCACGGAGGCAGGAATTTGGGTTTCTTTTCTCACTGCTGTCTCCCCAATCTAGGGACAACGCCTGGCACCCAGTAGGCACTCAAGAAGTATTTACTGAACGAATCAGTCACCCCTTCACTGATGTCAGTTTGGCAACAGTAGTACTGACAGAGGGGATCGTGGCTGGAGTTCCAGGCGGGGAACCACAGAGGCATACTTGAGGGGTAGGGGAAACGAAAAATTACCTGGAGGAGCAGCTGTCCTAAATATAGCAGCAGCAGATGACCCGTGACCAGGGTCACTGTCCGACCACACCAGATTCTGCAAGTTGGCAGGGTTTTCATTGTATATATGAAATATATATACAATTGTATATATATGAAATAAGATATATATACAATTGTATATATGAAATATATAAATTGTATATATGAAATATATAAATTGTATATATGAAATATATATACAATTGTATATATGAAATATATATACAATTGTATATATGAAATATATATACAATTGTATATATGAAATATATATACAATTGTATATATGAAATATATATACAATTGTATATATGAAATATATATACAATTGTATATATGAAATATATACAATTGTATATATGAAATATGTACAACTTCATATATATTTGTATATGTATTTGTATATGTATATGTATATGCATTTGTATATGTATATGTATATATATATTTTTATATATAATATATGTATATATATTTATATATAATATATGTATATATATATTTATATATATTTATATATAATATATGTATATATATATTTATATATATTATATATATATATAAAAAAGACAACTATGGAATAGAATTTCAGCATCTATGTTTTATTTTTATTTTTATTATATTTTATTTTTTGAGACAGAGTTGCATTCTTTTGGCCAGGCTGGAGTGGAGTGGCACGATGTCAGCTCACTGCAACCTCCGCCCCCAGTTCAAGTGATTCTCCTGCCCCAGCCTCCCGAGTAGCTGGGATTATAGGTGCCAACCACCACACCTGGCTAATTTTTGTATTTTTAGTAGAGACAGGGTTTTGCAATATTGGCCAGGTTGGTCTTGAACTCCTGACCTCAGGTGATCCACCCACCTCAGGTGATCCACCTGCCTCAGCCTTCCAAAGTGTTGAGATTACAGGCATGAGCTCCCACACCCAGCCTTGTTTTAACCTTCTTTTAGTCTCCGCCTTGACATAAGGCCAGGAGTGGTGGCTTCTAGTACTCTCTCCTTTTCCCTGTCATAGAGACTACGGATTCCTAAAAGTGGACAGCAGTGCCCTGCTGAACCCAGTTACTGGTTACTGGCTGCCCTCCAGACAGGGGCCAGATGAAAAATCAATGTGTGCCATTGTCAGAATATGTTTTAAAGAAATCTGACTTGAGGCATATTAAACAGTTGGACATAAAGGGGTAGTGTCTCATTATGAGCCATTAGGAATAGGCAAGAAAAAGCAAAACAGAAACTGCTCCACCTACCAGGTAGTGCTCCTGTTCATAGAACAAAGTGCTGCTCACCGAATAGTACAAAGTCATGCAACAACTGCATCCAGTACATAAATGCAGAAGCTTTTTAAATTTACACCTTGTATAATTTGTTAAGGTTACATTGCTGGGCTGGGCACCATGGCTCATGCCTGTAATCTCAGCACTTTGGGAGGCTGAGGTGGGTGGATCACTTGAGTCCAAGAATTCAAGACAGCCTGGCCAACATGGTGAAACCATGTCTCTACCAAAAAAATACAAAAATTAGCTGGGTGTGGTGGCAGGCGCCTGTAGTCCCAGCTACTTGGGAGGCTGAGGCAGGAGAATCACTTGAACCCAGGAGGCAGAGGTTGCTGTGAGCCGAGATCGCACCACTGCACTCCAGCCTGGGCGATTCTGTCTCAAACGAACAAACAAACAAAAAGATTACATTGCTGGCATACATTTCTTTTCTTTTTAGAGATTGGGTCTCACGATGTCGCCCTGGGCTGGACTCAAACTTGTGGTCTCAAAGCAGTCTTCCCACCTCAGCCTCCAAGTAGTCGGAACCAGGCCTAGCTTTGCTGGCAACTAATGATAGTTTGTACTTCCTAAATCATTAGTAAATTTCAATTTCTATTTTTAAAAATAATTATCCAAAAAGGAAACACAGCACAAATTGCCTTCAGCCTTGTACAAATAAAGAGATAATCAGTGAGTAGTTTATAAAGTGGGAATGATAAGTTTCTGAGCTTTTTTTTAAAAAAAGGAAGTCATTTCTGTTAAAGAAGAATTGATTTAGTTGGGCACTTTAAGAACTTAGTTTCTGTGCTTTATACAGGTGACACTAACTCTGCGCGCCATTTCAAGGGTTGTGCATCTGGTGGTACCAGTAACATCAAAGGGTGATTAATAATCCAATATTATTAATGAATACATGGATATTGGTATTAGAGGTCAAATACTATCTTTGTCTGTGAATTTTTTTATGTAGAGAAGGGTGATGTAAAATTACAAACTGAGTGGTTTTTTTTTTCATATGAACATTCCCCTATCCTCAAGAGTAGGACAATAGTAAATTCACAGAACAATTGTAAATTAACATAGGTGCTGGCCAATCTGAAACCAGTATATTAAGTGTTCAAGGGGAATCAGGCTGGGCTCAGTGGCTCATGCCTGTAATCCCAGCACTTTGGGAGGCCGAGGCAGGCGGATCCCGAGGTCAGGAGATCGAGACCATCCTGGCCAACATGGTGAAACCCCGTCTCTACTAAAAATACGAAAATTAGCTGGGTGTGGTGGCGTGTGCCTGTAGTCCCAGCTACACGGGAGGCTGAGGCAGAAGAATCACTTGAACCCAGGAGGCAGAGGTTGCAGTGAGCCGAGATTGCGCTATTGCACTCCAGCCTGAGTGACAAGAGTGAGACTCTGACTCAAAAAAAAGAAAAAAAAAAAAGTGTTCAAGGAGAATGAAGAGACTGAGGGAGTTGGGCAGATTTTATTTTTTCAAAGCTGGCCACAGCACTATTTGCCATCCTATGTTAACTTGCTAAAAAGCCCAATAGTTCTCACATTGTGTGCCCACAGAACACTGACTGACATTGCTTTTTAAGGGAATTAGCATTAATGTAGCACTTCCTATTTATTACTGTCTTTAAGCTGCCTAGACTATGATTATTATAACAACCACCACTAGCATTGAGCATTTACTGTGTCAACTGCTTACTGTGTCTCGTTTAGTTGTGTCATAACACTAAGATGTCATTACACTCATTCTGTTGGTGAGGAAATAGAGAAATACAGTAACTTGCCAAGGTCACAGAAATGGTGAAGCTGGGCTTTTCCTCACACACCACACTGCTTTGTCCCAATATTACAATGTTGATCTGTCTCCAATTCACAGGAAAATAATTTAAAATAGCCAATAGAATGCTCTTAAGTTGGAAACATTCTTCTATCCCTTTTTTTGACCTTTCGCATTTCTTTTTTTTTTTTTTTTTGACTCTGAGAGAGTATTTATCTATGCACCCTGGAAGCCAGCCTCTAAATTTAAATATCCAGCATGGGACCTTGGCCCTCCTGGCCGTGGGTGGGTGTAGGAATGGGTCCTAGAGCCCTTCCCTGAGAGTGGAACCCAGAGCCTGGAAGTGGGATGCCCCTGAGCCAGCAGCTGCCAATAGCCACAAAAGGGGAGAAGGAGATGGGAGCCAGACACTCATCCCAATCCCAGAGACTCCAAGGGGAAGGGAAGATGCTTTGGGCCTCACAGCCAGGCTGAGGGTTGGCCAAGCTGGAGGTACACATATGTGGAAGAAATGGAGGCCCAGTGCCATGGGCAGAGACTATACCCTAGGTGCCCGCCCCAGTGCCAGCCAACCCAAGACAGGAGAAAGGGGTTGGCAGTTTTGCATCTGAGAGATACAAGTGGTGCCTGGCCCTCCTGTGAGGTGAGGCAGTATGGGGAAAGGCACAAGCACTGCAGTCTAAGGGCTTATGGAAGGGGGAGTCTCTGAGCCTTTTGCATGGGTGCATGCCCACCCACCCCCAGCTCTTCAGAGGCTGATGTGGAAGGCATCCTGCAGCCACTGGTCACAAACACTGTGCATCTGGGGCACAGTGAGGAGTGGCGGGTCGGGGGGCAGGCTGGCATTGGGAGGCTCATCATCATCAGACAGGCCAGCATCAGGTGGGTAGGAACTGTCTAAATGCAGGGAGGATAGCAAGTCCTGGATGAGCTCATGACCTTTCACATTTCTAGAGAGCAAGTGCCAGCAGATGACAGAACGAATGAACAAGTAGCAAATATACATTCATGGAAAAGGTCAGAGCAGCTGGTTTTGCTTGATTCACTCATTTGATTGTGGGTGTGGATGTGGTGTGTGTGCTTTGGGGCAGGCAATGTGGCAGCTGCTCCTAGTTGTGAATATATTGCATGCCTATAACACTGTTTCCATGTTTGCTGAGTTGTTCTTTGTTTCTATGATGAAATTAAATATACCTTTTCATGGGACTAGACAAAGAGCATCAATCATTCTGTGGCAGCAGCTTTTCATGAATCCCCTAAAACTGTGCAAAGCTGCGTTCTATGTGTATGCATGTGTTGTTCCGGTGAGGGAGTTCTGAAGTCAATGCTATAGTTAGATTACCAAAGACGTCTGTGATTCCAGAAGGATTAAAAACCACTGACCATCTATCATTCTACCTATCTGCCATCTCTCCATCATGTTTATAACATCATTTATGCATGCATTTATCTATTTATCCACTAAGAGACATATTTCTTTCCAGATGGTAGCATTTGAGATGATTTATTTGTAATTTTCTGTCCTGCTTTACTCCTTCATAATGACCATTGTATTAGTCCGTTTTCACACTGCTATAAAGAGCTGCCCGAGAGTGGGTAATTAATAAAGGAAAGAGGTTTAATTGACTCACAGTTCAGCATGGCTGGGGAGGCCTCAGGAAAGTTACAATTATGCCAGAAGTCAAAGGGAAAGCAAGGCATCTTTTTCACAAGGCAGCAGGAAGGAGAGGTGCTGAGCCAAGCAGGAAGAGCCCTTTACAAAACCATCAGATCTTGTGAAAACTCACTCACTATCACGAGAACAGCATGGGGGAACCACTCCCATTATTTAGTTACCTCCACCTGCTCTCTCCCTTGACAAGCAGGGATTACGGGCATTACAACTCAAGATGAGATGTGGGTGGGGACACAAAGCCTACCCATATCAACCATGTATCATTCTTAGAAAAATAATGAAGTGATTAAGAGAAAAGGACAGCTGATCTGGGTGCCCCACCACGTGTCCAACTTATCTTTATACCTCCATTGATGGGAAACTCAACCAGCTCTCTAGGTGGCCTAGTCTGTCTGTTTACCTCAAAGTATTAACATTTCTTCCACATGCTGAATTCATGGCTAGGCAATGAACAAATCAATGAAGAAGGCTGGGCACGGTGGCTCACGCCTGTAATCTCAGCACTTTGGGAGGCCAAGGGGCAGATCACTTGAGGCCAGGAGTTCGAGACTAGCCTGACCAACATGGTGAAACCCCATCTCTATTAAAAATACAAAAAATAGCTGGGCGTGGTGGTACATGCCTGTAATCTCAGCTACTCAGGAGGCTGAGGTAGGAGAATCACTTGAGCCCAGGAGGCGGAGGTTGCAGTGAGCCAAAATCAGGCCACTGCACTCCAGCCTGGGTGATAGAGCTAGAGTCTCAGAAAATAAATAAATAAACAAACAAATCGATGAAGCTCCAGGGGGCAGATAAAACAGAAGTGAGTCTTGGGGTGGAAGACAGGGAGAGGCATCTGTGGCTGGATCCCTAGAAGCCATCTGAGAACACCTGCCTGCTTTGCCATCCCAGATCAGGGACAGGGTGCCAAGGACAGCAAACAGGGCTCAGCACAGCCTGGGCATGCAAATGGCTTGTCTGTGGTTCACGGAACAAGCTCAGGAAGCTGGCAGGGAGGAAGGGGATATAGTGAGGCAGAAAGGAGAAGAACAAAGTTCAAATACACAAGGGAAGGGAGTAGGTGGGGCTCACCTAATGTCAACAGCCCTTGGGTGCAGGAACTCTGTGGAGAATGTGACCCCAAGAAGGGAGTGGTGGCAATGCCAACATGCCTTGGTTAAGAGAAAAGGCCCTTTGGCTATAATGCTGTGTCCTAGTTCCCAAGGCAGCCCCCAACTAGATTTCCCTCAAAATGCAGGTGTGTGTATGGGTATGTAGAGAAGGTAGAGTAATCACATGCACCATATTTTAAATGTCGACCTATTTTTACCTCAAAAATTTCATCTGGTCCTCATGGAACCTTTAATGCAGGCAAAGTTAAGACTCAGAAAGGAGATGTGCCTGGAATAAGGACATACAGCTCAATAAGGCAGCAGAGGCATCAGCAAAAGGACCCATTTTGTGTGTGCATTTATTCCAAATTGCCCCCTTTAAAATAGGCTTTTTAAATGTATCATTTCCCCTTCACTCTTTGATTTGCTTTTTTAGAGTCTTCCTGTATTTTATGTATTGGAATTGATCTACAATAAAATACAGGTAGACTGCAACTCCAAGGTCAATAACGGTTGGAGATCCTTCGGTTATTCATGATGCTATGGCATTTCAAGACTGCCTGGGAACTGATGAGAAAACAGATGTAAAACCTATGAGCAAGTCCAAACTTAGCCCATGGGTCACCCCAGCAGACCACAAATGACTTAAAAACCACACATGCGTGCACACACACACACACACGCACTCCCAGCTTGCCTTTAGTAAGGAGTCACAAATTACCATCCTGAACTTTTTATTGGAAAAAAGTGTCCCCGGACAGTTGAAGAGTCATCTCTGAATAGAAAGACAAGTCTATCACTGACATACTGAGTATTTTTATGGTTACAGTGACAGTGAGGAAGAAAAAACTACAAGAGGGGTTGGAGATGAGCGAGAACAAAACTCAGGACAGTAAACAAAGGGGACTTCACACAGGTGAGAAGAAACTCAGGAGGCTCCCATGAAGAGTAGTGTGTTTTGTTCCAACAGGCTGGTCGAGAAGGGCTTACTCAAGGTGTGCAGATCCCACCGCCTCTGTTCTGACACCACCTGGTGTACCGCACCACAATTCTAACAACGACCAGCAGAGTTAGATCAGATGCCACCAGCGAAGGGACATAGTCCCCAACAGGGCTGCCCTCACCTCAGACACCAGCCCCATGTGGGGATCCCAGGCCATCAGCGCTTGTGACCAACTGCCTACAATCCCAGGAGGGTACCATGATCTTCCTCAGGTTCAATGATTCACTAAAAATCACAGAACTCAGGACTATACTTATGATTAGTTTTATTATAAAGGATACAAATCAGCTCCACAAGCCAAGGAAGACACAGGGAAAGGTCTGGAAGGGTCTTGAGCACAGTGCTCCCATGCCCCCTCTTCGTGGAATTAGGGCACACTGCCCTGCCGGCATAGCCACAGCTTCACCACCCAGGAAGCTATGCTGAGCTTTAGTGTCCAGAGTTTTTATTAGGGTTTCATGATGTACTGATTAAAGCACTGGCC
The DNA here is from genome assembly GCF_000001405.40 of Homo sapiens. Taxonomy (NCBI): domain Eukaryota; kingdom Metazoa; phylum Chordata; class Mammalia; order Primates; family Hominidae; genus Homo; species Homo sapiens. The sequence continues at coordinate 56,888,145 of NC_000017.11, forward strand.
AGATGATTAAACTCAGCCTCCAGTCCCCCGCCCCATAGGTCAGGCTGACTCAAAGCCTCAAACCTCTAATCACATGGTCAGTCTGTCTGGTGACCAGCCCCAGCTCTGAGTCATCCCACCTTTTAGCATAAGCTCAGGTGTGATCCCATGGCCTCACAAATAACAAAGACACTCCTATTACCCTGGAAATGTCAAGGACTGAAAGTCTCCCTCCCAGGAAGCAGGGACAAAGGCCAGTTCAATTCTTTAGACAACCTCCAATCCACACCTCCTGGAACTCCTACCCCAATTGAAACAAGGATAAAATCCACTGAACATGGAGGGCCCATTGCTGGCCTGAACTATTTTTGTTTCTTTTTTTTTTTTAAAGCTTTTTATTATAGACATTTTCAAACATATACAACAGTAAAATGAATAATATAATGAACCCTCACACCTCCATCCCTAGTAACTGATTATCCGTGTGTGGCTTACTCTTTGATCGATACTCTCCTGCTTTCCCCTAGCCCCCACAGTTAGACTGTCCCGCAGCAAAGCCCAGACAGACATCCTATCGGTCTGAGAATTCCTTATCAAAAGCTTCCCGAAGAGGAACTCTATATAGGGCAGGACTAAGTGTGCTGGCTATAGGTCTGCAGAAATCTCAACCCTTGGGAGCCCTTGGGTGGGGCCTGGGCAGGTCCCTGGGCAGTAGCCGTCTGTAGTGGGCGGCTCATCTGCTGACAACAGTATGACGAACAAATAGCATTTTGTACCCGCACTACAATGCAGGAGAACGCCAAACACCGCTTTATTGCATTCAAACCTTCTAAGGCACGTCAGCCAGCCCTGGCCTTGTCTACAGCCATGATTATCTCCTTAAAGAGTTAACTCTAAAAAAATATTAAGCTCAAGAAATAACAGCTCAAATACTCCTAACTAATTAAAATCAATAGTGAGAGGCAGAATACGGTAAAAGATAACATATTAGTATTATTGATCACAGATCAATTTCAGAGTACTTAAAACAGGAATAATCAGCTACCACATCTTGAAAAATACAAAGACTTGATCCTAACCTTTTATTTATCATGCCACACGGACTGAGACAGTCCCCAGTACCTGGGTCTAGGAGAGTTATTTTATGTTTGTGTTTCTGGGAATTTCCGATACTTCCCAGTGTATCAGAGTGTTCCCCTCACACATGCTAGCAGGCATCTCCCCACTAATGGAATAGCAAGAGTGGTGAACAGAGCGATCCTCTACTTTCTCATCATATTCTGCAAAATGAGAAGTCAGATGGATACAAAGGTTCCTCCAACTCTAGGACTCCAGGGTTGTGTGGCGGCCCTGCAAGGCTAGGTTATGTAAGGTCTCACCATTGCAAACAGAATGGTTCAAGACAGCAAGGATGCACTCCTCAATTTACAACTCCAAAGCACCTTGCACAGAGCTTGGCTTTGGTTACCTACTTGACTCTCTTTTAAACAGAGGGTCTTATGCTTCCCTATCCTGAGCTGCACATTTGCCAGGGAAGTGGCCTCACTGTTGCCCTCATTTCTGCAGAAGAGAGCCAGAGCAGGAGCCATGGATTTATCTCTGGCATTCTACTCCTCCAAGCCCAGCTGTTTCCCAAGTATTAATTGGTTTCAGACAAGGCTTTCGTTTCAGAAAATCAATGAAGATGCTTTTGATCATCTTCAAAAGCAGAGAAGAATCACCAAAGAACTTTTCTTCCAAGTAGTAAAGGAATAAAACTTCTAAGGACCACATATCACCTATTGCAGGGATGTCTTTCCTACAAAGATTATTGCTCTCCCGAGGAACTGAAAATCCTTGTTAGGAGATGACACCGATCAGGTATGTACCTGCATGTCAGGTGTGTAGCTGTCAGGAATATCAAGTGTTCTGAGCCTGCCTAGAGTGCCCTAGAGTTCCAGCACGAGGCCTGAGATGCATTACATTCTCAAATATCCATATGAAAAGGTCTGGGGTCTCTAGTTCCCCAATGGTGACTTCTTTTCATATTATAGGAAGCCTGACAGGAGCTCTCCTCTAAGCAAAGCCCAGAGTTGGACTCATTTCACTATAAGAGGCTAAATTCCTCATACTCACATCCTGACAACATTAGGCTATAAGGAGCTTGGGGAAAATCCAGCCATCCATTCACTCCCGCCCCTTAGTGGACTGGGTTATTTTCACCACACAGAAACACTGCAGGGAAAATAGCCACTTGTGTGACCCTCTTTAGCTCTTTCCCTCCCTCCCTGATCAATGTGAGCTTATATAATTGGCTTAAATGAGGAAGTCAGTAGAAGGGGCTAGGGCCAGCCCCAGGCTCTGACTCACGCAAGGGCCAGTGCTGGGTCTGCAGCCTGTGGCCAGGGATGAACAGGAATGTTCCTGTTCCCCATGAGGTTTGCTAAAAGACCCCTTTGGTGGTAGGTTGACACCCCAGCAAGTGGCCTAGCATGGTCCGAGGCAGCCGCATAGCCTGTCTGCATGATAGCAGGCTTCAGGGATCCAGCTTAGCTGGAGGCTTGACTGTGCTAGCCTCGGTGGTACCTGCACTGTCATTCCATATGTCACAATCCAGGGAAGAGAGGCTATCACCGAGAAGAGTTGTCAGTAAGAAGGCAGGACACTCTAACACGAGCAAACCCACCAGGCTTCTGTTGATCCAGGGCAGCATCCCCCTCGCCTGGCAGAGTTCCTTGCCCCACAGCCAAGGCTATGGGAAGCAAGGCCTCCAGCAAAGCTCATGGCTGCCACCAAAGCATCTCTGCCAAGATGCTTCTTATGATACTTAGGAAGGATTTCCACCCAAACTGGATCAGGGTCACCATGACCCTGAATCACAAATCCAACACAGGCTGATTCCAATCATGGTTTGAAGCTTTAGCTGAAAAGTTTGCTGTTTGAAAACCATCAATGTGGGGGCGATGGGTGTGCAGGGTAGGAAGGGAACGCACTATTTTCCAGTGGAGGAAGAGGGTATGCCTCTTTAGGAAACTGTTCTGGGTAGAGACTGCTGTGGGTGTTTCCTCAAGCACAGATAATAACCAGGAGATCAAGCCCCAACATGCGGGTAATGGAGTTTATGTAACATTGAAACTCAATGACTTTGGAACTTTAAAAACATCTATAGTAAGAATTCAAAACACCAAGATCTGAAGGCTACCCCAGAGAGCAAAGGGGCAGCCTTCAGATCCAAGTGGCCCAAGACAGAACCTACAGTAGCTATGGATTTTCTCTAAGAGGAATCGGGCACTCATGACTTCACTTCCCAGAGCTCTGCCCAGCTGCCCAGCAGCCTGGAGATTTCCAGAACAATGGGGAGTAGGTCACCCTGCCCTGATAGGCACCAGGGGGTGGAAACGCCTCCTCGCCCACAACACAATCACTCTCACCCCTTTCCTGGCTAAATCCCACCTCCCACCCTCCCGCCAGCTCCCCTCCCATGCTCCCAATCCTTGGGACCTCTTGGGGAATTATCCAAGGAGAGTTCTGCCTGCTGTATTTTCACTAGGGTCTTGGGACTTCTGCAGGCAGTCAGCCCAAGTGCCTACAGCCTGCCTACTTGGGGGAGCAGATGGAGAGTGTGGCACCAGCAGAAAATACCCAGAAAGCCGGGTACAAAGCCTCAGTAAAGTCCACCCTGAACTTATACATCAGGTGGACCTTGTCGGCAACAGCGAAGAAGATGACAAAGCCGTGGTCACAGTTGAGAAGCACGCCCACCCGCGTGGCCTTGGTGGAGGGCAGGGTTTTCTCCACGTTATTGTGCCAGGCAGAGATCTTGGTGTTGAACCACTCCACGCACCAGGAGGCGCTGTTGCGGCCGAGCCTGCTTTCTGGGCCCTGCCGGTTCATGCTTCCGTAGCAGATGCCTACCCCACAGAAGTTGTTCTTCTGCAGCTCCACCTCCCAGTAGTGGATCCCCTTCTTGTAGCAGTGCAGGCCCAGCACCTGAGAGCAGTATGTGAACCTCTGGGGATGCGGCCGGTAGTTCTGAGGCATCTCAGCCACAGAAGCTACTGTATAGCACTCTGACAGAGCCACTTTGTTGTGGGCGGTGTTGTAGTCCAGGATGACTTTAATGTAATCTGAGAAAACATCACCCCAAGGAATTAATTACAAGGGGCCCAAAGTGCTCTTTTAGACCTTTGCCAAAGTGGTACTATTTATTCACTAGTTTTATCCATCCATGCACCCATCTACCCATTGGTCCATCCATCCACTCATCTATCCATCTGTCTGTCTATTCATCCATCTATCTGTCTATCCATGTATCCATCAATCCATCCATGTATCCATCCATCCATCTATCCATCTACCCATGTATCCATATACCCATCTATCTACCTATCTATCCATTCTTCCATTCATCCATCTATCCACTTATCTATCCATCCTTCTGCCTTTCCATTTATCCATTCATTCATTCATTAATCTATCCACTTATCTATCCATCTGTCCATTTATCCATCCACCCATCTATCCACCCATCCATTATTCATCAGCTCATCTATCCATCCATTCATCCATCCATTCTGTCCAGCCAGCCAGCCATCTATCATCTATCAGTCATCCGTATGTCTGTCCATTCATCCATCCAAAACCATTTACCAGGCACCTGACTGACACCAGATTCTGGCACAAGATGCACAACCATGAACCAGAGAGACAAGGTGCCGGGCCTCATGGAGTTCACACTCCAACAAGCAAGGCAAGTCCATCAGTAACAACACCATGAGACTCACACTCTGCCAAAAGGGTAAGCACACACTGTAGGGACACAGAGACAAGGCAACTGATGCTACAGTTGGGGAACATTTCACTGGCAGGCTGGAATTGGAGCCAAGTAACAGAAGATGAGAACTAGACAGAGGAGAACAGAGAGAGAAAAGCTGTTCCAGACAGAGGGAACAGTGAGAGTGAAGCCACGGAGTGCCAAGGGGATTCGCATGTGCTGGGATCGGGGAAGCTGGGTGGCTGGGAACACAGATGCAGCAGGAGAAGGGAAACATGTTGGGGCTAGAAAGGGAAGGGCTTAGGAGGCTAGACTTTAACTGGTGGGCAGCAGGGAGCCAAGCGAGGCACTCATTTGCTAGGTGGCTCAGGGCATGACACTTTTCACTGGAGCCCGAGTTTCCCCCAAGGCAAAATGAATAAGCTGGGGGTGGAAAAGGCCCTAAGTTGATAGAATTTTACTTTCCCTGTTTATGCGGCTGCCACAGAGTGCACAGCAGCTCCTGAAAGACGTGGCTCAGCACCGCCGCTAGCAGCTTGGGCAAGAGTTAGCTGCAGCCCAGGGCTGGTCTGGGCCTCTCTTGGGGGGCAGGGACAGCGGAGGGCTACAAGAAGGCCAGCCCTGAAAAAGCAAGGGACCCACAGATCCCCACCAAGCCTGCTGCAGCTGCTTATGATAAAGGAAGGGCTATATTTTTCAGTGATTGGCTTTGGCCTCCACATGGAAGTGGGTACCACTGGCAGGTGCTGCCTGGAGTGTTGCACGTGGGTGCAGAAGAAACAAGAAGACGGAAAGTGGGAGGGCCCTAGGCCTGGCCTTGACAACGGAACTCCACCCACTTCCAGGTTGGACGAGCTTGCAAAGGAGGGGTGGATGGAAACCCAGGGGGGTATAGCAGCTCAAGCGGCAAGGGGAGAGAGTGTCAGAAGGAGGAGGAATGCCACTGACAGGTGAAGCTAAATAAAAGCTGAAAGGCGTCCCTGGATTTTGTGACACGGAGTACCCTGATGACCTCAGAGCTGCCTGGGTCAAGGGCAGGACAGAGGTCAGAATGCAGTGGCACGAGGATTAGACTTCAGGCTCCCACCTCGGCCCCACATTGCAACCCTGGGCAGCCAAACACCAACATTCTGAATGAACCAGTCTGGGGGACAGCCTGGGCATCGGGGATTTTAAAAAGCTCCCCAGGATTCCAACACGCAGCCACAGTTGAGAGCCACCAATGTAGAAAATCTGCAGAGCTGCTTTTCCCCAACTGTCCTCAAAAGGATCATGGAGGAAATGAGCTAAACATACAGCTTTCCGTGCTTGCCTGAGTCTGATCTTGTAGGGCTAGAACAGGGCCCAGGAATTTGGTTTTTGGGGTTTTTTGTTTGTTTGTTTGTTTTTTAAGACAGAGTCTCGCTCTGTTGCCCAGACTGGAGTGCAGTGGCACAATCTCGGCTCACTGCAACCTCCACCTCCCAAGTTCAAGTGATTCTCGTGCCTCAGCCTCCCAAGTAGCTGGGATTATAGGCATGTGCCACCACGCCCGGCTAATTTTTTGTATTTTTAGTAGAGATGGGGTTTTGCCATGTTGGCCAGGCTGGTCTTGAACTCCTGACCTCAGGTGATCCACCTGCCTCGGGCTCCCAAAGTGCTGGGATTACAGGCATGAGCCACCGCACCCAGCTAGTAATTTGTATTTTTAACAAGCATTCGGGTGAAAGGGAGGCAGGAAACAGAGCTGCAGCTGAGACAGTTTTGCTAGGTTTGTTTTTGTGATTTGGAGAGATGTAAACGTGCTACAGATAGGCAAGCCTAGGTAGAGATGCTGAGGGTGAAGAGATGGGAATGGAAAGGCCTAAGAGAGAGCAGAAGATTCCAGAGAGCGTGTGGGGAGCAGACTCCAGAGCCCAGGGCCAGGGGGTCTTGGGAAAGGGGCCAGGAGGCGAGGAAGGGGGCACAGTAGATGCAGATGCGATGTCAATAACAGAGCAGGGGGAGCCCCTTCTACAGTGTCTGTCTTTTTCGTGAAGCAGAAGGTGGGCGGGACAGGGAGAAGGATGGAGCTATGGCCAGTGGGAAGTCTTGGGAATGGTGGCTCTGGAGAGTGGTGGGGAGGAGACAGGAGATGCAGGGCAGGCATGCCGGCAACGGGACGCCCGGTGAAGGCCGGTGACCGCAATCGCCCTGCCTTCTCTGCAGAGGACATGCAGGCGCCGACCCACAGAGAAAGGTGAGCTCAATTGGGCCAGACTAGACGGCAAGAGGGAGAGTCAAAGGACCGATTGTGAAATCTGAGCTAGTTAGGAAAAGTAAAGAAAGGCACTGATGACTGGGAGAAAATAAGGGAGCAACAAAGTAGAGGACAAGTGAAGGGGAGTGGCTGATATAGCCGGCCAGCTGGCCTCACAGAGAGCTGCACAGAGCGGCGCAGGAGAGACAGAACCAGTGGAACCGCGCACCAGCCCCGAAGCTACTCACACTCCAGGAGCTCAGGTCTGGACTTGGCCAGGAAGGTCTCCAGCACCTTGGCCTTGAGAGATGTTGAGTTCGGATGTGAGCTGGTGGCTTTGGCTGCAGCTGGGAGAGGAAACAGAGAGTGATTTGCAGAACAAACTCAGAGTGGACACCCCAAAGCTCCTTGCCCATGATAACTTACCCTCCAAGCCAGCTTGTTTTAAATCCACTAACTGTTCCGGGGCTCCAAACGTGGGAAGCTTGCTGGGTAAGGCAGGGACAGGGGCTGGGGGTAAGGAAAGGGAAATATGATACAGAGCAACGGGATGGCCTCTACTCCCTTCCACACTGATTAAGAGCCACTTCTACAAACACACGCCTGAACAGCAGGACAACACAGGGGAAAACAGACAAGGCTAAAGTCACCTTATTCATCTCACTTATGCTTGTCCTCCCCTCCAGCCTCAGGCCTGCTGCCATTACAGAATGGAATCATATAGAACCCATCACAGAACCCTGATGAGAGAGGTCGACTCTCACTACCAGCATTTAGTTCTGTGCTCGGGCAGTCTCAAGAAACGAACAGTTGCAGAAATGCATAACTTACGAGGTTTCTTGGATTTCTTTTCCTCTTCTGCAAAAGAAAGTTTTCAGATTTAATTTCTTTTAAGGCACAACACAATGACATTTTCAAAATAATAACATTCATGTGCATGAATTTGACCCAGACAAATAAAAGGATGTTTTAATTTGAAAAACAGAAGGAGTCAGCAGGCAAAATGAATCTATAGTGATAGAAACCAGCATGAGCGGTCGTGGGGGCGGGGACTGACTAATAAGGAGCATGAAGGAATTTTCTGGAGAAAGGGAAATTCTTTATCTTGATTTGAACAATGGTAACACATGTATGCATTTGTCAAAATAGATCTAACTGCACATTTAAGATTTACTGCAGGGAAAAAAGAGATTTACTGCAGGTAAATTATATTTCCATAAAGGAAAAAACACAAAAACCAAATAGGGAATCAGAAAAAAAAAAATGCTTGCCAAGGGCTGGGCGCATGGTGGCTCATGCCTGGAATCCCAGCAATTTGGGAGGCCAAGGTGCAGGAACCACTTGATCTCAAGCGTTAGAAACTAGCATGGGCAACATGGGGAAACCCCATCTCTACAAAATTACAAAAAAAAAAAAAAAGAAAAAACTAGCCAGGCCTAGTGGCACACACCTGTAGTCCCAGCTACTTGGGAGGTGAGGCAGAAGAATTGCTTGAGCCCAGGAGGATGAGGCTGCAGTGAGCTGTGTTCTTGCCACTGCACTCCAGCCTCAGCAACAAAATGAGACCCTGTCTCAAAAAAAAAAAAAAATGCTTGCCAAGTCTTTTAAAAATATCTGGAGTGTCTACCTACAGGAACTGAGTTTGGCTAAAATAGTCGTTCTCAAAGTCTGGTGCCCAAGCCAGCTGCAGTGACATCACCAGAGAACCCCTAAGAAATGCAAATTATTGGTCAGGCACTGTAGCTTACTCCTGTAATCCCAGCAATTTGGGAGGCTGAGGTAGGAGGATTGCTTGAGGCCAGGAGTTCAAGATCAGCCTGGACAACATATCAATATCCTGTCTCTACAAAAAAAAAAAAATTGTTTTAATTAGCCTGGCTTAGTGGCACATGCCTACAGTCCTAACTCCTCAAGAGGCTAAGGTAGGAGGATCACTTGAGCCCAGGAGTTCGAGGCTGCAATGAGTTCTGTTCGCACCACTGCACTCCAGCCTAGGCAAAAGAGCGAGACTCTGTCTCTTAAAAAATAGTAAATGCAAATTCTTGGGCCCCAAGCCAGAGCCACTGAATCATAAAGGCTGGGGGTGAGACCCAGCAATCTGTGATGTACAAGCCCTCCAGGTGAGTCCAAAGTCCACTCAAGTGGGCTAGAAGATCCCAGCTTCCTTCTTTGCCACCTTCCACAACACTGGAACAAAAAGGGGCGTTTTTGAAATCATATCCCTGCCCACCTGCAGGACACCTGACATTACAGATAAGCCCTGCTCTCTCCTATTACCCTCTCCCTCCCCCAGACCCCCATCACACCACAAAGCCCCCTTGCTACCGCTTCTCCTACTTCGAAGTCACATCACTCACAGTCGCTCACTCTCCCATTTCCTCCCCTTCTGCCACTTTCCCACCCACTCCCTGTGGACCAGCATCTTGGGAGGCCCAGGCTGTGACATCAATCTAGGGCACAGGCACCTCCCTCATCACCTACCCTTAGACATCTCTCTGCACTGGGACTACTCCATACCCCCTCCCCTATTTCCCCATTTCAGCCTAGAGGAGCCTTGATTCATTCCCGAACTTTATTCTCCAGGGTGTCATTCTGCTGTGACATGAGGACCTCACCTCACTGGGGAACACACCTGCCTGCTGGCCGGCATCCCTACCTCATTCATACTAAGGGAGGAGCTTTCAGAGGAAGGTGACTGGGGAAGGACACAGGTCAACAGTACCTTTCCACTTCCTCTTTCACTCCTCTTTTCACACAAAGTACCCTTCGAGGTTTTCCGGCCCAGCTAAGGGCTCCCTCCTCCATCTGCACCAGGCATCCCAGCCCTGACTCTGTTCCATTCGGGGACCGATACCACACTCTGCCTGCTACAGGTGACCTGAACACTAAGCACAAGCAACAACAACAAAGAGCAAGCCCTGGCTCTCTCATCCCCCCAACACCAGCAGTGTGCAGCCAGCCCTCCTGGGTTCACACCAACTTTTCAGGGAAGCAATGACAGCTAACATTTCAGTGGTATATGGACATGTCAGTGGTATATGAACATGTCAGCGGTATATGGGCATGTCAGCGGTATATGGACATCTCAGCGATATATGAACATGTCAGCGGTATATGGACATGTCAGCAGTATATGGACATCTCAGCGGTATATGGACATGTCAGCAGTATATGAACATCTCAGCGGTATATGGACATGTCAGCGGTATATGGACATCTCAGTGGTATATGGACATCTCAGTGGTATATGGACATCTCAGTGGTATATGGCTCATAAAGAGCTCTCACAATCAGTGTCCCCTCATCACTCAGAATCATCCTGTGGCCTCGATATCACTATTGTCCACATTTGCAGAACAGGACCACTCTTCTCCTCAACCCCCATGTCAATGGCAGGTGCCTGCCCAATGAGGGGGATAGTACCCCTAGGAGGGCAAAAATGGATCCTTGGGGGAGGGGGAGTAAAAAAGATTACTCTTTTTATGTGTAAAAGCACAAACATAAACAGTTATGCAGTAGATGGGTGGTATTAAAATTTCATGGGTTGTAATTAGGAAAAAAATTTTCTCAAATGGTTCTGGGGATGAGCAGGAGGAGGGTAACAGTGAGAAACCAAAAAAAAAAAAACAGTTGAGAAACATGGTAATAGCAGAAGCCCATTACAACCCAGAGACTTAACACTGCTGAGATGCCAAGGAGGTTTAGCCTCCACCCTTCCTGGACCGCCATCAGTCTCCTTGCCCAAGGCTCTGCCCAAGGACTTGGGTATAGTAAATATTTCTCAAAACAAGCCAGCCTCAGGCATCTTGCTGTTCCAGGCAGCCCAAACGTGCAATGCTGATGGACAGCGGAGCTTCTGCCACAGCCCTACAGCCCCCCGCAGTGGGGACTGCCACCAACTTCTTTCCCACTGAGGTCCAGGCCCCACAGTGACTCGGGATGGGCCGGAAGTGACTTGGCCAGAGCCTGGGGAGGCCACAGCCATGCTGTTGCCATGGAGACAGGGGTGGGGCTACTTACTGGAGACCTTCTTCACAGGGCGTGTGGATTTGTGTGTGGACGCTGGGTCATGCTCTCCAGGGTCACCTGTGTCAGAGAAGAAGGGCTCAGTGTGTGCGGCTCCTCTCACTGACCCTAGCAGCCAGCTTTGCCATGGGTCGGTGGGCAGGCAGAGGGTTTACACAGACAGCCATTTCCTCCGACCTTCCCCATCCCATCGCTTACAAGAGCTACAAACAAGGTGATCTAAGAACCAGTTTGGTGTATTCCCTTTTTTCTCTGACTTTTTAAAATGTAGCAAGGGCCAAGTCTTTTTTCCACCAGCACCCAGCTCTGTGGCCTCTGAGACTTCTCTGAGCTTTGGTTTCTTCGAGCACACAATGGGGATGACTTCACCTTGCTCATGGTTGATGTGACTCCTGAATGAGATCAAGGTCATGTAGCGGAGGCTGGGTCAACACTTGTTCCTTTCCCACTATTCTTTCTCTCCCCTCCTCCCACATACCAGCCACCTATAGCTTTGCCCCCACGCAGCACTTCCACAATGGGGCTGCACCGCCACCGATTTCAGAAGCCCTTCTGCAAGGACACTCGGCAGGCCAAGCTGAGATTCAAGCCCAATCTTGGACTACACAACAGAGATTTACTATGGGCCAGGCTCTGTGCTAGGCACTAGGGAAATAGCGTTGAAGAAAAATCAGACAGGCCAGGCACAGTGGCTCAAGCCTGTAATCCCAATGATTTGGGAGGCCAAGGCAGGAGCATCACTTGAAGCCAGGAGCTCAAGATCAGTCTGGACAACTTAGCGAGACCCTGGCTCTACAAAAAAAATTTTTTAGGCTGGGCCCGGTGGCTCACGCCTGTAATCCCAGCATTTTGGGAGGCTGAGGCAGGCAGATTACTTGAGGTCGAGAGTTCAAGACTAGCCTGACCAAAGTAGTGAAACCATGTCTCTATTAAAAATACAAAAATTAGCCAGGTGTGGTGGCACATGCCTGTAATCCCAGCTACTCAGGAGGCTGAGGCAGGAGAAATGCTTGAACCTGGGTGGCAGAGGTTGCAGTGAGCAGAGATTGGGCCATTGCACTCCAGCCTGGGTGACAGAGCGAGACTCCGTCTCAAAAAAAAAAAAATTTTTTTTTAATTAGCCGGGCATGATGGTGTGTATCTATAGTCCTAGCTAGTCGGGAGGCTGAGGCAGAGGGATCACTTAATCCCAGGAGTTTGAGGTTACAGTGAACTATAATCACGCCATTGCATTCCGGCCTGGGCGACAGAGCAAGATCCTGAATAAATAAATAAATAAGCCGCAGCCCCTGACCTCACAGAGATCACAACCTAATGAGGGAGATATACGGGGATCCCAAGGAAGAATGCGATACTACCCATGCAAGAGTCCCAAGAGGATGACAAGGACCCTGGGCCCAGTCTGAGGAGTGGGAGCAGTGGCAGGGGAGGCTGGCTATAAATGTAATGTTTTGCTGATCTTTGAAGGGTGAGAGGAGTTAATTAGTGAAGACGGTGGAGTTCAAGCCTTCTGGAGAGTGGGGAAGAGCAAACACAAAGGCCCTGTAGCAGGAAGTTTTGCATATTTGAGGAACTGAATGCAGAGAGATGCACCAGAGGAGAGTGGGGGGCGCCTTGGGGCTGGAGAGAGACCAACAGGGCTTGACCTGGCATCTAGACCAGGGTCAAGGGTTTGGTCTGCATCAGGGAGTAATAGGAAGCCTAGTGAGAGGGCAAAGCAGAATAGGTCCCAGGACATGAGCTCTGCATCATGAAAATCCCTCTCTGGCTGCAGCGGCAGATGCAGAGGGTTTAGGAAGCTGCTACAGTCATGGGGCGACAGGTGATGGCAATGGAGAACAGGCAAGCAGTGCTAGGATCAGCAGACTGAGTCAGGAGATTGAAAGAAGTGAAATTTGGCAATGGATTGGATATGGGGTGATGAAAAGGGGGTGTCAAAGAGGAATTCTAGATTTCTCCCCCAAACGGGCCATTCCCCCACCAAACACAATAACAAGCCCTAGCTTATTCAAAACCCATCCAAGTTGGCCTCAAGATCACAGGCCAAAAGAGCCTATCTGTCCAGAAAGTCCAAGCATTAACATCAAGTCCCCAAAAATGCTTTAGGAAAGATCCTAAAATGTCAGGATGAAGCAGACTCCCCACCAGCCTCCAGACAGAGGGCGGATGTTTCAGGAGCCCTGAAACTCAGGCCCCAGTGCTCGGGATCACGCCCCAATCTCCCATCCCAAAACATTTAGGGGACCCATCGGGTTGCAGGGTTCCACAGGGGGCAGCATAGGGGGCTGCTAAGGTCACCTGAACTGGGGGTGGGCTCCTGGAGCCGCCCGATGCACTGCTTCAGCTCGTTTTTGAGGTCTATGGTGCTCTGGTGGATGCCTTTTATCAGCTTGTGGTTCAGTTCCACCTCGGGGATGTAGACTGGCTTTGTTGAGATTCCTCGCAGTTTTGATGCTTTCTGGAACATGCCAGGGGGTTAGTGCAGGCAGCTCTGGTGAAACGGGGACCTGGGCTCAGTCCTCACCAACCCCAGGAGGCTCTCCCCTATGCCCAAGAGTGCTAAGTCCAATTGGCCTTCTCAAATTACAGGCCAGAGGTCACCAGGAGTTTAAATGACACTTGAAGACACAGTAATCTGGAGCTGGAGGGGACCCCAGAGGTCACTCATCTTACAGATGGGGAAACTGAGGTCTAGACATGGCAGGAACTCCACCAGCTAGGGGCACAGACACAGCTGGGACTGAGATCTTCCGATCCCCCAGGACAATGTTCTTTCCACTTTTCCAGCTAAAGGTGGAAAAGCACAGGAAACTCAGGACCACCCCAATCCTAGGGGAACAGCTCTAATCACACATTCTGGTAACAGACAGGGACATCTCAAGGGATGTGGATTGCAGCCAGGGAATATCTTATGGGAAGGGAGGGTCTTCCTGGAAGTCCCAAACTTTGAGAAAAATAGGGTTGTACAGTATCAAGAAGCCTAGATGTGCACTCAGATCCTTCGAGAGCTCGGGGCAGCTGCTCCAACAGACAGGAATGAACACTTGGGATGAAACTTAACGCCATCCAGACTAGGCACGCATCAGGCCTCAGTGCACAGAGACAAGGTTCCCATTCACTCCTGCACTGTCTCCCCACCCCCTGATCTGAACAAGGAATCTGGGTCTTTCAGGTATAGCTGCAGGTCACTCAATCAATGGGGCACACCACTATATGCCAAGCACTCTGCTATGTGCTGGTCAGATTGGCAGGAGGATGAATGGGGGTAATAAGAGATGGGCTTACAGTCAAAACAGCCATGAAAAAATGCACATCTGAAACAACATCACCCAATGTTACTGTAGAAACAGTGTGGCATGCTTGGGAACACCGATACGGCATGGCAATGGGATCCAAGGCCCTGGAAGGATACGACTCACTAGGCAAGAATGCCCAGCATGGCATCCCACCCACACCCACTGTGTCTGGGGAACAGTGAGTGCATAGGGCATGAGCCAGGGATGGATGATATGAGATGAGACTGCTGGCACAGGCGGGGCCCAGTCACCTAGGACCCTGCAGGCCATGTTAAGGGACATGAGGCCAGAAACAGCAGGGGGCCCATGCTTTAGACAGATACTTTGATACAGTCTGGATGTTTGTCCCCTCCAAATCTCATGTTGGAATGTGATTCCCAGTGTTGGAGGTGGGGCAGGGTGGGAGGTGTTCGTGTCGTGGGGGTGGATTCCCCATGCACCGCTTGGTGCCCTCCCCATGGTAACAGGTGAGTTCTTGCACAAACTGGTTGTTTAACGGAGGCTGGCACTTCCTCCTCTGTCTCTTGTTCCCTCTCTAACCCTGTGACATGCCTGCTCCCAGCTTCACCTTCTGCCATGAGTAAAAGCTTCCTTCCTCACCAAAGGCCTAACTAAAAGCCAAACAGATGCTGGTGCCATGCTTGTACAACCTGTAGAACTGTGAGCCAAATAAACCTCTTTTCTTTATAAATTACTCAGTCTGGTTGGGCGCAGTGGCTCACACCTGTAATCTCAGCACTTTGGGAGGCCGAGGTGGGTGGATCACCTGAGGTCAGGAGTTCGAGACCAGCCTGGCCAACATGGTGAAATCTCGTCTCTACTAAAAATACAAAATTAGCTGGGCATGGTGGCGTGCGCCTGTAATCCCAGCTACTCAGGAGGCTGAGGCAGGAGGATCACTTGAGCCTGGGGGCAGAGGTTTCAGTGAGCAAGATCACACCACTACACTCCAGCCTGAGCAACAAGAGTGAAACTCCATCTCAAAATAAATACATAAAATAAATAAATAACTCAGTCTTAGGTACTCCTTTATAGCAATGCAAAAGGGACTACTAACACACACTTCCAGGAGCTGCTGGAGGAAGGATGGGAGGAAGAGGTGGAGTGTGAGTGGCAGGCAACGTTCTAAGATGGCCCTCAAGCCCCCGACCCCGACTGATGTACATACCCTATAGTATGCCCTCCCCTTCAGTATCGGCAGGACGGTGAATGAAATAGGATATCACTCCTGTGATTAGGTTATGTCATGTGGCAAAGGGGGTGGAATATTGCTGGTGTAATTAGCATCTCAAATCAATTGATTTTGAGTTCATCAAAGGGCAATTATCTGGGGTGGGCCTGACTTAATCAGGTAAAAGACCTTAAAAGAGGGATTGCATCTTTCTAGAGGAGAAATTCTCATGCTGGCCTTGAAGAAGTCAGCTATCAATCTGAGAGACAGCCAGCAGGAAATTGCGGGGGGCCTCAGTCCTACAACCATAAGGAACTAAATTCTGCCAACAACCACATGAGCCTGGAAGACAACCCTGAGCTCCAAAGGAAACAGCCTGGCCATCCCTCGCAGACTGTAGCCTGGTGAGACCCTATGCAGGCCACCCATAAAGCCATGTCCAGATTCCTGAGCCAGAGAAACTCTGAGAGAATAAATATGTGTTTTTTGAAGCCCCTACATTTGTGGTAAGTTGTTGCCCAGCTCAGAAAACTAATACAGCGTGTGTCTCAGGGATGCTTCCAGTGACCTCTTCCAGTCTCCCGCTCCTTGAGGGCCCTATCATCAACAGCATGACATCAGGCAAAAAAAAAAAAAAAACATTCAACAATGCCTTGTGGCGACCTACCTCCAGAAACTCGAACTCATCCCTCTTGGTCAGGCTCTGTTCAATCTCCTCCTTCAAGGTCTGGATCTCACTCTTCTTCTTGAGGAGAATCTGATAAATGGTGTCAAACTTGCTGTTGACCCTCTTCTCCTCTTCCTTTATCTTCCTTGTCGAGGTGGTCTCTGAGGCGTCCAAGAGAGCCTTCATTTCCGTGTATTCTTGTTGTAGCTGCTCCACCTTTCTGTTTGCAGTCATCTGAGAGGGCCAAGGTAAGAGGATGCCCGTCAAAGGGGCAAAAGTGCTAAGGCTGCAGCCCCAAGCATGGGTGAGATGTGGAGTTCCAGGAACTCTTACCTGTACTTTGTGGGAGAACAAACCACTGTGGGGAGCAACTTGGCAATATCTAATAAATTTGGAGGTGCTCATAGGCTATGACTCGGCAACTCCAGTCCTAGGAATATGTGCTACAAAAAATTGCAGCCACCTGCCCCTGAGACATGCATAAGAATGTTCACAGGCAGCATTGTCTGAAGTAGCAAAAACCTGGAATCAACCTGAACATCCATCAGAAGAAGACTTGAAGCAAAGACTGGGAGCTATTCATAGGATGGAATATTAAACAGTTATGAAAATTAATAAACTGGAGCTATGCCTGGATAAATCTCCATGAGAGAAAAACAACTTGCAGAAGAAGATCCACCATATGATGCTCTTTCAATAAAGCTTAGAAACAAACAGAATGGCTATATGCACAAAGAAACGCATGGGAATGAATAAATAAATTCAGGAGAGTGGTTACTTCTGGAAGAGAGGAAGAGGGATAGAATAAGGGAGAAACAGATGGGAGGGGCTGCATCGATGATATTTTATTTCTTAAGCTAAAGGTGGTTCATGGGCAATTTTTAAAAATAAAAGTCAGCAAGAGATCAAGACCATTCTGGCCAACATGGTGAAACCCCATCTCTACTAAAAATACAAAAATTAGCTGGTTGTGGCAGCGCGCACCTGTAGTCCCAGCTACTCAGGAGGCTGAGGGAGGAGAATCGCTTGAACCCAGGAGGCAGAGGTTACAGTGAGCCGAGATCGTGCCACTGCACTCCAGCCTGGGAGACACAGCGAGACGCTATCTCAAAAAAATAAAATAAAATAAAACAAAACAAAAAGTCAGGATGCAGCTCTGGAAAATTTCTAGAGAATATCATGCTCTAGGATTGTACTTTCCAATAACATAGCCACTTGCTACATGTGGCTACTGAGCACTTGAAATGTGGTTAGTCCAAACTGAGACTTGCCATGAGTGTAAAATACATACTGGCTTTCAAGGGTTTCACACCAAAAAAAGGAATGTAAAATATCTTAAAACTTTTAAATTGATGATATGTTGAAAGAATAATATTTAAGATATACCAAATTAAATAAACTATAATATTAAAATTAATCTCAGTCAAGTGCAGTGATTCATGCTCATAATCCCAGCACCTTGGGAGACCGAGGCAGGAGGATCGCTTGAGGCCAGGAGTTCAAGACCAGCCTGGGCAACATAGACAGACTGTTTCTCTACAAAAATAAAAATAAAAAAATTAGATGGACTGTATTCCTGGAGAGTGGGGGTGGTGAAGGGGAGTAGGCTCAGTCAGGAAGATTACTTGAGCCCAGGAGTTCAAAGCTGCAGTGAGCTATGATTGTTCCACTGCACTCCAGCCTGGGTGATAGAGTGAGACCTGTCCTAAAAAAGATAGATAAATAAAATACAATAAATCTCATGTACTATTCAAATTAACTTAAAATGACATCTGCACTCCTACTGTATTTCTGCTGGACAGCACTGCTTTAGTAGCTGCAATTTTGTTTCACATCTTGGGTAGCCTCAATAGCTGCTATGGTTTGAATGTCTCCTCCAAAGCTCATGCTGAGATTTAATTGCCACTGAGGTGATTAGATCACGAGGGCTCTGCCCTCATGAATGGATTCATATTCTTATCACAGGGTTTGACCTCCTTCTTCCTGTCCCGCTCTCCTGCCTTCCATCCTTCCGCTATGGATGATCCTCACCAGATGCTGGAAGCATGCTCTTGGACCTCTCAGGCTCCAGAACTTTGAGCCAAATAAACTTCTCTTCTTTGCAAATACCCAGTCTGTGGTATTCCGTTATAGCAGCAGAAAACAGACTAAGACAATAGCTCAGAATCAAACATAACAAAGAGAAAAACACACAAGAAGGACAGTAGACTGGAAAAGAGGAATTCAAGTATTTCTTCGCCAATATTTTTTTTTTTTGAGATGAAGTTTCACTCTTGTCACCCAGGCTGAAGTGCAATGACATGACCTCGGCTCACTGCAACCTCTGCCTCCCGGGTTCAAGTAATTATCCTACCTCAGCCTCCTGAGTAGCTGGAACTATAGGCATGCACCACCACGCCCGGCTAATTTTTTGTATTTTTAGTAGAGATGGGGTTTCGCCATGTTGGCCAGGCTGGTCTTGAACTGCTGACCTCAGGTGATCCATGCGTCTCGGCCTCCCAAAGTGCTGGGATTACAGGCGTGAGCCATTGCGCCCAGCCTTCTTTGCCAATCTTTCACTGTGCAACTTCTAATGTGACTACAAGTGTCCCCCAGTGTTCATTTTCCCTTTTTTCCTTTTGGTAAGAGAACATCCCTGGAGTTTCATCTGGGCGTGTGGCTACTCAGACTACATTTCCCAGCCTCCCCTGCAGCTAGACTAGGCGATGTGACAAAACTCCTTCCAGTGACCCATGCCCAGGAGTGATATGTGCAACACTGTGTCACTTGTGTAAAGGAAAATTGCTTGTTGTCCTCCACCTCCTTTTTGTCCCTTTGTCACAGGCTAGAACAAAGATGTAATGGTAACCCAGCTTCAACCAAAGAGGCTGGGACAATACCTTGTGGAATAGTAGGGTAATAAGAAGGGAGAACCCTTAATCCCTGAATGATCACATGAACCCTTAGTCTGGGTTACTCATGTGTGGGTTTGGACTGTCAGTTGGTAAAATAAACTTCAATCATATTTAAGCCTCTGAATTCTGGTGTATCTTTGTTACAGCAGTATAGCCTGCCCTCTAACAAATACAGGTACTTTCACGTGCATTCTTTCATTTGTCTCACAGTCATCTTCAGAAAGAACTTGTGATTCCATTGTGCAAATTGGGAAACGAAGGTTCAAAGATCTGTCAACATGACCAAAGCAACATAAACTAGTATGTGACAGAGCTGGTATTCTAACCTAGATCTCATCTAATGAAACCATAACTGCTGCAATAAAACTGGTGCTGCAGCTCTGAAAAAGGGTAAAAATCTGATCTTTCCATTTAAAAGCAATTTAAACGTATCGAAAATCTGAAAAACAGGGGGAACAAAACCATTCCTAATTTACCACTCCAACACTTCCACTATGATCCTTCTATAATATTCCCTTTCAGTTTCTTTCCATGCTCTCTGTAATGGGTTGAATGCTGGGCCCCCAAAAGACATGTCCATATACCAGAACCTGTGACTGTAATCTTACTTAGGAAAGAGGTCTTTGCAGATGCAATTAAAGATCTTGAGATTCGATCATCATAGATTACCTAGGTGCTCCCTAAATCCAATGACAAGGGTTCTTATTGGAGATGGAAGACACTAAGGGAAGAAGAGACAGGTATGTGAAGACAGAGGCAGAGATCAGAGTGATGCAGTCAAAAGCCAAGGAATGCCTGAGCCACCAGAAACTGTAAGAAGCAAAGAAGGGTTCTCCCCTAGAGACTTCGGGAGTGTGGCCACGCCAACATCTTGATTTTGGACTTCTGGCCTCCAGAACTCTGCCAGAATACATTTCTGTTGTTGTAAGCCACCAAGTTTCTGGCAATTTGTCACAGTAGCCCTATGAAACTAATATACTTCCTTTTTGTAAATAGATGCAACCCTATGAGCTATATACTTTTGCTTCCTCTTTTTCTCCCACTTTATATCATAACCATTTTTCTGAATTACTACTTTTTAATCCTAATTTATAATGATTTCCCCCACAGTTGGGCTTATAGGTAATTTTTGGTTTGGGTTTGCAAAGGATCTCTCTCAGACACACAGCTGTCTGCATGCTTTGCAAGGTTGATGTTTCATCCTGACACTGTGAGTGCACCCAACACCAGCCTTGTCATGGTCAGAGCCACGCCCATCCCGCGTGGAAGCTGAGCGAAGCCACAGGGCAGGGCTGGCCTTGGAGAGCCCTGCCACTCACCCGCACATCCTGCTGCCTGTTTCTCACATCATCCAGTGCTCTCGACGCCCCGTTGATCTGACTGTACATGACAGTTAGTTTGTGCCTCAGGGTGGCCTGCAGGGAAAACAAATGAGGTTGAGAATGCACCTCTTCAGCCCAGCCCCACCAGAAGCCATCCCTGGAACTATCCCACAGGATAGATTCCTTCCTCTTCCACTCCACCCAAGTCTTGCCACCCCAAGTCCTGTCACCCGAGTCTTGCCTGCTTGGAGCTTTTTGAAGCATTCTAATACTTACTACTTCCCTTCATCCTTTTCAGAGGACAGTACAGACCAGGGTTCCAGTCCCAACTCCCAGCTGTGCAACTGTGTCCTTCACCTCAGTTTTCTTGGACACAAAATAGATACAACTGTCCCCAGCTCACAGGGCTATTGGGAGGATTAATTGAAACAATGTAAGTACTCAGCCCAATGCCTGGATCTTAGGAAAAACATACTAAATGCCAGCTTATATTATTATGAGTTTTTCTCTAATTACCCATTTTACAGCCAATGAAACTCAAGCAAGGAGGACAGAAAGGTGGCCAAGCTCACACAGGAACAGAACGAGCTGGGACAGCTGCTTCGGTAATGGCAGGTGGGGCCACTCAGACCAATCCTCCCACTGCAAACAGCCAGGAAAGCAGTCCAAATAATGGGGCAGCGGGGAGATCTGCTAAAAGATGCTGGAGAGCCAATCAAGCAGAGGATTAAGAAGTCAAGGTCCAGGAGAAGGGGGAAGGGGGCCCAGAGAGATAAGCCTGATATCTAGGATGTTCTCTCCAGAGGCATCTGCCAATCCCAGAACAAGGCTGGGAGCCTTTGTCAGCCTCACAGGGCAGGGAGACAGAAATCAGAGTCCAAGGCTCACTGCAGACTGGGACCACCAAGGGCTGGGAATAAGATGAATCAGCCAGCCAGGCGCAGTGGCTCATGCCTGTAATCCTAGCACTTTAGGAGGCCCAGGCAGGTGGATCATTTGCTCTCAGGAGTTCGAGACCAGCTTGGGCAACATGGCAAAACCCTGTCTCTACTAAAAATACAAAAATTAGCCAGGTGTGGTGGTGCACACCTGTAGTCCCAGCTACTTAGGGGGCTGAGGCAGGAGGATCGCTTGATTCCGGGAGGTTGAGCCTGCAGTGAGCTGAGATGGCATCACTGCACTCCAGCCTGGGTGACAAAGTGAGACCCTGTCTCAAAAAAAAAAAAAAAAAGATGAAGTAGCTCACAGGGGCTGAAGCCCAGGTGCAAATCTGCTCAGTCCTAGCCACCTCCAGAAACAAAGGCAAACTGTATATGAAGGAAGCTAATATCCTCATCTGATTTCAATTAATTTTCATAATCAATATCTGAGTCTCCTACCTCCCTGCTCAGATGAATACTGCACAGAAATGGGAAGGAAAATCACCACCACCATAACAGCAGCAGCCAGTATTTATTATGCACTTACTGTATGCCAGGCACTGTTCTAGTGCTTTACCTGTATTAACTTACTTAAAGCTAAGAACAACACTATGAGGTAGGAATTACCCAGCCTTTACAGACAAGGACACTGAGGCACAGAACAATTAAGTGACTTGCCCCAGCTACACTACTAGTAACTGGCACAGCTAAGATCCCGATATTAAAATCATAGACACATGCCCAAACTGAGCATGCTGGAGATTTCTAGAAAAAAAAAATTTCCTTCCCGTAACTAGCAGGCTCAACATACTCTGGCTCTCTCTTCCACTTCCCAGACTCTTCAACTCCACCCAAGATATTCTGGGCGGAACCTGATCTTGAATCTAGATTTGAACAACCCAGTGACAGTCACATGTAGGGGTTGGAGGCAGGGACCAAGGCCACACTAACTCAATCCGAAAAGCCCAAGCTGCTCATGATGTTTCAAACTTGACCTCTGTGACACTGCCCTTCGACCTGGCCTCTAACAGTGGCCAAGATAAGGTGTGGGCCAAAGACCAGGCCTACATACATCCGGCCTTGCTGGCCTCAGAGCAAGAAGAGACCTCAGAACACCCCAAGGCTGCCAACTGCTTCACTTTCAAGAGCTGCTCATAGCACTACACCCTGAGCCCTATATTTTGAAAGATTTGATACACCATTAATCAAACACATGCGGCAGTACCCTCATCATGAATGGTGCCCACACGACTCCAGACCAAAGGAAAGTGACCCAAAAACTTTGGTAGCAGCAATAATCCCCTAATCAAAGGCAAAGGACTTTTTGAAATCCTGAGGATCCCTTCACAGACTAGAGACTTGGGTCTTCCACATGGGAGGCACCAGAGTCTCAAGTCCGACCCCACCAGTGGCCAAGGCAACCCAGCCCCCGAGGCTAAGGGCATTGCCCAGCTGAGACTGGCTCTGCCAACAGTGATGAGCAGCAGTAGCAGGGCTCAAAAAGCAGACCTGTTATAGGACTCAGCAAGTCAGGACAGGGGGGTAGGTGTTGGCAGAGGAAGGCCTGTTGTTAGGATTAAACAGCAGAGTTTAGGCCAGGCTCCTGGCTCACGCCTGTAATCCCAGCACTTCAGGAGGCTGAAGTGGGAGGATCCCTTGAGGTTGGGAGTTCAAGACCAGCCTGGACAACATAGTGAGATCCCGTCTCTACAAAAAATGTTTTAAAATATTAGCTGGGTGTGGTGGTGCGTGCTTGTAGTCCTAGCTACTCAGGAGGCTGAGGCAGGAGGATCACCTGAGTCCAGGGTTTAAGGTTATAGTGAGCTATGATCATGCTACTGTAGTCCAGCCTGGGTGACTGAGTGAAAACCTGTCTCTAAAAGAAAAGATTAAAAAATATATATATATGGGCCGGGCGTGGTGGCTCACGCTTGTAATCCCAGCACTTTGGGAGGCCGAGGCGGGTGGATCACAAGGGCAGGAATTCGAGACCAGCCTGGCCAACATGGTGAAACTCAGTCTCTACTAAAAATACAAAAATTAGCTGGGCATGGTGGCGCAGGCCTGTAGTCCCAGCTGCTCGGGAGGTTGAGGCAGGAGAATCGCTTGAACTCGGGAGGTGGAGGTTGCAGTGAGCCGAGACCGCACCACTGCACTCCAGCCTGGCGACAGAACAAGACTCCAACTCAAAAAAAAAAAAAAATTCTGATTTTATAGCCAGGCCCCATGGTAGCACACCTGTAGTTCCAGCTACTCAGGAGGCTAAGATGGGAGAAGGATTGAGGCCAGGAGTTCAAGACCAGCCTGAGCAACATAGTGAGATCCCATCTTTACAAAAGAATTTTTTAAAACTTAGCCAGGTGTGGTGGCTCACATTTGTAGTACTACCTACTCAGGAGGCTGAGGCAAGTGGATCACCTGAGCCCAGGAGTTTGAGATTACAGTGAGCTATGATCACCCCACTGTACTCCAGCCTGGGTGACAGAGTAAGATCCTGTCTCTAAAAGAAGAAAAAAAAAAGCCAAGTTTAGAGCCAGGCACGGTGGCACACCTGTAGTCCCAGCTACTCAGGAGGCTGAGATGGGAGGATCCCTTGAGGCCGGAAGTTCAAGAACATCCTAGGCAACATAGCAAGACCCTGTCTCTAAAAGAAAAGAAAAAAAAAGCCAAGTTTATATGCTACACAAAGCTGGATGCAGACCCCCAACTCTGACCTTGCTCAGGCTACTGTCTCCTCTGACAACACGAAGACGGGTCTTGTTCTCCCTGAAGGTGCTGTGAGAATGAAATGAAATCAGGCCATGCTTTGGATCTTAGGCTGATGTAACAAAAGGTGGTTTGATTTCAGCCTCTGCTTTGAGGCCACAAGGGGAAGGTATGATCCCCAAACCACCTAAAAACATTGCAGACCTGAAAGGCCCTTAGGAATCCACCTAGTCCCACAGCCTCACTATACTGGTGAGGACCCAGGTCCAGGGGCCAAACCCCATGCTCAAAGTCACACGGCCAGGACGGAGGACACTATGGTGCAAGAGTGTTGGCTCTCCCTGTGGCTCTGATCCAGTGATTACTGGGACGCTGCCCACCCTCCCTCTTAGGCCTCTAATAACAACCCTTCCTGATCACAGGAACTCTCCGGCCCACCAAAGGCTTTTGCTTACATGACCTCAAGCTTCCTGGACTGTTTGGTGCTCCGGACTCTACGGACCTGGATACGAGGCTGGTCCATGGGAAGAAATGCAAACTATGAAATCGAACCAACCCGGGTCACAATGCCTGCGTGGCTATTTACTGCATTAGGTCAGGCTAAGTTCATTTCTCTGGACCTCAGTATCCTCAACAGTAAAATGAAACTAAATCATATCCACCTCCTGGGTGCCACCAGGACTTCGTGAGGGAACAGAGGTAACCTCCAACGTTCATAGTTGACATTCAAAACCCTCTACTAAACACCATCAGATGGTGGGGCGCAGTGGTGCACGCCTTTAAAGACCTCCTAGCACTTTAGGAGGTCGAGGTGGGCAGATCGCTTGAGCTCAGGAATTCGAGACCAGCCTGGGCAACATGGCGAAACCTCATCTCTACAAAAAATTAGCGAGCCTGTGGTCCCAGCTACTTGGGAGGCTGTGGTCCCAGCTACTCTTGAGGCTGAGGTAGGAGGATCCCTTAAGCCCGGGAAGTCGAGGCTGCAGTGAGCTGTGATTCCGCCACTGCACTCCAGCTTGGGTGAGAGGGACGAGACCCTGTCTCAAAAAAATAAAAATAAACACCATCAGACAATGACAGGATTATGGCAAGCAACCTAACCTGTCTTCATGGATGATGGGAAGGGACTATATAATCTCCCATCCCCTTTCTACTCTGACATTGGAGATGCCCCGGCCTCGAATTCAGGCCCATCTCCCCAGGGCGTCCAGAGTGTGGCAGAGAGGCCCCCGGTGGCCCCTCTGCACCACCCATCAGGCCAGGCTGCCCTCTGCACCCAGCAGGCCGTTCCCTACCTCCAGGTCGGCGCTGGCCTGGCTCAGGGACGCGGGAGAGCAGGTCTTATGCTCCACCAGGCAGATGTGGCAGATGCACTCGCTGTGCTCGGGGCAGAAAAATTCCCGCAGCCGATTGTGCTGGGAACATTTGCGGCGCAACAGGTCGCGAACGGGCGGCTGCAGCGGGTGGTCCTGGAAGGCGGGGCTGTCGAAGTGCGGCTGCAGGTGCTCCTGACAGAAGGAGGCCATGCACACCAAGCACGTCTTCACGGCGGCCTCCTTCAGGCAGTGGTCGCAGGCCACCTGGGCATTCGGGCTGGGTGCAGAGGCGCGGGCGGGCGGCGTCCAGACGTCGGCGGGTGGCTCCCGGGCCAGGTCGGCCTGCAGGAACTGCTCCACCACGTTGCACAGCACCGTGTTCTTGTGCAGCTGCGGTCGCGCCTGGTAGACGGCGCGGCACTGCGGGCACAGGTATGGCGAGCCCTGGACTGCCCACGTCTCATTCAGGCACGACCCGCAGAAGTTGTGGCCGCACGGAGTGGTGACCGGCTCCTTGAAGGGCTCCAGGCAGATGGAGCACGACAGCTCCTCGGCCAGGGGGCACAGCTCTGCCATGGCGCTCCCAGGGGTCGGGACACAACTGCTGCACCCGCGCTCCGAGGCCGCCGAGGAAACGAAACCTAGCTCGAGAGGAGCAGTCCCTGAAGCCGTCAGGAAGTCACGTGGGGTGCGGGGGGGCGGGCGGCGAGGACTGGGCGGGCCTCGCGAGGTACTCCCGGGAGCCTGCGGGCACCGCAGTCCCAGTCGCCCATGAGCTGGCGAAGGTCGGCCGCGCTCCGATCCCCAAGAGCTCCCGCGGGCTGGGCGCGGGACGCCGGGCTCGGCCTTAGCCCCCGGGATTTAGAGCATCCTCGCGACCACCCGGAGGCTTCTGGGGGCCACTCTGCGGATGAGGAAGCTGACGCCTGGGTGCAGAACCCCGGACCCCCGGATTCAGAGCCCAGGTCCAGCCGCGCTTCCGCACAAACTTGCGCTCGGAGCAAGTCCCCTCCTTCCCAGCACTCATCTGAGACCAGAGGTGTCCCCACCGTCCCCGCTAGCAGCGCTGGTTATATTGTGGGCCAACCTTTAAAAAAATAAAAAGGAACTGTTAAACCACAGTGCTTTTTTTCTTCTTCTTTTTTCTTTTTTTTAATCCTTCCTCTTTCCTCTTCCCGGACTCGGACATGCGGACATACAATCCCGGAAGACTGGAGGCCGTAGTCACACACTCAAATTTAAACCTGGTGATTTCTTTCCATTCTACTGATGTATCATGCTTTTATAAAAATTCCCATTTCTACTTTCCTGGGATTTGGAGTTACCCAGTTTAACAAAGGCTTTCTCTCTCCTTCTCTCTCTGTCTCTCTCCCTCGCTCGCTCGCTCTCTTTCTCTCTGTCGCGCGCGCGCACACTCACACACACAATATTGGAACTTAAATATTTTTCTCAAAGTTATTGATTTAAACTTACTTCCTTTAATATTTTCTTTTGCTCTGTTTTCCCTCCTCTGGCTTGACTGCAGGACATATGGGTGGACAGGAGAGTAGAAGTGTTCAAAAGAGGGGGGATGGTGGCAAAGAGAAGGATGGTGTTTTGGAAGGAGTTAGTTGGAGTTTGCTTTGGGGACAGAGTGAGTAGCAAAATGAGGAAAAGGTAAATGTCTTAGATTACCTTGTAATAGCTACTATTTATGGGGGGGTACCTTTTGTGTGCTAGATAAGTCACATGGTTATCTCTTATAATCCTTATAAACCCCTGCAAGACTGCCAGTCCATTTTAGGAATGAGAGTCTCAATTTATGCAAAGCAGGACTGGGACTGTAGCTCAGGATCGCTGACCTCCCCATTGTCACTCACTCCTGGTCCCCCTAATTCTTGTTCTGCAGACTCCTTTTCCCCTAAAACCTTTTACCATTTACCTTTTATGTATTCCCTTTCTTTCTTTTCTTTTCTCTTCTCTTTTCTTTTTTTTTCTTTCTTTCTTTTTCTTGACAAGGTTTTGCTCTGTTGTCTAGGGTGCGGCACTCCTCCCAAGTAGCTGGGAATACAAGCACGTGCCACCACACCCAGCTAATTTTTGAAAACATTGTTTTGTAGAGACAAGGTCTCTGTACGTTGCCTGGGCTCATTTTGAACTTCTGACCTCAAGCAACCCTCCCACCTCAGCCTCTCAAAGTGCCAAAATTACAGGCATGAGCCACCATGGGCCTGTCCCACATCTTGTTTGCACAGAGAGGAGGAAGACAGAAGAATGAGGGGATAGGAAATGAAAGCTATGCATAGAATCTCATTTCACCAAAAAAAAAAAAAAATTACAGATGAGAAAACTGAGGCTTAGAGAAACTAAATAGTGTGTCTAAGAATGGACATTGGCACACAGCCCATCTGCTTTCCAAAGCCAGGAGTTTCCTACCATAAAATGCTGCCTCCAAAGGGAGGAGTGGAGCAGTTTCCAGGAAACACTGTGAAATCCCCTCTGACCTATTTATCATGGGTGAGGTGGCCTAGTGATTCATGCCAGAATGTGGAATTCACTTTCCAGGCTGGTTGGTTTAGAAGGGCTTGTTAGACCAATGAGGATGAATAGGAGGGCCATACTTTATCAAATTCCATGCAGTAGATATTTACTAAGACCTACTGTGCAATAGGCATGCAACAGACTGAGTGCTAAATGAGTAAGATGTGAGTCAAACCTGGGCCTGCCTTCTAAAACAGGAAGAAGACAACAGCATAAAGCAGTAAAGAGAAATATGGGGAGAAGTCAGGTCCTGCTAGGGGTATGGATTCCTCATCTGGACAGTAAGAATCCCAATAATACCTTCTTCATGGGATGTTGTAGAATAAAAATGTAACACATGAGCCCGTCACGGTGGCTTACATCTGTAATCCCAGCACTTTGGGAGGATGAGGCAGGTGCATCACTTGAGGTCAGGAATTTGAGACCAGCCTGGTCAACATGGTGAAAACTCTGTCTCTACTAAAAATACAAAAATTAGCTAGGCATGGCGGCAGGCACCTGTAATCCCAGCTACTTGGGAGGCTGAGGCAGGAAAGCAGGAGAATCACTTGAACCCGGGAGGCGGAGGTTCTAGTGAGCAGAGATCGTGGCACTGCACTCCAGCCTCAGCAACAGAGTGAGACTCCACCAAAAAGAGAGAGAGGAAGGAAGGAAGGAAGGAAGGAAGGAAGGAAGGAAGGAAGGAAGGAAGGAAGGAAGGAAGGAAGGAAGGACACACGTAAATCCCAGCGATTTTATTTAATTTTGAGACGGAGTCTCGCTCTGTCTTGCCCAGGCTGGAGTGCGGTGGCGCCATCTCAGCTCACTGCAACCTCCACCTCCTGGGTTCAAGCGATTCTCCTGCCTCAGCATCCCGAGTAGCTGGGATTATAGGCACGCACCACCATGCCCGGCTAATTTTTATATTTTTAGTAGAGATGGGGTTTCATCATGTTGGCCAGGCTGATCTCGAACTCCTGACCTCAGGACCTGCCCACCTTGGCCTCCCAAAGTGCTGGGATTACAGGCATGAGCCACCGTGCTGGGTGGTGCCCGGCCTTGTTTCTTTTGTGTTTTTTGTTTTGTTTTGTTTAAACACACATGAATTACAGTAATATAGGCAGGATTGGGGCATCATGAGTGTTAATCCTTAAATGGGCTTTGGAGGTCCAGGGACTGTCCCCAGGGCTGGAGGGTGTGTTTATCATCAGTAACCACAGTAGAACAATGTTGTCAAGTCAAATATGACCCAGCTAGTCAAAAGGGAGCTATATGGCCTAATCCAGCAGATGGCTGGCTATCTTAATCAGATTCTCACTCTGCATCTGTAGGCTAGGAAAATTAGGTGGAGTAATAAACTTTGTCTGCAAATATAATCTGCCAATTATTTCTACCAATGACAATTCATAGAATTTAAGGTCAGATTGTGGGTGTGGTTCTAACACCCAGTGCTCCAGTCCTCAACACTTTATGAAGGACATCTGTTCCTTTTCTCATTTGAAAGATGACCAGAGAAGTCTAAATGACCTACAATCACACAAACGGCTACAGACAAAGTCCTAGGATTATCATTCCTGAGATATGGAAAAGACTATGGTGCCCATGCCCCCACATGATGAAATTTTAAAACAAGCAAGCAAACAAAAATCTATTCTTAACCAGAAATTAAGTGTAAAGAGTTCTAACAAAATTTCTATCTTTTCCATAATAACTATGATCATTTTGTTGTTGAGGTACTCTCTTTTATTTTATCAATACTTTTCTAAACAACACTGATCATAGTTTTTTTTCTTTCTTGATTTGGCCAATATGGTGAATTATACTAATGAAACATCAAACCAACCATGCATTCCTGAAATAAACCCCCTTGGTCATGATGCATTATTGTTTTATAAATTGCTGGATTTGATTTGTTGGTGTTTTGTTAAGGGTGTTTACATCTGTGTGCATGAGGGATGGTAGTCTAAAATTTTCTTGTAATATCTTTGTCAGGATTTGCTATCAAGGTCATGCCGTATTCATCAAAATGAATTGAGAACTGTTCTTTCCTGTATTTTCTGAGCTTGTGTAAAATTGGCATTATTTCTTAAATGTTTGATAGAATTCATGGATTCTGAACCTCTTGAACTGGTCTTCTTTGTCTTTTTGCTCGCCTTCTAGGAAATTTCCTTAACTTTCTCTTCTATTAAAGCTATCCCGGGGCACATGACGTCAGGACCTCCTGAGGCTGAGTCACAGTCATGTGTCCTTAAAAAAAACAAAAAAACAAAAAAAAAAAACTATCTTGGCCTGGAATTTTCTTCATAAGAAGGTTTTAAATTACTAATTCAGTTTTTTTAACTGTTATAGGAATATTCAGCATTTTTGTTTCTTCTTTTGTTTATTTTTACTTATTTTTTACCTTCCTGGCTTTTATTTCTTCTTGTGTCAGTTTTTGGTAAGTTGTCTTTTTCAAGGAATTTGTTCATTTTCTTTAATGAATTTATGGCCAAAAGATTGTAATATTGCCATATTATTATTATTCCTTTATTATTTTTTTTTAACCTGGCTCATTACTGACAGACCTTTCCCATTATTTTGTATTTTACATTATATTTTGTATTGAGATATAATTCATATATGATAAAATTCATATTTTTAAGTGTACAATTTAATGTGTTTTGTATGTTCAAAAGGTTGTACAACCATCACCACTATCTAATTCCAGAACATTTTCATTATTCCAAAAGAAATTCTATACCCATTTAGTAGTTATTCTCCATTCACCTCTGTATCCCAGCCCCTGGCAATGACTAGTCTACTTTCTGTCTATATGGATTTGCCTACTCTGGACATTTCATATAAATGGAATCAAACATTATGTTCTGTTACACCTGGCTTCTTTCACTGAGCACGTTTCAAAGTTCATCCATATTGTAACCTGTATCAGTAATTTGTCCCTTTTATGGCTACCTAATATTTGGCCCTTTTACGGCTACAATCATAGATATATCACATATTTTGTTTATCCACTCATCCATTGATGGACCTTTGGGTTGTTTGCACTTTTTGACTATTATAAAGAATACTGCTATGAACATTTCTGGTTTTGTATGAACATGTGTTCTCCGTTCTCATGGGGACATATACCTAAGTGGAAATGCTGTGTCATGTGGTAATTGTGTGTGTAACATTTCCAGGAACTGCCAACTGTTTTCGAAAGCCAGTGTACCATTTTATAATCTCACTAGCAGTATATGAGGGCTCCGGTTTTGCAACATTTGTTATTGTCCATCTTTTTTAGTATAGTTCTCCTAGTGGGTGTGAAGTGTTACATCATTATGGTTATGATTAGCATTTCCCAATGACAATGACTAATGATGTTTAGCAACCTTTCATGTGTATGTTGGGCATTTGTATATCTTCTTTGGAAAAAATGTCTATTGGAATCCTGTGCCTTTTGTTTTTTTTTTTTTTTTTTTTTGAGACAAGGTCTTGCTCTGTTGCCCGGGCTGGAGTGCAGTGGTGTGATCACAGCTCACTATAGCCTCAACCTCCTGGGCTCAACCTCCCAAGTAGCTGGGACCACAAGTACTTGCCAACACATCCATCTAATGTTTTAGTTTTTTATAGAGACAGGGTCTCACTATGTTGCCCAGGCTGGTCTCAAACTCCTGGCTCAAGCAATCCTCCTGCCTCAGCCTCCCAAAGTGTTGGGATTACAGGCATGAGCCACCACACCTGGCCTCTTCTATGAGATTTATAGTTTAGCTCTTCCATTTAGGTCTTTGATCCATTTTGAATTAATTTTTATATATGGTGTGGGGTAGGGGTCCAATTTCATTCTTTTACATCTAGTTATACAAACACCATTTGTTGAAAAGGCTATACTCTCCCCAGTCGAAATATCTTGGCAACCTGGCTGAAACCAATTCTCCCTAAATGCATGGGCTTATTTCTGGACTCTCAATTCTATTCTGTCTATGTCTCTCCTTATGCCAGCACCACAGTCTTGATTACTATATCTTTGTGATAAATTTCACAATCAGGAAATGTGAGTCTTTCAATTTTGCTCTTCTCTCTCAAGATTGTTTTAGCTATTCTGGGTCTCTTGAATTTTAACATCAGCTCTTCAATATCTGCTAAAATTCCAGCTCAGATTTTAATGGGGATTGTGTTGAATATGCAGATCAATTTGAGGAGTCATTTGGAGTATTGCCATCTTAACAATATTAAGTCTTCAGAGTTATGTACATGCGATGTCTTCCCATTTATTTAGTTCTTTCATTTCTTTCAATAAGTTTTTTTAATTTGCGGTGTACAATTCTTGCACTTTGTTAAATTTATTCCTAAGTATTATATTCTTTTTGATTCTATTGTAAATAGAATTGTTTTCTTTTTTGTTTGTTTGTTGGTTTGAGATGGAGTTTCACTCTTGTTGCCCAGGCTGGAGTGCAATGGCACGATCTTGGCTCACCACAACCTCCGCCTGGTGGGTTCAAGTGATTCTCCTGCCTCAACCTTCCTGAGTAGCCAGGATTACAGGCATGCGCCACCACGTCTGGCTAATTTTGTATTTTTTTTTTTTTTAGTAGAGATGGGGTTTCTCCACGTTGGTCAGGTTGGTCTCAAACTCCTGATCTCAAATGATACCCCTGCCTCAGCCTCCCAAAGTGCTGGGATTACAGGCATGGGCCACCGCCCCTGGCCGGAATTGTTTTCTTAATTCATTTTCAGATTGTTCACTGCTATTGCATAGAAATATAATTGATTTTTGTATATTGATCTTGTGTCCTGCAACTTTGCTGGACTAGTTTATTACTTATAATAGTTGTTATGTGTTAATTTGTTAGGATTTTCTACATACAAGATTATGTCATCTGTAAGTAGAAATAGTTTTACTTCTTCCTTTCCAATATTTTATTTTTTAATTTATTTGTATCTTGTAATTTTTATTTTTATTTCCTTTTTGGTCAGTTGTTCTGGCTAGAATCTCCAGTACAATGCTGAACATAAATGGCAATAGGAAACATCCTTGTCTTGTTCTTCACCTTAGGGAAAAATTTTTTAGTCTTTCACCACTGAGTATGAGGTTAGCTATGGGTTTTTTATAGATGCCCTTTATTAGGTTGAAGAAATTTTCTGCTCCTAAATTGCAGAGTATATTTATCATTAAAGTGTGTTGGATTTTGTCAAATGCTTCTTCTGAATCTATTTAGATAACTATGAGTTTTTACTCTTTTATTAACATGGTGTAATTGTACTGATTTTCATATGTTGAAAAAACTTCGCACTCCTGAGGTAAATCCCACTTGGTCATAGTGTATAATGGTGTATATTACGGAAAAAAAATGCTTTTTATACATTGCTGAATTTGGTTTGCTAGTATTTTGTAGAGAATTTTTGTGTCTATATTCATAAGGGATATGATTCTGTAATTTTTTCTTGTGATGTCTTTGGCTAATACTGGCCTCAAAGAATGAATTGGGAAATGTTCTCTATCCTTTTATTTCTTGGAAGAGTTTGTGATGGATTGATGTTAATTCTCTTTAAATATCTGCATAATTCACCAGTGAAGCTACCTGGTCCTGGGCTTTTCTTTCAGGGAAGAATTTTGATTACTAATTCAATCTCTTTGCCTGTTATAGGCCTATTCGAGTTTTCTATTTCTTCTTAAGTTGGTTTTGGTAATTTGAGTTTCCAGGAATGTGTCCATTTAATCTCGGTTATCTAATTTGTTGGTATGCAATTATTCACAGTATTCCTTTATAATATTTTTTTCCTTCTGTAAGGTCAGTAGTAATATCCTGACTTTTATTTTTTTTATTTTTTCTTTTTTTTTTCGAGATGGAGTTTCGTGCTTGTCGCCCAGGCTGGAGTGCAATGGCAGGATCTCGGCTCACCGTAACCTCTGCCTCCTGGGTTCAAACGATTCTGCCTCAGCCTCCCAAGTAGCTGGGACTACAGGCGTGCGCTATCACACCAAGCTAATTTTTGTATTTTTAGTAGAGACAGGGTTTCACCATCTTGGACAGGCTCGTCTCGAACTCCTGACCTTGTGATCCACCCGCCTCGGCCTCCCAAAGTGCTGGGATTACAGGCATGAGCCACCACACCTGGCCACGACTTTTATTTCTGATTTTAGTAATCTGAGTCTTCTTTTTTATTCTCGTTCTATCTAGCTAAAGTTCTGTCAATTTTATCAATCTTTTCAAAGAACCAACTTTCGACACTATTGAGTTTCTCTATTGTTTTTCTATTATCTATTTCCTTTCTTTCCACCATAATCTTTATGATTTCCTTCCTTTTGTTTCTCTGAGTTTAGTTTGTTCTTCTTTTCTACATGCCCTTTATTAAGTTGAGAAAGTCTTTTTTCCTGATTTTATAGAGTGTTTTAGTCATGAAAGGGTATTGGATTTTATCAACAAAATTGGTGATTTGAGGTTATTGATTTGAGATCTTTCTTTTTTTCTTTCCTCTTTTTTTGTAATATAGGTATGTATAGTGATAAGTTTCCTTCTAAGCATGTTTTTGACTGCATTTCAAGAGTTTTGGTATGGAATATTCTCATTTTCATTCATCTCAAACTATTTTCTAATTTCCCTTGTGATTTCTTATTTAATCCATTGGCTACTTAGGAGTATGTTGTTTAATTTCCACATATTGTTTTACTTTCCCAAATTTCCTTGTGTTACTATATTCATGGTGGTTGTGCTAAGGATGATAACATGCATCTCTAACTTAGCACAGTCTATTTACAGTTACCATGGTACAATGAGGCCGAGGTTGGGAGGATTGCTTGGGGCCGGGAGTTCAAGACCAGCCTGGGAAATATAGCAAGACCTTATTTCTAATAAATAAATCAATAAATCAAATTGCACTATTTCATATAAAATATGATAACCTTATTACATTAAAATTTCACTTACCCTCTCTTTTGCTGTTCTTGTCCATTTACTGTGGTTGTATTTAACGTCTGCATATATAGTAACCCCACAGTATTATATTATTATATTTGTTTTAAACAGTTATTAAACCTTGTTTCTTTTTTTTTTTTTTTTTTGAGACAGAAACTTGCTTTGACACCCAGGCTGGAGTGCAGTGGCATGATCTTGGCTCACTACAACCTCCGACTCCTGGGTTCAAGCCATCCTCCTACCTCAGCCTCCTGAGTAGCTGGGACCACTGGCGTACACCAGCACATCCAGCTAATTTTTGTATTTTTTGTAGAGACAGGGTTTTGCCATGTTGCCTAGGCTTTCTCAAACTTCTGACCTCAAGGAATCCTCCCACCTCAGCCTCTTGAAGTGCTGGGCTTACAGGCATGAGCTACCACGCCCAGCCAACATCAGAGTCTTTCAAAACTTTGTGTTTCTCGTGGCTTTTATTCCCCTTTCTACTGATGCCCTAAACTTAGATCATATCCACCATTTGGTTAATCCAGCGCTACCCTGTCTCCAGTTACTTTTTTTTTTTTTTTTTGAGACGGAATCTTGCTCTATCGCCAGGCTGGAGTGCAGTGGCGTGATCTCGGCTTACTGCATCCTCTGCCTCCCCAGTTCAAGTGATTCTCCTGCCTCAGCCTCCCAAGTAGCTAGGACTACAGGCACGCACCACCACGCCCAGCTAATTTTTGTATTTTTAGTAGAGATGGGGTTTCACCATGTTGGCCTGGATGATCTTGATCTCTTGACCTCGTGATCCACCCACCTCAGCTTCCCAAAGTGCTGGGATTACAGGCATGAGCCACCGCGCCTGGCCACTTTTTTTTTTTTTTTTAAGACGGGGTCTCGCTCTGTCACCCAGGTTGGAGTGCAGTGGTGTGATTTTGGCTCATTGCAACCTCTGCCTCCCAGGTTCAAGCAATTTTCCTGCCTCAGCCTCCCAAGTAGCTGGGATTACAGGTGCTCACCACCCTGCCCGGCTAATTTTTGTATTTTTAGTAGAGATGGGGTTTCACCATATTGGCCAGGCTGGTCACAAACGCCTGACCTCAAGTGATCTGCCCACCGTGGCCTCCCAAAATGTTGGGATTACAGGTGTGAGCCACCACGCCCAGCTTCCATTTACATTTTTTAAAATTTTGTTCACTCTGTCTCCTAAAGCTAAAAATGTATTAGGATCAAGAGAATGAGAAGACAAGCCACTGACTTGGAGAAAGTATTTATATAAGACGTATCTACTAAAGGACTTTTATCCAGGAAAAAAATTGCAAAAGGTTGGCTTTGAGATCTACGGTCCCCATCTCAGAAATCCTCCAATTAGCTTCCTCAGTCTTTTATAACTGAGATCAGAATAAGAACAGGGAGAGGGAGAAGAAGAAACGGAAAGACAAGAGGCACGCTCAATTATTAGCTGCTTTACAAGTCTGCCAGTCACTCTAGGCTGCCCTGAGAATACCCTCCCAGCTAATCGCTATCTGTGCGGAAAGCCAGGCTGCTGGAGGACAAAGTGCCCCAATGGGCCAAATGGGAAAAAGCCCACATGGCCTGACCCCTGTGCCAAAAGCTCAGCCACTAAAAAAGGGACTGTCCCAAGAGCCAAAAGTCCCCCACAGACCCCGATCCAATAATGGCTTTGAGCAGAATGGCTTTCTGCTCTGACTGGCTCTCAGATCTAACATCATCATCAAAGGGACAGAGACAAGGGCAACCTTAAATGTAGCAGGGAGGACAGTGAATTTTTTATTGGATTTGGGAGCAGCCTGCTCCATGTTTACCTCCCCTGGGCAACTTTCCCCTAAATCCTGTGAGGTAATAGGGGTAAATGGCACCCCTCTCGTCAGAAATTTTACACCTGATTTATGTTGTCTGTGGGACCAATTACTCTTTTCCCATCAGTTCCTGGTAATGTCTAAATGTACCACACCCCTTTTGGGCAGAGATATACTCTCTATCTGATAAAGGACTTTTATCCAACATATACAAAGAACTCTTAAGCTGGGCATAGTGGCTCCCGCCTGTAGTCCCAGCTACTCAGGAGGCTGAGGTGGGAGTATTGCTTAAACCCAGGAGTTCAAGGCTGCAGTGAGCTAGGATTTCACCACTGCACTCCAGCCTGGGTGATAGAGCAAGAGCCCCATCTCAAAAAACAAAAACAAAAACCTCTTAAAACTCTACAATAAAACAACCATTTAAAAAATGGGCAAGAGGTCTGAACAGACACCTCACTAAAGAAGATATCCAGATGGCAAATAAACATATGAAAAGATGCTCAACATCATATCATATGTCATTGGGATGGGACATATTAAGACAACGATGAGATGCCACTACACACTGTGAAAGGAAAATATCTTGGGGCTGGCCCAAAAATCACTAAGCTAAAGGGAAAAGTCAAGCTGGGAACTGCTTAAGGCAAACCTGCCTCCCATTCTATTCAGACACCCCTCTGCTCACTGAGATAATGCGTATCTGAATGCCTCCTTTGAAGGGGCTAATCAGAAATTGAAAAGAATGCTACCATTTGTCTCTTACCTACCTATGACTTGGAAGTTCCCTCCCCACCTAGAGTTGTCCCACCTTTCCAGACTGAAGCAATATTCATCTTACATATGTTGATTGATGTCTTCTGTCTCCCTAAAATGTGTAAAACCAAACTGTGCTCTGACTACATTGGGCATACATAGTCAGGACCACCTGAGGCCATGTCACAGGTGTGCATCCTCAACCTTGGCAAAATAAACTTTCTTTTTTTTTTTTTTTTTTTTTTTTTTTTGAGATGGAGTCTCACTCTGTCACCCAGGCTGGAGTGCAGTGGCGCGCTCTCGGCTCACTGCAAGCTCCGCCTCCCGGGTTCACGCCATTCTCCTGCCTCAGCCTCCCTAGTAGCTGGGACTACAGGCGCCCGCCACCACGCCCAGCTAATTTTTTGTATTTTTAGTAGAGACAGGGTTTCTCCGTGTTAGCCAGGATGGTCTCGATCTCTTGACCTCATGATCCGCCCGCCTCGGCCTCCCAAAGTGCTGGGATTACAGGCGTGAGCCACCGCGCCCGACCAAAACTTTCTAAATTAACTGAGACTTGTCTCAGATTTTCGAAGTTCACATTTTGGTAACCACAGAGGGATTCTACGTGGAGGTGCCCCTGACCTTTGACAAATCTCCTATTGGTGCTTGGCACCAGCTTGAGCTATCTTTATGGCTCAAACCAATAGGACAATTTGCTGAGGCCTGGAAGCACACCCTCCAGAGAATCTCTGATTTCCCAATATTTGATTGAGATCTAAAGTTTATTTTGCTGTGCAACTCTTTTTTGGAGTTTTACTTGCTTCCAACACAAGGAAGGCAAGTTTTTCCTGCTTCCATGACGATGGAAAGCAGGTAACTCCTTTATGGAGTTTCAGCTCACTTACAACAGGGAAGATGAGGTTATTTTTTTCCTGCTTCTAGGATGGTAGAGAGCTGTCTTCAGCCTGAGACCCATCCCTAGGTAAGTAACTGAATTGGGGTTTCTCTTGGCTAAATTTAAGATTAACCACCAGCTGGTGTGGTGAGGGGAGAAAAACAGCCAGCAGAAGAAAAAAAATGTGGAAAAATTTTGACTACTAAGGGGCTTTATTTACATAACAAGGCCACCATTTTGCTAGCCAGGCTGAACTGAAAGAGCAATGGCTGTACTTCTGAAATAGCAGCAATTGTCCTCACTGAAATATGGTAATAAGATTTAAAAAGATTTTTTTAAAGGAGCTCAATAGTTAAAAGTCACCATTAATTTAAAGCTAACATCCAAGATGTGTGTGTATCTG
Source organism: Homo sapiens (assembly GCF_000001405.40). Classification (NCBI taxonomy): domain Eukaryota; kingdom Metazoa; phylum Chordata; class Mammalia; order Primates; family Hominidae; genus Homo; species Homo sapiens. Next base: position 56,926,637 of record NC_000017.11, read on the forward strand.
TGCATATGTGTGTTTATATTTCAAAGGCCTTCATATTTTTGTTTTGTTTTTCTTCTAGGACCTTGTCTCTTTTTTGAACAAAAGTTTTTTCTTCTCAGTTGACTGAATTCTTCATTTACTTCTGCTATCTCTCCTTTCTCTTGCACCCTCTGCTGTATGAGGGACCTAAAATAGCTTATAATAGCCTGGAGTTCCTTAAAGCAAACGGAGAAGGCACCAGACTCCCTTTAGGGGAGAAACCTGTTTTTCCTTATGGAATCCCAACAGTGTAAACAGACAAGTTTGTCTAAGCCCTTAAACTGCTTGCTTTTGTATGGTGTTACCTGATTTATTGACTAAAATAGTTATTGCAACAGAGGCTACTCTTGGGTTTTTAAAGAAGCATGGGGTGTAGACACTTAAAAATGTCTTTGTTACAAAAAAAAATTTTTTAAGTCCCCTGTAAAAACATCACGTGGTTTAGCCTAATAGTAATTCTCCCTTTTTGGAGACCCAGGATTCAGTGTGGGCTCTGCCCAGAGATCCAGGTAAAAGACAGGTAAGACCTATCTAAATAAAATTGGTCTCCTTGTACAATCCTATGATACGTTTTTATAATTTTATGTTTGATCTGGCATCCATCTTTAATCTTCCTCTAGCACACCAGACTTTTTCTCTCCATACCTTATGATGTAAATTTTGCTATTTGATTTTCAACTGAGTTGTTTCCTTTAATATGCAAATTTAAGGCTACTTAACTGACAACTGCCTAGGGCTGTGAAACAGGTTATCAAGAATCTGAAAGTCTGAAATAGAAAAAAACAGGTTTTTATGAATCTATAAAATGTGCTTCTATTTGCATGCCTAATATCTCTATGTATGTGTGTGTTGTGTACACAATGTTTCACTGCTGAAAATATATAAAAGAGCTCTAATTAATTGTCTTAAGAAAATAAAAGTGTTTGAATCAAATACTTTATCAGGAAAAAAGAAAAGACTAGTCAAATGCTTTTTCAAGTTTACATACCTTAAGTAAGTACAATCTTTTTTTTTTTTTTTTGAAAGAGAGTCTCGCTCTGTCACCCAGGTTGGAGTGCAGTGGCACAATCTCAGCTCACTGCAGGCTCTGCCTCCCGTGTTCACGCCATCCTCCTGCCTCAGCCTCCCGAGTAGCTGGGACTACAGGTGCCTGCCACCATGCCTGGCTAATTTTTTGTATTTTTAGTAGAGACGGGGTTTCAACATGTCAGCCAGGATGGTCTCGATCTCCTGACCTTGTGATCCGCCTGCCTCGGCCTCCCAAAGTGCTGGGATTACAGGCGTGAGCCACTGTGCCCAGCCAAGTAAAATCTTTAATAAATAAGCTAGTTTTAAAATTATTGGTAATGGTCAGGCGCGGTGGCTCACGTCTGTAATCCCAGCACTTTGGGAGGCCAAGGCGGGCAGATCACAAGGTCAGGAGATCGAGACCATCCTGGCTAACACAGTGAAACCCCGTCTCTACTAAAAATACAAAAAATTAGCCAGGCATGGTGGTGGGCACCTGTAGTCCCAGCTACTCGGGAGACTGAGGCAGGAGGATGGCGTGAACGCGGGAGGCAGAGCCTGCAGTGAGCCGAGATCGCACCACTGCACTCCATCCTGGGCGACAGAGCCAGACTCCGTCTCAAAAAATAAATAAATAAATTTAATTATTGGTAATTTAATATTAGAAATGTCTTAAGAATTGCCAGCATACATCTTTTTGTTTGCATTTATTGACCAAGCAATTTCATACTTATCCCTGCCAAATACTACAAGGTGTCAAAATTTGACATGGGGGTTACAAAACTATAAAGCCAGCCCAAAACATAATGACCTTTGCTCATGTCGTCTTTAATAAATAAGACACTGACATTGATTTAATAAAAATAGCTGCATCTTGAATTTAATAAGATTACCATACTTCTATCTTGTGGCTTTAGGTGGTCTAGTCCACAGGCAGTAAGGTGTGTTTTCGGAAAGGACTGTTATCATCTTCGTTTCAAAGTGAAACTATAAACTAAGTTACTCCCAAAGTTCAGGAATGAACAAGGACAGCTTGGAGGTTAGAAGCAAGATGGAGTCCATTAGGTCATATATTTTTCACTGTCTCAGAATTTTGCAATGGCAAGTTTCATAACTTTAAATGATGACTATTGCAGTTTTCATAAATCTGGGTAAACAATTAAAATAGATAAATGTAATGGGATAAATACTTGCAGACAAACTTGTCATAATTTAGAATCTAAAGTTAAATTAAATAATAGGTATATCATTATTTGGGTATTTTCCAATTAAAATATATTGTAGGAAAACATTCTTTCTATTTAAAAAAATGTATCCTGGCCAGGCAGGGTGGCTCACACCTGTAATCCCAGCACTTTGGGAGGCCGAGGCAGGTGGATCACCTGAGGTCAGGAGTTCAAGACCAGCCTGGCAAACATGGTGAAACCCTGTCTCTACTAAAAATACAACAATTAGCTGGGCGTGGCGGCAGGTGCCTGTTATCCCAGCTACCCGGGAGGCTGAGGCAGGAGAATCACTTGAACCCGGGAGGCGGAGGTTGCGGTGAGCAGGGATCACGCCATTGCACTCCAGCCTGGGCAACAAGAGCAAAACTCCCCATCTCAAAAAAAAAAAAGTGTCCTTTTAAAAAAGGTGAACAATTTTTATCTGATTTAAAGTTTATTTAAAGGTCATGTATAAAACAAGGTAAAAGGAACAAAGAAATAAGAGAGATGTAAAGAAAGTTATGAAAATAAAGAGGGTTTTTTGGTAATCATTTAAAAAAGCTTAAAGAGAAATAATTTCATATGAGAAAGAATCTTGTGTGGTAAATTTAGTCCTAAAGTAAAATAACTGGTTGTTTAAGAAAGGGATGTTCAAGACAAACCAGAAAGTCCAAGCATGTCATGAATGGTCTGTATAAATCACAATAAGAGGATTTATAAAAACAAAAAAAAGTTTATATGATCAAGTTGTCATATTATTATTAAGCTTTGGTTTGCTTAGGGAAAAAATTGAGAATAAAATTTGTTTAAATTAAGGTTATTACATCTGTGTATCTCTCTGTATGCCCTTTTAAAGTACTTGTGACATTGAGTTACAGGGCTTTGACTCCTGGGTCCAAAAAGAACACCAAGTCTTGCTAAATCTTAAATACTGGCAGCAATTAAAGCCTCATCTTCAGGCCCAATAGAAGATGCTAATCAAAACAAACTGCATTCCTGAGACACAGGGCCAGAAATTAAAGCTATTCAACTCCTCAAGGCCCAGGGACTATTGCAGAAGAGGTGGGCATGTGAGATTGTAAGGGCTGATTTTGAGAGATAAAATAAGTTCAGTTTCTCTATAAATTAATCATTAATGTCAAAGGCACACTGATGCAAGACCAGCATATGGGCCCCTGTGTCAAATTAACAAGGTTTTCTTGAAGCATTAACCAACTCCTTATTAAAGGTTATAAAGGTTTATGGAAGTTATATCTTATGGTCAAGATAAAAATTTTATAGATTGCTTATAAAATTTTGGAAAAAAATTTAATTGTCTTCATGCCGTTTTTATTAGGGCTTATCATTTGGAAAATTAAGTCTCCTGTCTCAAAGAATGAAGGTTTTTGCCTTTTTAAAAAATCTTTGAATTATTACTTTGGTTAAATGAATGACTTATTTTACAATGGCCTGGGATCCTATTTTGTAATATCAAGTGTTTTAAACTTTTGGTATTTGACAAAGTTTCCAAAATTAAATGATAAATTATCTCTTTCTGACCTAAGTAACTCTTTAAGATATTAATAGGTTCCCTAAAGTCCAAAAATGACATATTTGGCTTACTTGGTATAAAAATTATACAGGAAGCATTGACAAATATGAAATGGTGTTTGGTTTTCTTTGGGCTGTATTTGTATAAATATGTTAGTCATATATGTTCCAAAATTATGGGAAACTCCTATAATACTGATATGACTTAATGTATGTTATCAGTAATAATTGTTACATTAAAGTATTACGTGCCACAGAAGTGACAGATTTCCTGTCAATTGTGTCTTTGACTATGGCTGCACTAAAACTTTTTGTCATCCACAGACAATTTTTGTCTTGTTTTGGTCCTCTTTAGAAGGTGGTTTTATAATCAGCTATAAAACTCTAATAGGTGCTCTTGAATGCAGGTTTCTGATAACTTTGGAGATTGTGACATCAGAATTAAGGAAAAACTTTCAGTACTCATGGAGAGCTTAAATGTTCATGAATATCACGCAGAACAGGAATTCACTGCATAGACTAAACTAATAGAAGTCTGAAGTAATCTTTTTAACTTTTTGCTTAAAGTGTTGCTGATCCTTTGTTTCGTTTTTCAGAATGAAGAAAACTTTTCTTTTAAGCTATTTACAGCTTTTAACAATTGAGTATGCACCCATGAACAAAATTTGGAGTCTATTTGTTTCTCTCTACCTGATTTCTACATAATTTGGAAACTGTGAGTGTTCTTAACTTATGACAATACAGTTATTTGCATAAGTGCAATAAGAATCTGTTTTAATTTGTAACAGGACACAACTGGAGAAACTAGTTATTTTACTAAGGCTTTGACTGGAATGGTGTGCTTTAAGGAATCAAACTTGACTTATAGAGCCAGTAGGAACCCCTTGGAAAAACTGGCCTCATACCTTTGTCTACAGTTCCTGTACAGGGTTTCTGACCTGTGATAAGTAAAGAATGTCACTTTCTGACAGGCCCAGGAGCACCAAGTTTATCTTGGAACCACAAGAGGAGAGGAATCACCCAACTCATAGGTATTTGATGGTACAAATCCATGGCCACGTTCAGCTTTTAAAAAGTCTTATCTGAGATTCCTTCTATGGAACAAAGTTCCATCAAAGCCAATTTAAAAGCCTATGTAAAAAAAAATTATCCTTGCTGCACTATATACAAATAATTAGGCCAAGTATAATAATGCAAATCAGTCCCATAATGATCTGTCTTTAGTAAAAATGGGAAACTGGAGAGAGAAAAATTGTTTCAAAAACTATAGTACACATGTTGCTAGATTCTAATCTTGCCTAATATTTTTCATTTTTATTATTTTTTACAGTTTGGACTGAATTCTAATTTTTCTTAGCTACAACTCTTCAAAATAATGTTTCCATTATTTTTCCTTTTTCCCCATTTTTCATAATTTGGAGTCAATAAAAACTAAGCTGTGCTTTTGTAAAGTTGTATGGCCAGGCACAGTGGCTCTTGCCTGTAATTCCAGCACTTTGGGAGGCTGAGGCGTGTGGACCACTTGAGGTCAAGAGTTCATGACCAGCCTGGCCAATGTGGTGAAACCCTATTTCTACTAAAAATACAAAAATTAGTCAAGCGTGGTGGTGCATGCCTGTAATCTTAGCTATTCAGGAGGCTGAGGCAGGAGAATCGCATGAACCTGGGAGGCAGAGGTTGCAGTGAGCCGAGATAGTGCCACTGCACTCCAGCCCGGATGTCTCAAAAAAAAAAAAGCAGCAGCTCCTTACCCATCAGTCCCTCTGCAGAGCAGTCAGTGACTATTATTACGTTTCATGCATGTCCTTCCAGAACATTTTTATCCATATCCTACATCAGGAGCCTTTTTTTTTTTTTGGAAAAAGTCTCACTCTTGTCACTCAGGCTGAAGTGCAGTGACATGGTGACAGCTCACTGCAGCCTCAACCTCCCAGGCTCAAGTGATTCTCCCACCTCAGCCTCCCAAGTAGCTAGGACTACAGGCATACCACCACACCCAAGGAGCTTCCTTTTAAAATTCAAATGAGAAATAAACTCTGTAAGTATATAATGTGCTATAATTTACTTTTTCACTTAATTCTGCACCTGTTTCTTTATGGGACATAGTGGTTGAGTACAAGTTCTGGAGAAGACAACCTGTGTTTGAATCAGGCTCTTTCATTCACTGTATTCATAGGCAAGGAGTTTAACCTCTGTGCCTCAGTTTCCTCTTCTGTGAAAGGGAGAAAATAACAGTACCTATCTCCTAAGTTATGTAAATGAATTAATACCTGTAAAGTGCTTGGAAAAACAGCTGGCACATAGCTACTGTCATTTCTACTCTCCAAAGCTTCCTTGTGATAATTTTCTTGTCTCCAGCTGTGGGTCTCCATCTGGGGCCACAGTGGCAGTGATGGCTTCTCCTATGCTGATGGTGGCCAGGCCAACATGATGGTAGGGATAGTCAGGGCTGGTCAGGGCATTCTGGTCCTAAACTACTAATTCCTTGCCCCTAAACCAACTGCTCTGTTGCAAAGCACTGGTATGCTCAAATGGCTCACATTACCTGCATTCCAAGACTTTGAGCTCTACAGCTCTGCTTACCCCAATGTACCCTACAAATATCATTATTTTATTTTATTTTTTCAAGACAGTCTTTGCTCTGTCATTTAGGCTGGAGTGCAGTGGTGCAATCATAGCTCACTGCAGCCTTGACCTCTTGGGCTCAAGTGATCCTCCCACTGCAGCCTCCTGAGTAGCTGAAATTATAGGCACACACCACCAAGCCCAGCTAATTTGTTTCTATTTTTCTGTAGAGATGCGGTCTCGCTATGTGCCCAGGCTGGTCTGGAATACCTGGCCTCCAGCAATCCTCCCACCTCAGTCTCCCAGTGTTGGAATTACAGGCATGAGCCACTGCACCCTGTCCAGACATTACCTTAATTGCCAATTTTTTTTTTTTGAGACCGAGTTTCGCTCTGTCACCAGGCTGGAGTGCAGTGGCGTGATCTAATTGCCACATTTTATATGATGAAACCCTGCCAAAACCCTGTAAATGGTGTCTCTAAATCTGGTCCCTTATCATGTGGGTTTGTGTTACTGCAAGGTTAATAAAATGATTGAGGCGAGCATCTGCAGAAGACAGGAGGCAAACACCATTCCCACTATATCCCAACTGCATTCCTCTGGGGTTTCACTGTGCTTATTTTCCTGTAATCTCTCACTAATCCATCTGTGAATGACTTCTCTCTCCTGTTCAATTTAATAACCCCACAAAACTGGGTTGGGTTTTTTTGTTTTGTTTTTGTGACAGTCTCACTCTGTCGCCCAGGCTGGACCACGGTGGTGCCATCTCAGCTCACTGCAACCTCCGCCTCCCAGGTTCAAGCAATTCTCCTGCCTCAGCCTCCCGAGTAGCTGGGATTACAGGCACCCGCCACCATGCCCAGATAATTTTTGTATTTTTAGTAGATAGAGACAGGGTTTTGCCATGTTGGCCAGGCTGGCCTCATACTCCTGACCTCAGTGATCTGCCCACCTTGACTTCCCAAAGTGCTAGGGTTACAGGCATGAGCCACCACACCCAGCTGCTGTTGTCTTAATATAACCTCTTTGAAAGTGGGATCATTTGTTTTAAGTGGCTAGAGCAGTGGGAAGAAAGCTATGTCAATTCAACATCAGAAGACACAACGGTTAGGAGACAATGGATGAATGTAGTCAGCAGAAATCTTCCAAGCCCTACAAGATAAAAGTATCTCTGATGAGAAATAGGTGACTGATTTCCTCCTACCCAAAGATGTAACTAGAGTTTAAATATGGCAGCTACATGAAATGTGGCACACATTGTTTGTAACAGATGAAAATAAATTTAAAAGGATGGGATGCAAGTTCTGCTGAAAATTTGGAGCAGGACCTTAGGCAAGTCACAAAATAGAAACATAAATAATAACATCTCATGCGCACTTAACGATGTACAAGGTCTTGTGCTAACTGCTTTGCATGCATCATCTCATTCCGTCCTCACCACACTACTGTTGGTGGGTACATTGATGAGGAAATTGAGGCTTAGAGGGGTTAGAACTTGCCTAAGGTGAAGTGACTAAGACCAAAGCAGAATTTGCACCTGGGTCATCACTGTGGCAGCCACATTCTAACCACTCACCATCTCTGTGATGTCATCTCCTCTTGAGTCTGTTGTCTCAGAAGTAAAGTGGAGGGTGGGGCTTCTTTATTTGGAAGGTGGCTTCTGGTTTTAACATTATAAGACCTTCCAATGGCCATAAGATCGGGTGCCTAAATTCCAGTTGAGACTCACTGTTTAGACCACTGCATTATTTCCTCATTGAGTCCATCAGAACACGGGAGATCCCAGCAGTAGATCCTTAAGTCATTTAATTAAAAAAAAAAAAGAACACGGGAGAGACATATTCTCATGGCTATCACATTCTCATGGGTACACCTGGTTGTTTCATGCACTGGGTGTTGATTGCACTCTTATATTTAGGCTGTGAACCTTTAGAGTGAACAACTATTTGAGGCAGGATGCAAATACCCTTTTGATTAAATTAATGTAACTTTTGCAGGCTGGGTGCGGTGGCTCATATCTGTAATCCAAGCACTTTGGGAGGCCGAAGTGAGCAGATCACTTGAGGCCAGGAGTTGCAGACCAGCCTGGCCAACATAGTGAAACCTGGTCTCTACTACAAATACAAAAAAAAGCCAGGTGCAATGGCGCACACCTGTAGTCCCAGCTGCTCAGGAGGCTGAGGCATCAAAATCGCTTGAGCCTGGGAGGCGGAGGTTGCAGTGAGCTGAAACCGTGCCACTGCACTCCAGCCTGGGTGACAGAGCAAGACTCTGTCTCAAAATATATATAACTTTTGCAAAGTGAAATGAATCCATCATAAGAATACCCCATGCTAATAACTCAGTCATTATTCTTTTTCTGAATATTAATGAGTTGAACTTTATTAATCACCCTCTTTTGAGTCTGATTAGAGGCTTAAGAGTAGATCAATACTTCTGCACATCTGCTGTGTGCCAGGGTCTAGTCTAGCATGATTTTAATTTTTCACTATAAGTCTGAGCATGGGTTAGGCCCATGCTGCAAATGAAGACACTCACCCTAGGTAACCTGGCTCAGATGTGGACCCAAATCTGACTTCAAAACCTGTTTTCTTTCCACGATGTCAGTGGTTCTCCAAGTGTGGTCTATGGACTCTTGCCCTCAAGACCCTTTTAGGGATCTGCAAGGTCAAAGCTACTATGATTATGTTGTCTTTTCACAGCATTGATGTTTGCTCTGATGGAGCAAAACCAATACGGAATGAACTGCTGCACTTCAGCATAAATCTGCTAGTGAGTGGCACCACTGGGCCACGCACTCATAGTAAGGGGCAAAGCCAACTGCCCTTAATATCCTTGATAGAGTAACAATTATTAACATTATTAAGTCTTGACCCTTAGAGACACACCTTCATAAGAATACATAAGCACTTCTGCATTCCATAATACAATGGTTGTCTCAAGGAACAGCACTTATGCAATTATTTGAATTGTAAGCTCAACTAGCCACATTTTTCATGAAAATACCATTTTTACTTG